>NC_000012.12:16459650-17084650 GCF_000001405.40 Homo sapiens
TGTCAGATCAAGGGCCAGGGAGTAAAGTAGAGAATCTTATCTTGATCCAGAGAGTGCTGCAGGTTTTTACTAGAGTGTCACACAGAGTAACTCTGGAACTCAGCTTCTCAACCACATCTTTTGCTCTCATGACCTTGATATATACAATGCCCAGCAGGAATTTAACTTTGCGTATGGCCTGGATTGCATGTCTCTCCTTATGGGAAAGTCTCCCGTGGCGGTTTTGCTTAAATGACCTAAAAGAGGAATAATGACCCACATAGAGATATGGAAAAGGCATATTTTAGAAATCTGAATGCTACATTTTAAAACCTTCTGTCTTGTAGAAACAGAAGGTTAATGGATTAAAAATGTGACTTAATCTCTCTATGCCTCACTTTCCTCAGTGGTATAAGAACAATAGAACATACTCTTATAGGAATGACATTGGGATTAAATAAAACAGTCCATGTAGGAAATTTAGTATAGTGCCTGGCACAGAATGAAGTCTTAATAAAGGTTAGTTGTTATTAGAGTGTCATATGTCTGGATAGCCTTGGATAGCCCTGGTGTCTTATTAACAGTGTGGCAGTGCAATGTTTGGATGAAAACCTAAATGTCCACTTTAGCTATTATCATTCAATGAAGCAGTGAGTGGAGAGCATGGCATATACATTTTCTGCTGGAGGAATCGGGAATGGGAATGGAGAGAGTGCTTGAAGACTTGTGGCTGGTGGGAGGGTTAGAGTTCACGGAAGGCCAAGGTGAGGTGTGCTATCCAAAACATAGATAGGTCTCTACAAGATGGGAAGTTGCTGACTATTTTCTCTTACATATTCCTACCTTCTTTAAAGATTTTGGTTCCCCTTCGAATGGTCTCTGTTCTGACCAGGCATCCTCCTCTGAGTACATTCCCACTCGGCTTGAGCCTGCCTAGGGCTTTTGTGTAGGCATCTAATTCAGGTCAGTTTTTTTTTTTTTTTTGAAAAATATTTTATATTCTTGGTGGTGGTGTTAATCACCTCCAGTTTAATAACTTCTAACTCATTCTCTACGCTCCATCATCAACAATGTTAGATCTAAATTCAGGCTATATTGTAATAGCCTTGTTTTTAAAAACAGGTAGTTATTGAGTAGATGATTAAATGAATTAACCCTCATAAGCGCATGTGTGTTTTAATAGATGTCAGGTGATGCAGTCCCTTAACCTTAACAAAATACTCTTAAATGGTAACTTTAGGCTTTATAGCAGGCTGTTAAAGGAGATACTATAAAGCAAGAAGCTTTCTGGGTATCTCTTAAATCATACGGTATTAGTAATTATGTGACCTTTTTGCAGAGTGGAAAAGGCTTAGGAGAAGATTCAGAGGAAGATATAGAATAAATGAGTGAAGTGGATGTGGAGCACATTAAGAGTGAGACAAAATAGAAGTGATAAAGTAATAGAAACAACAACAAAGACTATAGAGTAGAGTGCTTTGGAGACAACTAAGTTAAGAGGATAATGGGTTATTTCAATAAATTGGAATATTGGAAAAGAATGCCCAAAGGAAAAAAAAAAAAAGCACATCATAACATCACTGACCTTGTTCAAACTCAGGCTGCCTAGGTTACTTATGGCATTAAAGATGCAAATTATTATTAATCCATAGATACCCTGAACACTAAGGGGATTTAAATTAATTATTTTTCTGCATTTGACTTATATAGTTATTCTATATTACTTAACTTCTAGATCTTGTCAGACTCACTAAGGTACATCATTCCAAACAGTTTATCAGACGTACAACCAGAATGGTTTTCCAAGCACTTCTTATGCTAACACTTGCCTGCCAAAGATGATCCTTTATGACTCTTGGATGTTTTAAAGCATGTCAATTTATTATTAAGTCAATATTTTGTCTTGGCACCAACAATATAAAAACTCTCTAGGAAAAATAGGTTCTTTGGATAAGAGTCTGTTTCTAAATAAACATGAGAAGGGGTTCGAACCCATGAGAAAAAAACATTTCAACTCTCCTTGAAAAACACATGTGCTTTTCTTGCTTTCCAATTATTAGCAAAAAACAGAATATTAATATGTGTCTCAATTATCTCACAGGAACATTGACAGAATAATTGAAACAACCTGTACCCAGAACAACTACACCAAAACAATTGGTTGTTTTTCCTGGGTATGACCTTAAAGACACCATAATCGTCTTTATCATGTATTATCGTCTTTATCATGTATTATCCCCAACCACCTTTTAATCTTACTTGGTTTACCAAGATGATTAGTTGGCTTGAAATAGCTATTCCTAACAATAAAGTATGACACTGAATTCCGGATATACCTTGTTTCATGTGATTTGAGGATATATGAGAAGCCTGTTTTCCTAAGGTCTCATCACCCACAGATAATCTGACTGAGGATATGGATCTGAACAGCTGGAAAAAAAACCTGTGATCAGCAATCACACACTTTATGTTAATTTGCTCCCCATCTCACCTTAGATACTACTTCATTATTAAAAGTACATTTTCAGAAAATTGGGATACTGTATCTACATATGCAGATATGAATATGTTTCATTTTCTAGTTGTTTGGAGCTTTTGCAAGCATTTTGCATCAGTTAAATTTTTAAACTTCCAACCAACCTTCTTCAAGGAACAGGGTGAATATACTATTTTTAAACAGATGAGAAATTTCAAGTAAAAAGATGACTTTCATAAGGTTATAATAAGTCCATAGAGACCTTCTAGTTCTTGATCCATTAATATAATCTACAGAGGACAGCATTTGCTGTCTTGTGTAACACAAGCAAGTACATAAGATAAAATAAATAGTACATCAATGAACTCTAAGTCTTTATGAAACCCATCTTTTTAGAATGTATAAATGCATTAATATTAAGGTTCATTAAAAGATGCACTTTACCCCCCCAAAAAAAACTAGGAAAAACCTTTGTTGAAATTACAAACTACAGAAATTCTGAAGTCACAATTTTTGCTGAGATAATAGAAAGAATCCTGGCAGAAGTTGTTCTAGATGCAGATTCAAATCAATTGTTTATCTTATCTTGATTTGATCTTCATTTAGTGGCAGGGTAAGCATCATCTTTTTATAATGTAGAAAACTGAGACACAAAGAAAAGGAAAGTGGTAACTTTCCCAAGATCACGTGGTAGCTAACTATAAACTAGAAATAATACTCAGATCTCCTAGCTACAGGTTTGGCGTTGTTTCTACAACATTTCAGGAAAGTGTGATGAGATTTTATTCCTCTTATGGTGAAGCTTTGCTATTCTTTCACTTCCTTTGTGACTGATAACTTTGGCAAATCTGATATACCCGCTGTAGACTAACTTACATGTCTTCTTTGTTCTCTCCCACCCTTTCTCTCTCTTGAAGATCTTCTAATCTAAAACTTAAAGGGTAGTTGAGCAACACTTCATTTTTACTTGTCAATCTATTTTTTAATGTTATGTTGTTTCTTAAAAAACTAAGCAAAAGGAAAGGCAGAAAATTAAGAGACTAATACTGCTTACCTCTCCCCTTACCTTACCCCAACACCTAGTTTTCTTTTTTTAGAGATGAGGTTTTCTCCGTCAACCTAGAGTGCAGTGGTGCTATCATGGCTCGGCTCACTGTGGCCTCAAACTCCTGGGCTCAAGCCATCCTCCTTGCCTCAGCCTCCCAGATAGCTAGGGTTACAGGTGTGCACAACCATGTCCAGCTTCACTTTTTTCTTAAGAGAAAGAGATTGGCAATAATTTTTTTAAAAGACCGGTGAAGAACATTCGCTGTGAGGTAGTATATGCTCTGGGGGTGGGGGGAGGGAGGGCATCAGGAAGAAGAGCTAATAGATGCTGGGCTTAATACCTAGGTGATGGGATGATCTGTGCAGTAAAACACCATGGCACACGTTCACCTCTGCAGCAAACCTGCACATCTGGCACATGTACCCGTAACTTAAAATAAAAGTTGAAGAAAAGGAAGAAAAAAAAAGAAATCAGTGAGGCAGAGTTTTTTTTTTTAAGCAGAAAAAATATTTTGCTCTTAAAAATAGATTCTACTTTGATCCTTTGATCTATATGAATATTGAGCCTTTACACTTGCTTCCATATTTTCTACCCTACGTAGTGTGAAAATAAGGCACAAGACATTCACTAATAAGCCTGTTTTGTTGTCTAAGTACAGCTCATCTTTGCTTCTGCCTCTTGGTCAATAACTACCACAACATATTTGAAAAGAAAGATTACTTTAACGTTAAATGCTTTTTCGAATTTCAAAGTATCTTCTCTGTGATGATAGGAAGTCATAACGTATATGACTGGCTATCACATCATTATCTTTGGAGGCCACAGGGCATGGTTGTTAAGAAGCATATTTGGACTCAGTAGGCTGGGTTCGAATGGCAGTTTCATTACTCGTTGACTATTGAAATGTGAGCCAGTTACTTGACTGTTATACTTCATCTGTGAAGTGGGTATACAAAGACTTTATAAGTCATAAGAATTATGGGAAATAATTTACATAAAAGATTGTTTTTTAATAGATCCTGCACATAGTGAATGGTCAACCGCAGTTACTATGAAACACTAAATGTAGCGGGAACACAAAGTACCATTTATTTCATTACATTTCCGCCCATTTTCATGTTATCTAATGCTGCAGACAGGCAAAACTTCCAAGCTTCATCTTTCTTTTCTCTGGCTGGTAGCAAATAGAGAAAAATTTTCTGTTGTTTTTCTTCCTTTGAAAGGAATGGGTAGTTTTTTCTGGTGAAAGAATGATTTCTTTCACCCTCACTGTGATTTAGTTTCAGATAATAATATGATTGAAAAATTTAAATCTAAGAGCCTGTAATACATAATTAGCCATGGGCTGTGTGTGTTTCACCAAAGGGCAAGTGTCATGTTCAACCAACAAGCTATTAATTGTTGAAATCACAGAATAAAGCAAACTAGCCTTTTAGAACCATGTAGTAGTCCCTGGATTCCTATGCAAAGGTACTCACCTATATTACTGTAACCAATAACATCACAATTTCAGTGCCTTAACATAATAGTCATGTTTCCTCTTCAAGTGACAGTGAGTTCAATGTTCCTGAATGGCATGAGGTTTTAGGTAATAATTCTGATAACTGAGATTCTTCCATCTTGTGGCCCCTCCATGCCCTAGGGCTTCATAGTCCTTTGCAATGTATGTAACAAGCTTAAATAAATTTTTCAATAACTTATACACATAACGCCAGGGAAACTCTGAAAAACAAAGACCTTTTGATTCCCATCTGACTGCTTTCTATTGGCTCATGCCTCATTTCCCCTTGTGCACACGTATTTACCTGACACAGCAGTGCTCTGTGTTGTTTATACTTGGAATAACAAACTAGAAATACTGTACTCCTGTACCAACACTGCCTCTGAGAAGAGAAGTGTGCATGACCAGCCAGGTCTCCAGATGTAACCTAGGTGTGAGACTAAAAGCTTTCTTTATTGACTTAAATTTGAGTAATGGCAAGAGGAGGGGTGGTGGTATGGTTTGTGCTTGTACAGGGAAGAAGAACTCTACTGACTTGTAGGAAATAATTTTTGACTGAATCCTTTTGAACTCAAAACAGTTATGAAAAGCAAGGTGAAGTATATGGAGCTGTTTCTGTCTACATTTAATTCTGACGAACCTACATTTTATGGGAAAGTAGGACCAATCGGATTCAACTCTAGCCACAACCTATATTTGAAGGCCTAGGTTTAACTGGTTAACATTTAAATCAGAGGTCCCCAAATCCCGGCCAGTTGACCGGTACTGGTCCATGGCCTGTTAGGAACTGGATCGCATAGCAGGAGGTGAGCGTCGTGAGTGAGCATTGCCGCCTGAGCTCCGCCTCCTGTCAGATCAGCTGCAGCATTAGGTTCTCATAGGAGCCGAACCCTATTGTAAACTGCACGTGACGGATCTAGGTTGCACGCTCCTTATAATAATCTAATGCCTATAAGGTGTCACTGTCTCCTATCACCCCGGATGGGACTGTCTAGTTGTAGAAAACAAGCTCACTGATTCTACATTATGGCGAGTATGTAATAATAATAGAAATAAAGTTAGCAATAAAGTGCACAATAAATGTAATGCATTTGAATCATCCCCAAATTATCCTCCTCCTTCCCCCACCCCAATCTGTGGAAAAATTGTCTTCCATGAAAGTGGTCCCTGGTGCCAAAACCCTTGGGGACTGCTGATTTAAATGGTTGGAGATATTAGTGCATAAAGTATGATAGTTTTGTTCCCAACTCAGTTACATCTTCCCACACCCCTTCGACCATTGTCCCTTTGGCCCTTTTTTCTTTGTATGTGCGTTCTCAGTTAATATATAGCTAATAACTCTTATTTTTCTTATGTTTTAGACTGTTTACGCTTATCTGGATGTAAGAATGAAAATTGACTTAGTGGAAACACTTGCATATGTGTAAAGACCTAAATGGTGGTTCATTCAAGAAAATTAATCTGTGTAATAAATGGATTAAAACAGCCATAAGTTTTTTTAGAGACACGTCATTTCTGATTTCTGCTCACATTCATTGGCAGCTAGTCCCATGGCTGTACTGAGCCTCGAAGGAGGCTGGCAAGCATAGTGTAACTTTGTGCCCCAGAAAGAGAAGGAATGAATTTGTGATTTGTGAAAGGTTCAGGAGCTTCACCCCACCATCCCTCTCTCAGGATTCTGAAATTTTTAAATAGCTGGCGAGGTCAAGGCTACTAATTCTGATGAAAAGTGAAGGAATCTACTGTATACAACTGAAGCTTGATAGGACACTTTAACATAATATGTCATTACTGAAATGTGGCCATGACAAAGATGCTAACACAGCTTCCTTTTGTCATCTGGTCTTAGATTTAAAACCTTGATTTAATGAAAGTGTTGATACCACACTGAAGAAAAAAAGACTGATTTTTTGGGGTCATTAAATATGAGCCACTTGAATAAAGGAAGGATGGTCTTGGATAGGTAAGGTAAAGGGTATAGTTTATATTAGCATGGGACAAAAGGAGAAACTACAGAAACCTACAAGAATCCCAGTGAGATACATTTTTCCTCTGGATAGAAACCAATAGCAAAAGTAAGGCAAGGGTTAAATAATTAACTCTCTATTTTCTTTCTTTTAACACACTTTCTCTTTTGTGTCAGACACTGAAAAGCATGGCCTCAAACTTTGAACACTTTGAAATTTCCTCTCTTTTTTTCCCTAAAGATTTCACATTTTCCACAATTGTGTTGCACTGATAACTATCACTCCCTTCCCTCCACTGATAATCCCAGTTTTATGTAACTTATAAAAGGCAGTCTGACCCCGAGACTTCATAGCAGGTAGCAGATGGCTTTGGTGGATGCCTATGTCTGCTATTAAAGTAAAAAGACAGGAAGCAGCACAGACAGTGTTCTTTTATTTAAAAAAAAATTTGGGTTGTCATGTGATATGAAACACAAATCTAAGAGCTTTCAGCAATCACAAACCTCATGTAGTGTGATTTTCACTAGAAGGTCAATGTAATACCACCTTCAAGTCTGCGTGAAAGATGCATTGCATGAAAGAAAAGATGGTGTTTTCTGGTCTACTACTTATACATGTAACAATTTATTATACAAAAATCAGAGTACAATTCAGACAACTTGTGAATGCTTATTGAAGTTGCCAGGCAAAAATATGCTATTCCATGCCATATTAGCATTTTCTGGTTTAGGCCAGCTGATCTATTTGAATTAGGTTACATAAACCATCACATTCAATATGTAAGTTGAACATGTATATTCAAATATTTTTCCTTTTAAAATGGAACTGTGACTCATATTATACAGAACTTACTCTGAATAAAGTAAAACTAGACAGATTGCAGTGCTTTCCCCCAGTCAGCTAAGAATTCTAAGAGCCCACAGACATAACAGTGAGAGTTTCAGGTTTGTTTTCAATAGTCAGATGTGTTGCTTATTCCACTTTTAAAAAGTTCATAGAACTCATTAATACTTTTATATACCATAATCATTCACCTTCAACATTTGATATTGTGTTTAAAATATGACTTTACTTAATTATTTTCAACAAGCACTTTTCCGGAGTATCCACCAGTCAGAAACACCATTTCAAGTGCTCTGGAACCTTCTGCTTTTACATATTAATAATTCCCAAACAGAGTGTCTGCTTCAGACATTAGTTTCTGAAATAGAATTGAGTCTTAATTAGCTCAAGAGAAACTCCTACTTAAGTAGTCTTAGAGAAAATGCACTCATTTCCACCTCTAATATATCCTCCTGTTGTTTGACTGTGATGAGAATGGTCTTTTAAAAGAGGCCTCAGGTGTGAAACCAACTGTTGAGGCTCATTGTCAGCTGCTGGTTTCTAGAGTATTAATTCAAAATTAGGGAAAATATAAGACTATGTCTACATTGGCCAACTATCGCAAAACAACAATTTTCAGTTAAGGGTGCAGCATCCTCTACAATGCCCTTGAGGAAGATTCAGAAGCTCATTCTATTTCCATCTGCTTCCATCATTAGAGAATGCAGTTGATTGATTCAACCTCTCTAACAATAAGAACGAATGTTATTTAACTAAAAGGTGAGTATCGGCATCATATCTAGGTCAAAATGAACACAAATAAGCTTGCTGTTTGTCAATTACATATCTGTATATACATATGCAGATTCACAAGTATCTATACAATTTTTCAAACATAGAAATTATACTTTTTATGGTTTGAAGGCTGAAATGACTTCATTTGTATCGGGTCTCGTTGTTGGATGAAAAGTGCAAAAGAAGAATGAGCAAAAGAACAGCTGCTGTCTCCTCCAATCTTCCTATCAAGAAATGACACTGAGTACTCATCTTACACATCTTCTACATCACTCATTTAACACCAGATATAGTACATTATGATCAACATTTTTATTAATATCATCATTGGAGGTCTTGAGTGTATATAGCTTATTTCATCAAAATATGGAATGTTGCTTGTGGGTAAAACGTATATATATTTTAAATCCCTGTTGGGTCTGTTGGAGTGCTATATACAAAGTAGGCACTCAGAAAATATTTGTTGTAGGATAGATTAATTAAATGCTTAAGGCAAGACTGCTAATTGTCCCCTAGTATTTATTCACCCCTTCCTATAGGAATAGAAGCTCCATCTCCACCCTCTGGTGTTAGGACACATGGCTGTCTAGCTAGGGACTGCATTTCTCAGCATCACTAGCAGCTAGATAATCTGGCCTGTGTCCAGTTATTTCTTATGACACTGCTGTCCTCTGCTTCTTTCACCTTTTCAGGTGTAGTGATCATCCAGCGTCATGCACAGTAGATGAGAAACTCCTAGGGGATGGTAGACAGACAAGGTAGAAGGAATTTAGATGGAGCAAAATTATTTATGTGTTTGAACCTCCCACCTATTCCTGCACTGCTAAATGTGAGAAAACAGAGTTCCATTTTATTTGAGTGAGATTGCATTCTGTGATATCTTTGTTACTGCTGCTGGGCTAGCACTATAACTGACATAACATGCATAATGCTCTATTCCTTTTTTTTTTTTTTTTTTTTTTGGAGACAGAGCCTCACTCTGTTGCCCAGGCTGGAGTGCAGTGGCACAATCTTGGCTCTCACTGCAACCTCTGTCTCCAGGGGTCAAGCGATTCTCCTGCCTCAGCCTCCCAAGTAGCTGCGACTACAGGCATGTGCCACCATGTCCAGCTAATTTTTTTTGTATTTTTAGTAGAGACAAGGTTTCACCATGTTGACTAGACTGGTCTCAAACTCCTGACTTCAGATGATCTGCCTGCCTTGGCCTCCCAAGGTGTTGGGATTACAGGCATGAGCCACCATGCCCGGCCATAATGCTCTATCCTATAGATGCCATTCTAGAATTCCACAGATCCACTGGTTGTCTTCTACTATGATTGTGATAATCTGAGAAGCAGTCAGGTCTGACTTAAAGGCATTTGTGGCTATTGAAGATGAGAGAACCCATCTGTTAAGGATGCCTGCTCTCAAGCTAAGTATCGGCAAAATTCACTAAGGCTGTGGTCTTCACTGTAAGAGAAGCCACTGTAAAATGAAGTCAGAATTGCACAGATTATCAGAGTGAGCTGCCTTTTGTTGCCTATGTAATTTGTAATTATCTCAAATAAAAATCTAACAGCAATTTTTTAAGGTTTTGCAAAGAACTAAAAATGAAGTGCAACTTAGCCTTGAATAATCAAAGCATTTTTTTCTAAATACCTCTATGCCTTAACACACGCACAAAAATGTAAGTAAATTGAGGAAAGAGATTGTTTCATATTTCTGTTTGCACAGAAATCATGTTTATATATACGGCAAAAGAGTGAACTCATCCTAAGTATTCACTGAGGGTTGTTGAATTGATTGTTCAGAATATAGAAGCTCAAAAATATTGTACATATTCTAGTGTCTATGACTAATAATTGGAATAAGTTTCACAATAGTTTACTTATCTAAGTATTATTTTCTCCACATTGGTAATTGCTATACTGTTGGTAGTACAAAAATAAATATTTGGGGAACTTTCTACATAAAAAAAAATCCAGTCATTGCTAGAGTTATTTGAGCTAATAGCTATGTTTCAGTTGGGATTTCCAGAATATCTGCTGAATACTTTATCCTGCAATTTAGATCAAGAAAGCAGGGTTTATTTTTGATCAGGGTTTATATATTTACAGAAAACAAAAGAAAAATCTCTAGATTCCAATTAGGTTGAGTTTGCTTTTTTGAACAATAAATTCAGATGTCATAATAATGAAATATTTCTCCACCACACTGAGCCTTTGAAGAACAGCTTTCTTATGGGTAAGTTGATCAGTTTGGTCTGGATAAACAGGAGCTACCCACACAGAAATCACTGGTTTCGGGAAGAAGGCTTTCTGTAATTTGTGTTGTGTTGATCCCCATCATAACAGGAGAGTAATCATGGATGAGTAACTTTTATGTCTTGTACCAGTATAGATATGATGAAGAATTTCTAAGTACCTAATCTATTGCCCAATTTTGAAGAGCTAATTGAATCATTATACATTTAATATAGCCTTTTGAACATTTTTAGCAATTGCTTCCAGAAAAACATGACTTGTGACATTTTAAAAAATTACCTTAAAAATAATATGAAAAAATCAATAATAAACTCAAATAAAAAATAAGTTACTTAAGAGTTAACTATTTTTCCAAATTAAATTGCACATTAAGTTCTATAGTTTTTGAGATCATTTAAAACAAAATTTCCACCAACCTCCCTTTATTTGAGGGTATTTTAAAACTAAAAACAATTAAGTTTTTGAGATCGATTTAATTTTTACTTCTTTTAAGTACCAGCATAAACATCTGCCATCTGGCATAGAAATTACTTCATATGGCGGGAGGAGAGATGAGATTTATTTAAAAGTTCTTTGTCTTTGATACTTTTCCCTGCTGCATTTTCCACTAGTGTAATTTGAACCTGACTGTATTTAAATAACCATTTATCGCCGTAATGGAAGAGCGGACTTAAAAATACATAACTGCTGTCATTCCAGGAGACTGTATTAAGGAAACATAGAATTTGCCATTCTAGATCAGACCATTTGTCTGTCTTGTCTCACACTTGCCTCCGGCAGTGGCCAACATTGAAGACAATGGAGAACCGCAAAAATATGCAACGTGGGCACAACCCATTTTGCGGGGAATAATTATTTTCTCTGTTGGTATTCTTACACTATGGTATATTAGAATTGAATCACCCCCACCTGTTTATATTATTAATAATTTTATCAATCAATACACTAACCAGTTCTGCTAAAATTATTTTACTGAATTATGCTTAATGATCTATGGTATTTCTATAGAGGAAATACTCTTATGGGACTAACACTCAGGTTTTTAATGCCTTGATTTTTAAATATGAGAAAGATATGGGGAAATTTAGGCTGTATAGCACAACAAAACAAACTGAAACCCTTTAATTCTTGCTTGTACTTCAAAGCCCAGAAAAAAACATATTTACTACAAAAGTTCAGCTTGCAGGTCCAGAAGACAATCTAACATGATCTAGCTTTATACTAAATTTACTATTGATAGTAGAAGAAAAATTCTATGCTGGGTGATTAATAGGTTGGCCAGAATGTAGGCCTACAAATTTTTATCTTCCTTGACATCTCACCAATGTTGTGGAAAAAATATTACAGCAACAAATTCATTTCATGATCTGTCTCTGAAGTTATAGGTGGGTACTATGAGCAGAATACTTACCAAGTGTAGAGCTCACATACACACACATACACACACACACACACACACAGACACCAATGTATGCACACATTGTCCGCTCCACATACTCACACATTTCCCCAGTGCTCCAGGCATTTTGAACTGTTTGGTGCCCCCTGTTCATTATTTGCCTTCACTTTGTCCTCTGCTAGTTCCTTCCTTACCTGTCCCTAGGCAAATATAAACTGTCCTCCATGATCACATAAATTATACCCATTCTTCTATAAGACTACTATTATAATCTCTCAAGGAATTATAAGTGCATAAAATTTGTGTAATCTTTCAGCCAACTTCTTACCTGCCCCATAAAAAGTACTTATAAAACAACTTTTTTCTTGTCTCCTTCACAACCAGAAAAAAAACAAATCTTTGTAAATTACTGTCAAATTACAAGTACCACTACTGGTGTGATCATTTTTTGGGATAATATGTTTGTAAACATATTTACTACAAAAATCAAGAGTTTTAAATTGGGTAAACGCCTGCCCACCTGGTTACTCAGTTGAGTAGGGCCTTCCTTCTGTTTTTTTTTTTTTTTTTAAAGTCCTCTGTTGGTGTGACTATTAACGCCAAATCACTTTGAAAGTTCAGCAAAATGTTTTCAGTTTTGAGCTGAAAAATGGTATTAGTGGCTGGAGATGGTATCACATGACATTTCCAGCCTCCAGAATGATAATATGTTGTCTGCTGACTTAATAAACTCTCTTTCTACAATTGTTAGTATCTTCGGAGATATCTTTTCAGTATTTGTTTTTATGTATATTGAGCAATAATACAATCATACATGGTCATGGATGACTAAAAATATTCAAATTGGGATACTTAGGTAGTGAATGAGTTTTAAAAGTGCTCTTAAATAGGTAAGCAGTTGAAAATGATTTATTTCAATTGGCGTTGTACTGAACTGGCAGCAAAAGGAGAGGCAGGGAAAAAAATCCTCATCCCTTCCTAAAATAAGAGAAAGAATTTTAACTTTGAGCCAAGCTCTAAAGGCATCTGGAAATCCTTGCATCGGTTTCTTAGCTTCTTGCATTTTGTAGGCTAGCCTTTCCATGAAGGCAAAAAGAACTTTCTCAGAATAAACACTTCTTCCAGCTAAGATCAATCCCTACCTTTTAGATGTAGCATACCTATCAAAAATAAAGCTTGGCAAGATTTTATCCATAATGCGACTTGATAACTTTTAAATCTGTTGGCCAGAATCTTCACTTTAGCATGAGACAGGTTAAGATATCCCTCTATCTCCATAGTTCTCAATGGAAGCAATTTTTGGCTCCACATTCCCCCCATCCCCAGGATATTTGGCAAAGTCTGGAGACATTTCTATTGTCAACACTGTGGGGTTGGTACAGGCATATAGGAGTTAGTGGCCTGAGATGCTGTTAAACATCCTACAACGCACAGGACCAATGCACCAATGAAGAATTGTCTTGCCCACATATCAATAGGGCTGAGATTAAGTAATTCAGCTCTAAATGAAGAGTATTAGAAACACAAACACAGAGAGTGTTGAAATATCTCACCACCCACTCTGGAATGAGAATTATACATGGTTTACTATGAATTAAATTAAGCATAACCATATACAACTGTCAAAGAAATACACTAGGCTTCTAATAGCCATTTTTTTGTTGTTTTTTAGTTCACCTCTGTAAGGAACTAGAAATAATCTTTCTATTTATTTTTGGTTGGTTTCTTAATTTTCTAGTGATGCTGGTATTCCTCTGTCTCCCACACCATTCTTGACTGTGCTGTTTGTGTTTTGAATGGTCATTTCCTTGTATAATGACTTGCAATGCTATTTGCAAATCAGTCTCATCACTGGCCGTGTGCGACAGCTCACACCTGTAATCCCAGCTACTTGGGAGGCTGAGGCGGGAGGATGACTTGGGCCTGGGAGGTTGAAGTTGCAGTGAGCCATGACTGTACCACTGCACTCCAGACTGGGTGACAGAGCAAGACTCTGTCTCAAAATAAACAAATAAATAAAAATTTAAAAAAGTCTAATCACTGAGAATGGAAAGGCCTCAAGTTAATTTTAAGTAGCACTCTTTGTCATCTTATTTCTATAGGGAATTTGCTTGTGTCCCTATAGAAGTTATGTGTCTAACCAGGGTATTCTATGCTATACTGGAACGGAGTGAACAATTTGTTCTGCAACATTTGAGTTTCAGTTGGAACAGCTCCCATTACTGACTGTGAATGTAGACATGATGACATTCCTTGTGTAATACCAGTAAGCATCCACTTATCCTTCTCACTGTACTTGTTGTAGCTGCTTAACATTGTGTTTTGTTTTGTATTCCTATTTAAACATTCCATACCCAATAGCAAGAAGGCAAAAATGTCACGAAATTGACAGAACATGTAAAAGTGTGTTTGCAGCTTCAGATGAAGAATTACAAGGAAAAATTTTAATTTTACATTTCATCAGGGAAAAATTCTGATACTTCTAAAAAACATTGTCAATTCTGATACTTCTAAAAAATTAGAGCAACATATTAGAAAACCTTTGTGCTTATTGGATTTCATTCAATTTTGCCAAGACTCTTGGATATCAATACCAAAGCAGACTTTCAAAATTACTCTACCCCAAAGCTGAACACATATCTCCAAGGTATTCTCAAATGATGGGCATTGTCTTAGGCCAGGTGGCTGGGCTGATTTTCCACTGCCTTGCTCTACTCCCCACTGAACACACAAATTCATATAACCTTTTTGATCCCCTTTCTCCCTCTGTCCTTCCCCTACTGCCACTTTTATGTCTTGACCATTCCAGAAGAAATGACAAATGGTTATCTTGAGGTCATTTTTGAACGAGAGCAATAACAGTAATATTGATAATAAAATCCAAATTCAGAGAAGACCTGCGTTTGATTCAGAAGCTAGTGTGTTTGTGCATGGTGTTAAAGGTGTACTAAGTAGGTATTAATCTTATTTTCTCCATTCATTTTACATGAAAGCTGTCATTATTGGGATAAGAATAAAATGAACATAAGTATGATAAATGATAAGTGCACATGGGAGTCAATATACCACTCAGAGAGAGCACTGCTAATCAACCGGTGCAGTAGGCTAATGCACCATGTGAACAGGCATCTCAGGGAGAGTCTAAATTTGTAACTCAGGGAAGCTTGGCATTTAGCTCGAGCTGCTTTTGGCTTAAGGGGAAACAAAGGGTACAATCATGTGTGGATTACAGCAGCAAATCATGTTTCAGAAGGTGCCTTTGCAAGACCATGTAAAACAGAACCAATTCTATATCCCTAACAAGGCCCAGCATATACATGAGTTGTTTAATGAATGTTAAATAATGTTAATAAAAATGGATGAAAAAGTACTGTACTCTTTTTTTAATGAACAGTGAAAAGAAAGAGTAAGAGAATCAATTAGTTCTCAGTTTGAAACCTCTGGCTTATATATTAAAGCTGATGAATACAATTTTAAAAATGCAAGTGCTGGAGTCTCTATGCTATTGGGAATCTGTCATCTTTTAAAACATACTTTTTAAACTTGATTCTTAATTATTAATAGATTAATGATTCCCATTGCTTTTGATGATCTCAAGATCTCTTACATAGTTTCTTTGTTAACGGCAATACCATTTCTGTTTCCCTTATTCCAGTTAGCCAAGAAGCTAGGGAAGTAGCAGGTTTATAGTTCTGTTATTTCAACTAAAATGCATTTCTTATACCCTTAAGAGAGGAGTGGAGTAGATAGCAATTCAGCTGCATAGAAATATGGTTGGCTGGGCTCATGTTGGTTAAGGAGACTGTTGGAAGTAGCAATTCTGGAATGATTAGTGGCTCTTAGTGACATCAGTCACCTTGGCTCTTACTTCAGGTATTTTAGAAGTGTCCCTGTTGCACTCCCTTCCCAGGTGGCTGATGAATTAATGATTATTTACTGAGCATCTACTATGTGCCTGATTCATTGTTAAGTACCTAGAGAGCCACAAAGAAAATGATACAGTGAAATAGAAAACCCGTGCTTAACTAGCAAACACTACCTTCTGGCTGACAGTTCAGGAAAGAGTTAGCGTCTGAAAAGAAAAAAAAAAAATACATGATCTTGACTAGAAAGAGGAAGTAGATTAGCTTCCTCAGTTTCCATTTTCCTACCTACCACCACAAGCCCCTACTCTCATATTCCTAGTCTAGACCCAGTGAGGACTTGGTAATAGGTAAGCAACTGCTGAAGGACAATAAAAAAAGTGGAAAGGAGAATAACCATAGGGAATGCAGCCAAAGACTAAGAAAGGTGGATGTAGTGAGAGTGCAGATAAGACTCCTCACATCTTTAACATCATAAGCTAGCTGACATCAAACACTAAGCAGGAAAAATAAGGAGACAGCAGTGGTTGTGAGGTAGTTGCCAGCTTTATTTACCACCAACTAAATCAACATTGTGCTCTGTTATTTAAACTTACATTACTACAAGTATATAATCATAATTCTTGGTGTATATGCTACTTATTCCCATGAATATTGAGCAAGAACAATATATCAATATAGTAATATACTGCAACCTTCTCTCAGCAAGCATTCATCTTCACTGTCTACTATTTCAGGCCCTTCGTAGGTGCTGGATAAACAAAGATGACCAAGACATGTTCCCTGCCCTCAAAGAGGACAAAATCTAGAATTTTCTTTTAAAATGTGCTGATTTGGTTGCTACACCAGAGTCATCGTCATAGTTGGTTAAACATATTGGTTAAATATAATCATTTTGTTGGTAACCCAACAAAACTTGAACTGCTTTAGATAATAATTTTTTGATAAGGTCAGACTTGAAGGAAGGATTTGAATAGATCACAGGGATAAAGAGCATTCCAGATTGATGGAAATATGTAACTAAAAAAGGATCCAGTCTTTGAAAGATAGCATGGCACCCACCTGTACTGACAGGGGTCGAGGTAATCGACTGAAATAAGGTGAGAAAGAAGAGGATTTCTGTATTGCAGATAGTGTAAATAAAGTCCTTGGAAAGAGATTTGGCCCTGAAGTCAGGAGATCTGGGTTTAATTTTATAATCTTGAGCCAATCAGTCTTAATCTATCATCTTTTAACTCTCCTATTCATAGAAATGAGGATGAGAATATATATTTGTCTATACTGTAATTCACAATTTCACAGAATGGTTTCTAGGCTGAATAAGAACCTAAAGCAAATTGCTTTGAGCTGTTGGAAGAAAGATACTATTCAAATCCAAGGAAGTATTTTAAGATCTTATATTCACTCACTTTTATATGTGGTTTTGCTAAAATAGAAAGATTAGTTTGAAGTTCATCCTGCTGTTTTGGTAAAATCAGTAAAAATGTCTTCCTGATTTTTTTCTGAGTGTAAGATAAAATTTATTGTCCTCAGCTAAGTAGATTATCAGCCATTTTCTTTGAATAGCCATATCTTAAAAGTAGAATCTCTTTTATTTATAGATAGCCTAAAAAATGACATGTGAACTTATAAAATTTCATGTAAAATGAAGCATGTTAAATGCATGTGATAGTTCTTACTCCTGAGTTTGTTATTCCTTTCTATGTAACACAAATAGAATCCTCCCTAACTTAAATTTTAGTAGTTTCAAAACAGATTAATACAAATGAGTTTCTTTCAAGCATATATAGTTTAGGGTATTTTTAAAAATAAAATTACTATCTTACTTGTATACTACTCAACTGTATTTGAACAATGATATTTGTAGAATAGGTAGATGGAAACTTCATTTTCATCCTACAAGTAACTAATGCTCAGCTATCAGTTGAGGTCATACTGCCTCTTAAATCTAAGGAAGATTTACTTGATTCCTTATTTTAAGTCTTGAGATTTCAGCTCCTTCTACAGTAGGTTAGATCATGCATCATTTTGCTATTTTGTTCATTCTGTCCCTGTTCTGTCATATTGTCTCAGAGGTGGAAGCCATCCTGTTTACCTGCTTTTAACAGGTAAATGTCTCACAAAGAACTTTTTAGTATTAGCTGAGTTTAATGATAGTTTGGGGAAATGGAAAGGGTTCACAGTGCAGCGTTGTAAATGTCAAAATTGCATATTAAACATCTTGGTCCTTTAAAAATATCCATCTGTAGGTATTTTTGAAAATCAGGCTTTAGCCTTTCTCTGTATTATTTATTTATTTGTTTTTGAGGTGGAATCTTGCTCTGTGGCCAGGCTGGACTGCAGTGGCACGATCTTGGCTCACTGCAACCTCTGCCTCTTAAGTTCAAGTAATTCTTCTGCCTCAGCCTCTCGAGTAGCTGGGACTATAGGCGCGTGCCACCACGCCCAGCTAATTTTTGTATTTTTAGCAGAGACGGGGTTTCACCATGTTGGCCAAGATGGTCTTGATCTCTTGACCTCATGATCCGCCTGCCTCGGCTTCCCAAAGTGTTGGGATTACAGGCGTGAGTCACCACGCCCGGCCCTTTCTCTGTGTTTTTAGAGCCTCCCTCTCCTCTCATTCTCTTGAAAGCCAAACATAAAATGAAGTTAAAATAAATTCTTCTTATTTTTGTAATACAGAAAATTTTGAATCTCTCTCCATTCTTCTTAACTCATGACTTTGTAGTTATACTTTGCACTGCCACTTTTCCAAACCTATGTGATTCTTTCACTGTGAAGTCTTGATGTTACTATAATATTTTTTATGTTATTTAATATTCTATGTCAAATATATCTTAGACTGATTAAACCACAAAATTACTAGAAGAAAATTTTGGTGAATTTTTTTTTAATTTCAGAAAGTGGGAGGACATTATATACATAAAATAGATAATAAATTACAATATTAAAAAATGTATAGATTGGACCACATGACATTTATTTTGTCCTTACCCCTCAAAAAAACAAAATAATTAAACTTTTAAGGATTTCATCCTTGAGTCTCTTAAATGTTTTTTTAGTTTATTGACATGAAATTCACATAACATAAAGTCATGTGAAATTGAACAATTCAATGGCATTTAGTACATCCACAGTGTTGTACACTGCCTCTATCTAGTTTCAAAACATTTCCGTTGTTCCAAAATAAAACATATCACTAAACAGTTTCTCCCCATTGCCCCTTCCCCTAGACCCTGGCAAGCACCAACCTGCATTGTGTCTTTATGAATTTACCCGTTCTGGGTATTTCATATAAATGAAATCATACAGTACGTGATGTGTCTGGTTTCTCTCACTTAGCATGTTTTTGAGGTTCATCTACAGTATAGTATAGGAGTATGTATCTACTATACATATTAAAGTATGTTTCTGTGCTTCATCCCTTTTTATGCTTGATAATATTCCATTGTGTGTATATATATATATAACGTATTTTTAATAGACTGTATCTTTTTTTTTTTTTTTTTTTGACGGAGTCTCGCTCTGTCGCCCAGGCTGGAGTGTGGTGGCGCGATCTGGGCTCACTGCAAGCTCCGCCTCCCGGGTTCACGCCATTCTCCTGCCTCAGCCTCCCGAGTAGCTGGGACTACAGGTGCCCGCCACCACGCCCGGCTAATTTTTTGTATTTTTAGTAGAGACAGGGTTTCACCGCATTAGCCAGGATGGTGTCCATCTCCTGACCTCATGATCTGCCCATCTCAGCCTCCCAAAGTGCTGGGATTACAGGCGTGAGCCACTGCGCCCGGCCTCTTTTTTTTTTTTTTTTGAGACAGGGTCTTGCTCTGTGGCCCATGCTGGAGTAAGGTGACACACTCATGGCTCACTGCAGCCTCAACCTCCTGGGCTCAAGCCATCCTCCCACCTCAGCCTCCTGAGGGGCTGGGACTACAGGTGCATGCCATCGTACATGATTAATTTTTAAAATTTTTTGTAGAGATGAAGGTCTCACTGTGTTGCCTGGGCTGGTCTCAAACACCGGGCCTCAAGCAACGCTCCTGCCTTGGCCTCCCAAAGTGCTGGGATTATAGGCCTGAGCCACTGCACCTGTATCTTTTAGAGTAGTTCTAGGTTCACAGCAAAACAGAGTGGAGGGTACAGAGATTGCCCACATATGCCCCACCACCTAACATTTTAAAACACCTGTTAGCCTCCACAATTATATGTAAATATCAGGAGTCAAGAAATGGATCATAAAGTAAATATGAGTTAAAACCATAACACTTCTAGAAGGAAACATAAGAATAAATCTTTATAACATTGGGTTAGGCAGTGATCCTTTGGATAATACACAAAAAGCACAAACCTTAAAAGAAAAAATTGATAAACTGGATTTCATTAAAATAAAATAAAAATTTGCTTTTTTTTTTTTTTTTTTGAGACGGAGTCTCACCCTATCACCCAGGCTGGAATGTAGTGGCATGATCTCGGCTCACTGGAACCTCCACCTCCTGGGTTCAAGCAATTCTCCTGCCTCAACCTCCTGAGTAGCTGGGACTACAGGCATCCACCACCACACCCAGCTAATTTTTGTATTTTTAGTAGAGACAGGGTTTCACCATGTTGGCCAGGATGGTCTCGATCTCTTGACCTTGTGATCTGCCCATCTCAATCTCCCAAAGTGCTGGGATTACAGGCATAAGCCACCGTGGTCGGCCAGAAATTTGCTTTTTAAAAGACACAGTTGAGAAAATCAGAATACAAGCCAGAGATAAAATATTTGCAAAACACATATCTGATGAAGGAATTATATACAGAATGCATAAAGAACTCTTAAAAGTCAATAATAAAAAGGCTAACAAGTCAACTGAAGAAATAGGTAAAATATTTATCAGGTAATCTAAACCTGATGAAATGTCCCTGACCTATCTGCTAGCTAAGAAACAAAAGCCAGGGATTGGCAAATGTTTTCTGTAAGGGATCAGGTAGTAAATATTTTAGGCTTTGAGGGCCACACATGGTTTCTCTCACATATTTTTTTTGTTTGTTTGATTAAACCATCCTTTGGCTAGGCCTGGTAGCTCCCACCTGTAATCCCAGTGCTTTGGGAGGCCCAGGCAGGAGGACCATTTGAGGCCAGTTTGAGACCATTCTGGGCAACATAGCCAGAGCCTGTCTCTACCAAAACAGACAAACAAACAAAAAAACAAAAAATTAACAACACTTTGAAAATGTTTAAAAACATTTTTTAAAAATAACTCACAGGCTATACAAAAATAGGCTGTGGGCAACATACAGTCCTAGGATCATAGTTTGCTGATCTCTAGCCTAGGCTTCAAGTAGAACAAAGAAAAAAAATCAACTGTGCCCTATCCTGAAAAAAAGAGACAGAAAGAAAGACCTCACCAAAACAAACAAACAAAAAAAGCCCTCACTTACTGAGAATTAATAATAACATCTCTGTCCTTAAATGTGTTGATGTTTCCAATTTTCAGTATCTACATGGTCCAGGAAATCCCAAGCCAAGATATGCAATTAAGGCAGATCTGGGTAGGTAATGCTGATAGATGCTCAGGGGAAGCAACAACATAATTTCTGGTAAGCATTCTCTCAAATCAGATTTAGAGGAGCAATGCATGACTCAAACTAAATATTTTAAAATGGAAAAGAAAAACCCCAAAGAATTTCTCTGTTGGAATTGTCAAATATTTAAAATGTTGAAAGAGAAAACAAAATTGAAGATATGTCTAGGATCCTCAATGATCTTTAGGTGTTCTAAAAAGAAAAAGATGTGTAAGAAATAAAAAATAATAAGATGAACCAGTATATTTAGAAAATATTCAAACAAAATTTATAATAATTAACACTACAGTTATTGAAATTAGAAACAGTAGATGAGTCAAGGAGTAGATTGGACATGGCTGAAGAAATAATTAATAATCTAGACGGTAGATCTAAAGAACATACAAAATACAGCACAAAGAGAAAAAGGGATTGAAAATATAAAATAACGGTTATAAAAGACAATGGCTGGAGTGAGATGGGCTAAAATAATTTGATCATAGTTTCAGATAGAAAAGAATACAGGGGGGTATGGGGGGTAACATTCAAGGTGAAATACTGAGAATTTTTCAGAATTGAAGAAAGTCCTCAAGCTTCATATTCTGAATGCATAATGAATTCCTAACAGGAAAAATTTTTAAACTTAAAGTTATATGATAGTAAAATTGCGGAACACCACAGTAAAAGAGAGCTTAAAAAAGACTGGAGAGAAAAGACATTTTACACAGAAAGGAATAATAAGCAGATTGACAATGTAAGCTAAGGCATATAAAATAATAACATTGAGGTGCTGAAAATATAATAGTCAACATAAAATTGTATTCTAGCTAAATTTTACTTAAAACGCTGAAGGAAAATAAAGATATTTTCATGAAAACCAAAGCAAATTACCACCAGTAGACCTCCAAATTCTGAACTTCTGGCAGGAGGAAAATTATCTCAGATGGAAGGTCAAGAGAGGCTTATGAGTAAAGATACTCAGAAATATGTGAATACATTTAAAATAGATTTTTCTGTGAGAAAAAGAAAAGGAATGTTTGATCTGAAGTATAAAAAAAAGAGCAAGGGCCGGGTGCAGTGGCTCACGCCTGTAATCTTAGCACTTTAGGAGGCCAAGACAGGTGGATCACGAGGACAGGAGTTCCAGATCAGCCTGGCCAAGAGGGTGAAACACCGTCTCTACTAAAAATACAAAAATTAGCCAGGCGCAGTGGCAGGCGCCTGTAATCCTAGCTACTCGGGAGGCCGAGGCAGGAGAATTGCTTGAAACTGGGAGGTGGAGATTGCAGTGAGCCAAGATCACGCCACTGCACTCCAGCCTGGGTTACAGAGCAAGACTCTGTCTGGAAGAAAAAAAAAAAAGAGTGAGAACATGTAAAAATGCAAGAACATGTAAAAATGCAACAACAAGTTGATTGTTCTAGAGACAGGTATGTTCTGGAGAAGGGAAAAGATAATGGCTGAGATACGCAAAGGATTAGACTATCATGTCGGATACACCGAAATCAGAGACCTTACCCAGTGTCAAGCTTGACTAATCATTTCAAGGATTCAGCAATCAGGAGTCCTAGGCAGAGTAGTTTCAAGGTCTTGAACCACCAGTGCAGCTCCTTTATTGCAACTTCATGACGTGCTCTGGCTCAAATAATTCATGAGTCCTCCAAGTAAGACTAATGTAGGCAAGAATGTTACTTTTGGAAGGGATCCATTCTGTCATAAAAAACAGCTTTATGTGGATAGCTACATAGCTTATTTAACATTTAAATGCCCTATAAGCATTTATCTGGAATAAATGCCCTATATGCCCATAGATGCCAGGTTTGTTTACCATAAGCAGGCACAGCCTGCTAAAATCATTCATTCTACAGATAAGGACTACTGTATTCTGCTAGCAAACCATTAGTGTGTCAGTATAATATTCATTAAGAGATTTTTTCAAGTTGCCTTATTGTTTCTTGGGGATGATCCCTTACTCCTCAAAAGGGGAATAATTGGATCCTGATGTGCCCTTAATAATTTTCTTCCTGATTATTAACTTTAGACATTATGTTAAATATGTATGATAAAATCATAATGTTAACTCTAAAAACATATATATTAATAAAACATGCAACTTCCAACCAACGGTGTGAAAATACTTGGAATCAAACCCTCGTTTAATCCAATGGCAAAACAAACAAGGCAAATAGAGCATAAAACAAGATATTAGAAATGATTTCAAATATGTTAACAACCATATTCTAACCAAAAGTTGACATAGATATATTAATATCAGACAAAATAGAAATGAAGGCAAAATATATTATTAGAGACTCTAAAAATCAACCTTATTGATAAAAGTTTTGTCTTTACCAGTTTCAGTTCACCAGTAATATAGAACCATTTTAAACAAATATGCATGAATAACATAACCTTAAGACACACAAAGCAAAAATGGATGACTAAAAAGTATATATTGTCAATTTCATTATCATAATGGGAGATTTTAATACACTTCTTTCATAAAAATTAGTAAGAATGTGAAAGATTTGGGTACTATAATTTTCCTGCTGGATCCAATGGACATTTCTAGAACTTGTGCCCTCAGATTATACTACACATAAAATGCACAGTACCTTCTTGAGAACACACAAAATATTTACAAAAACCAGCCATATTCTAGGCATAAAACAAATATAAACATATTTCAAAAAAGTAATATCATATTGCACATACCCTCTGACTACAGTGGGACCAAATTAGAGACCAATAACAGAAAGATAACTACGTATGCCCACATATCTGCAATTAAAAATATCCTCAAAGCAAAAATAACCCTTGTCAGACTCCCTTGCAGCTAGTACTCTGGATGGGATTTAGTTTGCAATGATCATGAGCACTCTTCAGAGTCTGAAATTTGGAACTGAACTGGAGAAAGAGGTAGAGCAAGAGGCAGCTGTTTTGTTGGTGTGAATTGTAGCAGAAATAACATGGTTCAGGAGCTAGAATCTATAGCTAGGATTTGCTAACATGATTGGTGAAGTTCTGATTGCCCCAGGAACAGAAGATTCACTGGAGTACAGTTTTGCTTGGAGGGCTTTGGAAATTTTCCCAGAGGCACGATAAAGAATCTGTTTTTTGTTTGTTTGTTTGTTTGTTTATTTTTTTACTTTCTGTTTTAGTCCATTCTCACACTGCTGTAAATAAATACCTGAAACTGGGTAGATGGGTAATTTATAAAGAAAACGGGTTTAACTGGCTCACAGTTCCACAGGCTATACAGGAAGCACAACTAGGGAGGTCTCAGGAAACTTATAACCTTGGCAGAAGGTGAGGGGGAAGCAGGCATGTCTTATATGGCTGGAGCAGGAGGAAGAGAGCAAAGAGGTAGTTGCTACACATTTTTAAACAACCGGATCTCGTGAGAACTTAGTGTCATGAGAAGTGTCATGAGAACAGCAAGGGGGAAACCATCCGCATGATTCAATCACCTCCCACCAGGCCTGTCCTCCAACACTGGGGATTACAATGTGACATGAGATTTGATCAGGGACATAAATCCAAACCATATCACTTTCCAGTGATGTTGTAAGATATTTTGCATCTTATAAATTTTTTAATTCTCTTGCGCTTAGATGAGTAAAAGCAGATTGCACCTAAACCCTGATCACTATGCCCACTATATTCATTTATTCATCTCTCACTTTTCAATCCACTCTAACCTGAACCTGCTCATTACTACATCAAAATCGTTCTTGCTACAGTTAACAATATTCTATGCAGAACTCAATCCCATAGTTGTTTTCAAACATTATTGTATTCCCTCAGCTGTCATTTACTCTGTTGACCACCTTCCCCCTCTTAAAACCCTATCTGCTCTTGGATTCTGTGAACGCACATTCTATGGACATTGTTCTTGCCTTGTACCTCTTTGACAGCTTCTTAGTCTTTTGCAGGTTCATCATCTTCTACTTGGCCATCGAATGCTCGTTGTCTCAAGGCTTAGTCCCAGGCTCTCTTGTAGGCTCGATTTAGAAGTGTAACGTTCGGTGTAATAGCCACCAGCTGTGGATATTTATGTTTAATTAAAATTACATAGGATTTAAAATTCAGTTCCTCTGCTTGAGCTAGTCACTTTATTCAAGAACTCACCCGTTACACATGGCTCAGTAATAATTAATAAAAATATGAAAGATTTGACCATATTGGGATGTGAACTATGTTTTAATCCATTTTGGATTCATTACTTTACCGAATTTGAGGATTATTGTCTTTCAAAATATCCATAAAATCCTCAGACATTATGTATTCAAATATTATCTTTTACCGTTCTCACTATTGTTTCCTTCTGGAACTCCAATAATTAATTTACCTACCCACATATCTCTAGGCAAACAATTTATGGACAAAAGACAAAATTTAAATGGACATTAGAATATTATTAGAACCAAATGATAAAGATAAAACACAAAATGCATGTCATGGAACAAAGCTACATGTTTTGAGGGAGATCTGTAGTCCCAAGTACTTACATTAGTCAAAAGGAAAATCTAAAAATTTTTGTACTAAGCATTCAATTCAAGAAAGTACTAAAAGCAACATCAAAATAAATTCAAAGAAGGTAGAAAAAAAGAAATTACAAAGTAAAAGCAAAAATCCCCTTCTTGTTTAATTTTCTCTTTTGCTTGCTCCATTCCAACCACATAAGGGGCTTCGATGACCTTTGAACATGCCAAGCACTGCTCTTACCTTGCCAGATGCTGATGTATCTGCTTCTAATGCTTTCCCTCCTCAAACCCACATGGCTTGTTCCCTGCTCTTATTCAGGCCTTTGCCCAAATGGGACCTCGCTGAGGCCTTTCCTGATCCTCTGATACAAAATTACATCCCTATTCCCACACTTCGTAACTACTCTACCTTGACAGAATTTTTCCATTGGATAGATCACATTTAACATAGAATATACTCTTACACAATTATTTGTATGTCTCTTTACATTAGAATGTAAGTTTCATCAGCTAAGGGAGTTTTAAACTTTTTGCCTGAAGCACCTAGAAGAATGCTCAGCTATTAATCGAAAATTGATGACTATTTGTTAGATAACTAACATTGATGAATATAAAAACAAAGAACAATAATAGAAAATAAGGTTAAAAATGCTTATTTGAAAAATGTATAAAATAATTGGCAAATTTATTTTTCTAAGTAAGATTTAAAAAGTAATTTGGATATTAAGTGCCATTTTATCTCAATATATTTGATAAACTAGATGAAATAAATACACTTATTACAGAATGCTATTTAGAAAAAGAAAATGACTTAAGAAGAAATAGAAAATCCAAGAGACAAGTGTCAATTTGTCCAAGACTGAATTCCTACAGGCTGGCTTTCCTGGAAAACGAGTTGGGCTCATGAAGAATTCTGTGAAAACTGGCCAGAGCCTAGTGCTTAATACGATCAGTCCTGGAGGAAGGCTCACAGAGTAGATCAAGCCACTAGCCAATCATGTCACGTAGCTGAATTACAAGTTTTGGGACTTCAGCAGGAAAAGGACTGGTGCTCCCTAATTCTTCAAAGCTAAGGTGGACAAAAAACAGTGGGTACAGGGTTCTACTTGATTATACTCCTGTAATTGCAGGACTCGCATTACAGTTCTTGATCACATCAGAGTGCTCTTCCAGGCCGCGACTGTTTAAGGGCCTGCCATATGCCATCCCTGATTTCACCAGAGAAGAACCTAATCATCCAGGTTAAAAAACCTGCAGCTCAATGGCCAGAATTTCTCCTATAGGAATCTGATGCTCAGCATTGCAAGATCCTGTGTGCTGCTCTAGAATCCATTAGGCAATGGTGGAACTTCAGGCCACGTACTGCTCCTGCCTCTGTTGTCTCTCAAAAAAAGCTTTTCCAGAATAACATTTGTGTGTCCTCTCTAGACGTTCCCTTCCACTGGGTGAGTAAACCCCAGAGATTTTCAATAAAAGAAATCCCATTAGGTTTTGCAAAACAAACAAAAAACCAACACCAACACCAACAACAAAAAAACAAACCTAGAAAACTTTATAGTTGAATTCTACAAAATATTCTGGGAAGAAATAATTTTCTCAATCTTACATAAATTCTTCCAGAGAAGAGAAAAAGAAGAAAGACTCTCCAACTAACTTTTTTAACAGATTAGCATATTTTGATATCAAAACTGTATAGGAACGATACAGTCCAGAATGGCCAATATTACTGGTGCACGTAGACATTTAAGTGGTAAAGAAATATGGAGGGAGATAAAGAGGAGGCAAGAGGAAGAAAAGGGTAAAGGCAGTAATATCTTAATATGTTAATACTAGGAACACTACCAGAGAAATAATATCTATATCTTCTAGATCAAGTGATAGAGACTTTTTTTAAGAGACAGAATCTTGCTCTGTTGCCCAGGCTGGAGGGCAGTGGCGTGATCGTAGCTCACTGCAGCCTCAAACTCCTGGGCTCAAGAGATCCTCCCACCTCAGCCTCCTGGTAACTGGGACTACAGGTGTGCACAACCACACCTGGATAATTTTTTAAAGTTCTTTTGTTTTGCAGAGATGGGGTCTCACTATGTTGCCCAGGCTTGTGGGCTTAAGTATATTATTTACAGTTACAAAAGGAATGATAAAAGCATTTAAACATTAATTTAAAAATTGGCTGGTGAATAGGCTAAAGAATGGTGAAAAATTTGAATTACATACCCATCTGTACTATAAGGAATTTGAAATATATATTTTATTGCTAATGGATTAAGAAATAAAGGATTGATCAAGTTATTTAGAGATATTGCAGTAACCGTTAGAAGAATTATATATTAAATGTTAAAACATGGTTTCCTCTGGAGAGAGGGTCTAGGAGAATGTGAAGTTGAATTAGGAGAATATTGCTTTCTTTATAAATCTTTCTGAACAATTTAATTTCTAACCAATACATTGCTGTGATGAAAAAATAAAATGTGCTTACTCCAAGCCCCTGTTTAAATTTAGTTAATAGCTTCACACTACTTGAGTAGTGATAGATACTTAGAGCATGTAAGACCCTTTGGAATGGGGCCTCAGTTCCACCCTCCCTCATCTCTCTCCCCTCTCTGCACTAGATACAGTGATCTTCAATTCCTCAGTGTCATACCCTCTTGTGCCCCAAAGTCTTCATATCTTGATGTTCTCTCTGTCCAAGATGCTTTTCCTCTTCCCCATTGCGTTAGCCCACGGAACTAAGGTAGTTTTCAAATGTCAGATCAAAATCCCCTATTTTGAGAAGTCTTTCTTGTTTACTTTCCTCCATAGTCTGCCAGGTTTCTTTTTCATATAGTCCCCTAGAATTATATTCTATAGCACATTTTTATTTTGAAATTACAAGTGATTAATGTAATTAATACATATTATTTTAATGTACATATTATTAATATGTAATTTCAAAATAAAATAAAATTACATGATTAATATTGGTCTCCTTGATCAGATACTACTGGCCATAATGTCATGAGTGTGCATTTTTTTAATCACTATTTCTCCACCGCTTAAATGGACACAAAACAGGTGGACCAGGCATAGTGGTACACACCTGCAGTCTGAGCTGCTCCAAGAGGCTGAGGCAGCAGAGTTGTTTGAGGCCAGGAGTTTGAGATCAGCCTGGGCAACATAGTGAGACCCCATCTGTACAAAACTTTTTAAAAATATTATCTGTGAGTGGTGGCATGCCTGTAGTCACAGCTACTCAGAAGGCTGATGTGGGAGGATCCTGTGAACCCAGGAGTCTGAGGCTGCAGTGAGCTATTATCGTGTCACTGCACTCCAGCCTGGGTGACAGAGCAAGATCACCATCTCAAAATAAATAAATAAATAAATAAAAAATAAATAGGTAAATACTTATTGAACAAATAAATGAGTCATTTATTGAATAATGAATGATGAGGAAACAATTTTGGGCCATTATAAATAAATGACAGTTTCCAATTCATTTTTTCCTTTCATCTTAAGATGGTACTAGGGTTTATGATTTCTGTTTTAAGATCTCTAGTTCATGTTTGCTTTTGCTGAAGTTCAGCAAGTTGGACTTGGTTTTTGAGCGATTCTTAGTGGTATATAGTGTTAATATTGCCTTCATACTCTCAGAGGGAGCCCTCATGATTGATAGTATGCAGAGCTCATAATGGGATATCTGGGTTGCCTGTGTTCCCTTGTTTACAATCCAGGGCAACAGCTGGTCAGCCTTGCAAAGTATTCATCACTGTTTTGGATTTCTACAATGGCAAGTTCTTCAGGGGCAGAAATTTTTTCTCCTTATTTCCATTATTCATTACAAGGATTTATTTGAGTTGCTTTGCATCATTTAATGCTTACAACAATGTTGTTATAGATGAGGAGTCTAACATTTAGAGATTAAATGTCTTGTTGAACATCATATAGTTAGTAGAGGTAGAGCAGGCAGAGACACTTTTTCAAACTCTTTAAAAGTGCTGTTTATGTCTCTTCCTTCCTCTCTTGATAAAGAATCACCAACTATGGTAGAATTGAATTGTTGTGCCCAGTTATTTTCTACCGCCATGAAAGAGACTTCTACATTCTCACCTGTCATCATGCAATTCCATTGTCTCCCTGAGGGAAGAACATACTTTCCAACTTGGCTATGTGAGTTACTTTGGTCAAAAAAATGTGAATGGGAGTGACATATACTATGTCTACACAAAAACTTTAGGCTGGGTGTGGTGGCTCATGTCTATAATCCCAGCACTTTGGAGGCCTAGGTGGGAAAATCTCTTGAGCTTAAGAGTTCAAGACCAGCCTGGGCAAAGTAGTGAGACCCTATCTTTACAAAAGAAAAAAAAAAGTAGCTGGGCATGATAGCATGTGCCTATAGTCCTAGCTACTCAGGAGGCTGAAATGAGAGGATCACTTGAGTCCAGGAGGTTGAGGCTGCAGTGAACTAGGATGATGCCCCTGCACTCCAGCCTGGGCAACAGACAGAGACCCTGTCTCAAAAAATAAAACCAAACAAAATGTAAGATCCATTGGTTGTGGCCATTGCTCTTTTCCTTCTACCATGAGAACAGCATGTTCCATATATGGGCTGCTCTTTCAACCTAGATCCCAGAATGAGGAAGAAATGCAATAGAGCTAAGACAAAGCTGTTCTATAGCCAACATGTAATATGAACAAGAAATAAACATTTGTATTTCTAAGCTACTAATATTTGCAGGTTGTTTTTTTACAAAGCATAACTCAGCAAATGCTGACTGCTATACTAACTAACTTAGCAATCACTATATACTTGGCAGAATACAAGTATTGTATTCTGTACTGTATGCCAAGTACTATACCCTTGGCAGAATAGTAAGCATTTTGCATATAATGATATCATTTGATCTTTATACAAACCTATGAAGCTGGTATAACTATCCTATCTTCCATATAAAGAAAGCAAAGCTTAGGAAGGTCATGTAAAGAATGGGGTAGATTCAGGATTGAAAATCAAGCTGTATGACACCTGAGCATGGTTAATTAACTCCTCCATCAAAATCCCTCCATCCATCCCGGGACACATGAGACCCAATACTTTAATAAACTAAACTTCAATTTTTTAAAGACCTTGAAACATGAAATGACATGATTTATTAAGTACTTTCAAGATCTGAATTACTCAAATGGGTAGAATTAGCACAATAGGAGATGTGTCCATTTATTGCTTCTCAGCTCAAGAAACCAAGCCATGCAGAGAATCTTACTCTTTACTCATTGGGCAACATCCTTTGTAATATAAGATTTAATCAAATTCTCTCGATATAACTATTTATATGTTTTGCTTTTAGCTTCTATGTTTATGGTTCAAGCTCAGCTAGGGGTATAATTATTTTGAAAGGCAGCAGAAAGAAAAATCATCTAACATTAAGTAGATCTGTTGTATGGTCATCCTTTCAAAACCAACTAGATATTTAATATTTGACATATCACCCTGATCCCAATTACCTTATGTGTAAAATGGAGCTGAAAATACTTCACAGCTTATTGACTGGGAGCTGGAAATAAATGATCTCTGCAGGAATTATATAACTCTAAGCGTGATGATTAATTGTTCTATGTTAGGCCACAGCCTAATGGCCGAGACATAGAAAAAGAATGGTATAGTGGAACAAGAGTTGTTTTGGAAGACAAGACCTGTATTCTGCTTCTGCTTCTGCTGCCAGTTCCTTTTATGATTCTCAGCAAATCATTCATGTTATCTGGACCTTGTTTCACCATTTCGTTGTCCATTTTCCTCTCTTAAATAATGAGAGGATAGGAGAATATGTTCTCTTTTGCCTGTTAGCTTGAAAAGGCACCGATTTTAAACTGAATAAATGTAAGTACTTTACATTTAGTGTTTCAAATAGGATGAGCTTACTACAACATACAACATGTCATCAAGTTCAAGGTGATGTGAACATTTCTTATAGATAGAATTATGTTTAGCTATATTCTTTCTAATGAATGTTTCTCTTTTTTTTCTTGCACACTTGTATTCAGTACAGATTCTTTCATGAAATAAGTGATCAGTAACTTTTTCTTTTTGGTAATACCTTTTTCCCGTTTCTAATATTTTGAAAGCCGGTGTTTTAGTAGTCATTTTCTGTAAGGCCACGTTAGTCTATGAAGCAAAGTTTGATTTTAAAATATCAAGGTAGCACCAAATGCACTTTGTCTACATTGATGGCTTTCTATATTGTTACATTGGTTCAATTCTCTTATTATCATTATTTAAAGCACATAGTTATATGGACTACACTGGATAAAGGTATGTATGAAAAGTATAAATATGTATGCCAGTGTGATTTTAAATGTCATCCTTCAATGTTCATATGAAAAAAATGGAATGATATGTAGGATGGTAGATTCAAATTAGATTTCTCACCTAACATTTTTAATATTTGGTTTCTTATTAAGCAAATAAAATAGGTGATAATGTATTAAAATCTTGCACCTGAAAAATAGTCATTCTGTGAATGGCTGACAGCACTTTAGGGTAGCATTAAAGTCACCATGTTTTCCTGTATCTGGGGAGCACTGTCACAGTGCTTGATTACTTCACCTAACAGGCTCTCAGAAAGATGGACCCCAATGTGGCAGCTTGTAGCTATACATTAGCGCGGTTTGTGTTACAGCCAATTGCCGTCTGACCTCTCCTCCCAGCAGAGGCAGTGTAGCGCCATCTGTACATCTTTTAGTCACATTAAATCATGTCATCTAAAGGGCCTCTGAATGTGAACAAGTTTACCTTATGCTTAGGAGAGAAATTAGTCAAACTGCTGAACTGCAAGTCCATGTTCATTTGCACTCACCAATTTTCATATTGTTTAAATCTTTTCTGGAGTGATAATACTGTCAGAGACTGCTATCTGTTCAAAATCAGCTACTGTCATAGCTAGACTATCACTAAAGATTTTTTTAAAAAGGTCATTAAGGTAATTTGAACTTTATATTTATATGCCAACTAGGTCCCAAGGTTGGAGTCTGAACTACATTCCCAATCAGGATATGGATTTTTCAGACATAATTTGGCCCAGGGGCTACCTTGCTAATGTATATTTACATGAAAGACCAAGAAATTTCATAAGACACAAGCTACTCTAAAAGAGAGAATTGAAATGACCAGGCCTATTGAAGGAACACCTTCTGGGCCCCTGGGCATGGGATATGGCCTAGGTCTGCACAATCAAAATATGCCATTACCCTAGGCACAGTAATTTTCTCCCCCGAGGAATGCACATGTGAGTAGGCTAAGGCCAATCAGAGCTCTCCCCAGGATTTTCTTTGCAGAGAATAGGGCAAGATTGTCTTTGAGATGAACTTGCTAACCCTGAAAAACATGATTATGGTTGTGCCAGTGACCATCTTAGTGGAACAGAGAGTAAATCTGCTTTATCACTGGGAAGACAGAGTCCTCATTACAGTACTGAAGCTTCTACTTTTATGCCAGCCAGACTGGAGCAGAAGTAGGATTTCTGGACCTTTGGACTTCAAAATTGCATAAGCCTTTTTTTGTTTGTTTTTTACGTGCTTGTTCAAGTCCATGTTTCTCAAAGTGTGATCTCTGTAGCAGCAGCATTAACATGAGCTGAGAACTGGTTAGAAATGCTCATTGTAGGGCCCTATCCCATACTTTATAAATCAGAACCTCTGGGAATAGGGAAGAAGTATAACAGACTCTCCAAGTAATTCTGATGCATTAAAGGTTGGAAAACACCGGTTTAAGTTATTTTGAATCAAGTTTCTAGCCACCTTCAATTGGCCAAGTCCTGATATAGCAGTGACAAATAAGAACTTTCATAACAGTGCTAATAGTAATCAGAGAAGTATTTTGGTTAAGAAGTGTTCTTACTTGACCATATCAGAGACCTAGTTTTGAATAAGGAGACTCTCTCAGGAGACTCCAGGAGTATCTGTTCTTAGTTTAGCCCCATACCAACCTAGCCTCAAGTGGAGTCACAGCCCACTGGGATATAAACATTGAAGAATCTGTTCCGTCTAGGACTTCAAATTATTAGAATTTTAAAATTGTGGAGATATGGATAGGACTCTTCTCTGAAACTTTATGTCAGCTTGAACACATTCTATTTAAAAGAACTGCTTAATTTTAATTTCAATATCTATGTTTAGAAGAGAACCTTTATAGATTGTCTCAAGGGGGAGATTTAGTCCCTCAATCTAAATATCTCTGCCTTTGATCCAAATCATTCCAATTTACTTTAACATAAGAGGGTGACTTTTTTCAACTGGCTTAATGCTGGATACTGTGTCGTCAAGGTAAAAATATAGTGAGAAATCTCTTGTGAGCTAATGGCATAAAAGCGGTATGTTCCCTGATTAACAATTAAAATAGAAAATGTGTGCTTCTGAGAAGTATTGCATCCTTGATCAAAAAAATTAAATAAAACAAAAACCACTGTCCTTCACATGCTTATGAATGCAGAATATACCACATGGAAAGTACTGGGTTTCCTTTAGTGTTATTTTTAAATATTTAGACATCTCTGTGATGCATGTTGATGATTTGGCATATTTAATTCTCATGATACCTTCTTCTCAGAGGATTTATGCTTTGAAACATATCTAAGATCTGAAAAATTATTGCCTTAATTACAAAAATAGTGTCTTTTGTACACTTTGTGTATTTCATAAGTTTGAGTATGACTACCAGTAATTACTTATTAATTGTAAGACCTGGACTAACAAACAGAAATATGTTAATCTATAAAATTCTTTGCAAGGATATTGACAACATTGACAAAATGTTTAATTAACATTTAGTTATAATTAAAGTTATATAAAGTTGCCTTTTGCAAGCTATGATTGTCTCCACAGTTCAGAGGCCTTGCATGGATGGGACCTGTATGGCTATTAATGGGAGCAAGTTTCCTGTTGGAAGTATGTGTTAGTATTTTGCAGAGAGGCTTCTTTTCCAAGACCCAAGTAGGCTTAAAAATTCCATGGGTACATATCAGTATTTTAAAGAAAACTATTTCTGAAATTAGGGTAAACGTGAAAATCATCATCAAAACAGAAAGCCAGATTGTTCTTGGTCCTTATTAATAGTCTCCTAAGCCACTGAAACAGAATTCAGCCAGCTCATGGAAAATTCTTATATCAATGTTTACTGTATATATGTTTATTGCCTTTTTAAAACCAGTGTACAGCAACAAACAGGGATAAACTTTGAGGTCAAACAAACATTTGTTAAAATTCTGGTTGTACCAAATACGCACCAGCTGTATGGAGTTAGGCAATATACTTTTTGTGAGGCTTTGTTTCTTTAATATAAAATGAAGATAATTAACACCAGTATTCCTAACACCATGTCCTACAATGTCCAGGATAACAAACCTCCATTCATCTTTTGAAATGCTGCAACATGGATGAAACTGGAAGCCATTATCTTAAAATGAATTAATGCAGGAACAGAAAACCAAATGCTGTGTTTTCTCACTTATAATTGGGAGCTAAACATTGGGTCCTCAAGGACACAAAGATGGCAACAGTAGAAACTGGGGACAAATAGAAGGGGAGGCAGGTGAAGAGGGTTGAAAAATGAACCATTGAGTACTATGCCCAGTACTCAAATGACGGGATCATTCCTACTCCAAACATCAGTATTGCACAATATACCCAGGAAACAAACCAGCACATGTACCCTCTGCATCTAAAAGAAACATTGAAGAAAAGAATAAAATTCAAAGAAATAATTACCAATAAAATAAAATGCAAGGTGATTTGGAACTTTGATGCTCATGGTATATGTAGGTCTATAAGCATGATTACCAACAATGCATTTTCAGTCTAAGAGGATAAATTTTCCAACCGGAAAATGACCATTTTTCAGTCAAGGATCTAGTAAGTGTACTTACTCTTTCATCCCTCAGGGTCACATTTTTTTTTTTTCAAAATACTTTCCCTGATACTCTAGTCTGGACTATATGATCTGCCTTTGTGTTTCTCCAAAACTGTATTCATTCTGCTATCAACAGCTTTTAGAATATACTGTCTTCTGTCTCTCTTATCCATTATAACGCATCCTCCCTGAATACTGAATTGATATATCATTTGCTTTGAAATTTCACCATCTACTTCAAGGTAAAGCATTTGTCACAATCAGTAAGAGCTCTTGATTAATTATAGTCCCCTTTCCTTTATAAACTGTTTATGTATTTATATGACAAAAATATGAAATTAGAAAACTGGATAAAATATAACGTTGCAGGGATATGGATGTGTAACAAGCCTCATATGCTGCAGGTGCATGTGGATTGGTGCTGCCCTTCTGGAAAGCTGTCTGTCATACTTAGCCAAATCAAATATATACTCACGTCCAGCCCAGCAATTCTGCTCCTAGGCATGTAACATAGAGAAATTCTCAGAGAGGTGTGTAAGGGGATTTGTTAAAGGATGCTAATGTTAGTGTTATTTCTGGTGGCAGAGAATTGGAGGCAATCGAAGTGTCTATCTCCAGGGGAGTGCACAGATCTAGTGTGGTTGGCAGCATGTATTACACACTGTACTCTGCAGCATTCAGTAATAGTGGAGCCAGATAGGTGAATATCCAGAAACATGTGTGAATCTTTAAAATATAACGCTGGGTGCGAAGATAAGAACAGTAAACTATAACACAATGTCATTTAAAATGTATGCACACAAAACAGCAACACACATTTTAAGTTTTTGAAATGATTTAAACTTTTATTTTAGATTCAGGGGTACTTTGTTACCTGAATCTTTGTATGTTGCATGATGCTGAGGTTTGGGGTACGACTAATCCCGTCACCCGCAAACTGAGCATAGTATCCAGTAGTTAGTGTTTCAACCCTGGACTCCTTCTCTCCCTCTCCCTTCTAGTAGTTCCCCATGTCTATTGTCATCTTTATGTCTATGAATACCTAATGTTTAGCTGCCACTTACAAGTGGGAACATGCGGTATTTGGTTTTCTGTTCTAAAGCAAATATTTTCAGGAACACCTAAGACCAAAATAATGTATGTCAAATGCATTGGAATGGTTGCTTTGGTAGGAGAAAGAAAATGAGAATGCTGAATGCTGATAACAGGAAAAAAAATAAAAAGAAAACATATAGGAGGTTAAATGAGACACAAACAAGAAGTCCTATAAGACCTTTTACAAAATTTGCATAATTGAAAAAGCACTGACAAACCACAAAGATTTCTAAAGCTTAGCAGCTATTAATTGGCACTGCTAAAAGAGGAAGAAGTTATGGATTATAGAAAGGGAATAACTTAGATGCTGTTATCTAAGAATAAGCTTTGTCTTCTTAGAAGAGAAAGAAATATTTAATCCTATGCCAGAAGGGAAAAGATGAGAACCACTGAATCTGCATCCTTTGCTGTCGGAATCAAATGTTTGGCATTTTAGGAAATTTCTTCTCAAGGGCTAGTCTTGAAATCAGATCCCACTGTTCACACGCTTTTCCTTTGTTTAACCAAAAATAAGAAACAGAAATTGACAGGCATTGAGAGAAACAGAAGACTCATGGAACAAATAATAGTTCTTTTTAATCATGGAAATGAGGTAGTGTTAATCAAGCAAAAACAAGCTAGGGAAGCAACAGCAGCAAATGGAAAAGGAGCAAAAAGCTCATTAAAGCAATGATCTGAAATCTAGAGAGAAGAGTGGAATGAAGACTGCACATTCTCACACTGCATCATGGTAAAGTGAAAAGAGAAAGCAGAGTTTGGTGAGAAAAGAATCTCTTCAGTTATGTGTAAACAGATATTTCAATTTCTATAAATTTCATTTCATATTTTATGTCTCAGTGCAATCAAAGTTTTTCTGATTGTTTTCTGAATTTATAGAAAAGGGAGTTTTAACTAGGTCGTGGGCCAAATACTTTCTTCAGAAAATTTAGCCAAATTTAGCCAATTTTCTCTGCTTCCTTACCTATAACCATTTTTCACCTGTTAATCGTTCTGGTTGTAGCCATTTTTACTGTAATTTAGCCATCTCTAAAGCCATGGTTCTCAAACTTTGTGCGCTTTTGTAAGAATTCCCTTGGTAATATGTTAAAATAGCACATTCTTTGGACATCTGTCCCCCAGAAATTCCGGAGTAGGGCTCAGGAATCTGCATTTCTACCAGTTCTAGTCTAGATGATAGTCTTTGTAATCACATTTTATGGAATATCTCCAAGGGGCTAGTTTTGGAAATTGGAAAATAATATACATCTGCGAATGTCACATTCCTTAAAGCAAAGTCATCACATAAGTAAAAGTTAGAAGCACTATGATATGACCCATAAAATGGGTGAATTTTTTCATCTTCCATCATAACATATCATTGTGAAGGATTCCAATGTACTTTCAAATAAAAGGAAACACTACTTCGAGTGTACTTTTGAGTTATCATTATTTCACTCATATTTAAGACATTTTTCAAAATCCAAAATTATGGGATAAGAAAAGACTTCTGGCTGAGCTGAAAGAGGCATAATGGTTATTCTGAAAACTGTCCTAAATGGGACCACTTCCTAGTATCTCTCCCTGGAAGCCATCATCTGCCAGTGAACATGCATTTACTCAGTTACCCAGGACGCTGTATTTTTTATAGCAGCACAGACAGAAGAACATTATTACCACTGTGATACCAAGAAACAGAAAATTGAAAACATTGCTATTCCTGGTTCTTCTTCCTCAACTCCTCCAAAACTCAGTCCAGGCCATGTTCCTACGTGGATTTATCCAGCTAAGGCTGACATAGAGTGCAAGTCCTCCCAGGAAAAATGAGGTAGTACATCTCTTCTCAGGTACAGTTAATGCCAGTGCACTGTAACCCCTGTGGAAGGGCAGAGCATGTGAGGCTAATCATCTCATTCTTTTGAAGAAATAGGCTGAGCCCTTGAAGAACAAACATGCCATTTTATGCTCTAACAGGAGACCCGCTTTCCATGATCAAATGATATGTTAGAAAAGCCTAGAAGTAAGTAAGTAATTAAGTAGATTAAGTAGGGTAGCTCATGCACCAACTAAGGGAAAAAGAAACAAGCCAAAATCTCTAAAAACTGCCCATCTCTGTTTCAAATTGGGTGTTATACTATTGACAAGTATTGAAGTAGCAATTTTAGAATACAGAACCATCTTTGACTTAAAAAGGAGACTCCGGTGATATAAAGAATGATTTGGGTTATACTAAGATACAAAGGGCCTTTAGAAAAATGATCAGAGTTGCAATATGTCTCAATAGTATTTCTAAATATCCTCTTAAAATTTGTATTTAAAGGGAGTCTTTTAGGACAGATACTTCATGAAAAGTAATTGAGTTACTGTTAGTAATTGAGGAATTTTATGGGACCCTCCAGTTTTGACATATAATCTCTCCCCTTTAAGTATTTTCTTTAACATAGGTACAATAACAGCATCTGCATTTGTTTTCATTATGCTGATGCAAAATTTACATGTTTAACTACGTGGGTAAATGCATAAAATTATTCACTTCGAATAGCTATTTGCAATTTAATCAAGCAGGATGAAGTGACAGGTATTCCTTTCCTTATCGTTTTCTCTATAAAGAATATTTAATTTTTCAGGCAGTCTCTCTCTTCCTTTTAGATAACTTTTGAGGTATCAGGTCTAGAACATTTTACCAGCACTGTGTGGGGAGCTTCAGTTGCATCTGTGGGTGTTTTGTCCCCATTTGTTTCCCTGTTTTTTGTAGAACTATGGCTCCTGTTAGTGTTTCAATCAGATTTGGGGGAAAAAAAGTTTCTCTGGCATTCCTTCATTCCTTCTTCTCATTTCAGTGGGTGCCATTACCAATATCTGCACCGAACAAAGAGACAAGAAACAAAGTTGTCGTGTCTCAGTCCAAATTCTGAAACCCAGAAGAGTTTTTTTTTTTCTCTCTACACCATTTGATTCGCTGTCTTATAAATTTAAAGGCAGACTTGCTTTAGTTTTATCTTGTTTTCATTTGCTCAAGCTCCGTTTCTCAGTTCCGGATGTTCTGAAGATTATGTGTAGAGATCTGACACCCATCTTTTCTTGGCTGTGGAATCCTGGCAGATTAAACTACGAACACGATAGCACTGCATTCTTCTTAAGGCTACCAGAGAAATGCCTTCCACTCCGGCCCTTAGTTTAGTAGTGCATGTTTTTAAAACAAATCGGTCAAGTTTAAAAGGGATTTTTAATAATAAATGTTAAAGGTACAATGAGATGAAAAAAAGTGTTTGGTGAGTCATTTCTGATCATTTTAAAGGACAGTCTTAGAATTTCAAGGAAGCTAGAATTCCAGGGGATAGTTTCATAAGTATGTTTAAACTTTAGATATTTGTCAACAATTAATTATTTCTTAAAGATTATACTGTTGCCAGAGAAGTTTTCTTTTTTCCAAATCGAGTGTTTACTTTTCTTCTATCTTAAGACTGTACTTTCCACTTAATCTTCTAGCAGGTGCCTTTGTTTAAAGAAAATAATTAAAGGTTATGCCATTAAAAAATGTGTCCAAAATGAAGCAAAGTGTAACTACGATAGTTGGAAAATATAAAATATTTGGCTGAGATGCCTGACAGACAACAAATAAACTGGAAAAAGAGAGGTTCTTATTATAACAACAGCTATTCCCAACCTTCTAGCTTGATCCATTCAGGGACACATTTCAAGCAGTTTCAACTCTTTTAATTAGAATTTATTTTTAGATATTTAGATTACATTACATTTACAGTTTTATTTCATTTTGTAAAGTTTCATTTCAAAACGGAAAAGATACTTATTTTGTGTGCCAGTCCTGTCCTTTGATGGTGGTGCTTACTCCCCTAAAACTCTACAGTTGTTACTTCAAAGATTTAGGTCAAAATTAACTTAGAGTCGTTTTTGACAAAGCAGAGACTTAGAAGGCCTTTGCCCAGGATGATGTTTACACATAGCAGGTGCTCAATAAATATATGTGACTGATTGTGAAAGTCATCATTATCTATTAAATATTACTATCATAAGGGCAAAATCTATAGGGAGAAAAATCAGTGCATCTATTTATCGTTCTTTTTGTTCAATGAAAATGTACTTAGAGGTTGGGCGTGGTGGCTCACGCCTGTAATCCCAGCACTTTGGGAGACCAAGGCAGGCGGATCACAAGGTCAAGAGATCGAGACCATCCTGGCCAAAATGGTGAAACCCTGTCTGTGCTGAAAATACAAAAAACTTAGCTGGGTATGGTGGTGTGCACCTGTAGTCCCAGCTACTTGGTAGCCTGAGGCAGAAGAATTGCTTGAATCTGGGAGGCAGAGGTTGCAGTGAGCCGAGATGGTGGCCACTGCCAGCCTGGTGACAGGGACTCTGTCTCGAAAAAAAAAAAAAAAAAAAAGAAAGAAAGAGTACTTAGAGTCAATCACAAATACACAGATATACATTATGCATTTTCTTTTAACCTGAACTTCCTTGTGACATGTAAATTGACTTGTTTATGTTAATAGCAGCCGTTTAGGAGTAGGTTTCTAAAGCACTGCATGATAATTAAATTGGGCATAATTCACAAATTGTATGCTACTTTGAAAATGGGCTCCTTCAAAAAGGTATAAGCTAGAACAGAATATATACCTCACAACTGTATCTGAACAGATTCTCGTTACATAAAACCGCACACACAGTGTGGCAAAGATAATGTCAGCACTTAATGTAGAAAAATAATGCAACATGTTCTCCTTTTGGTTCATTTACTGCCATATGTTACTTGAGTAATGAAAACCTATTTGGTGTAGAGACAGAAGTGGATGTATTCTGAAAACCCTGGTCAACAATGAAGGCTTATATTTGCTATTTCTGGAATGACTGCTACGTACTCAATTATGAAACATCTCTAGATTATTAGGAAATTTCATTTGATGTGTCCCCTATAAGGACTAAAGGAGGGCATTTAGTTTTCTTTCTTCATTACCCAGTTACTGTGTAATGAAAATTCTTCCAAATTTGGAAATGCCTAATAACTATGCAGTTCTACTAGTACTAAATTAATTAATATTTAAACATTTTTATCTCCATAAGAGAATGCTATTAAAGAATTACTGGTTGCCCAAATACTCATATTTATCATTACTTTATATGATATCAAACAGAACTGTGAATTAAATATTAATTTAAATTATTCTAAAATGTATCAAAAATTCTATTAATTATCTAAATTATTCTAGGTTGTGGAAAAATCTGGAGTACAAATAATAAACTTTATCAATATTTAAACAGAAGTGAATTAAATAACTTATTTAATATTACTGAGAAGCAATGTCTACAGCTCAAATCCGAACAAATAAAAACCATGTTTTGCTGTTTATTTTATATGATTGTCGAAGACAAATGAATTCCAAGGTACAAAAATAATTAGAAACACAAAGACAAATGATGGCAAATATTTTGTGAATTTGGCTTCTTAACTTTTCTGTTTGATTATGAAGAGATTTCTGCCAGGACAAAAAATAAACTGATCAATTTCTATAGAGTCATTCCATTAAGTTAGCAAATTTTTCAGACATTTAGGCTGACCTGGATCCAAACTACAAATTCATGGCTCTTAATCCAATTTGAAGTTAACTCCCCAAGTCCCTAATAAATAGGTGCAATTGTGTGGGATTATACTCTTCGCTTAAATTCACCTCAAAGATTTTTTCTGATGAAGTTTTAGCCCACAAATTTTTAGTTTACCATTTACCATTTATTGAGGCAGTATCTTTCAATTTTGCATAGTATTCATATAAATTAAAATATAATGAAAAATAAGTACTTGAACATAGCCCCTAAAGCCTCATGCAACTAAAAACAGTGGCTGATAAATTACAAAGAGAAAAATAAACCAGTTTACAGTGGCACTTTGCTAATGCTGAATTTTAAGTACGTATCAAAAAACACTGAAGTCAAACAAAGAAAATGTTTTACTAAATGGTTAGAAAACAAACTGAATCCTTCAAAATAGAAACAGCACCCTCCTCTCTTGCTCCTCCCCCTCCCACATATGTTACACTAAGCATTGTCTTGTCTAAACATATATAAATTGCTTGTTTAGAACTTGGAAAGAATTTAAGGCAAAAATCATGTGACTATGGGAACAGAAATTTAGTACTTCAAATTCAGGGTATCAGAAGCATGTCTTGCCACTTTCAATCCTAGGCATAGATTCTGGAACTCTTCCTACATGATGGCTGGAGGACAATGGAATGTCTTCAGCTTCAAACCACTGGTGTTAGCTCTAGGATTTTGAGGTAGAGCAGTATGACATTAGGAGTAGAATATGAATGACAAGTCAAATACAATCTCTGAGGGTGGAAGATGCAGGGTGAGGTTTCAGCGGATGGTGTTAAGAATGAAGAAGGAAAGGAAAGAAGTTAAAATAGAAGTTTTTATGGGATGTGGTTTATCTTCCCCCACCCTCCCCCCTTTTTGTTTCTTCTCTTATTGTTATTCCCCACAATAGTTTGGGTTGGACAGGCAATGTAAATATGGATGGTTTCAAGGGAAGGAAAATAAGACAGAACGGGTGGTCAAATAGCATTTTTTTCTACTTTTTCCCTCATTCTTAGCTTGGCTTCACTCATAAATGTTATTTTTTCCTTTCTTTTATGTTTTATTTCCAATATTTGTTCTCTTACCCCAGGCTTGGGCAGAAGGTGGCAGAGGTGGTAATCAGTAAAAATCTAATCAAAGCACAAAGAAGACAGTCATTCTGTTGTCTTTCTTTCCCTTTAACTGCCTTTGTTATTAGGATGAAGGATAAAGGACATGAACATTTTCTGTTCACCACTCTATCTCTTCTCTACTATTGGCTTCATAATTGTACATCCTCTTTAGACAGGAGGCAGGACTTAATTCTGGAGGTAGGGCTTGAACCCCAGACCGAAAGGAGGGCTAGTTGAAATAGGGATAGGGTGGCAGCAGCTTTCCATAAGACATGTCCAACAGTGTGCCGGGTCAGTTTATCATTGCCGTGGTAACACCTGGAAGTTACCACCCCTTTCCATGACAATGACCCAACGACCTGGAAGTTACCACCCTTTTTCTAGATATTTCTGTGTAATTTCCTCCTTAATTTGCATTTAATTAAAAGTGGGTGTAAATATGACTGCATAACTACCTCAGAGCTGCCACTCTGGGCACATTGCCTATGGGGTAGCCCTGCTCTGCAAGGCACAGTACCTCCGGTGCTGCTGTATGCTGCTGCCCTATGCTGCTGCTTCGATAAAAGGTGTTGTCTAACACTTCCGGCTCACCCTTGAATTCTTTCCTGGGAGAAACCAAAAGCCCTCCTGGACTAAGCCTCAATTTTGGGGCTTGCCTCCCCTGTGTCACTATCAGTCTAAGCACTGCTGCTGCCTGCCCTGGGATTTGGAGAGGTTCTGGCATTGCTCTGACCTGTAACTTTCTCACTTTTTTGTAACTCAAATAAACACTACAACCACAACTGGCCCAGCCTAAATGTTGTGTGATATTCAAAGAAACATAGTCCAGCAAACAATGTTAGTAAAATGTCACCCAGATCTTTACTTTCAGCTCTTGAAAATCACAAAAGGAGATCCTGTTCAAAATTCACAGTACCACTTTTCTGTAATTTCTCTTCCTTTACCACTTTCTCCCACGCCTAGATGCTTTGAAACCCCTTTTTCTCTACCTCTAAACTTTCAGTTTTCTGATATAAATTGCCTTTAGGGGGGACTTTTTTCCTTTTCTAGCTTTCTCTTTCCTTTTAATTTGCTCTATGTTCTCATTCCAGTAAACTTCTACCCTTTCTGATACAAGTCTCCCAATCTCTTAGCTGATTTTTCCCCAACCCCCAATACCCTAATATGTCTGATAAAGCTAATGGGGAGATTAGAATGTGGGGCGTGGAGTGGGGAGAAGTAAAAATGTCAGAATTTCCTAATAGGTAGGGAAATTTAAAGATGCTTGGAGGACTCACACATTAATATTCTTTGCCCTTGTTAGAACATCTTCAATTACCTTTCTCCTTAGTTGTCTCCCTTTTAATTACAAATACATTCAAGTTCTCTTATCCCCTAAATAATCCCCACAAACTTGCTTAAAATTTAACCTTTCAACCTAATCCTCAGACAACCCATAAAAATAGCTTTCTTATGCTGCCTCTATTTTCTAATCTTCCTTTTTTAAAAACAAACAAATCCCACCGAGGCTGGCTTCCATGCTTGCTATAGGTTACCAGTTGTTAAATTTAATGGCTTCTTTTCAGGCCTACATCGTATGGATTTCTCTGAAGTCTTAACATTCTTTCTTGAAATTTCTGTTTCTGTCTCAACAAATTATTTTGTATTTATTTTTCTTGTGACTTTTTCTTAGCCTGCTTCCTTTATATTCTCACTATGGACACATCCCAGAGGGCAATCTCAACTATTTTGTGGATAACTCTCACATCTAAAACTCCAGACTTTTTTCTGCAGAGTTACCACAGGTCCCTTTGAAAGTCTAATGAGAGGCAGCAATACTTTCCACAAGAATAAAAAAAATGCCTGTTCAATAAGCATATAAAGTTTTATATTCTGTGTCTCAAGCTATATGGACTCCTTGAGGTTCATCCATAGACAACCTGCTCCAGAGCTAGATAGCACTGCGATTAACATGTCTAGCTGAATATCCTTTAGGCTCCTTCAGCTTGTCAGGTTCTTAGCCCTCCCTGTAAGCTTCTCTTACTCCATCAAAACTTTATCAAGTTCCTCCTGATTTTACTTTCAACTATTGGCATCACTGTCTAACAGATCATCCAGACTAAAAACCCCTACGTAATTCAGTGTCCTTCTTTCTTCCGAGATATACCAATACGGCACCAAGTTCCGGCAATTTCATGGAATCATTTCCTAGTTATCTGCTTTACCTGCTGTTATATTAATTGGGCCCTCTTCACATGTTTTTTTATACTCCAACATTTTATTCTAGATTTCTCTCACTGTAATTCATCCTCATACTGTCAACGACTCTGTGAAGCTATCTTTCTAAAGCACAGATCTAACCTAATTCCATGCCTAAATACATTTGTTGACACCTTATTGCTTCAAGCAGGGTCACAAACTCAAATGCCCTTAGAAGGCAGACAACGAATATAAATCAGTGAAAAAATGACTGGGCAGGAAACAGCCCAGAGGTAGGGGATCCTAGAGGCAGCTCCCACTCAGTCCTTGTCATTTGTTGCCATATAAAAACACATGTCCAATGTTGCCAAATATTTTAGTTTTTCAAGAGAAGGTAACATTTAAATTTTTTAAGTAAAATCTCTTAATTTTAAATGATTAGCTCCAATTATTTAAAGTATGATGTAAGATAAAACTGTCAAGAACGCTAAAGTATCTGACATTTTATGCTAATTGCAAGCTAACAATTTAGCCTGTTATAGTTTCATGGGTGTTGGCAGAAGATATGAAAGATAAAGAACTTTATTACTCATGGTAATAACAATAGCCACTGTCAACATGCGCCCTCATTCCCTGAACCCGATTCCAACAGTGACATGAAGGGGATCAGGAGAGAGCAACACACACAGTGGTTTGTAGTACAGGAGAATTACCCTGAGTTTTGGGACCTGAATATTTTATAATGGGCAGTAAGTTTGCCTGCCATCTACTCTGGAAGGAGGCACTATTTTCCAGGTCTGTTTGCTACACAAACATCTCTGTGAAGATGGTATGGAAAAACAAAGGCAGTGAGTACTTCTGCTTGTAAGATATGCAGAAACCTGAGAGACATATAGAGAATTGTCTCTCTACAACCAAAATTAAAACAGATTCAGAGAGCAGCTCTAACCTGTGGGATGTGAGATTGTGACCTATGGTATAGAGCTGAGGTCATCATACTACAGCCTGCATACTGGCCATCTGTTTTTGTAAATACAATTTTCTTGGCCCTGTGCCATGCCAATTCATCTGCATATACCTATGTGCTTTTGTGTACCATGGCAAAGTTGAATAGTTGTAACAGAGAGCAAGCTTAAAATATTTGCTATTTGATTTTTTAAGGAAAAAAGACTACTTTTTCTTGACTGAACACTGGTATAGAGAACACAATTTCAGCATGTTATCTAGAATACTTTAAACATTAGGATCAACAATTAACGAATGAATTAAACAAATATGTTTTGAACAGTTACTGTTTGTCGGACAGGGTACAAACAAGATAGTGATGCTGCTGAAACAATAAGAACAAAAAATCATTCCTTATTTTCTAGGGGCTCCAGGCCCAATAAAGGACACAGACAATAGAACAGTGAAAATAATATAGCATAAACTTTCCTATACTTGCTGTAACCACATGGATTTGTGGAAGTACATAGGAGGGAGAGTCTACACAGCCTGGGAGAGTAGGGAGGCTTCCTAAAAGAGAGTCTTCAAAGATGAAGATGTATTCCCTAGATAGAGAAAGAGGTAAGGACATTCTACATACAGAAAGCAGAGGGTTCAAAACTTGGAGGTTGGAGAAAGAAGACAACATTGGGCCAATGTGTTTGGTAGAGAGAAAATATTAGGTACAAGAAAGGGCAGTGTGTATGTGGTGGGGTGGAGAAATGGGTGACATGAGTAGGGGCAAGTTCATCAGAGGCTTTGAATGTCTTGCTGAGGAGTTTATTCTAAAATAATGAGAGCTTTAAGGTAAGAATTATATGGCATTTTTGGAAGTTAGTGAGACTGAAGAGGAAAAAAATGCCAGTTTGGATGTGGTTGCACTGACTCAGATATAAAATAATTAACACCAGAAGGAAGCAGTAGGGAATGAAGAGGAGGAATGGATTAGTTCTCACACTGCTATAAAGAACTACCTGAGACTGGGTAATTTATGAAGAAAAGAGGTTTAATTGATTCACAGTTCTGCAAGCTGTTCAGGAAACATAGCTGGGAGGCCTCAGGAATCTTACAATCATGGCAGAAGGTGAAGGGAGGGCAAGCACATCTTTACATGGGAGCAGGAGACAGAGAGAGAAGGGGGAAGTGCTACACTTTCAAACAACCAGATCTCGTGAGAACTCACTCAATATCATGAGAACAACAGGGAGGAAATCTGCCCCCATGATTCAATCACCTCCCATTAGCCCCCTCCCCCAACATTAGGGATTCCAATTCAACACGAGATTTGGGTGGGGACACAGAGCCAAACCATATCAAGGAATGAGCAATAGGAAGGAAGAGGAGATGGGATTAGATATTCACATTCTTTCATGTGCCCTCTGCTCCAGCCACATCAAATTATGTCCCTTTCCTTGAGTTCAGCATGCTTTTTTCATATGTGTGTGTATGCACATGTGTGTATTCTTTTCTGAGGTGAGGAAGAAGGGATCTCTTTATGTACTTAGGGTCTCAGTGCCCACCAGATTATAAGCAACCTGATGGCAGGAACCATGCCTTGATTATCATTATACTCCTAAAACCCTATGAAGAGCTTCGTACTAAATAGAGACTTAGTACATTGCTGGTAAATGAATGAATGGATGAATGAATCAATGAATACATAGGTGTAACTTCACCTTCTTTCCCACTCATTCATTAGAACTCAGCTCAAAAAGAACTCCTCTTTATAAAGCTGAATTCCTTTCTTTACTCTTGTTACTTCCCTCAGAGTACTGTGTTCCTAGAGAATCTTGCATTATTACATGAAATCAAACTGAATAGCGATGGTCTCTGTCAGCCCCAGGAGAATTTTAGAACTCACGGGGGAAGTCTTATTTTTTATCCTATCTGTAGTGCCTGGTGCAGTACAGACAGTTTATAGTTGTTGCCTAATAAATGTTAGTAAGATGAACATGTACTTACACTTTACCAGGTTTATCTCTGATGAATCAATCATCTTTCTAAACAATTCAGACTGACTATTCATCATTTCATTTGGTAATCCAGTCCATGATCTGATCTTCAACTTTGATATATCTTTAGCCTGACAACAGTTTAATTGCTGGACTGCGCAAAGATGGACACAGTCTCACTCTTTTTGTGCCTGATCAAATGAATGTATGCTTAATGTAGTGAAAACTTCAGACAACTTGGCATCATAATGGCTAAGAACCATAAAAATGAAGAAGAGTATAAGCAGTTGCTTGCCTGTGTTCTAATTGTATAGGCACTGTTTTAGCTTACCATCTGCAAAATTAGAATGATATTAAGTTTATCCCGAGTGTAAAGTATGAATAGTAGGTGGTTAGGGGGTATTTTGGACTTACAGTACCCTTTGCCAGCAGTGGTTTGAAGATTCTTGATGCTGCTGCTATGTGCTTTTATCCCCTCTGAGAGCACTCCATTTGCCTCATTAACCATAGGACTTGAATTAATATGAATTATTAAAGCAATTTCTTGTTGTCTGCTTTTTAAAAAGCATTTGGCTAAACATCATTGTTCTTTTCACAGGAAATGTTGATTAACCCTTTAGCATAATTGTTTAAAGAAAACATAATATTGCCAGTTTTTTTAATGCCTTAAGACAGTGTTAATAATGAAATATAACATAGTTAATTATTATGACCCTGCCTCCCCCTTCCATGGGGAGAAAAGAAGTGCTATGAATATACAAACAATAGATTTTCAATGGATTACCATATTTCTTCTTCCTTTTCATCTAGTTTTTGCACATCTCTTCTACTATTATCACACTTACAATGTCACCATCAATCTTGGATTTTCATAGTGTTTAGCATTAAAAAGAAACCACTGCATAGTCTTAGACATTCAGCTACAAGAAGAGTTTAGTAAACACTATAGCTTTAGTCATGCACAACTAGGGAACTAGAAGACTAAAGAGCTCCTTTAGGTATTGTTTGAGATAGATGTGTAAACTGGGTGGACGCCAATTGACAACTGTAATCAAGATTCATAAGTTCAGAGTGGACAAACCAGATAGATGGTGGACCTTACATACCAATTTTGAAGTGTATTTATCCATGCCTGAGTGTGCTGTCATTACACATCTGTTTATAGGAGCATGTAGTCTTCCGGAGTCAGTTTTGTCAACTATGTTGGTCTCTTGTGCCTGAAACAATCTTTAGGGGAACAAGGATGAAAGTCACTTCTCTAGGGTATATAGCCTTTCTCTAGATTTCTCAATTTGGATACGTTTAGGTAGGAGTGATTCAGAGCTTTGTGCCCAAACCTGGTCGCAAGGAGACAGTATAATGAAATCAATCCTGACTCTAATTATTATCCGCCTAGACTTCAGACAAGCTAATATAGCTCTCTTGATCCTTGATTTCCTCAACTATACCAGATGAAATTTTATAAGAATTAAATAGAGTATTCTATGTAAAAGAGTTAAAACAGTGCTGGCATAGAGTAAGTCCTTAGTAAATTTTAGTTGTTATTTTCTCACACAAACCTTAAAAGGAAGCTCAGATAATCCTGGCTTCTTCTTGCTGACTTCTACGTCGTGCAGTTTGGAAGGCTCTGTCAGATGGCAGTGGCTCCCTTGGTCTTCCAGAATTTCCTGCTTTAGTCTGCAGGCATAACAGGAGATATGACCTTATTTAGACATTAAAGGGAGGAGGTGGGGAAGAAGGGAAAGGAAGAAGGGAAAGAGAGAGAACCGAAGAAGGGAAGGGAAGAAAGAAGAGATGAAAGGAGAGAAAAAGAAAGGAGGAAAGAAATACCTTTTCCTCACAAACTTTGCCAGTCTATTATGAGGACAGCATTTGCTAATTAGCAAACTGTTTTAAAATTTGTACAAAAATAATTATGGATGAAACAGAAAGCTATGCCTTAACACATTGTAATATTGAGTTATATTTGTCTTTATTTCAGTTGATTCAACAGTTGGCATTGCCACCCATTACCTTATCAGTATGCAAACCTTGGTTTTCCATTTTGAATTTGTATTTTTAAAACTTACATTAAACATTTCCCTGTGAATAGTATAAGTTTCTCATATGATGGTTAATGATAACTTTGCTTAATCCAGAAACCGTAGTTTTTCTCTAACACTGTAAAATCATTTTAGGTCTTACTACAGGCAAACAATGACATTTATACTAGAGCTGAAGATAAAGTAAGTGTTGGGTGCTTCTTCCTGGTTCGAAGGATGACTTAGTCAGGAAAGTTAATGACTGATATTTGGCTATAGAATAATTTAGAAGGGAAAGGCAAAATCAATTTTTATGAATTAAAAAACTCTCATGATTATTTAACATGCTATTTATAAGCTCTTTTGTAATGGAGAATGCTGACATAAGAAAAACTAGTGTAAACTATGAGGCAAAAATTACACTATTTTGTCTTAGCTTTGAATAAATAAATACTAAAATTTGTTCTACAAAAGATAGGCCTAGTTGTATTTTACAAAGGCTATGTTTGTATAGCATCTCATGGATATAAGTTTATATTCAAAGTTAATATAATTTTTAAATTGTTTGCATTTTTAAAATTTTTTTGACAATTATCACAGCCGAGCTGAAAGTGTTAGGCAAGTTAAAGTAGGCACTGAGAAGACACTTTTTTATTCCTCCTGATAGTCATTGATATAATTAACTGCCAGCAGCAAAGTTATATATATATTCCATGGCCTTGAATTTGAGTCTAGCTAACTGGCCCCTGTGGGGCTAATGCCCATGACTTTGGCCTTTTTTACTATACTTAATAGTACAGAAATACAGATTCATTCGGCTCCTGAAGGATTAGAGCTTTCTCCATCTAGCCTCCTCTTCAATACCTATGCTGAATTTTTTCTTTTTTTGCTTTCAAGGATCTAAATTTGGCAATAATTGGTGAGTGCTGATTCTTAAACTTAAAAAAAGTCATATTGGCAATCTTTTTTTCTCTCTAGTCACAAAGTGTTAAAAACACCAAAGAGAAAAATGGAAACGTCCTAGCATTCCTAGAAGGCATTGTTCTTTATGCTCCCTTTAGGCTAAGAAAGGGAATGCTATTTCTTCTTCCTTGTTCTTAAAGAAGGGAGAGAATGCAAAGAATATTAGATCAGGAAAATGTTCTACTTTTTCAGTCTTATTAATATGCCCTTCCCACCAGTACCAGCCCCTCTCTTCTTTTCTTTTTCACCCCTTCTCTCACTAGCAACAATTTCCTGAGGACACAGAGTCTGATAGTGCAAATAGGGTCACATTTGGAGACAGTTCGGTGATATATGCTAATATCCACTCTGGACTAGCTGAGATCACCAATTTCATTTCTCTTGTTATCTATACCCTATGAACTGCAGCCTTCAGGGCAAAAGGTATTTAACCTGCAATAATACATTGCCTGGGAGCCATTCAGTGTTTATGTCAGTCTATATTTTTATTTAGAAACAATTAGAGCTAGTTGGATTTCAAGAATTTTCTTGAGTTTCAGGTCAAAGTTTATTTTTTAAAAAAGAGAATAATCTACAACTTTGTCAGCATGCAGCTAAAATAACAACTATATTTTTAGATTGCTAGTTCTTTTTTCCTTTGGCTGCATTTATCCCCTGCTGCCATAAGGTATGCACGGACATATACACTGAGAGCACACAGGGTGAAGGATGTGGGTATGGATGGTGGGGAAGATTTGTAAGAGATTTGTACTTGGTAGCAGTAAAAAAAATTCCAATAAACATTGTTTTCATAGGATAATCTCATCTCTGGAGAATAACAGGCATTTAATTAAAATAAAAACACCCATTGATTGAATTACAAAATTTTTAGATAATCACAATTCTGACCTGTTGCCAAGTTAGAAAATATAGTAATGTTCTCATTTGGTACTAATGGTATTGGCTACCACTGAAGTTTTTACTCACTGTGATACCTATTACCAATAAAACAATGTAAAAACAACTTCAAATATAATTTTAAATGATTACAAATGTTGATCATGTTACATTATTTTTCACTTTACAATTATTTCTTTTCATCCCTAAAAATAAATACCTGAAAATATGAAATCTTTATATAGACATCGCAGACAAAACATAAAATCTGTTCAAGTCAGGTCCCCTAATATGGACTGGGATAAACAGAAGCCGTGCCCATCATCAGTGCGCTTTTTCAAAATGCTTGTCTATTACATAAATAAAATAATTTCTTGCCAATGAGGGCAATTTGCATATAGCACTGAGATACAGTATCTCTATTTTTTCATTAGGCTGTTTTCAAAGAAGTGAGTAGAAATTCATCTGAGTTATGTATATAATGACACGTTAAAATAATATGCTTGTGATAATCTCATGAGAATCAAGGGCCATGTGACCTGACAGCCAGGACTCAGAGGGGAATGGAGTTTAGTAACTAGATATATCCCCAACCGTCTCTAGGGACCTCAGAGTAAGTGTTTGTAACTAATCTACTTTTCCTCCCAGTGTACAAATAAAGATTAAAATTCTGCATATCTGCTTCTCTAGTTATCATTATCAAACAAATCATTCTTTCATGTGTATATATACAGATACACATATACATAAACATACATATAACTTAATCCACTGCCTACTATTAGCTTCGATTTCTTCATCTGACTCAGTTTCTGCTTCTTCATGACTTCAGCTTTTCATGAACTCTACGGAATTCTCCCATAACTTATTTCCTGTTTTAGCTCTCCCTGCTTACTCTGATTCTCTCCACATTTCCCATTGAAAATTCCTTAAAAAGGAGAATTTTATGCTTGCCCTCTGCTCCGTCCTGCGTCTGCCCACTGCCCTCCTACCGTCCACCATGGCTCCTCTGCGCTCCAGCTGCGTCGTCTCCGGGATCGCCGCCGCCTTCCACCCGGGCTCGCCTCTGATGCCCCTGCCAGAGCCAGCTCCTGGTGGACCCATGTGGAGATGGGACCACCAGATCCCATCCTTGGAGTCACCGAAGGCTTTAAGAGGGACACCAATAGCAAAAAGATGAATCTGGGAGTTAGTGCCTACAGGGACCACAACGGAAAGCCTTACAGCATCCACAAGGCAGAGGCCCAGATTGCAGCCAAAAATTTGGACGAGGACTACCTCTCCATTGGGCGGCTGGCTGAATTTTGCAAGGCATCTGCAGAAGTAGCCTTGGGCGAGAATAGCGAAGTCTCGAAAAGTGGCCGGTTTGTCACTGTGCAGACCATTTCTGGAACTAGTGCCTTAAGGATCAGAGCTAGTTTTCTGCAAAGATTTCTTAAGTTCAGCCAAGATGTCTTTCTGCCCAAACCAACCTGGGGAAGTCGCACACCCATCTTCAGGGATACTGGCATGCAGCTACAAGGTTATCGATACTATGACCGCAAGACTTGCGGTTTTGACTTCACAGACACTGTGGAGGACATTTCAAAAACACCAGAGCAAAGTCTTCTTCTTCTGCATGCTTGCTCCCATAATCCCACAGGAGTGGACCCTGGTCCCAAGCAGCAGAAGGAAATAGCAACAGTGGTGAAGAAAACAAAAATCTCTTTGCACTCTTCGACATGGCCTACCAAGGCTTTGCCAGTGGCAATGGTAACAAGGATGCCTGGGCTGTGCGCCACTCTGCCAATTATACGCCATTGTCGCTGCCAATCATACACCAAGAACATGGTCTTACACAGTGAGGGTGTGGCAGGCTTCACCATGGTTTGCAAAGACGCAGATGAAGCCAAGAGGGTAGAGTCACATTTGAAGATCTTGATGTGTCCCATGTATTCCAACCCTCCCCTCAATGGGACCCGTTTGCTTCTACCATTCTGAATGCTCCAGATTTGTGAAAACAATGGTTGCAAGAAGTGAAAGGCAAGGCCCATCGCATCATTAGCATGCAGACTCAGCTGGTCTCTAACCTCAAGAAGGAGGGTTCTACCCACTACTGGCCACACATCACTGCCCAAATTGACATGTTTTGTTTCACAGGGTTAAAGCCCGAACAGGTGGAAAGGATGAGCAAGGAGTCCTCCATCTACGTGACAAAGGACAGCTGCTTCTCTGAGGCAGGGGTCACCTCCAGCAATGTGGGCTACCTTGTCCATACCATTCACCAGGTCACCAAGTAATGTCCCTGGTGCAAGGAACCAGAGACAACCTTTCTGTCTTCAGCCTCTGCTACTGGGAGCTTCACAGAGGATGAGAGAGGGTGGATGGTAGTAAGTGGATCATTTCCTTCAACCACAGTGTGTAACACTCAGCGATTGAATGTTTCTCAGAAAAGAACATGTAGTGACATAGGGCAGAGGCATCTGTGGCTGGTGTCTGGAACATTGTGGCTCTAAACAAAACTCTACCCTATCCTTTTAATCCAACTTTTCTCAAAGAGTTTACATGTGCAAGAAAGTCATCACACAAGGAAACCTGTCAATTATGCTATTGGAATATTTTAGAAGATTTAACTGAAGTGTTATAGAGTTCGGGTTCCTCATGATAAATAGCACACATTAGAGGCTTTGAGAGAAGACCTAGTTCTGTCATGAACAGTTGGCCTCAGGTCTGTCCTCTCATCATGGAGCAACCTTATCAACAGACCATATTGCAGAAATTTATGTTTATGAAAACCAATGAGTCTGCTGCCACTACAGCAAGGAAAATATGCAGATTCCTGTCATATTTAAGAAAAAGAGAAGGCTCTCTTTTCTTCTTTGTCATTGCTGTTCTTTTCCTTAGGCACAAAGAATTTTAACCAATGTAAATTTTTATCCCATTCTACCGCATGATTGACCATCAACCCCATCCTATCGGGATTTATTTAAAAATAAAGAGGCCGAGCACAGTGGCTCATGACTAATCCCAGCACTTTGGGTGGGTCACTTGAGGACAGAAGTCTGAGACCAGCCTGGCCAACTTGGTTAAACCCCGTCTCTACTAAAAAATCAGTCAGGCATAGTAGCGGGAGCCTGTAATCCCAGCTACTCGGGAGGCTGAGGCAGGAGAATCGCTTGAACTGGGGAGGCGGAGGGTGCAGTGAGCCAAGATCGTGCCATTGCACTCCAGCCTGGGCAACAAGAGCGAAACTCTATCTCAGAAAAAAAAAAAAAAGAAAAAAAAAAGAATAAAGAATGTAATTTTCTGCTGATCTCATACCCTCACCCTTCTCGGCAAAGAATAGTGGAGAGTAGGTAACCACACTTTATCTCAGCATCCTCTTCAATGATTGTGTAAATTCCTCCAGTTGGGATGTTGTCTCTGACCAGTTGGACCTCCTCCCTTTGTTGAATGTGGTTGTGCATTTGCTCATCTCACATCATGAGTCAGACGCACAGGCTAGTACTAGGAAAGAGGATATTCTAGGCTATGTGTGCTGCCAGCTGGGCTCAGGCTTCACCCATTGGAAAGAACCACCATCTGCTCTAATTATGTAGACTTATTGCAGCCTAGTTTCTCTGTTACAATAAAATTACTGTAAACCGCCCCCCACCCTGCCACCCCATGCCCTGCAAAAAAAGAGAATTTTATTTACTCATTTTTTTAATGTCAGGCCTTAGCATTAGTTCCTAACCAGACTTGGGTTGTATGCCCATGCTGACTCAATCAGTTCTGGCTTACGAGGTCTGTATTGTGCCACCTCTTTAGCATGAGCTGTAGGTAAGGGCGCTTCACACAAAAGAGTCTGACACATCTTTTACATCCTAGCTCAAGCTATTGTTACTTTAACCCACTATATTTTCTGAATTAGTCTTTCCAGTAGGTTATCTAAGGAAAGTAATATGGAGTCATTATTAGCCATACAGCCCCAACTCAAATACATTGATTTTGTCAAATATGTTGATTATGCAGTCACCTGGCAGGGACCTGAGAGAATAGGTAATGTTGGCAAGATTTTATGGAATGGAAATTCAATTGGGCATCAGAAGACCTGGATATTAGCTCTCTGTGGCCATGAATTAGGTCTCAAAATTGGGCAAGTTTCTTAGTCTTTCAGACTTTCCATTCTACATCTGAAAGTTGGGGAGATAAGCTGTACAACTTATAAGGTGGCTCCCAGTCTGAAATTCTGTGGGCCCACATCACGAATCTTGAGGTCAGAATATATCTAGAATATGAAGAAGGCAATGAGCCTCTCAGAAGCTTCTAGGTGATAAAAGATCAGAATGAGGGCATTGCTTTTTTTAAAGGAAGACTATCTATCAGAAATGACCTCCCTGAGCTAATATGTACTTGCAGGTCTAGGATGGGTTATGGCAAACCCACTGACTATAGTCCACATACAAAATAGTTGGGACAGGACTGAGACACTCAAAGTCTGAGAGAAATAGATTCTAGAGGAAGGAAGGAAGTCAATCTATCAAATACTTTCAGAGATGACTTAACTTACAATTAGCGAGTGTGCCTATTCTCTGATAGTCAGGAATGTCAACACTCAGTACATTATTTGATTTAGCTCTACATTTTTCTTATCCCAGAGGCTGACAGTTTTCAGTGGCTACAGTGAGCTGAACCCCCAAGAATATAGACATGAATGAAATTGGAGTTACATTAAAAAAAATCAATATGTAACCTGAGAAGCGATATGCAAAGTCATTGGAAGGAAGCTGAATGGCTCCTAGGCCAGCAAACTTCACAATCATCTGATCGAATATATGAGATCTAATGAAAGACTCTTAGAAGGCAGGTGCTATGATTTGAATGTGTCCCTCCAAGTTCATGTGTTGAAAATTTAACTCCCAATGCAATAGTGTCAAGAGGTGGAAGCTTTAAAAGGTGATTAAGTCATAAGTTCTCTCCCCTTATGAATAGAATAATGTTGTTATCACAGGAGTGAATTTGTTATAAAAGTAAGTTTGGCTTCCTCTTGTTCTTTCTTTTGCCTTGTGATGCCTCCTGCCTTCTGACACAGCAAGAAGGCCTGTACTAGATGAGGATCCTTGATCTTGGACTTGCCAGCCTCCAAAATCATGAGCCAAATAAAATATTATTGTTTGTAAATTACCCAGTCAGTGCTATTTTACTACAGCAGCACAAAACAGAGACAGCAGGTATCAGTAATATTTTGTTATAGTAGCACAAAATGAACCAAGACAGCAGGTAAGCAAATCATGGAACAATGGCCATGACAGAGTGTTGCAAGCCAACTTGGCTTGTGCTCATCTAAGCACTGTCCACAGAGAAGAGAGTTTTAGCCAATGGTCTTCTGCTATTCCAGATTCATTAACAAAGTAGCAATAAATGCCAGTGGTGGACTTTGAGGTTTTTGGATTCTCATAATTTCTTATTGGAGATTAGTATATGGACATTCTAGTTATGTTAATACATAGGTCCCTAAGTTCTTGATTAATGTACATTTAGCCTTAAAGAGATGCATTTTCATTTGATGTGATAAAACAATCAAATGTTGTTCTTCACACCCAAGGACCAGACACTAGGCAGTGATACATTCACCAAAGTGATGGTGGTCACACTGAGGTCTTCAACATGGAAGAATGTCAGTAAATACAGACAGTCTTCCCATGGTGACCACAACGCATCCATGTGCCTTCAGGTCATTCTTATGCTTAATTTTTAAAAAATATTTACACATTTGCCCTCAGAGTAAAATCCCAACTTCTGACATGGCCTTATCCACTGCTACCTCATCTTCTCCAACTCTGCTATTCAGTGACATCACTCAAACCACACTTCCTCTCTTCCTGTGCTGCTAACTTATCAAGGTTGTCTCTGCCTTGGAGCCTCTCCACTCATTCTTCTCTTCGCCTGGAAATTTCTTTTCCTGATATGTATGTGGCTTATTCCTGTTCAGCATTCAGGCCTTAATTAAAAATAATGACAGAAGGCTTCTGTGACAATCCTATCTAATATAGTTCTCCTATCTCTACTTCATTCTATTTCATTTAGTTTTGAAAAGTTTTATTTATTATAGCTAACACTAGTCAAAATGATTGCACTTATTTGTTCCCTCTTTTTTAAAAAAAATGTTTTCCTCACTAAAAATATTTATTCTGTGACAGCAGGACCTTGCCTGTTATGCCCATTGCTATATTCTTAGCAACAAGGAGACTATCTGAAACATGTAGAAAACTCAATCAGTGTCCTTTAAATGAATATAACAGATTTTTACTCTGGCCGTTATCTGATCAGCTTAAGCTTCCCATACTAGAGAACAATTATCGGTTTTGTTTTGGTCAGGTGGTGGCATTCCCATGGGGCTCACAAAAAGACCCTGATTTTTAGAAGAAAACTACGTGGTTTAGGTTGTGCTTCTCTCCAGAGCCTTAGTCCAAAGCAAATAGACATTTAGCATTAAAGAAGATGTATTTCCTACTTGGAGGCCTGAGGACATTATCAGCTACACTGATAATCTCAGAACCAGAACTAAATAGGGAATTCTTTCATATGCTTCTAATCGGGTAGATAAGTTGTGTATGATTTATACAATGTAATTCAAAGTAAACTTTTCTAATTATAATGTCACTCCGTGTTTCAGGAATTGAGAAGACAGTGTGCCATAGTGGAAAGAGCTCAGGCTCTGGAACCAATAGAGCTGGGTTTGCATTCCGCTTTATTGCTTACTAGACTTTTGCCCATGGACGAGCCCTTCCAACATTTGAGTCCCAGTTTTCTCATCTGTAAAGCAGAACTGGTAATATTTTCCAGAGCTGCCGTGAAGCATGTAAATATTATGCATAAAATACCTGGCATATCGTAGACAGTTATTGACTTATAACTACCATTTTTATGAAGATGTCACAGCCTATGTTGGTATTGTGTTTTTGTATTTGATTTTTTATCTGGCTGCAAGTTATAGAGACTACTTCTGGGAACACCAAGTTATGGGTTATAGAAAGACAGCTATCTTGAGAGGAGAAAAGTATGAAACTCATACCATTGTTGAGTACTGTCTGAACTGGCAGTGGATCCAAGATAGCAGTGGGAACTGTAGTAGCTGGCATTCAAGTATATGCACTAGAGGACTCCAACATTCACATTGTCCAGTTGCTCTCCAATCAGATATTTTCTTCTCCTTTTACTACTTGCTTAGTCTCTATATATATTGTGTATATCTTTTTATTACTTCATGCTTTTTGCTAACAAATAGACTACATTTTTTTACAGTTTCAGCTGACTACAACTCTGTCTTCATAACTCCACCTTTCTCATTATGACCCATCCTCTGCTTCATACCTCTTAAGTCTTATGTTCAGCTTCCAAATTCTACTAACTGCCTGGTTTTTGGTTTGTTTCAGTACTTTGTTCTGAAGAGGTTCTCATATTGGTCTTATTCAAGTTTTATGATCAAAACCATGCCATCATTCTCTAAGCCAGATATCAGTTTGACCCACTTGAAATCAACATTTGTATATGTCTTAATGGACAAACAGCAATTTCATGTGGTACAATCAGATACATGTTGCCTCTGGTGAGGAACCATTGCTAGAGCCAAGAGTGAGGTAGTGCTATTTAATAAATAAACAACGATAAAAGTAAGAGGTCTATTTCACCCATTTAGGACCAGTTGTGGCTGGGACGGGCATTGGATTGGCTTTTTGGCAAAATATTTAATCATTTTTATTGCCTGAAATTTTCGACCCAGAAATTTTAGACCTAAAATAGACCCTTTATTTAGTATAACCCTTTCACTTTAGAAATAAGGAAACCAGACCTCAAACAGATAAGTCCCATGTGACACATAAGAAATTAAAAGTTGGAAAACTAAATTAGTGAAAGAATGTTACAAAGATACTGGTTTATTTATGTTCAAAAAATCTGAGTGTACAAAAAACACTAAGAGACAGACTATTCTATCAGAAATATCACAATCTAATCGGGAAGGAAAGATTAGTATAATAAATATAATAACTGTATGCACAGGGTGAGGAAGCCTAATGATGGAGTTTAGGGGAGACTCAGGGCAATTTTCAAGAAGAGCAGATGTCTGGACTGAGACTCGAAGAGCTGAGTCAGTGTTGGGAGGCGGCTATGACTGTGAAGCAGGTTCCAGAGTAAGAATGGGGAAGATGTGTGAGCGTGTGGTACGTGGTGTGGGAAACAATAGGGAGGTTGGGCCATAGGTTTTCGCTGAGAAGTGTCCATGTCTGTCTCTCCTCTCCCTCCCTATCCTCTGCATTGTCTTCTCCCTCATCTCTATTATGTTCACCTCCAGCAAATCTTAAAATAAATTTGCATTCTATCTTCTGATCCAAATAGCACTGTGAAAAGGTTATTTAAGAACATTTAGAGTGGCAGAAGGAAACCATTTGGAATTTGAAATTTATCATAATTAAACCATGAGTTGTAAGGAGCCTGTTTCATTTGGGGTACCCAATAAAACTTCTTCCTTACCCCGTCTTCTTATGGAGGCTGTCATTTCCTTGGTGAAGGTCACTTTAAATGGTATTCAGGTCTTTTCAGGTGTTTGCAATCCAATGGGTGTTGTCATTTTTGCACTTAATAAGCACACTTCCAATTCCTTCATCCAGTCATGATGCCCTATAGTACACCACCCAATATATCCTCCTCCCCCAGGATGACAGCACGCAATTGATTACCGCTCTTTAGGTACTCCCCTTTAGCTAGTTATGGGCCACCTACTTCAGTATGGTTCTGATCGTGTATACTTAATGCAGCTGCTTTATTTTTTCCTGTATGAGTGACTGAGGTTCTAAGAAATGATTCGTGTGAGGAAAATCAGTAGACTATCTTGTCAGAATAGCCAGACCACAAATAAAAATCCAGAAAGACCTATGCCCATTCCAAAAATGCAATTATAGAAGTACAATGTTTTGAACTTTCTACATAACAAAACCAAAAATGACCGTTTATTGAAAAAGCAAGAATTTCACATAGGCATTTACATTTTCCACTTCCTCCTCATGTTATGGCTTAAAAAGTAACTCTTTGCCAAAAATAAGACCTTATTTAGAGGCAGACAAGCAGGAAAAGCTGAATACTAAGCATTGTTTAAGGCAGTAAAGAGTTTAATTCAATACATTTTACCCTAAATTTAACTACAGAGTTCAGCATTTAAATGTACTGAGAGATTCAGAATCAAATCTTAGGCAAAGTTTTCAAAAATCTACCAAAGCTTTTGTGTGTGTGTGGTTTTCTCTCACTTCATTGCAATATAACATATTTTTTGTCTTTTCCCTTTGACGATGAGAATTAACTTGCAAAGAAATTTAAATTAACATCAAAGTGAGAAGAGACAAGAAGAATTTATGAGCTGAGATTAGCACTCCAAAGAAAGAAAAGTGAAAATACAGCAATAAGATAACACTCTTGGTAGGCTGTAAATGCTCCTCTGCTTTTAAAATTCCCTAACAAGGTGAGTGAAAACCATTCCGAGAACACTATTGTCAAGAGACACCTTTGAACTGATCTATCCTGAAGAATAACCCCCAGAAAGGTAGAAAAAAAAAATAACTTTCATATGTTTGTGGCCACACGGTGCAGCTCCGACTTCTGAACATTTTTCCCCAATTATTTTTGTAAAGTATTGATCGCAATTTAATTTTGCAGTCCCAACATGAGAGGCGCTTCATGCTGAAATGTCTCACAGGAGATTGTAATCAGGGTCTAGCCTGAAGGTGAAGCGCTCGTACATAGGTTTTACTCTATTCCTCCACTCTTCATCAGCTCGGGGATTGGAGCAGAGGGCATTCTCAGGCAGATTAATTTTTGACGATGGGATCGATGGAAGATGTTTTTTCCTCCTGACATTGAGTCATCTAATTTGCTGTTTATCTTTGGCTTATTGAGTTTTGAGCATTGTTAAATCATACCTTTCAGCTGTTTAATTTCATATGTGAATTTTGCATTCCCCTCTTGTACTTTGGCATAACTCTTTTACCTAAAATGAGCAGGATGATGGGCCTTTTTTGACACAGGGTTACTGCTTTTGAGTCTGTTAAGTACTCCAAGGTAATGTTATGGTACTTCTAGCCTTTTTTTCTTTGCTTGTGGCCATAGATCAGTTCACCTCTAGGGAAATCATTACTTGCCATCATTATTATCCCCAGCAGCTTCATCTATTCTTCCTTGTTTCCTGACTCCATGGCTTGATGAAGTGCCTAGATGTGCGAACACCTTATCTCAGGTCTCATAATTAACCCCTTCATAACACAGGGTGAGAAGATTATTTTTCCTGGGATATACTCCATCTAGTTCAATATTTGGGACTCTTTGTAGTAATCACAGCAGCTTTAACAGTTTCAACTCTGTTTCTGCAGTAAGATGTGAGTTTTGTAAGTGTGCTGATGGCTAGAAGAAAAATGCTTTCTACCTAGAGAAACTTGGCCTTAGGTAACCTTTCTTTCTGTTTCCCTTAAAGGTAATCAAGCTGTATCTCAAGACAGTGCCTCATCTATACACCTGAAAATTCCCCACAGTGGCAATATTGTATTAAATGTTAGTCATTCTATAAATTTTTATGAGTGTAGTCATAATTATCTAGAAATTAATAAAATATGAAGTGGGCTTTTTTTTTTAGTTTGAAAGACATATGACATATTTGCAAATAGACCTGAAAACAAAATAAAAGTAAAGATATTGACAGAATGTACTTCTAGATTTGAATTTAACATTAAAACAATCTGTCAGTTCTATCAATTCAGTAAATTAGAACCATCCTATTTTATACACCAAACCACTTACGGGTTTGATTGAATAGAGAAATGTTATTCCTGCTATCACGAAAAGAGCCCTGGACCAAGTCTTAGTAAATCTGATCCTTGCTCTGCTAACTAGTTGGATTTTTTTGAGAAAGTCGTAACATATCTTTGACTCTCAAGTTTTCTCATCAGTAAAATTGGGGAGTTTAAAAGACAGATTGTTTTCTAGGTGTAAAATATATTATTTTACTCTGTAATGTTATGTACATATTCATCTGTCACCCAAGGCCTCACTCTCCTCCTACCTCTTCCAGGAAGCTTTCATGCCTGTTGCTGCCCACAGTGCAATCACTGATGTACATACTCTCACAGCCATTCACTTGCTGTTTTACCTTCATTCTGGTGATGCTTTCTGGTACTTAAAAAAAATGCTTCACTGTATGTTACAAGACGGGCTTATGATTCTGTCTTACATGCTATTCCAATATCTCTAAAAAATGACTATCCATTCTTTGAGGCTGCATTTTATTTTTGGAAAAAGCCCAAAATTATCTGTAGGCGTTGTTGTAAAGAAGATGAGTAATCAAGACTGGAAACTTAGTTTTCAAGTGAATCTCTATATTGTTCAAGTTTCTTAACTGAAACTGACTATGAACACAACTCCAAGAGAAGAGATCTCAGAATGCATTGCATTGTCAGCATTGTTAGAATAAGCATATTGTCCGGTGAAGTAACTACTTTGGAAAAACAGTTTTTAGTTTGATGCAATTTAATTTAATAGTTTTATTTATCGGTTTCATGCCCTTACAGCCACACATTATATGTCTTGTCCTACTAAGTTACAATTTCTTCCCAGGAAAGAAAATGGTGTTAATCTGTATACATTTGCTTTGTAAACATTTCAATTCTTTCCTCAGTTCAGACTTTAAGTTGCTATTAAAGAATCAATCAACTAAATTTGTCAGAAAGTGTTTGTGTTTTATTAGCTGGTATCAGAGATGAGAATGAGTCAGCATTTTAAAAAATGAGGAAGTAAACTTTCTGTGCCACAGAATATATGAATTATACATGTAAATAAAAAATTACCAATTAATATTCATATCTATAAACATTAGTGTAGGTTATTGTCTTTATGAATCACATTAAAATACTTTGGTTCAGAACTTTTTTGTTAACTAATCAACAGGAAAAAAAAAATACTTCCAAACCTGTTTGTGAAAAGAAAGAGCCAGAAATACTCTATTTCTCCAATGTGTACCTTTCTTGAGATCTGAATGAACTGTGGAGGTTCAAGGAAAATATTGAGCTTAACGATGCTGGAGGCCAAGCAACCATATCCACCAATTATGTCTATAAAGAGAAGTTCCCTGGTAGTGCTGACCACATCAGTTCATCAAGTCCAAGTCCAGTCAGACAACACATACACAAGCAAGATTAGAGGGAACACCAAACCTGTTAGACTTGTTTGGCTGTTGTTGCATATTCATAAAATAGTAATGGTCACTTTGTTTGTTCAACCTAAACTTCAAAGGTACTTTAACTCCAATGTTTTGGTCTTCATTTTCACTATATTTTGTACTTATTGTACAAACCCATCTATTATATACAGAGCTTACATATTTATGCTGTGTAAGGTAACTATGACTATGTGGCATATTCATACCATAATTATATATTAGTCTTGAAATAAATAGCTAGGATACCTAATGAAATAATTATTGTAGAAGTCATTAATTTATTGAGCTTCTGTTAACATCCTTACAATAAACTCTGTGTTGAATATCATCTAATCCCCATTGTAATCCTATAGATGGCCACTGTTATTGCCTTTATCTTATGGATGAGAAAATTTATTAAGAAGGGACCTTAAGAATCATGGAACCCATTTTTTTTTTTATCAATATGTCTCATGCTAGGTTTTATTCCTGATGTGAAATAGAATAAATTGGCCTTCTTTCCTTTTCACCTGATATAATTTGTTACTTACCTTGAGATAATTTTTTTTTATTATACTTTAAGTTTTAGGGTACATGTGCACATTGTGCAGGTTAGTTACATATGTATACATGTGCCATGCTGGTGCACTGCACCCACTAACTCGTCATCTAGCATTAGGTATATCTCCCAATGCTATCCCTCCCCCCTCCCCCCACCCCACAACAGTCCCCAGTGTGATATTCCCCTTCCTGTGCCCATGTGTTCTCATTGTTCAATTCCCACCTATGAGTGAGAATATGCGGTGTTTGGTTTTTTGTTCTTGCGATAGTTTACTGAGAATGATGTTTTCCAGTTTCATCCATGTCCCTACAAAGCACATGAACTCATCATTTTTTATGGCTGCATAGTATTCCATGGTGTATATGTGCCACATTTTCTTAATCCAGTCTATCATTGTTGGACATTTGGGTTGGTTCCAAGTCTTTGCTATTGTGAATAATGCCGCAATAAACATACGTGTGCATGTGTCTTTATAGCAGCATGATTTATAGTCCTTTGGGTATATACCCAGTAATGGGATGGCTGGGTCAAATGGTATTTCTAGTTCTAGATCCCTGAGGAATCGCCACACTGACTTCCACAATGGTTGAACTAGTTTACAGTCCCACCAACAGTGTAAAAGTGTTCCTATTTCTCCACATCCTCTCCAGCACTTGTCGTTTCCTGACTTTTTAATGATTGCCATTCTAACTGGTGTGAGATGGTATCTCATTGTGGTTTTGATTTGCATTTCTCTGATGGCCAGTGATGGTGAGCATTTTCTCATGTGTTTTTTGGCTGCATAAATGTCTTCTTTTGAGAAGTGTCTGTTCATGTCCTTCGCCCACTTTTTGATGGGGTTGTTTGTTTTTTTCTTGTAAATTTGTTTGAGTTCATTGTAGATTCTGGATATTAGCCCTTTGTCAGATGAGTAGGTTGTGAAAATTTTCTCCCATTTTGTAGGTTGCCTGTTCACTCTGATGGTAGTTTCTTTTGCTGTGCAGAAGCTCTTTAGTTTAATTAGATCCCATTTGTCAATTTTGTCTTTTGTTGCCATTGCTTTTGGTGTTTTAGACATGAAGTCCTTGCCCATGCCTATGTCCTGAATGGTAATGCCTAGGTTTTCTTCTAGGGTTTTTAGGAACCCATTTTTTAAGTAATAAAGTTAAGTCCCAGGGAGCTAAGTGGCCCACATAAAGCTACATGGTCAAAACTCAGGTTAAAACAAAGCTCTCCTGACCCCATTGGAATGTTCTTCCTACTCTACCTTCCAGACTCCTAGTGCGGTATGTTGCTGGGGAGATATAAACTTTCATTTGTGATTATCTTATTATCTCACTGAAAGAAATCAAACTGCATGAGAAATTTCCTGCAGAATATTGTTAAGATTTTTTTCCTTTGGAAAAAAATAAAATTCCTATAAACGTGTTAAGGTTTTGATACTAAGCATATTTTTGTTTAGAAGGTACAAACATGATTTTATTTTTATTACCAAGGTCTTGCCATAAAGGAATTTTGAGTCACAAGTATGAATTCATTCTATCACCATAAATTAGGTAAGGTATTTATAATAAAACCAGGTCTTGGGATTTACGTCTGAAAGAGATAAATCCTAAAATTGGTTTTAAAGAGGCTGTGAAAAGTGAGCCAGGAAGGGAGAAGCCCTGTTTTGAATGCCAAAATCTGGAAAAAGTGAGTCATGATGGCTGTAATCCTGGGTCAGAGTCAGGGCTGCAGTAGTTGGTGTATCATTATAAAATCATGTTTTACTGTTGCTCCAAAACTCCCCTCCTCCTGTGAACAAGAACTTAGGAACCAAAAGAGCTGAATCATGATCTACAATAAGCTATTTCTGCTGTATCTATCATCATCTACATCCATCCTGAGCAGAAGAATTCCTAGGCTGTGGCACCACTTAGCTCTAGGTTACAGATGAGGGGAGCAAACGGTGGCCCTTCATGTTTTAGTTAATTGCCCATCAATACAAATACCCAGTTTGACCCATCTTAAATGTCTAGTGTTATTTGTTTCAGCCATTCTGCAACATGAATTTCTTCCACTATCATATATCTGGTTTCTTTGCATGTATTAAATAATAATAATATTTTCAAAAGTATACCAAAAAAGAAAAAGAATAAATTCTAAAGCTCTGGACAATCCACAATTTCACAATGAGCTCTTTAATAATTTAGAGGTGATTTAGGATTCTGTAATTAATTTCAAATCATATAAACTTAATAGCCATTATGTCTTACACTAACATCATATTTTCAAAAAATCTTTGCAACTCTGATAGGATATAGGTATGTTGCATTAAAATTTTGAATAAGGCTAATAAATCACACATGGAATTAGTAGGTTATGGAATTATGGAGCAGGCAGGAGATTATAAAACAAGTTGTTAAATTGGGGTAATTTGGCCATACATAACTGTTTCCCATCACTCCATTTCCTAGCCTAAAATGGTATAAAAGGTATGTCTTATAAAAGGAGTCTGAGGTTCTGGAATCTTCTGGCTTGGTCAGTGCTTTTGCTCTATTAGGTTGCTAAGACTACCAAACTTCAAGTGTACATCATGGGGAATAATAATAATAAGTCATCAGGAAGCCATATCCCATTCTATCTTCAGATATTTTTCATCTTACTTATACACCTTGCATGGAGTCTTTGCTGTGGTTGCTAATCCTGGAAACTGAAGTAGCCTTTATTGTCTGGCCCAGAGCAATCAGCGCATACGCCCCCTTATTTAATTTTTCTAAGCACTGTACAAGGTAGTCAGAGAAGGTGCTATTATCATCAACCTATAGAAAAAAGAATATAAGGCTCAAGGAGGTATTTATCCAAGTTTGCAGAGCCAGGCAATATGTGAAAATATGTTTAAATCCAGATCTGTTGATTCTAATTCCTCTATTCTGCTACTGAGTCTGTGAAAAAGGGTTGACAGAGGCGATTACTTTTGAATGAGCAGGTGCTGTAGACCTAGCCAGATGATGAATTAACAAAATAATTAATTCCAAATCGTTTTGGCTTGTTTTCGCCAGGCAAAACAATGTCCGCCTTTTTCATTTTGTGGGGATAACCCATACATTTTCACTGACTGCATTGCCTGGTTCAGTGCCTGCTTTCCATAGTGAAACACACAGATATCATCGTAGGCTAAACATAACTCAAGATATGGTACTCTGGGGAGGATTCAGCGAGGGGAACGTATATAAAGAGTTGTCTTATAGAGTGCAAGGACAATAAAAATGAATATAAAAGTAAACATTGGTTCAAATAAGTTAAAAACAAGACCCGTGCTCTTAAGAATATTATTATGCAAGCAAGAGAAATATCCAATATTTATGAAGCATTATTTTATTTTTCTTAATGCCATATATCTAGGCAGTCAGATGTATGTCTGTTGTCCCAGGAGTATTATCAATTTATGGTGGCGTAATAGTCACTCATGATGAATTTTACTTTATAATCATATTGTCTTTGATAAGTGGCAAAGCCTAATGCAAAGTGCACTAGGTAAAAGGATGGTGGAGAGTATACAGTTTAGTGCTAGCACTACATTCTAGACGACAATAATAGTGAGGCCTATTATGTGAATCTACTCATCACTTAGCCTGGGAAGACTTCTATGCTTGAACAAATGCAGTAGTTTACCATAACATATATAAGTATGAAGCACCCAAGAAGAGCCCATGTGGATTGGGGATGCAGTGAGCCTGGCTAGAAGGGTGAATGCCATTTTACTTTAACATTTATCTGACAACGGGCCAATTTGAGAACTAATCAACTACTTGGCTAGGTCCTTGTGGATAATTAGACTTACTTTGTTAGAAGATGAAAGTCAGTGAGAGCTCTTAGCCTTGATGATTCAGGGAGAGGAGAAGGGGCTTAAGTTGATTTGAATCCTAAACCATTCATTAATCCACTTAACCTCATTCATTTTAGATATGACTACTAATTTCAGGGCACTCTTGGCTTTTCTGTAGCTCTTTTCTCCTTTAGTGCTTCTTATATAAACAATTCCTTTCTTAGTTTTTCATTTTGTTTCTCTCTCGCTCACTCTTTCATTCTTGGGAAATGACTTTCTTCTTTCCCAGGATACCCAGACCATTGTAACTATGATGATTTGTTTCATTTCCGAGATTACCCAGTATGCTTTACAATTCCCTGGTATATTCATTATCCACCCAATGATAGTCTGCGAATTTAAGTGCCAAAAATAATTATTGACTTATTTTGTGCCTTCTCTTTAATCACACGTCAAGATTTAGTGAAAATGTTACATTTCAACAAGGCTGTCCATGATTCTTGTAGCAGAATTAAATACCACCCCTTCATCTGGGAGTACCTGGCACACAAGTCTATCAACAATTTCATTGTCGTTTTAAATTTTTAATATACCTGTCTTTACAAATGAAATGGGAACTTCTTCAGGCAGGGGTCACATCTTCCTTACTGATATAACCCCATCGCCTCCTGGTGTCTTCCACTTAAGAGATGGCCAATGAATATTAGTTTGAAGAATTGCTTAAACTTCTTTTGTGAAATGATGAAAAAGTGAGAGTTGGGCCCAGTTATTCTTCTCTAGGCAAAGTGTTTGGGCTTGTGTTATTTGTTAGAACATAAATGAGTTGGCATTTATGCTTATGGAATAAGTTAGAAATCTATAATTGTAAATTCATGCTGATTTTAATGAAATCAAAACTCAAAGTGTGAAACCATCCAAATAAATATAATTTTCTCCAAACTGCTTTGATATGAAAAAGACTCTTTGGCATAGCTCCAATTAACTATCTTAGTCACCCACACAGAATCAAGAAGACTCCTTCCATCTGATTATAAGTTTCTGCAAATAGCAAAAACACTCAAAGCATTCCTGGTTGTTCTCTCTGTATGGAAATTTTCACAACTCAGAGCAAATAGAATGGACTGATTCTGTCATTTGTATAGACAGATCTGATCTATGTTTCACTTTTCAAGCTTTAAAAATCTTACTGAATATGATTTTAGTGGCAAAAAGAAATCATATAAAACGTTAATAAAAATGATGTTTTTATACTTCATCTAATATTTTATGGCCAAGGCACATATTCAAAGTTTAATTATAATTGATTAAGTTTTTATCATAATACTATTGGTGTGTTCTAGTCTGCAGTTCTTAAGTGTAGTATTTAAGGGTCTTTGTTTTTTTAAAATGTCAAGCTTTTGTTTTATATTCTTCCAACCTTTGCACACTACTGGTATCTCTGCTTCTGTTAATTGTTCCAAACACCTGCTACAAACTCAGCCCCTGAACAAACAAAAACTACAGGGAACTTGACAGCGAAACAAATAAATACAGATATAGGAGTTTTATAAAACCTGCCTTCTGACTAAATCTGTAAACACTCAGGCTGAAAAACGAGATTGTCTGCAGATGTATCTGCTGGCAAATGGGAAAGAAGTGACCCACTGAGGCCAGTTTATGGAGGGGGTGAAGGCATGGTAAACATGTCTGCCTACCCCTTGATAAGTTGTTCCAGATGGTTGCATAGATACAAGACAGACTCAATGAGCTGGCTCATTTCTACCATGAAGTAAAAGAAAGTAACTCTCCATCATGGGCCAGGGCAGGATATTTCACTGTCCATGTGTAATGTAACAGGCAAGTAGTTTTGAAGGTACCCACCCCTCATTATTTGAATGAAGGAACTTTTCCAGCACTGGGCATATATCACATGCCTCCCAGCAAGATTAGAGCTTCACTAAAAGTAAGAGCATGGTCTTTGCCCATGAGGTAATAAATTTCGTGTGCTAGCAACAGTGAAGACTTGGGAAGTGAATAAAGAAATGTCTTGAAGCATCTTTTAGGCATGTCAGGAAACGGCACATTCAATATAACTCATATGAAAAAGTAATGTCTGATGGTGCTTGGGAAAGAGAGGGAGAGAATAGTGGTGCTTTTAGTAGTAATTCAGGAAGTAAGTTGCAGCACATGTGTTCATCACTGAATAGAAGCAAAGGAATTGTCTTCACCTTACCCCTGACCAAAAAAAAAAAAAAAAAAAAAAAAAAGTAATGATCATGGTGAGTGGAGTAGGAGGGTCTATGATCCCTTCTAACCAAAAAACCTAATTTTCAAAACAAATTTAACACTGAAAAAAAGAGACACAGGCTAGGCAATCCTTTTTTATTGAGATTATTTTTATTTGACAAACTAGGAAAAGTTAACATCAGTGTTTTGCTTTCTTTCATCTTTTTGTTCTTTTGTTGTTGCTATACAGTGAAAACTAAAACAAGGGCCCTTTCCTGTATAGAGGTAGAAGAAAAAATAAGGTTGAGAAAAAAATAGAGGTGCAAAGAAGAAGTGAAATTTCAGAAGGAAAATTAAAAAGAACCAGTACTCAGGAGGCTGAGGCAGAAGGATCCCTTGAGCCTAGGAGTTTGAGGCTGCAGTGAGCTATTGTGCCACTGCACTCCAGCCTGCATGACAGAGTGAGACCCATCTCTGAAAAAGAACTACTAAATGAAACAAAAGGATTCCTTGAGTTTTTAGGGACTTAAATGTCCAGCAAGACCTTGCACTCAGAGAGACAGGTTGGTAAAATGTGCTGAAGCTGAGTGTGACTTGGAAGAATGCCAGCGGGAATGCACAGAGGCGCTTCTTTGTGCGGTATTGTTTCTGTGGGTAAATGCCAAGACTGGCCCTGGGCTAATTGAAATGAGCAGCTGCATGGGTCACATCAGTATAAAGAGCAAGTATTAACAGGTGCAGGGGGGACCACAGGCTTTCCCTTTGTCAATATTGAAGTAAACAGGTAATGCTGTTCATTTGTCTTCTTAAAATGTAAAACTTCAGGCTGAAATTGAAAGCAGCCCTTGGCATCTCCTATGTGTCTGTCAATGAGTCTAGGGTGCCTCAAGCTTCCCAAATTCAAAACCAGGCAGTTACTCATGTCCAGGAGGAAACAGAAGTTCAAGGGCTATATCTTCAGGTGTTGATGCTCAGGACAGACTGCAAAATCACAGGAACTTCTAGCAGGTGTCGAGTGTCTTTCTCCCAGATGTTACAGATTGCATCTTAAAGTTGTTTTTCTTCAAGAAGCCTCTTGCGGGGGGAGAAAACCTCTCTCCCATTTCTGATTCCATTCAGGGCCACTATAATCTTATTCTTGTTTGCTTGCTTGGGGCATAAAAAACGCCAAGGCCAGTCCTGCTAAGTTGTTTCATTCCCTCTGAGTCTCTGTCAAAGAAATTGAACTAAAATGGTTGCTGGGAGTTAAAAAAATTAACATTCTCACCACAAAAACTTCAGATTGGACTAAGGAAAGAATCTGTGAGTGGGGCTTAATGATCCAGCAAAGCTATAGGGTTTAATTTTAGACCAGAAATATTTTTCATTTATGTTTATTAATGTGAGATTTTGCAACAGAGGAGGAAAGGGAACTGGAAGCTATAAAACAGAATCATAAACAGTTGATTTTATCATTAGGGACAATAGCCATTTTAACTACACTGAGTTGGAGTGTTCAGGGGTACACAAAGCGTTCGTCTCTATCCCAGGTTTTTATTGCAAACCTGGAATTCTGCAATTTCCAGATGGCAGATTGGGTAAACATATTTTCCTTCTCTCCATTGCATACTACCTTAGCATTTTGACAAATCTGCTGTTTCATGTAATGCATTTTTTTTAAATTTTACATTCCTCATACAAAACAATACTGAAAGAACTAAAACATGGCTCTTTTGTCTTAATATTCAGAGTTGCTTTTGTACCAAACTTATGTAATAACATGTGGCTCACCTAGGACCTGCTCCAAATCCCAGGAGAGATTATTAACAAAGCTAATAAGAAATATCTTTTTGTTGAATCTCAGGTGAAGCTAAGGAAAACATGTGAGCATAGCTTGGGACCTTTCGCCTTCACAGAACCTCCCTCTTCCTCCTGCCACTTTAAACCAAAGCTGTTGAGTTGAGCTGACTATACTTTCTTAACTAGTATTTAAAGAGTCAGTCTGATTTTCTGGTTTTGCTTCATTTTGTTTTGTTTTAATGAAGAAAGAATTGGCATGTAAAAGACAGAGGACTCTCATTTTTGTTCATTTCACTAGAATTATGGATAATCTGGTATTCCACTTTAATATTCATGTGTCGGGGAAAATGTTAAAGGTGAGGCTGTACACACCTCATAGTAGCCTCTGGATGTGTTAAAAAGAGGCTGTACACCTTGATTTGTGGAATCAGCATCGCCTGTAGCCATATCATTTAGGCCAAGCAGCTGGGAGGCTCAGCCAACCATTTGTCTCTCTGGGTTCTCCTGGAAACAGGAACATCTGCTTTTCTATGAGTTATACTGTAAATTGAGCCTTGCTTTTTTCTCGGTTAATTTTTTCCTACATTTTCTTCTTCAAGCTCATCAGGCTCTTTGGAACCTTTCTGAATAGTTCAGTCATAAATTACTTATCTGGAGATTCCAGGATTGTGTTAATATTCTAGGATGGTAAACTGCATTGTCCAACTGATTGATTGATTAATGAAGCATTTGTGCCATTATGTGCCAGATATTGTTATAGATCCTAGAGGACTTTTAAGGCACTTACAGTCTAGTGGGGGATGCAAAAAAAAAAAAAAGTTTGTGATCAATTACTCACAGTAACGTGAATGTGGTGGTAAACAAACACTGACAAGGGTGTATCTAACTCGGGCTTGCAGGTTAGAGAAGCTTTCCCACAGCAATTTCTTTAGAGAAGGTACCTGGCAGGTGAGTTAATGTTTGCCGGGAAGAGAAAATAAACAGGATATTCCAGGCAGAGGGAACAGCATAGGTAGGAACAGGAGGCATCATAGAACATGGCTATTCAGGAATAAGGGAAAATGCAGTGTGGCTGGCGCATGGTTTATTACGGTGAGGTGGAAGATGAGTCTGGAAAGGTAGATGAAGCCATGCATGTTATTTTGGGATGTGGAAAAACTATAGAATCTTTTAACTGAAGGCAGTGGGATATCAACTCAAATTTAGACACTATTTAGCTTACTTTTCCAAACAATAAAAAATCATTGATAAAATAAGACAAAAGAATAACTATAAATGATGCATAAATACAATCAATAACCTTTATGTAGTAAATAAGGTAATCTGGAGGAAAGTACTATGAAACACATATATTCGATATGCACATTTGAGATAAAAGGTATTTGTTAGAGTATGATGTTTCCTCCCCAAATTCTTTGGCAATACTATCTTTTCTATAATGGGCATTTTCCTCCTCAACACAGTCACTGATTCAAACAAAACATCTGCAACCATCACTGGCTGGATTCCCACCACTAGGTGCATTTCTAATGTGCTTTTCATTTATCTTTTTATTGTGTATTCTAGGGGGCTGCATATAGTAAGGGATGGCACATGAAACACGGGGCTAAATGTTCCCTTATGTATTGTGTGTAGCAGGGATAAGGATGCCTATTTAAAGAGCTAGAAAATGATCTTGACATATTTAATAATATATAATCTGTAATTTTTAATCCCGGAAATAGACTTGCAGGACAATAAAATGGGCTTTGGGTTTTTATTTTTCTAGACAATAACCTTTTTTAAAAAATGTGAGATAGTGCTAGGTTTGGTAGAAGCAATGGGAAATGATAATGATTCTCAACTTGAACGTTCTTTTTTATTTCATCCTATAATAACATGCTAGGCAATCAATTGGGAAATGCATTTGTACCATCCAGCATTGATCTATTCTCCCAGGCCTTGTAAGCCAGGCTGCCATATCCTGAACACTACCAAATCTGATCAGAAATGTAAGTCTAAACTACTTGTGGGAGAGATGGTTCTCGGGTGCTGCTCTTCACCCCATTTACCTTCACGTATTTTTGTTGTCCTTACTTTGAAAATCCAGATCCCAGCTCATGACACTGAGTGCAGTGCCTGCCTCTGGTCCCCCTTAGGGTTTGACTCCCTTATAGGCACCATTTCTGGTTCTCTTCTTATCCAGCATTTTAAAAATTCTGCTTCCATCTTTTACTTTAGTCTCCCAAATGCCTTAATTAACTCCTCCTCTTATTAGCTTCTAGCCACTAGCCCACTCTTCAGCTTTACCAATTGCTCACCCTAGGGTGGGATCCAAAAGGACACAAAACTGAAAATTATACCTAAAGGGTGGTCATCAATGAACAAGTGGCCTCCGCGAGAGTTAGCTGTGGGCTCAATGTATAATATACACAGCTGGCTGACAAAAGACAGAGCTTGCAAAACAGGCCTGGGAAAGGTAATGATATTTAGAAATTTGGGGGACCTACTAAGAATTATAAAGAGTTTTAGTATAAGTAGAAGATAACTCACAATTGTGCTGGATCAAGTTCCAGCATGACGGATATGGACATTCATGTTTGCTTGCGACAAAAACAGAGATAGTCAAACTACACAAACACCATGGGGATTCCCCAGTTACATGCAGGAAAATACTTATGGTCTATAGTGGAACCATGCAAACTGCCAATGAATTAGTAAAGTTGCAGTTTTCATTAGAAAAAAGTATGATATTGATATATATAAAGCAGCAACAATATAAATCGTGGTCCTCATTAGCAATGGCTCTTAATATATTTCCCACCAGGCAGGCTACTCTGCCCACAACCAAAAATATGTGTCAAAAGCATCAAAAATGTTCAGAAGAAAGCCTCCAAGATTATATAAATTTTGGAAAAGAAGACCTTTGAGGAAAGGTCAAAGATTGGGGATTATTCTGGATGAGAAACGATTTTGAGATTATCTATGAGTATTTTAAGTTTCTTATTCAGAGAACAGTTGATAAGCATTTTTTATCTACCACTACCAAAGGCTAAAAGTGAAACACAAAGGATTTAGGCTTGAAAGGAGAAATGCTGGGTGAAGAGGGCTGTCAACCATTGGAAGGGTTATTTAGTCTCCTCCTAAAGCCTGAGTAGAATCTCAGTAACTTGGTGTGTGTGAGTGTGTGTGTGTGTGTGTGTGTGTGTGTGTGTGTGTCAGGTGAGGAGGAGTAGGGGAGTTTCTTGTCTAAAGGCCAGGAATACACTAGCTGTTTCTCTTATTAGGAAGTCTATGAGATATAATTGAAAGAGTTAAAAAATTATTTTAACCATTTAGATTTATACGCTGACTTTGAAGCAGGACAATAAGTAATCTGTAACACTGATATATTACCATCTGTCATTGTATTTCATGTGGTTCACTGTGTATGAAAAAACTACGTGGATAAATGAAATCAAAAATTTCAGAATTATCAATTCTATCTAACTGTAGCCCCAGTAGTCTTTTAGAAGAACAAGTGGAAGAAATGGTTTTGAGAGAAGTAAAGACAGTAAAGAATGGTACTTGAAATCATTTAGAACTGAAAGAAATGTTGGTAATTCTGGTTAGAATTCTGTTTTGGCACTAAGTAAAAAGGCAACCTTGAAATGACAATGTATTTGTCCATTTTCATGCTGCTGATAACGACATACCCAAGACTGGGAGGAAGAAGAGGTTTAATTGGACTTACAGTTCCATATGGCTGGGAGGCCTCAGAATCATGGTGGGAGGTGAAAGGCACGTCTTACATGGTGGTGGCAAGAGAAAATGAGGAAGATGCAAAAGCAGAAACCCCAATAAAACCATCAAATCTCATGAGACCTACTCACTACCCTGGAACAGTATGGGGGAAACTACCCTCATGATTCAAATTATCTCCTACTGGGTCCCTCCCACAACATGTGGGAATTATGGGAATACAATTCAAGATGAGATTTGGGTGGGGACACAGAGCCAAGCCATATCATTTCACCCTTAGCCCCTCCAAATCTCAAGTCCTCAAATTTCAAAACCAATCATGCCTTCCCAACAGTCCCCCAAAGGCTGAACTCATTTTGGCATTAACCCAAAAGTCCACAGTCCAAAGTCTCATCTGAGACAAGGCAAGTCCCTTCTGCCTATGAACCTGTAAAGTCAAAAGCAAGTTAGTTACTTCCTAGATACAACGGGGATACAGGTATTGGGTAAATACAGCTGTTCCAAATGGGGGAAATTGGCCAAAATAAAGGGATTACAGGGCCCATCCAAGTCTGAAATCCAGTGGGGCAGTCAAATTTTAAAGCTCCAAAATTATTTCCTTTGACTCCATGTCTCACATCCAGGTCATGCTGATGCAAGAGGTAGGTTCCCATAGTCTTGGGCAACTCCACCCCTATGGCTTTGCAGGGTACAGCCCCTCTCCTGGCTGCTTTCATGGGCTGGTTTTGAGTATCTGTGGCTTTTCCAGTAGCATGGTGCAAGCTGTGGGATCTACCATTCTGGGATCTGGAGCATGGTGGCCCTCTTCTCACAGCTCCACTAGGAGGTGCCCCAGTATGGACTCTGTGTGGGGGCACCAACCCCACATTTCCCTTCCGCACTGCCCTAGCAGAGATTCTCCATGAGGGCCCTGCCTCTGCAGCACACTTTTGCCTGGACATTCAGGCATTTCCATACATACATTGAAATCTAGGTGGAGGTTCCCAAACCTCAATTCTTGACTTCTGTGCACCTGCAGACTCAACACCATGTGAAAGGTGCCAAGGTTTGGAGTTTGCACCCTCTCAAACCATGAGCTGAGCTGTACCTTGGCCACTTTTAACAACAGCTGGAGCAGCTGGGATGCAGGGCACCAAGTCCCTAGGCTGCACACAGCATGGGGATCCTGGGCCCAGCCCAGGAAACCATTTTTTCCTCCTAGCCTTCCCGGTCTGTGATGGGAGGGGCTGCTGTGAAGACCTATTGCATGCCCTAGGCACATTTTCCCCATTGTCTTGGAGATTAACATGTGGCTCCTTGTTACTTATGCAAATTTCTGCAGCCAGCTTGAATTTCTTCTCAAAAAATGGGTTGTTCTTTTCTACTGCATCATCTGGCTGCAAATTTTCCAAACTTTTATGCTCTTTTTCCCTTTTAAAATGGAAAGCTTTTATCAGCATCCAAGTCACCTCTTGAATCCTTTTCTGCTTAGAAATTTCCTCTGCCAGATACCCTAAATTATCTCTCTCAAGTTAAAAGTTTTGCACATCTGTAGGGCAGGGGCAAAATGCCACCATTCTCTCTGCTAAAACACAGCAAGAGTCACCTTTGCTCCAGTTCCCAAGTTCCTCATCTCCATCTGAGACCACCTCAGCCTGGCCCTTATTGTTCAAATCACTATCATCATTTTTGTCAAAGCCATTCAACAAGTCTCTAGGAGGCTCTAAACTTTCCCACATTTCCTGTCTTCTGAGCCCTCCAAACTCTTCCAACTTCTTCCTGTTACCCAGTTCCAAAGTCGCTTCCACATTCTCAGGTATCTTGTCAGGAACGCCCCACTCTACTGGTACCAATTTACTATATTAGTTCATTTTCACACTGCTGATAAACACATACCTGAGACTAGGAAGAAAAAGACATTTAATTGGACTTACAGTTCCATATGGCTGGGGAGGCTTCAGAATCATGGCAAGAGATGAAAGGCACTTCTTTTTTTTTTTTTTTTTTGAGACAGAGTCTCGCTCTGTCACCCAGGCTGGAGTGCCGTGGCGAGATCTCGGCTCACTGCAAGCTCCGCCTCTGGGGTTCACGCCATTCTCCTGCCTCAGCCTCCTGAGTAGCTGGGACTACAGGCGCCCACCACCATGCCTGGCTAATTTTTTGTATTTTTAGTAGAGACGGGGTTTCACTGTGTTAGCCAGGAGGGTATCGATCTCCTGACCTTGTGATCCACCCACCTCGGCCTCCCAAAGTGCTGGGATTACAGGCATGAGCCACTGCACCCGGCCGAAAGGCACTTCTTACATGGCAGTGGCAAGAGAAAACGAGGATGATACAAAAGCAGAAACCCCTGATAAAACCATGCGATCTCATGAGATTTATTCACTACCATGAGAACTGTATGGGGGAAACCACCCCCATGATTCAAATTATCTCCCACCAGCTCTCTCCCACAACATGTGGGAATTATGGGAGTACAATTCAAGATGATATCTGGGCGGGGACACAGAGCCAAACCATATCAGACAACTTTATTGAAATTAATATGGTGGGTTAGGGTAACATATAATCTATCACTCTGAACTCCTTAATTTCTTAATCTTTGTTTCCCATCAACTTCAGATTAAATTTAATATTTTAAATAAGATTTTTACATTTGAGAAGGTAAAATGTACCCTACGATTTTAACAGGTTGTCTGAGTAATACAATTTAAAGAGTAAGGGGGTATTACATTTACCACCCAGGTACACAAATACTTAATTTCCATGGTATCCTAATCATAAATTTTCTTTTAAATTATAAATACTTGTAATTCCATGTTCTATCCCAAGATAATTTCAATGCAATGAGTCTAAAACTCATCTTCTTCCACAACAAATGACCACCTCCTCCTGTATTGACTGCCTCCTAAGTGTCGTGGAGGTGTACCTTATCTCTAATTCTGCTACTCTATTTGCTTAAGTATACCCATATTTGTCAACTGTATCAGCTGGTCCCCACCGTATAATGTCTGCCGACTCTACCCCTGCTTTCATAAGGCCACCAGATTGAACATCCTAAAATGTAAACCTGATCATGCCTTCCCCTGTGTTGTAAGTTTTAACAGGCTCCTCATCTTCTGTGTCAGTGGTCTTCATGTCTGATTGTTTTCCACTTATATGGAGCTCAGGGCATGACAACATACCAACTGAATCAAAGTACACACATACATATATTTTTAAAGATTTGGAGACTACTATTTCATAAAATAAACAAGGCCCTTCATCACTGGATTTTAATCTGCAACTCCTCTACATACTAGTTTAAGTTCCTTTAACATACTAAAACCTCTCATACTTGGAAGTCTTTGTGTGTGTTTGGAATGACTTTCCTTCCTTTCCCTAACCCACTGGAAGCACCATTTTTTACTGCTCAAGACTCAGCTGCTTTTCTCAGAATATATAGCTGACACTCTTAAAGTTGAGCACTCCTTCCTCCCTGCTCCCAGATTATCCATTCCAGACTTTAACAGCATCAATTTGCAATGGAGCTGTTTTGCCCTTGCTTTCCCCACAGATTGTGAGCTACTTGATCTTGGAGCCTTGATATCTCCTTCCTCTTCCTTCTCCACCCTTTTCTTTCCAGGCTCCTGGATTTGCACAGTGATTGGCATAATTTATTTTATTTTTTAGAGCCAGGGTCTTGCTGTGTTACCCAGGCTGCAGTGCAGAGCTGTGATCATGGCTCACTGAAGCCTTTACCTCCTGGGCTTAAGCGATCCTCTCACTTCAGCTTTCCGAGTAGCTGGGATTATAGGTGCACACCAGCTGGTGATTGGTGTATAAAAGGAACTGAATATGTGTTCTTAGATGCATAAGAAAGAAGAAAAGAGGATGAGATGAAATACTCTTGAGATGATGCTTTGGAAGTTTGCGAATTATTAAATTATCTTCTCTATAGACAGAGGAAGCTATAGCACTTGGCATCTGGACAGAGCGACATTTAAGATTGGGTTAGAAGGTTGTTATAAAATAAAAAATTGTATTTGAGGCAAGGCGTGGTGGCTCACGCCTGTAATGCCAGCACTTTGGGAGGCTGAGGCAGGAGGATCACTTGAGGCCAGGAGTTCCAGACCAGCCTGGGCAAAATGGTGAAACCCCATCTCTACCAAAAATACAAAAATTAGCTGGGCATGCTGGCATGCACCTGTAACCCCATGAGAATTGCTTGAACCCAGGAGGCGGAGGTTGCAGCAAGCCGAGACAGCGCCACTGCACTCTAGCCTGAGTAACAGAGCAAGACTCTCTCTCAAAAACATAAAAATAAAAATAAAGAAATTTTAGAGGGGCACAAGGTTAAAACCTGATTTTGGATTCACAACCAATAAAACCAAATTAATTGATTTCACAAATTTGTTATGCATATTTTAATACACACATATATTAGGGAAAAGAATGAAGTGGCAGACTGTTTATTTCTTCATGTAATATTTTAAAAACTAGACCTATTATCTAAAATCACAATACTTTCATTAAAAAGTCTATTTGTATACCAAGACAAGCAGGAAAAGTAAATATCAAATTAAATAACTTTTTTTAGTAAATACAATTGAGTAAAATACATGTAAATATTATCTTTGTTTTTCTTTTTTTTCCCTGCAAACAGAGGAAAAACTTCATAGATTAGAAATGATCTTCAGATAGGATTTGGAAATAGGCAGAAAGACTTTCAAAACTTCTTTTATATCTAAGGCAAGGATCTGACATTATCTCCTCAAGGTGAAATACCCTTGAATGGCCTGACATTTGCACAATGGCTTTCTTTTTGATCTGTCTGTAGTTCTAACTAATTACTTGAAAATACCTTTGCTATTTCTCTGCATCCTTTTTCCTATATTGTTTTATGACAATCTAATAAGAACTAAGCCTTCCCCACTAACCATACACAAAATTAGACAAATTGTAACATTCTAATGGAAATACTAACTTTACATTAAAAAGTTAGGGTAGAGTTTTGGGATTATGCAAGATCAGAGAGAAGATAAAACAGATACCAGAAACTATTCTCAGGTCTCTTTTTTTTCAAGGATTATGGTTTCTCATGTGATAGGAGAGAGCCAGATTGGAAGGAGAAGTGACGACATCATACTTCGGGCTTTTATAATGGACTCTGCAAAATTTCCCTTCTTTAAATCAGGCTAAGTAAGAATATCAGAATACAATGTGTCAATAAAATTCGTAAGTTTCGGTAAGCCAAGTATATCAGGCAGGGGTTGCTTTTGACTACATGTAACAGAAACCCAACCAGAGTAACAAAAGTAAGTCAGTCATGGTGACAAGATGCCCAGAGATAGCCTAGACAGTCCAAGTTCAAGTCTGTTTAAGTCCGCCCTGCTGCAGTGGCCCCCAAATCATCAGTGGACCTTTTAGTTTGTGATTTCATTCTCTTGGTCATCTGTGCTTTAGATGGTTGGTCCACCTCTAGTTTTCATTTGCATTTTTCAGGCAAGAGGAAGGAAACAATAGCAAAGAGAGTAATTCCTACATCTGGAAAGATTCATAAATCCTCCATTGATTAATTTTCATCAATTAAAATGGTGTGAAATGGCTATTCCTGGATGCAAGAAAAAAAGCTATGAAATAGAAACCCTTTGATTAGGCACAACACTGGTCCATATGCTGTTAGTAAGAATAAAAGAAAGAAAATATATTGAGTGGACAACTAGCAAGTTCTGCCACTCTAATCAAAAGCATTTATTTATGTCATATTTGTCCTTAAAAGCCCAAAGAATTTTTGAAACCGGAATACAACTGCACTTTCACTTGAAATATGGCATTCCTCATATCCAGGGAGTCATCGAAGAACATACATTTCTTATTCCCTCTTTTGTAAGTCTGTTTGCTACATTAGCTATAATAATTTAGGGTAAAATTCTCAAATCTCAGAGTCATACTTGACCCTTCTTCATTGTTCCTTTCACGTTCAGTCAACTACCATTTTTGGTAAAATTTCCTCTTCTCCATTGCTATTTCCCATTCTTTTCATTCTGTAATGGCTACTATGCAATGTAGATGCTTAACTCTTTCTTTGGTTTTTACCAAGCCGTCTTGACTAAACTATCAACATCCTCTCTTGTCTCTCCCCGAGGCCACCCTGTATTCCAGTTGGAGTAAATCTTCTTGAACTTTGGCATTAGTTATGCTATATATCTGTTCAACATCTGTGATGGCTTTCTCTCTGTCAGATAGATGAGTCACCATGAAACTAATTGCTAGTAAACTTAGATTAGGGGTGGTCTCTATACAAACACCCACATTCCCTCCATCCTCTGATGGTTCTTCAAGACTAAAGGTAAATGTCAATTGTGATGCCTTTTCTAATGTGCCCAGACAGAATAAATCACTTCCTCCTGGGTGCTCCCCCAGTGCTTTGTAGATATCTCTACTTCCTCAGTTATTACCTGTTACCTTCTGTGTTAACAGTTGTTTGCCTGTCTTCCTCAAGTGCAGGGACTCTTCATTACATTCCTCACAGAACATGGCTGAGAATCTGACATGCAGAAGGTGCCCAATAAATGTCTGAATGACTCACTACATGAATATAGTGATTACTGAGTTCATCTTGCTAAATATCAGAAGCAGAGGCTTCCCCAGTATAAATGCTAGACACATACATGGAACTCAAAACAAATTTTTTTTGAGACCAAAAGAAGGCAATTAAAAAAATGCTTTACCATCCACTATCTCTGACTACGGCCTGAATCCTCAATTTACTGTCCTCTTTGAATCTCAGTATTTCACTTAGAAGAAATTGCCTTGTTTGCTTGTTGAGTGCTCATCTGTAATTGTTATTATTTGGCCCATGTCTACCTAATGGAGCATAAACCATGCCTGATGCTCATCCAATGCAGATTAGCACATAAATGACTCTTAGAGAATTTGAGATTAATAAAAATAATAGTGGTACTAATAACTTGAACACTATGTATCAGACATTATGTTAAATGCTTGCCTTAGATTGTTTCATTTAATCTGCAATAAAATGCTGTAAAGTAGGTATTACCTCCATTTTACAGATGAGAAAACTGTTACTAATATAAAGCTAAGTAATATTTTCAAGATCATTTTCTGCCTGATGGCAAAGCTGATGTTGCTAACCAAGATGTTCACAGTCTCAAACAGTTTCAATGGGAAAAATGTAAGGGTGAATTGAGACTAAGAAAATTGTGTTTTGAGTTAAACAGTAATCAAGCTAACCTTAAAAATAATAACTAAAATATAGTCTTGTCAAATATCCTTAATTAAGACTGGGGATAAATTCTTAAGTCATCATCTCAGCTGTTGACTTATTCTTCTGTTTCTTTATTGACATCTCAGTGTCCAACTAGTGTAAAACACTCATACTCTTCCTAAGTGTAAGCAGGTGATTTCTTATACTGCTGCTTTATACACATTTGTTTGGTCGCTGCAGTTTTCAGGTTGAGTATTCCTTTCTGGAACAGTTCACAGCATCTTACTGTGCTGCACTGCGTTTTTCTCATGCCTTTTATTTTTGGATTTCTGGTTTTCTAAGGTATTGTCTTTCAAAACAAACTTTTTAAATTGACACCTTAAGTAAGAACTACACACACACACACACACACACACACACACACACACACACACAAAACATAACCTACTAGTCAATCTGCCTGCATTGCATCAGGGTCTATAAAAGCTATGGGTCCACAATTGTACTCAAAAGGGGAAGAGTTAATGTTAATGCATACAAAAGAGTTGTCATACAAAAGAGAAAAAGCCAAATATGATATATGTGGCTTGTTTCTTCTATTGAATGTGTATTTACTTATATAGCATCAATTTGTATTCATCTCTATTTTCTAAGTAGATAAGATTAAATGTAAATGTAGAGAATTAAGTCAAACCATGCCAAGAACACAAAGTGCTAATCAATACAATTGGGAATGCATTATAATCAGTTCAGAAGTGGTCCAGTAATTTGTGTGAGAAAAAGAATTAGCCAAATATCTAACAGGAAATTTGACTACATAGGTTCAAGTCCTTATTTCTGAGGGGACAAAAATATCAAAATAATCCTATAGCTTATAATGAGATACTAAAATCGCATACATACTATTCTAGTCAATTTGGGAAAAAGCACTGGGTTATGAAAAATTATAACCTATATGAAAGACTTGGAATTATGAAAGTTCCATTGATGTGATAGGGAGGATGACTATTAAATTATCGGCTAACTTGATGTGCACTGGCTGAAGTTTGCATCATTTTGGACAGCATAGCTAGTTCTTGTGCCCCAACCAAGGTTCATATCGTCAATAACACAGATCCTGTAAGTTTAGCAAACACACTATTTTCTAAATTTTTAAAGGAATTACTAATCTTAGAAAGATATAAAACAAATATAGAAATTTTAAATTAAAGTAATATTTTTCTTACAGCTTTAAGTATATTTAAAAAATGGCCCATTGTGAGAATTTTTGTCTGTTTTTAAAGTACTTGAAACTTATTACATGGGATTTTAGTAAAATGTTTAGAAGAATTAGACTAAGATTCTAATCAATGTTTAAATGGTTGAATCTGATTTATTAAATTTACAAGTTTTGCTTTATTAGCTGCTTAAATGGTGTTCAAATGTTGAGATAAATTGTATTTATTAGGGTTGTATGTTTAATAAATTGGGCATTAAACAAAGAATAAGTAGCAGCAAACATTATATTTTATGCACCGATGTCTCTCAGGCAAATAACACTTAAAGAGGACTGGTATGCTGCTACACACAGGGTGGGTGCCCACAGTTCTGACATATATAGTTTTTCTAGGGCCTTTAATTTTTTTCATCTCATCTTCTGGAAGTTTTAAAATATCAAAGACAAATAACATACTCATTCTGGAAGTAATACCAAAGACAAATAGTATACTTGTTGTATTATCTTGATTCTGAGACTGTAGCCTCACATTATTATGGCATATTTATCCTTATGCTGAAACTCGCAACTTTTTACTTCAGTGTACCCTCACGTCGATGCTGACCACTCTTGTTTTCATTACTGCTATATGAAGAATCCTCTATTCTTGGTACCCTAGATTTACAGGCTCAAATAAATGCCTTCATGTTATGGTTGAAAGAAAGAGCTCCCAAACAGATTGCATCTAGAAAAATATAATCACTCTCATTCCCAATTTTTATCTTTAAAGATAATATTAACTCTGATATGTTTGGAATTTTTGCTCAAGCATAAATAACTCCTAGTTCTTGGCTATTCCCAGGAGCTAGAAAAAATAATAGTGACAATAATAATGACAACAATATAAAAGATGATATGGTAGAGTGAAAAGCACTAGACCCAGAAAACTTGTGTTTAAATAGGCACACTACTTTCTGACTCTATGACCTTGGGCGAATTAAGTAACCTGGCTGTGCTTTCATTTTAATAGTACCTGTGTCACAGGGGTGTTGTGGGAATTACATGCGTGTGCAGAACTACCTGATACATGGCAATTGTTTGGTAAATATTCGCTATTATTACTAAAAGTTATTGAAGATGGGTCATATGAAAATGTTACCTGTTTCAAATGAACTGTTTTGCTTTAGGTGATTTAAACTCTTCTCCAGGAGCAGGGTGAAAAAAGATTTTGATTATGTATTATCTGAATGTCTCTTGTTCCCATTTTAATTTGTACTATGGCCACTAAATTTGGTATAGTTAATGCCAACCACTTTGCCCGTAAAGCCAAAATATTCTGTAATCACCCCGGTGATACCAATTTCGAGTATTCAGCTTCTGAGTCCAGAATACCAATTGTGTAAAAAGTGCAGAGAATTCCAATTCACTTTTGAATGTAATGATCTGAACCAAACACAAAACCTAGTTGATCCAAGATGATTTGGTCTTTATAATTTTGTGCATTACGTGATCTGCACGCCCAAAACAGGAGTATCTTTGAATTTAACATATTTTCCTTTTCAGAAAACAGAATTCTTTTAATTAAAAACATTTTTAAAAAGTTCAGTGTGTGTAATTGTTAACACCTGCTATGTGTTACCAACAGATGTTTCTTACTTACCTAAGGGAACTGTTGTAATTATTCTATAAGCTTATTGGAATGGCATTTACCAAGATAGTTGGGAAAGTTTAGTTGGTGACTTTTTATGTCAGGTTTGGTATTTTTTTAAATCCCTTCCCCTACTGCTGTCATTATCCACAAACCCACCCCAACCAAGCCTGCCAAAAGCAAAAAAATGTCATTTTGTGGTACCAAAATGCAAAACTGGCAATGATCATGCATATTTTAGTCTTCAGGAAAAGTTACTGAAATTAAATCGTGTGTATACTAAAGCGTTGTAAAATTGACTCAAGTGTTTTAGCAGCTATTCTTTGTACTGTTCAACACGAAAGTCTTACATCTTGATTATAAAAGTAAAAATATACCTTTCTGAATAATACTTTTCTAATAGCATGGCCTCAAAGGAAGCTCTAGTAAAAATGAATTTTCTTCATTTTTCTGGCCATTCATAAGGTTTTATAAACCCTAGGCATTCTGAAATCTTCGTTTATGATACTAATCACACAATTACCTACAGGCATGTGTTAAACTTGACACTGGTTTCAGCCAAATAATGGACCAGTTGCAAACAACGAATAAAGAGAGGCAGCTTCATTTATAACCGCTATTTCAACAGAGCTCTATTGTAATCATAGCAATCTGAGGGTGACTCATTAATTAATTGATGTTCTTTTTTATCATGTGCTATTGAGTTAATGAGTAATTTGTGTGCGATAATTCTCTGAACACATTGATTACTTGAGATATTTTCTGGGGCTTTCATATCAATAACATGCTGGAGAGGTAGAAGATGCTATTCGCTTTTGTGTGCTCATTATTAGCAGGTTGGAGATGAGCACAAACCAGTGCAAAGACATGTTAAAGTTATTTGATCTAGGCCAACCCTAAGTCTGCCCAACAGGAGGCTGAATGCTCAGGGAGAGGCCTGTCACATAGTAGGTGCGCAATAAATGTCAATTAAACTAATGACTATTAAATCTCTGCTTTCTATTACCTTAAATTACATTAAAACCACATTTAAAAAATATAACAATGTTTTTAAGAAAAAGTAATGATCAAAAAGGCTTTTGCTAAAATTGTATTTTGTGCTAATGGCCTATTACAATAAACATGCAGATTGTTTTTGCAACTTACTGAAGTGAACACTAAACATGTTTGGCCTACATAATTTCTACGAAACTGTTTAAGTGATGATTCAGAGAGTGGTTTGCCTAAAGTGATAGTTAAAAGGAAAACACTTTTGCATGGCATGTTTTACTACAGATATAATTTTCAGTGCCCTGTTTCAGTTAAGGTGCAACATCTCTTCTGTAAAAATGTAGAATTGAGTTTCCTGTTTTAATTCATTATACAGAATAGAAAATTTGAAATTTAATCTGACAACAGCAACAGAGTTGCTTTCAGAAAGATCACCTAAAATTTGTATAAATGTGCAAAATTACACCCAGCAATTGCTACCTTCATTTTTGAGAGTTTTATTTTCCCCATAAAAATAAATAGCGGTAAACGACCTAGCGCAGAGATCCTAAACATTACATTCAGAGAAACATTTGGGGTGCTTTGTCTATGCTTGTTATGACTTAGCTTTAGAAAGTAAATGTCCTTACACACCTTTTTTTTCTTTTCATGGACTTAACATATGCTTTCTAGAGATCATCTTAAATTTTGCCAATTAAGTGCAATCAAATAGTGTAACACCCCTTTTATTAAAAACATAAATCCAAATGTAAAAAAGTGAATGAAAGAATCCAGCAGATATTTATTAAGCAAGATGAAAGTGAAATTACAAACACAGGTCAACTTTTAAACTCAGCACTCTGTTGGAGTGGAGGTGCACGGTCCTTCATCATAGGCAGCCTATGCGAGATGCATCTTAGGAAGGGAGCTTTCGCTGCTCAGAAATCAAAGCTCCATCGGAGGTGTCCTACTGGAGGCATCAGACAACAAGCTAAATGACGTTAGGGCTACACAACACAAAGGGGAAAGTTGACAACAATTCAGGGGCTTTGAGTAGTCAAGACAATTAGCTTAGTACTTCAGGTCAATAAATGCTACAATTTATGGGCAATTAGCTGTAAAATGGCCTACAGCTGAAACACTATTCTTGTCTTATTTCACGATTTCATGGAGATTAAAGATAATCTAAACAGATTAAGGCCTTAATCTTTAATCCAGGTGAGTAATTTTGTTTGTAGTAAAAAGCATAAGAAATAATTCTCAGCATATTATGTAAAAGAAAAAGCAGTGAAAACCTTGTTTGGTCTTCCAGTGGCAAGGATAGTTGAACAACTTCAAGAAGCTGAGAGAAGTTTGTTCCCAATTTACAAGTATTTTGACATATAGATAAACAAAAGCAAAACCAGTTAAACCTTAAAAGATCATCTGAATAAGATCCTGACAATTATAATTTTACATCCATGTGAATTTCAAGCAATTGTTAATGGGGACCAGCAGGGCTGCATTAAGAAAACCACTTTTCACTGATCTCTCCCCCACATATTTTTAATTTGTCTTGCTTTGTTTATTTTGGTTATGCAAGTCCTTTCTCTTCATGAAACAAGTGTAAGGCTCTAAGGCTAAAATAATAGTTATTTTTGTGGGCCCCAAATAGCTACTTTTGAATTTCTTTCTTTAGTATATCTCAAATCTGGGGAACATGGAACTTGAAGACTCCTAACCATGAAGCATTTGGAAAAATACATATCATTCACTTTTCACAGAACCATTTTCTTAAAAATAAGAGGCAATATCCAGATTCACATGCATGTTCATAATAAAGCTTTGTTTTAAAACAAATCCACACCAGCATTATTTTCAGCTTAATATTTTGGCCCCAACCCAAGAATTCAGGTATAACATTTAATTTTCATCTGTAATGCATATATTGGAAGGACAAAATATATATGCAAATAACACTGGAAAATATTGTTTCCTATACAAGTGATCAAGAAAAAAACAAAGAAAAAGAAAACCCATAGCACTAAGTTTGCTGTAGTGAAAATATGGTTAACGGTGCCGTGCAAAATTAGATTTGTTGAAAAGTAGTTCTATTACAGGGAGCAAAAGCAAAGAAGCAAGTTTGTGGGCAACTCGGAAGAGGGGATCATATTCTCATTTCCTTAATTGTAATTTAAATAATCATTCTCCATAATTTCTCTTTCTAGAGCTTTCTTCTTTGTATGCTATCACGTAAGGTAGTACTATTTCACCTTAAAAAATGGAAAGACAAATTTCAGCCTAAGAATGATGTATTCTGAGTTGGCAATTACTTAAAACAATGAGAGAGTAAAACACATCAAACTTAAAGTGTTTACTTTTTGAACATTAAAATAAATGTCAGGTAAATACAGAAAAATATATAATCACTAGTTCTCAGCATTTTATCAATCCCTTTGTTTCTCTTCTTCTAGAAGATTCTATGAGCATTATGTTGCTCCGATCAAAAGTAACCTCACTACTCAAATACCATCATAGCTTCAATGTGCATTATAGTGATTTCAGTAGATTCACACTCAAATCTTTTCAGTGTCATACATTTATTAAGCCATAAAGTTATGAAACCCTCAGCTCTTGTGGAGAGATCTGGGCAGAATTTATACAAGAAGAAGTTTAATTTATCACTTAAAAATCATCTCATAATTGTGGTAACAGATTTTTAAAGTAACCCTTTGGAAAAAATTTTACGTGATACCCAAAGGCACTAGTTCACATAAGGGGTGTGGCTGAAAAAGCAAAACAAAGCCATTGTGTAAGTAAAGAGCACACAAAAAAAGGATATTAAAAGGAAACCTGTTAAGCTTTAAAGTTATTCTAAAAATGGCACTTTTCACGTTGGTATAAAATGAAAGTGCTTTAAGATGAAATTTTTATGTATTTTTTTAAAGCTGATTTTTAACCCCCTGAAAATAGGGGGTTATAACAAGAACACTGATAGACTCTAACTCATAGCGGCAATAAGTAGTGGATGTCACTAAAATGCTCTGTGTGTGTCTTTATTTTTTAGTATTTTTAATGTTGATAGACTTGCTTTATCTATCTGTGTATCATTAGTGAGATTTGCTTTTCAATTCTTTACTAGAAAGTTACAGCTCATTTAAAATAGCTGGTAAATACAGAAAGCATAAATATACAGTAAGTTTAAACACTGATTGTACTAAATGCAACAATACAAAGAAGCAAATGGAACACAAATGGTAACACAATAAAACTGTATTACATTTGTGCTTCAAATATTACAATACATTATATACAATAGTCCAAAATAAACATCTCATGCCAAGTGACACAAAAACGAATAGCAAGCAAAAAAATCCAGCCATATGTACATTACTTTTTTCTTTAATAATAAACATTCAACTCTGAACTGGGGCAATTTCACTACATACAGATGCAGTCCGCCTTTTATTCCATATAACCATCCTGCCTTCCTATATCTACGCTATTCAGTAGGTTCCTGTGTCAATTCTTATGTACATGTGGAGCAAAAAAGATAAAAGAATGTAGTGCTTTGTATTCTTAATGGGGTGATGTTGATAGATCAGCGAACCTGGGGTGCATAACCTTCTTTCATTAAACCTTCCTCGTAGTCCGTCTGGCAAAGGATCATGTTATTCTTTAGGAAAAATTTGTCTCCAACACAAAATCTGAAAATATTTTAAACAATAAAATGTGGTTAAGACCATTTCACTTGGATCTAGAAATTTGAAGATTTATTTTCCTATTAATAGTTTCGCATGGTAATTCCCTGAATCTGAAAACCTGGCTTAGACAGTTGTCTTCATTATCAGAATTAGACCATTTACCATTTACTTCATTTAATGAAATGTTGCACACATTTGAAATCTTGCCTTTGCATGCAAAAATTCTAAGGATATTGAGATAAACACTTTGGGCACCAAAGATGACTTGCTTTTTTTTTTTTTAAACCACACTGGAAAGAAAAAAAATAAAAAGAACTGATCTGTATTTACACCCATTAAAATAAAAGAAAGAATGATAATAATGTTTCACTGCAGTAATTATGGATGATTTCATCTCTGGCCATTTAGGCACTTAATAAAAAAGTAAAAGGCATTAAAATGAATCAAACAATTAGAAAATAGCCTATTTTAAAGCTTCCCATTTAAAGCTTTCTTTTACTCTGTTATTAAAATGTGATTAAATGTTAGTAATCTAGAAGTGATCATTCTGAAATGAAAGTTGCTCTAGCATCAGATTCTGATGCTGAGCCATTTTCCTTTGTTTGTGGCAAGTTCACCAACATGAAATAGTAGATGTCATTTCTTAGAGCACTTCCAATTCAACCAAAGGGAGTAACCTAAATGAACTACTTAATATTGATGTGATAAACTAAACTAGTTTCCAATAGCTAATTATGCATTTTATTTCATAAAGCATTGTTTAATGTGCAAGACTGCAATGTTTTTAATAAGTGTTCTTTCTGTATGATTTCCCCACGGTGACACTTTGGACACAATTAAGGTCAGAAATAAATGTTTTTTCTGTTTCTGGTACATTTAACAATAAAGTAACTCTGGGGAGATCTGTATATATATTTAATTGTAACAATTTAACCTTCAAATAGTGGTGTCTGGTAGAGTTGACCCAGTAAAACTACTTGTAATTATACAAGTTGACCTCTATGACCTTTGATAGTAGTCTCTCTTTATCAGATAGTCAATTTCAAATGATGTTCCAGCAGAAATCTTAGTGGATAGATTAAATTGTGTAGTGAAAGCCACCCTTTAATGTTTTGTGAAGTTGAAGGTTTAAATGAGGAGCAGTTGGACTGATTTACATTTGCAAAGATTGGAATGCTAGACAAACAGTGAACCTATTTTTTTCCAACTGGGTAGCTTTGGAAATTTATCCTTATACTAGCTAAGTAGATAGAGAGGAAAATAGTGTAATAAAAAAAGTAGACTGAAAAGAATTAGCTTTCCTCTTAAAGGAAAATTGGTCTATTTGTGGAATTTACTTTTTTTCCCCAGGATTACTGCCTGCTGATGATGTTGATTGAAAGCACAGACTATGCACTGATCTTGAAATCCTAGGGTTGTTTGTGGTCAAAGCTACTGGATACAATGAACATTCAAGTTTGGGGCTTTAAGTATATTTTCTTTGTATTAGTTGTAACCTGTATACTTTAAATGTTGCACTTCAATAATGGTGTTTGTGCAAGCCAGTTTGATATCCTTATCAAATGAAAAGTGTCTGAAAGGCAGAGAGGTATACTGCAACCAGTAGGGTCCAAACTCTACCTTCCCACTTATGATAATTGAAAATAAAACTTTGGTTTTTAATACCTGTGACATCAGTCGACTTTGTAGGCTTGTGGCAAGGAGTAGAAATGAAATATCTAAAATCTTACCTCAATGTTTGAAACATAGGTAAAATAGCCACCTTTTTATGCTTACCATGTGCTAAATGCTAAGCATGTATGTACATGATCACATTTATTCCCTACATCCAACCTAGAAAGTAAGCATTGTCATGGCTTTTTACAGAAGAAAAACCTAAGACTCCGTGCCAGAATTTCAAAGCCCTGCCCAAGATTCTGTAGTTAAAACGTTTATAGTAAAGGAAGAAAAATAACCCAGGCCTTTTTGGATTCAAGACTCAAGCTTTTACCTGAGGGCAGTAAAGCATGCAGGCTACAAGAATAATGTGAAGATTAAATGGTTATACAGGGTGTAACTGTGTTTTTTGTATTACTATTATTTCTTTTGCATAACTTTAAAAAAGTCTGCCTACTATTCAATTAAGTGGTATATATAGAGCAACAGAGGCAGAGCGAGAGAGAGACAGAACTTTTCTAAAATATTCCTACCTGACATATTTTATTACTAATATGTTATCAACTGGATAAAGTGCATTTTATATGCATTTCAATTTATACTTAAAGGTCAAGATGAAACGAACATGGATGAGGGATGTCACACTTGCACATATGACTCAAACAAAACAGCCTTGAAAGCTGTGGTTAAGAGCAGATTACGACTGGTATGCAATTAAGGTTGACATCCTCTTTAAAAAATGCTTCATATATAAATATAAAGAAATTTCAGAGACAGCAATACAGATAGTATGTATTTAACAAATTAATCTGTAACTGTGATTTTGTAAGAAATGCTAATTTCCAGTGTGATTTAACCAACTTCTTATGAGATTCAGCATTTGCAGGAAAAAAAAAAAAAAGCATTATGAAAGGAGTGATAGCCAGAGGATACTGTAAGTATATTAACAGGCTACAATTACTAAAAATAAACATAATCTTTCTTGTAATCTGACCCTAATTACTTGTAGTATGCTCAGTTCAATTAATTTTACCCTCATTTAAAAAAATTATGGTAAGGAATAAGAAGATGCCCAATTAGATTATTAAACCATCTAATTCTGATGTTTTGGAATTAATATGAGATGTAATTTCTAGATATTTTTGAGTGATTTAGCTGACTTCATATAGTCTTAGAGACTTGAGAAGTATATGAAACAAGTGTAAATAGTAAATCATCCTTATAAAATATAGTGCTTAGTTTTAAGCAGGTTATCAAAAGCCTATGCTAAGAAGCCTCCACTGGTAACATCCCTTTTAAGAAATAAAAATGTTAGCCTAGCCATCTTCTTTCCCTAATGTTAGTGACTGACAATTATGATTAATTTCTATCTTACAACACTTAGCTAGGGAGCTCCAATCCATATTTCTAGTGTCTATACTTTCCTATTCCACATCTTCAGTTAACTGTAAGTTAGAGATTTCTATACTATACTGTTTTCAATAAGAAGTCCGGGTTGTGTACTCATTCCTCCACTATACACCTGTGAACAAATTTACTGTCTTTCCCACTGACAGTCCGGTTGTCATTATACATCTCACTGCTAACAACCCTTAGTGTATCAAATGACACTACCCACACCCCAAATCTTGCTATACATTATTCAAAGTTTACCTTACTTTAAGTCCACTATATCTATTCACATTTATATGCTCTTAGTCAGAAAATAAAATACCTCTCTTGAAATGGGCCTGACTCCGGAGAGGGAGACCAGATTCGCTCCGCCTCCCGGGTTCCCGCCATTCTCCTGCCTCAGCCTCCCCAGTAGCTCTGACTACAGGCGCCCGCCACCTCGACCGGCTCATTTTTTTGTATTTTTTAGTAGAGACGGGGTTTCACCGTGTTAGCCAGGATGGTCTCGATCTCCCAACCTCGTGATCCGCCCGCCCGCCTCGGCCTCCCAAAGTGCTGGGATTACCGGCATTAGCCACCGCGCCCGGCCAGGTTTAAATCTTGAGTCTACCACTTTCTTCTAACTGTAATCTTGGGCAAGTTACTTACATTTCCTATACTTTACTTTCCTCATCTGTCAAATGAAGCTAATAACTACCTATTTATGGGATATTTTGAGTATTAAACGAATGAGTACATGTAAAACACTCAGAACGGTGTTTGGTGTTTGACTAATACTTTATCAGAATTTGCTATCATTATTATTTGGTAATGATAATCTTTTCACCTTTACTTAAGTTGTTCCCTAGCAAGAAATATTTCTCCCCTTTTTCTGTCTACTTAAATTGTAACAATCCTTGAGTTCCCATTGCCTCCATCAACATCTTCTGACCATGTAAATTTGCTTATTCTGATGTTTCCCAAAGCACTTATTTATTGGTGTATTGTTTATTTTGGTGTTTCAAAATTTCTCATGAATGTGTAACTGGTTTGCCATTATAGTCAGCAGTTCTGCGGTAAATGACCACGAGTTATATTTCTTTTGAACCCTTTGCAGAACCATCATAAACTGTACTACCACTTAAGGTGTGTGGTCAATAAAAATTGGTTAAGGTAGATTTATTCCAGAAACCAACAGCTTTAAATAACAAATGTATTTTAGATGACTAATTTAAATTTGTATTCATTTTGACTTTTATTTAATGGCTTTTCAAAGACTAAGTTTACAATTTCATTTCCTCTAGGTGCTTGCTCTCTTTCTACTCCTCCATGTGCCTACCAAACCGCTTCTCTAATCTCTGAACATACTGAGCCGCTTTTCATTTCCTAAACACGTCAAATGCTTTCACATCTGCATGCCTTTGCACGTTGCTCAATTTGCCTGAAAATTCCTTTCCTCACTGCTCCCTGGCTCCCTCATCTTCCCCAACCCCGAGCAGACACACTTCCTGTAAGTCAACCAGTTCTAGGGAGTTCTTTTTTCAAGACCCAGCATATCAGGCCTTTGATGCTTCCCTAACACTTCAAGAAGGATGGCTCTCTCTTCCCTCAGTATAGCTCTATTTAGCATCGATTACACTCTTCTGTGAGTCTTTGATGTCCTGTCTCTCCCGTAGCTCCGGACACCTCTAAGAAATAAACCAGATTTTATCCACCTCAGCTTCCACAGAGCCTAGCACAGTGCTTTATTCTTAAAAAAAAGAAAATTAATTAATTGTTACATAATTTTACATATTTGGGAAAATTTCATCACAAGCTTTTTATTTTTCCTTTTCTTACAAAACTATCATTTAGTTTTATTGTGTTTTCTAAGGAGAAGGGGCTTATTCACCTTTAAGAAATTAACCTGTTATATAGAATCTTCCAATTCTGAATGAGATTCAAGATATCATAAAATAAGCTTAAATAACCCTCCTGCGGTACCTTTTAAAATAGAGAAACTAGCCGAATTTTAATGCAGGATTCACGTTTTAGCTATACGCCTCTAAAAGGGGCAGAGGAGATCTATATATAAGGGACAATCAATCCTGAAAGGTTATTATTACTGCTACTTTTTAAAACATTCAGAAATGCTTTGGATCTTAATGATACTTTGATTTAAAGGTAAAGATGAAATGACTGCTGAATACAATTCACAAACGCGTAATTCCACAACTTTAGACGTCAATAAAGTTTGCTTAAGAGAAAATGCCTATGAATTACCTATTTGCCTTGTGTTTCACTTGAAAAGTGCAATATTGCGACAATGATTTGGCTACTGGAAGTGGGATATGGGTTTCCTGGAGGAGACTGAAGCAAACTTCAGAGTAAAAGGAGAATCTCCTATATGAAAACCTTCTGTATCCTGGGTAACAAAATTTGTCTGCTTTGCTTGACTGATGAAGATTAGCTGACTTCCCGCATTAGTTTGTCTTGTAGGGGCTGAAGTGACAAGACAATAACTAAGTGCTAATTGTGCATAACCGGCACTAAAGATATGCAGTCCCATTATGGCATGTAATAAATGAAGCGAACACAGAAATATATTAGGTACTTTAATAATGATACTAGAATAGTATTTCGCAGCAATAAGAATGTGAACAGTTTTAGAGTCAAAATTTAGGAGTGTTTGTCTTACTTGACTGAGTTCTCCTGAGGAGACAGACTTAATTGTGAATGCAACTTTTTATTTCAATGGTGAAATAAAATAGATATATGATTTGTAAATAGCATTAACAACCTACAATTACTTTGCATCATAATAGAATTTAGGCTGGGTTTAGCACTTGAATGTTTTTATTTTCTATGTAGAACATGGATAAAATAGGTAACCCTACTTAATAGAAGAAAATGGACAAAGGACATAAACTGCCTACTTCTCTAAAAGAAGGAATACCAAAGGACCACCAGGGATCAAATAAATGCCAGTTAGAAATTATAATGAAATACTATCTTTCATCCCTTAAGGTGGCAAGGATTTTTTTTTTTTTTTTTTAAACGTAATTCCTAGTGTTTTAGAATGAATGTGAGGGAATGCGTAGTTTTGTAGATTTCTGCTAGGAGAATAATTGGTATAACTTTCCTGGAGATCATTAAGCAATGTACAGCATATGCCTTCAAACTGTTATATACCTTGTTTAAGTAATCATGCTCTGTGAATTTAACCAGATAGAGATATGAGCATTTGTTTTTATACAATCTGAATATCTACATTTAGCAAGAAACTCTATTGTGATATATGTCTTGTGGGAAAGTCAAGTTAGTGGACTATTATTTGGTAAATTATAAAAATAACTAACTTTTGAGAACCAGTTGTGTTCCTGACATTTAACATAAATTATTTTATTGAAGTTTCAGACTCTGCAAGAGAGGTATTAGTGTTTCTATTTTGTAGGTGTGGGAATCAAATTCAGAGAGATTAAGTAACATACTCAAGATCACACAGTTAATATATCAGCTACTATATGGTGGTGCTGAAATCTGAATCTCTTCTCACTATAAATGTCACATTCTTTCTACTATTCTACAGGGTCTCATAAGGTCCATTTTTATATTGATAATACTGATAATATTTACAGCACAAAAACTTTTGAAGATACAACTTATATATCTGATGATAGAAGACATATGTGAAGCTCTGTCCATAAAGCTGAACTCAGAAAAGCTTAAAATATCTTAAAAGAATTTTTAATGGCAGGTAAAAAAGGCACAAAATATAAATTGAGTGAAAAAGTCCAAATATCAAACATTAGGATTCTCCCTTGTAACTTTAATTTGCTTAAATGTGAGTGTAATATTTATACAATGTCATTTGTCCTATAGACATAGGAACATGTATGGCTGGCTATATATCAAAATATTAAAATGTTTTCTTTTAGAAGAATGAGACATGGGACAATGTCTTGTTTTTATCATTTTCTATTTTCTAAATTTCCTACTATGAATATGTAATCTTTTATAAGTAGAAAAGCAATGACTTTATGATTCCATAATGGGAACTGCATGGTTACTGGCTGCTATTAGTTGATCAACATGACAAGTCAACAAAAGTATTCTAAATTTACTACTAAGACACCTTTAAAATGTATAAAATACATATATACATGCACATAAAGGTGTCTGTATGGATGTGGGAATGTTTGTGTTTGTATATCCTTATCCCTACCAAAAACATGTGCATTTGCCAATTTATTTTCGTCTAAATGTTACCCTAGACTGAATGAACTTACTTTGATTCTCAGTACTTGCTGGGAAGAGTCAAGACATTGTAAGATAACATCTTACATGACTGTCTGGGTAACTATTACATTATAAGGTACATTAGGCAACAATCTGAATATCTACATTTAGCAAGAAACACTATTGTGATACATGCCTTGTGGGAAAGTCAAGTTAATGGAATATTATTTGGTAAATTATAAAGATAACTAACTTTTGAGAACCTGTTGTGTTCCTGACATTTAATATAAATTAATTATTTCATTTAAGTTTCAAACTCTGCAAGAGAGGTGTTAGTGTTTCTATTTTATGGGTGTGGGAATCAAATTCAGAGAGATTAAGTAACATACTCAAGATCACACAGCTAATATATCAGCTAATATATGGTGGTGCTGAAATTTGAATCCCGTTCTCACTAGAAATGTCACATTCTTTCTACTATTCTACAGGGTCTCATAAGAAGATTCTGCATCAAATAGTACCTTTCAGAGTAAATTACAATAACTGAGAACTTGATGCAACTAATATTTATTGATTATATACTCTGCCAGGTGTTCTCACAGAAAGTCAGTGAATTCATTTTCATTAAAATCTATCAAGTGTTCTAATTTTTGAAATGTTGTATTTTTAATACGTACATTTTAATGTTCTAAAATCCTCTCCATTTATCATATAAAACAGGTGCCAGTAGTATATAGTTTTCACAGAAATAAAAAATATAACTTTCAATAAGAAAAAATGGAATTAAGTGATAATACTTTTCAGCTGAAAGAATTCTCTGAGATGAACTAATCCAGCTTCATATGTTACAAATGAAAAACCTGAGGTCCAGAGAGGGAAGGTGTTTGTTTGGTTTAAGATCGCACAGCTTATTAGTGGCAGAGCCCATATTAGAATTTAGGTTTCCAGGTTCCCTGTTCAACACTTTTTCAAATGCTCCTCTCCAATGATAATAATTGTTTAATTATTAGCTATATCTGGACTGATTCTCAAAGATATTTGAAGTAACTGCAAAAGTACATATAGGACAGGGTTAAAATTTAAGGTAAACAGCTAGATTGGGTGGGGGTGGTGGCTCATGCCTATAATCCCTGCACTTTGGGAGGTGGAGGTGGGAGGATTGCTTGAGGCCAGGAGTTTGAGACCAGCCTGGGTAACATAGTGAAACTCCATCATCTCTATAAAAAATGAAAAAAAAAAAAAATTAGCCAGGCATGGGAGTGCACACCTGTACTCCCAGCTACTCGGGAGGCTGAGGCAGGAGGATTGCTTGAGCACAGAAGTTGAGGCTGCATGAGCCATGTTAGTGCCACTGCGCTCTAGGCTGGGTGACAGAACCAGACCTTGTATTTAAAAAAGCAAAAACAAAAACATGAGGGATAAGGAATTTAAAATATAAAAAATAATAAGAATATAAAATACCTGCAACAAATTCCTGTATATTTGCTTCATTGCCAATTTATTTACTCACATAAGTAGTATAAAAAAGTAGATATTTAAAACTACTTTTAAAAAGACAGGAAAATAATAAAAGAAGGAATGAGTAAAAGAAGTCAGAGTTTACGGTAGTGTTTCCATTTTCTGTTACTTGCTCTTATATGATGCTTTTCTTTCAGGTAGAAGTAAGTCTTAAGACCTTTCTTCTCCTTAGTAGCTTGTCTCTGGCATGGGATTAAAGTTTACAGAACAGAAAAACGCTGAGATTGATTGCTTTAAATGTATGAATATAATTTCCACCTATTAAATAAATAGCCAGCACAGAGAGGTTAACCATTTCTTAGAGACCAAAAAGAGACCTGCTTACCTCTGATTACAAAGCTGACATGCAAAGCAGTCCAGGTGGTAAACATTGTCCTTGGCACGCATCACCATCTCAAAGGCAGGGATGAGCTTACTACAGGCAGCGCAGTTTCCCGTTACACCAAAGAGCCTAGAATAAGAAACATTTTTTTTTTTTTACAAACTCTTACAGAGAAATCTGAGATCGTGAAGAGAGATGATGTTAATATACTCTGTAAAGCTACAATACACAATGCTTTATGATGTACACAAGTGGATTTTATCCTAGGTGTATGCATAAATATTCTTCTGCAATATATTCTCCGTTGACCTTCCTTGATGAAAATCACATCTTGTTTGAGAAGAAAAGGAAAAGACAAATACATTAGGAAGCTTACGTAACTGCACATAAACAGAAGTCAATGGGGGTGAATTCATAGCAAAAATCTCTGGGTTAGAGTATATAGAAAATATAAAAGCAATATAACTTTGCTCTTAATGTTATATATTAAACATTTTAGTTGGGAAAGGAACCAACTAATGAATGATTCACTACTTTTTGACATTTAGTTACTAAAAGGTTTGCCATTATTATTAAAAATACATTTATGAAGAAGCCATTTAAATAGTCAAAAAACATAGAGGCGCATGCATGCACCTTATGGCTCTATACCATAGTTATAGCTATGATTATGTTATTCAAGTAGCACATTAAAGTAAATGAGGCTGTAAACTATATATAGCTAGACCAGAAATTGAAGGATAATATACTGTCAGAACCACTGGAATTGTCTAGGATTTAAAAAAAATTCCTATTTGCTGCAGATTCCTGAGAATCGTTATTGTAATGACCTAAAAGAAGTACAAAATAAAATGTCTCTCATTTCATAACGTGAGGAAATATTTTATCCATTTGCACTGGCAATATTTAAACCAAGTTTCTTTAAAGTTGATAATGGAGGGGAAGAATTATTACAAATAATATTCCATGCATAGTAGTTAATGCACTTTTTTACTAGGAAGCAAACTAGATGAAAAACACCACATCTGCCAGTTTTCTTTTTTCTCCAGTGTCAGGCTGACAGGAGGAAAATATAATGGCTCTCATGGGAAAGACCAAATTAAAAGCAGTTCTAAACTAATGAATTCAAAGGTGCTATAGAGAAAACTCATTTTGGTTATAAAAATGTACTTTTAAAAACCTTAGCCTTTCATTTTATTGAATTTAAGGATTAGGCACAAATGTGCTGAAGTCTCTCATTACTTTCTGTAGACTCCAAAGAGAAGTCTTTTCTTAAGGCATGCATATTCATTTTCAAGTTTATAACTATTTCCTTTTACCAGGATAATGACAGTTGTTGGAAACAGTTGTGAGAATGGTTTCTAAGTGTCTGGCAAAATGTGCAATGAATGTTTATGCTCATATTTTTGTTGGATTGTCTCTTGAAGAGCATAAGCGCCTTGAAGGTAGAAACAATAAATGCATTTTAAAGACTTTGCTAACATAGTCTGTGCACTTGATAAAAAGTAAGCGAAGTTTACATTCAAGAAGATCAAATTCATAATTGTTAGACACTTATTTTCCTTAATGAATTAAAAAATACTTTAGTATGCTTATTTTAAGGACTATAACCCAAGTAACCTTCATGTTCTCCTTTTGTAATCTGTATTTTGATAAATAATATTTATTTAAAAAGAAAGAACTTGCTCGAAAATGTAATATCTTAATTTCCTACTGGCATCATCAAAAATGAAACCATCACCAACTAAAGCTTTCATCCTATTCATTTGTAAGGAGAATTTTTTAGTTCATTCTAACATTTCATATTTATTTTTCAGTGTACTTAACATGATCTGCTTAGGAGATCTGCTTAGGAGATCACTTACATGTGCCATTGTTTCTTCTGTTCTTTATTATTTTTGAGAAATAAGAAAAACTTAAAAGTTCTTTATTCAATGAATATAGATATACTTGTGTATATAACATCTGGTTAACATGCGATAAAGCCGTTTTTAAGAATTATTCAGTTTGTTCATATCTAATAAACATACACACAATGCCATTTTGAAATTCTGGACGTAGTTTTCCCCCATTTCAATTGCTCTCGCTAGCTGAGCATTTATCAGCTACCTGATTAGAATTTGTTTCCACACAAACCATTGATCATCAGCCTATTACTAGGCAAATGACAGTTAATTACCCACTACATTAACCACTGGGACCTGAGACCTGCTTCTGCTGCCATCAGTCAACATGATAAATGTGGCAAGTTCAGTAATGCATGGCCAGCCCTGAGCTGCCTGCTATACTGTGAACAACCCTCAATCTCACTTCCAGGCCCAGGAAAATCTATGGCAATCTGCATAATTACAAGCTCTGGGTTAATAACAGACAAATGATTTGTTGCATCTAAACAAAGTCCTTGGAATGGTCCGAGTCTCTGATGGCTGCCCGTACGGCGCACTGCTACCAGTGTACTTTCCACTACAATGTGCACAAAACAGTTCTCTGACGTTATAGCCTTCCAATTTGTTGCCCTCCAATTTATGGATTCTGCATATGTGATTTTTAATCATTAAAGGACTCTTGAAGCAATATTATCTTAATTATTCTCTGCTGTAACCAGGGAATTAGGCTTCAGATAAAATTTTCTTCTTCCACGCACTTTCCCTGCCTCGCTGGAGGCTCCATCAGTTTCCATCTACACCTGGACTCTGATATCCTAATGATGAATTATTGCCCCTTTTCCTAAGAGGGCGAATCTTACAAGGGAACATTTTACTGAACTGTCAGCTCACAGACTGAGTGTGGAGATGCGGAAATCTGATCTAATTTACTGCAAAGCGATGCATTTGTTAGACTTTTTCCTCAGTTTTGTCCAAGGATCAAGAGATCATTCTATAGCTACATTCGAGTTCTCTTTTTTCTCAGTGGGACAAACCCAGGATTCTCTGGGAAAATAAACAAAGTATTATTTTATAAAATGGGATTTTCAAATGTATAATGTTATCCTTTGGTTTCCAAACATGACATTTGGGTTTCGAGGCAAAAGAATTTTCATATATGTCAATTAAGCATAAGACAGGCATAGTTCTCCTTTGTAAGATTTTTTTTCAGATTGTGCCTAGGAAATATTTAAAAACAGTCTCTTAACTATCTAATTCATTTTGAGTACTCATAATCCTGATAATTCTTGTAACCTCTTCCTCTGCACTCTTTACTCCCACACTCGTTTATAAAGTTATCATAGATCCACTTTTCCATTTAAGCTGGAGATCCTTGTAAATTCTTGTTTGTAGTGCTTGTACAGTCACATCCTCTAGATAAGAGGGCCTAAGAGTTCTTAGTCGTACACTGAGACAGACAAAGCATTATTTTAAAAAGGAAGTCATTTTGAAATTTTGATCTAAATTAATCACAGCATACCAGCTTATACATTTACGGTAAGGAAAAAAATAAGCTCATTGATCTATTTTGCTCATTTTAAGATGTCTTATAGATTATTAAATCATGATACATGGTAATTTGCCAATTTATGGGCTAGATTTTTCCCTATCATTTATGTTCATAGTAGGCCTTAAGCAATATGACCTTTATCTTGTTTCTGACACACTTCCAAAAGTAGGCTTATAATGTAAAAGGTGACAAGTACCGGCCATACAATATCAGTGCATATAACTATTAATATCTGTAGAAATCCCAGAGATGTTTCTGTCCCCTTTCTATTCCATTTTTTTGCTTTCACTACCTCATTTTGTCTATCTAAAAACAGACATGAATATAAAAATCAAACAGACAACTTTCTAACTTTCTTAGGGGTAAGAACACGGCCTACCTGTATGCTGTATTACACCTGCCACACTGTAGTGAGCATGCACAGAGAAATATTTAATAACTTTTGTGTATGGGTGGCATTGCAAGAACTAAGACAAAACAAGTTTAGATGTTTTTAAAGGTGCCAGAACATTTTGCATTTTTACTAAATGTTCAACAGCTTCGGCAACATTGCCATAAAGCAAGCAAACTCTTTATGGTTTAGTGTATATCCATTTCTAACGTTCCTGCGGACTGGGGGTAGGGAAAAACTCAAGACATATACTCATTTAACATAGCAATAATGAATGTGGTTTACTACAGGCATCAGGGGAAAATGAGTGTTCATTGTATTAGTGTCTTTTATTTCACAGCACCAGATGTTTCTATAGATTTTTTTAACCAGGTCAGTGGCTCAAGTCACTAAATCAAATTCCTCCAAGCTATGTAAAGCATAGTATTTGACTCAAAGTAATTTAATATTTGAGGAAAATGCACAAATATGTCACTGCAGTAAACCTTAATTCTGAGTAAAGATCAGATCAGTAGTCAAGCAATCCTCATTTAATGAGATAAATATGCATAAATTTAGAAGTTATTTTATTTTAGAGTCTCACTCTGTCACCTAGGCTGGAATGCAGTGGTGTGACCATGAGTCACTGCAGCCTTGACCTCCTAGGCTTAAGTGATCTTCGTGCCTCAGCTCCCCAAGTAGCTGGGACCACAAGTGCATATCAACAGACTTGGCTAATTTTTAAAAAAAAAATTTGTAGAGATGGGGTCTCTCTCTGTTGCCCAGGCTGAACTCACACTCTTGGGCTGAAGCCATCCTCCCAACTTGGCCTCCCAAAGTTATCAAATTATAGTGTGAGCCACTATGCCCGGTCTAGTATTTGTTAAAATATTAAGGATAAGACTAGTTTAGTTATAATCCTATCTTTAAAAAAAACTATAGAATAACTACAGATGAACAGAGAAAGGAAAGTTTGGCTTTCGAAGACTATGAAATTGCAATCAATTGAAAAGATTTTTAACTTTTGACTGTTGGATGGAAAAGTTTTATTGAATATGTTTTGTGGGAAGGAATGAACATTTTCACAGATTGAAGGACAATTGCTTTTTTGTCTATTACAAACATGCTTCTCATCTACTTTCTTCTTTTACTTTTTCAACTAAGGAAGGTAGTGATAGAAAATGAAAACACTTTAAACATTCAATTCTTTTGTTTTCAACTTAAAAAGTTAGCCCATTACAGGCTGTAGAGAGTTGAGTCTATTGTTCTTTCTCTTTTTGGGTTCTCAGCATGTGCTCCACTGTCATAGAGATAAATGTATTATGAAAGTTAAAGAAAAGTAAAAAAGAAAACACTGAACATTTTAGAATGTACATATAAAAATATAAATGTTTAACATTATTTTGAACTGTGTTTCTAATTGTTGCAGTTAGGTCTACCACATATTAAATATTTTCATGGATGATTTTGAATTTTCCTGAAGTTAAGATTAAAAGGCTGAAAAAAGGAACACTGACACTCTGTTGGTGAGATTGCAAATGAGTACAGCCATTACAGAAAACAGTATGGAGGTTCCTCAAAAAAATTAAAAACAGAACTACCATATGATCCAGCAATCCCACTACTGGATTAAAAATCCCACTACTGGAAATCAGTATGTTGAAGAGATATCTGCACTCTCGTGTTTATTACAGCACTATTTACAATAGTCAAGCTATGGAATCAACCTACATGCCCATCAATGGATGAATGGATGAAGAAAATGTGCCATATATATATATATATATATATATATATATATATATATATATATATATATATATATAAAATGGAGTACTATTCAGCCATAAAAAAGAATGAAATCCTGTCATTTGTGACCACCTGGATGAACCTGGAGGGCATCATGTTAAATGAAATAAGCCAGGCATAGATGGAAAAATACCTCATGATCTCAGTCATTTGGAAGCTAAAATAAAAAGTCGACATCATAGAAGGAGAAAGTAGCATAGTGATTACCAGAGACTGGGAAAGGGAGCAGAGAGGGAAGGAGGAAGGGGAGAGATTGGTCAATGGGGCCAAAATGACAGTTAAGAGAAATAAGTTCTGGTGTTCTGTTATTGCACAGTAGGGTGACTATGGGCAACAGTAAATTACTGTATATTATAAAATAGGTAGAAGAGAAGCTTTTGAATGTTTTCAACACACAAAAAAATGATAAATAATGTATGAGGCGATGGGTATTTGAACTACCCTAATTAGATCATTACACAAAATATATATGCATTGAAACATCAGACTGTACCCTAGAAATATGTACCATTATAAGGTGCTAATTAAAAAAAGAAATTTTCAAAAAAGCTTAAAAGTTGACCATATATTAAAGAAAAGACATTTTCTATTTTAAAACCTTAGAGATTATTTATTTCATAATTAAATCTATATTAACTCTAGCTTATTTAGTTCAGCCTTTGTAAATAATATTTTTCTTTATTAACACATACAGATCATGCCAAAACAGAAACATAAAAGCCATTTGCTGAAAGTTCAACGTATAAATATATACATGTATAGTACATATATTCATTCTCTCTCCAAACATGCACATACACACATAATAGGCAGATACTACACTGAATGAAAAGGAAAGAGAAGAAGAATTAAGTTAAACTTACTAAGTGCCTAACTACAATTTCAGTAAAAAACTACCAAAAGCCCATGCTACATAGTCATATATATATATGTTAAAAACTACAACTTGGCACTTGAGGTCAGGAGTTCGGGACCAGCCTGGCCAATATGGCAAAACCCCATCTCTACTAAAAATATGAAAAATTAGCTGGGTGTGTTGGCAGGCGCCTGTATTTCCAGCTACTCAGGAGGCTGAGCCAGGAGAATCACTTGAACCTGCGAGGCGGAGGTTGCAGTGAGCTGAGATCGTGCCATTGCACTCCAGCCTGGGCAATAAGAGTGAAACTCCACCTCAAAACAAACAAACAAACAAACAAACAAACAAAAAACTACAACTTGGTACCTGAAATCCCAGCAATAATTCATGGTATTGAGAGAAAGCTGAGGTTCAATGAACCTTTTTTAATGAAAGTAGATGCCTACTACGTGCAAGGTACTTTGTGGGAAATGTTCAGTGGACTATGGGTGTGTGTTGCCAGGCAACCAGTGAGAAGGATAACTCAGGGATAGAATACGAGAAGTGCTCTACAATAAAGGGGAGGATGGTACATCACTTGGTAGGCTTGTGCTGGAGGACTGGGGAAGACAAACCAGCTGAAGCAGGACTTGAATGACATGGCATTTCACAAGTAGAGAACTGCGGGGAGCTGAAAGAAGGTCATCGTGGGATGATGTTAGAGGGTGAGCAGAAGCCTCTATGTGGTCAAGATCAGGGTTTATTTAAAGGCTATTTTTTAAATGACCAATATGGTAGTAGTCTGCTTGGTGGAGGTTAGGTGGAGTAGGTAGAGAAACCTACACAGCCTGGATGGGTGATGACAGCTTGGATGATAGAAGCTTCATGTTTGGTAAGTTGGTATTTTAAGAGAATCCTCAGAATATCATCCCTCTCCTACACTCAGGCAAAACTCCACACTTCCTTCAATCAGACAGAACACCACCAGGCAGCAGTGGGTGCTCAAGCCCACTCAGAGGGCTCACTCCTAAGATCCGCCAACCACTAGTTGGACTTACTGAGTAGCGATCATGATCTGACCCATTTTAACAACATGGTGGGGGTAATAAAATTACAGGTAAAAATTATCCCTGAACAGGAGGGAGAAAGAATATTTAACTGTTTGATTTTTTGGAATTCTTGAGATCTAGACTTAGTACTACACTGGCAACAATAGAAAATAAAAAGGAATACTAAAGGTGAGGAAAGAGATCTTGGTGAAAGTTATTGTCATCGGTTTCTCTGGGTATTGTATGTTAATGGAAACCTGATTTCCCATTAGAACTACACAAGACTTGTAAGAACCTAGCATTACAGAAGAATCAAGTCAAGCTCTGTGAATAATCTGTATAAAATACCTGCCATAAACAATTACAGAATCCATTCCAGTTTGAAGGTTGTGATTCAAAATAGATTGTTTTAGACTTGAGATACTCAGAGAAACATAGAAAACAGAAAAGCAATACCCTCCATACTCTGGATGTGGATCTTTCAGTTTTACCAAATGGCTGGTTTCTCCCCAACCTCCAATCCACTCATAATCCAAGCTAAGTACCCATTCACTTACTGTCTATTGCTGTGCTGACCAGCATTTTAGCCACCAGCCACATGTGGCTAATGACTACTTGACATGTAGTGAGTCTGAATTGAGATGCTCTAAGTGGGGCATATGTACCAGATTCCAAAGCTTAGCACAAAAAAGAAAAATATTTCATGAATAATTTTTGAAAATATTGATTACACATTGAGATGGTAATCTTTGGATACATTGCATTAAATACGTTGTTTAAAAAACTAATTTCACCTTTAAAACACTTTCCTTGGCTACTTTGGCTACTAGAAATATTAAAATTAATATGTGGATTACATTCTATTTCTATTGGACAGTGCTGGTCTATAGCTTCAGCTTTCTTTACATCCCTGGATATATGACAGTTATAACTTTGAAACAAATGGAGATCCAAAATTTTCTAACTGAAATCCATCCTAGAAATCTCTCTTATAATGTTCTAAGCTTAAAGATAAGAAAAAATACAGGCCAGAGACATTTTTTTCTAACTTGAAACTTAAAAATATGTATGCTAATAGTGTGAATCATTATAGCTCTCTCATAATCTGAAATAGATGACAATGCCCCACCTATTGTTCCAGTTTCAGGCTTACTCAGTGTTAATTCCTTTCTAAACTTGCCATTTCCTGCTCCATGAAGACAGCAACAACAATATGTAAAGAAAAATGGGTTGACGCTTGGGCTAATTGGCCCTGTCTTAGCTCTGCTATAGAGAGCAGAAAATATCCCATGTCTACACACAAAACCTTACACAATTATTTAGTGTCAGAGCTAGCAAGAGAACCTATATCCCTTATCCAAATTTGTTTTTCCTTCTCACTATACTTCTTTGTTTTTCCCTGCAAAAATGGGGCAAGAAGGGGTTGTTTTGAATAAAAGTCTCTAGGTTTCTGGACTGACAGAGGGTAATGGCTGGTCTACATAGAATCATCATGTCTCTTTCTACACCTGACTCTTAAAAGTTGCAAACAGTGTTTAAACATTATACTTTCCCTTTCAACAAATAATTGTCAATTTCTTCTCATACCCATTTTCCAAAGCCTTACGAGCAGGTGTTACTGCTATTTATGATCAGCACAGCAGCCTACTGGGAGAAGCTATGCAGAGAAAAGTAAAATAGAATGTTTTTCCCTTAACATTTGATGAGAAAAATATTTCCAGGCAAATATGGCAATTGTACCAACATTTCATAGAATCACAAAATCTTCGATCTGAAAAGAATCTTTTGTTGCTAGAATAAAAGAAATGTGTCAAGCTTGCTATTTATTGTTTTGATATTTAAAAGACAGGATTTTTCAAACTTTTAGACATAGTTATGGAAAGAACTAGAGTATTAAAAGGGAGAAGGGAAAAAGAAACAGTAAAATAAAGGATAACACATATGTACTAAAACAGAAATATTTTAACTATATCTTTAAAGTAATAGAAACAAATATTTTATCTAATCACTATAGCTCCTTGTTCTAATTTTAAGGTAAGTTTATAATGAAGGAAAGGCCAATCAGCCACAATTATACGAGCATAAAAATCTACAACTATTTTAGATATCGTGGGAAATTTAGATACTACACATCTCTCCCTTGATATAGCTCAGGAAGCTGCTAGTTTCAGCCACAGTACAATTAATGCTAATTGGAATATGCTTTACACAATTTCATAATAAAAGCTTTTAAGAATTTTTTGTGATAGTCTATTCTATAATGAGTTTCAGAAAGCTTTGTCTACTTAAAATTGAATAGGGTTTTCTAGGTGAAACTTTTTATGTAAGTAATACTTTCCTAAAAATCGGCATTGAAGTCTTTTGATATCTTTACAGACTTCTTAGAGACTCATAATTACCTTCTTTTCTATCTTTCTTTTTCATCCTTTTCTTTCCATACACTATATATAAAAGTGAACAAGAAATTAAGTGGAGAGGTATCTGGTTTGAAAATATTTTTTTTTACTCATCTCGTAATTAAGGCACTTCAAATACTGAAATTTTCAACAGAAAAGAAAAATAAAGAAAATGAAAAGAAGCATTATAGGAAAATGATCATGGTCATTTTGTGAACAGTTGGGAAATAATCCTGGGAATGACATTTTCTTAGATCTTTGTCAAATAAGCCATTTAATGTTTTCATGTGTCAATTTCACCATCTTTCCAAGAGCCACTTACTCACTCAGGCACTAACACAGGCTTAGCAAAGCTCCACTGTGAAACACGAACGAGTGATTGGTGTAATCTGGACTGCAATGCAAAACTCACTTGTTCTGATGTAAAGGATATCTTTTATATCCAGAGATTGTGATTTAGTGACAACAGTCACCTGATTATTCACAAAAAGTTATCAAATCACTTACCTTGAATAGGTAAGGTATTATTTAATTCTTGCAGCTAGCCAGTAAATTTTCAGATGATCAAACATTTCTTCTAGGGTTAATTATTATTACTTACTTCAAGAAAAAGTGCTGTGTAGGAGAATAATGTCAACCTATATAAGAATCTATTATCAGCATGGCACATGTATACATATGTAACTAACCTGCACATTGTGCACATGTACCCTAAAACTTAAAGTATAATAATAATAAATTTTAAAAAAATCTATTATCTACAGTTTAGTTTGAAATTTTATTTAATATTTTATCTTACCTCGTTGAAGAAACAACCTAACTACTAATGTTTTCTTTTAAGGTAAGTAGCAGGGTTTGGGGCATTGTGTCACCTATTGTATAAGTTAAATTTTCCAAAGAAAAGGGATGCAAAAAGTGTTATCACAGATATTCATCCTTGTATTTAACTAAGGATATTACGTTACAAAGGCATCAGTATTTTATTGTACTGAATTTCTTTGACATAAGCACCTAAGATTCATGAAGCATATTCTATTTGGTCACTTTTGTTAAAGTACTTTCTGCAAAGCAAATTTAATATCCAACACCATTTATCTCATTAGTATAAATAGTATAAATATTTGTTTTCAAATTCTTTAAGAAGGTACTCTAAACACAATCATTTGAAAAAATATATAGATTGAATATCTCTAAAAGCAAGGGTATTCATATGTCACCATTTTTCTAGGACAATCCTGGATATAAACCTGTTGCCTAGTCTATATACTCATGTTATCTTTATCAAAAATGTCCTGGGTTGGGTAGAAAATTATATGGCAACCCTAGTAATAGCCAAAGAGCAATGAGAACTCAAAGGTTTCACAATTTCTGTTCTTTGGTTCCTTCACTGACTCAAATATGCAGATTGAATTAAATACCCTTTCAAGATATTTATGTAATTATAAAATTCTGTGATTCTTCATTCTAATCAAAGTGTAACTGGATCATTCAGCTAACACTAATTTAGAAAATCTGACTTAGTTTTCAGACTGAACTTGTAACATTGTCTTAAAACTCATTGAAAAGGGAAGGCATATAACTTTTATTTAATATAAGCTAGTATTTAAAATACATACACATTTTTTAAATTTGTGAATCCTTAAAAGGATTTTTGCATTGCCTCAAAGTGGGATTTAAGAGAAAAATCCCACATTATCAAAATAAAGCCATGAAAGCAATTATTTGTAGGATTAGATGAACTCCTTTTTGGAATAAGAAATTAACAAAAGGAAAGAGATTCAAAAAGACAAAATGGTATCCTGCAAGAAAAAGGTACATTTCATTAGTATTAATTTGTTAAAACTTGATGCTTTCCATAATAAATTACCACAACTCTCAATCCAGTATTAAGAAGGAGAAATACTAAAGTTGTACTTTTACGTAGTAAAGCTCTACAGAAGGAATTACAATAAAACCTGTAGATTACATATTTATATGTTCACATACAATATTGTTCATAAACATTCTCTATGTTTTCTGCATAGTGGTCCAAACTCTTTTTTTTTTTTTTTTTTTTTTGTAAAGAGCTGTTTCTACAGTGCTGACTTTAATTAACGATTTTAGAATGTGTATCTATCTTCTTTATTAAAAAAAAAACAGAGCTACTAAGCTATTTCCTTTATTGGGTCACCTTTAGGACTTATTATTTGAAGTACTTCTTAGAAGCTGCTATGCCAAAGTGCCTAGAATTTTAACTGTTTCTCAAACAGATCTAAAACTGGATGTCAAACCCTTCATAAATAGAGTATGTGTTAGGGTGTGTAATATCCACGTATATCCAACTTCTAACTTGTAAAATATATTTAAGTCAGTTACCTCTGACTTAAATATATAGATTATATATATAATTTAAATATATTATATATAATTTAAATATATTATAAACCATATAATGCTCTGCTCACTGTTAATAAACTAAATATTTTTGTAAAAAACAGAGACCAACCACTTTGGGAAAACCTGTTCACAAAATATAGGTTAAAGTAATTTGCTCTAAGGATACTACATTAAGGCCAAACCTGCTAAGGTATTTGATATGAATTTATTCACCTAATTTTTAACAGTTTGATAACAGCAAGTGGATATAAAATTGATCATCAAAATAGGAAATTATAAATATGAAATCCACAATGCTTGAAAGTAGAGATTTTTTTAAAGGAGTGCAATTCTTAAAATTTTCCTGTTTTTATTATGTGTTTCTCTATCCAGATACATCTTATAAAAGGAAAGAAAAAATACCTTTTTTTTTTCCTATGAAAGTTAGGAGTAAGCCACTCAGTCAAATCACAGATAGGAAAAAACATTAAATAAATATATTCCAATGTCTATTCATAAGTGCCCCGGACAAAAACCTCATATTAACATATTATTCATATAAATACTATTTGGGGGTTTAGAGAGAATATTGAATAAGGCAGGTCCAATTTAAAATCATTAGTGAATGAAGTCAGATATAGTTGAAACAAAAATTTTGAACTCAGACATATTGAATATTAAAAACATGAGGTACTGGAATCATTTGACAGCTGATATTCAGTGGTAACCAGCGGCCCTGAAAAGACAACTTAAAAGATATTTGAACGCGTGTGTGCGTGTCTTTCTATGTGCTTGTGTGTCCACATGTATAAATAAAGTACTAACCTACTAGTTATCTCTTTTTACTCTCAGCCTGTCAAAAAAACCTGTCAGCTGCAAAGGCGATAAGGGGGGCAGTTAAAAGAAGATACTGGAGCCTTAAGCTTCTTAATGTGCCAAGAATCAATCCCATGAAAGCAAACAACTTGAAAAAGGGTTATACGTATTTAGGAAATCTCTGAGGCTCCCTTCCTGCTCTGCTCGAGCTGGAGCGAGTGCTCAAGTTTTCTCACCCTAATGACCCCTGAAGCAGCCCTGAGGGATTGCAAAACAAGGCCGTTACACAAGGCAGCTTGCTAATTGAGAAGTTGATCGGGGGTAGAGAAATCCTGCTTTACCACGTTAAGTGTCGAAATCAAGCATGACTAGATTGACGTCGCCAAATCACCGTCTGGAGGCCACTCCACGCCAGGAGCAGCAGGGCTTTTCACACCTGATAGGCCCTCACTCTATCTACATCAAGTCACATTAAGAAAGGAATGTATTACGGAACTGGAGTCCGTGCCCCTCAGAGCATTACTCCACTGCCTAATTGCTGCTTCTCCGCTTCCCCGCTTCCCCGAAGTAACAAATGTGTCCACGTGGACCTGCAGCTTACCTGATCCCTTTGGAAAACCAACCTTCCTCCACCTACTCTGCCGATTTGCTCCATTATAAAAATGCAACACCACCAAGACCCAGAGTAAGTTAGAGGAAGACAGTAGGGCTAGAAATTTTGTATTACATATCTCGATCACATTGATTTAAATTACAGGGACCTTGGAACAATGTATAAACGATGACTCTTTAAACCTTTTATTTTTAAATGAAGTTGCAGATGCAGGATGTCTGATCAACGAAAACGCCTGTCTCTCGGATAGTGATTTAGACACCACACGGTGTGCAGAGAGGAGAGACCTTCTGCTTTTGAACTTTGAGTCCCCAGTCACGGATTTGCTGCTCTCCAACCTAAAATCTCCTGTGACAGATGGCATAATAGATATTCCCAACAGCCCAGACTAGCAGGCTGATATTACTTGGTATTTTTTCTTATAGTCTTTCTGACAGGTTCAAAGCACTTAACCAATGATGTGTTTTAGGTAGGGGATAAAAGGTGACTTAGGAACTTTCCCCCTATTTGTACCACTTTTTAAATTTTAAATCTCAGTTTTCTTACTGACACAATGGAGCTAATTCCTATCTGTGCTCTGTTAACTGCAAGACACATAAAGAAGAAAAATGGCTTGTTTCCAACCGCAAAGGATTTATCGGCCATTAGAAAAGAAAGTCTTCTATAAATCTGTAATAGAAAAATTAATCCTTACCATACATTTTGAGAGGTGGTAGGTGGCATCCATTCTGTGAGTGGGGAAACAGAAGTATAGAGAGGTAGCAGTGACATGTCTAAGATCTCATAGTCATTAACAGCAGTGATAGAAATCTGGCCGAGTCCGAGTCTATGTGTTCTGATACCTAGAAGGGTGCTCCCTACATAAGGCACCTCCTTTCTTACCCTCAATTGAAGTATGATACATAGTATGACAAACTAGTAACAAAAAGAAACAAACACAAAACACACAAAAGAAAAGGTGTTTTCGTTTGTTTATTTTTACCTAGAAAAACATAACAGGGCAATCTACAGTATTATGTAACCTGGTACTGACTTCCAAGTTATAATCTAAACTTAACATTATGATGTCCGTCATGTTTTTATAAAAAGCTCCCTATTCTCTTTTGCAGCTCAAAATTCATAAATAAACCCATATGAATAAAACCCCACTAAAATGGAAGCTTTGTTTATCTTCAAAAATATAGGCATAAGGTCAATTTCCACACACTAAACGTCATACTGTCTACGAAGCCTTTTTAATGGAAAAAGCAACTAAAAGACCAAGTCCTCTCTGATAATGATACCTCCGCAAATTAGACAAATTAGTCCAAAGATTTCCCTTTGCTTACATTTTAAAGAAACATCTGAAATCAATATCAATACGAAATTTGGTCAATTATGTAAGGGCTTAGTGTATAAGAGCTAATGTTTATTGAGCCCTGTCTCTGTACCAGACACTGTTCTAAGCATTTGACACGAGTTATTTCATTAATCCTCAGGACAACTGAATGAGGCAGGTTTATTCATCCATTTTATGGATGAGGAAAATGAGGCATGCAGAATTATGTAATACACCCAGCGTCACATAGATAGATAATAGGAGAGCTGGACTCCACACACTGAGCCATTTAGGATTTCCCCTCTTGTGTCAAGAGAACAACAGAAGGAGCCTCAGAGGCTATTCACTACTACCTCTTAAAGATCACTTTTCATGTCCTGACCTGTAGGAAGTGCTTATACATAAAGCTAAATTCTTCACTTTCTACTCACCAGGGCCTTACAGTCTAGTTCTCCCTACGTGACATCCTTCTCTTCTGCAGACTACATTACCCTCCCTCTCCCCATGTTCAATGCACGTAGAAATGAATGTCGGAACATTTGCAAGTCCCTCGAGCCACAGGTCTTGAACTTAACTTTGAATTTGCCTCCTCTTCTCAGACCCCCAAATCTAGCCCTGCCGCTGTGTTAAAAGGGGATCTGTCCTCTTTTGTCTCAGTAAGCTACTTCTAGCGCGCATCGCTTCTCCCTTGCACTCATACTACAACCTCCCAGCTGAACATCTTTCCACCAGCCTGCCCTGCCCTGCTGTCCGCCTTCCACTCTGCAGCCGGTAGCCTTTCTATAACACAGCTCCAACCCATTGATCCTGCTTATAACCTTCCATAGCTCCCCTACTGTATGCAGGATAGATGCAGGGAAGCATGAAAGGTCCATCCTGTCTGTCTTCTTTTCTGTCTTCTATCCCATCACTGAGCCTCAGCCCCAATGTGCTGTCTACTCCCTGGACTCAGCATCTACTTTCACACCTGATGTCCTACCACTCCTGCCTGCTGAGTTCCTACTAAATCTATTCTTCCTGGAAGACTACTGCTGCTTTTTTTTCATATTCAGATCAAATGTCAATGGATCTATGAAGCCTCTCTGATTTCCTTGAGGCAGAATAAATAACACACTTCTTTAGACATTTAAGCACTTGTTTTCATATACTACTTCATCTTTCAGAATCTGTATCAGTTACGTACCTGTTTGTCTCTTTCTCACTACATAATAAGCTCCCTGAAAACTTGCCTTCTCCTTTACTCTGCACCTAACACATGTGATGTTCATATGCTCCATAACTGCTGAATTAGAATGTAGAGATATATAAATGGAAATTAACATTCTTGCATTGTCCAACTATATAGACTGCATACAGGGATTTTACTTATGACCCCTAGATTAGTACCATCTATTTTTAAATACCATTTTAAATTCAGTGTACAATGGACATAAGACCTGTAGGTGGAAGTCAAAAATAAATTACTTAAAAGCTGTTACAAAGAAATGATTATACCACCCTCCCCACGTTCTTTCCTAAACTATCTATTTTAGAAATAACCCAATAAGGGCAAAGCTATATGAGTAAAACTACACTGGAAGCTTGCTAGGCAACATGAGAATCTACTTGCTGAAACTTAGCACCAATTCCATCTGTCTTTGATCACACTCAAGATGGTTTAGGTGCCAACACATCAGAATTCTAATATTAGCAGATGCAGAAAACTTGTGACTGGTAACATCTGTATCCCTCATATCTAGTGATATTTCTTTACCATCATTACCCCATTACTCTAAAGAGTTAACAAACAGCATGATATTATATACCTAACTTAGGCAGACAGTCAGAAGGTGCACCAACACCCACCTGAATTCTGAAAGGCCGTAAACTTTCTTCTTTTTAGGATCATCTCCTAAATTTCCTTTTCAGCTTCTAGGACCATCTCTTATCACAATTCTTCCATGAAGGCCTCCTAAATAAGCTGAGTTATTAAAATCACATTTTCCTAAGTAGTTGGCAGTTATTCTTCATTATTTTCATCATATAGGTTGTCATCTTATTGCATTTATTTCAGCATTCCTAAATATATTATTCTACCCCACTCCCTCCTTCTACCCTCCAGTCAATATTTATTGAGTACCTATTATCAGCCAGATTTTCTACTAGATGTTGTATATAATAAAACAAATAAGAATTTCCCCTGTTCACAAAACGTTTGTGGTATAGTTTTGGAAGAGGACAAGTAAGAATAATAACAAACAAACAGAAAGGACATTCTCATCTCATAACAAATCATTCTGCACACATCTAGAGGAGAATTTTTTTCCTTAAGGCAGTAATTTCCTCATTTCACTCATCTGTTCAATAACTTACAATGGCTCCATCTCACCAACATAATAATATTCAGGTTGCCCATGATGGTTCTCTGGATCAATTTAACAGGGCCACAGTTCTTTCTAACTTTCTTCTAAATGTGTCACCTAATTATGGCTGCCAGATTTAGGATCACAAATTATTTTATGTGACATTTTTAGACTAAAATAATTATCCATTATTTATCAGAAATTTGAGTTTACCTGGGTATCCTGTATTTTGTCTGGCAACACTACAACTAATTCCACCATCTCATTTGGAATTAGATGTACAATGGACTCCAGTCCTCAGTAGGCAACAACTTTCATAAGAAATATATTCTGTCCTCATTGCTCACGGCACCTCATCGCCTCCCAGAAGTCTTGCCAGGCAACAGAGACTGAGTTTTTCTTTAAACTCATAGTTTCATGAAACTTAGAAAATGTTAACTAACTACCTAAAGTGACAGTACTGCAATTTTCTCAAATTCATGTACAATGAATGTTTAGGGGAATTCTAAGAGAATTTTTTCTTCCAAAGCTTGTATAAACTACTCAAGTTTGAGAACAATTGTATTTTACTTAGCTTACCTGAACAATATAAATTAAAAATAACTTCCTACTTTTAACTCTACATGGGGTAGAGGGAGAAAGGGGAGGGGTCAGGTAGAAGGGATGGAGGAACAGGGAAGAGAAGAAGCAGTTGTGCTCTCTTTGGAGTAGATGGTCTCAGGCTGGCCCATGCTCAGGTCTGACCTTAGGTATAAAAGTTTCAAAGTATTAAAATAAAAATCACATTAGGCCGGGCGCCGTGGCTCATGCCTGTAATCCCAGCCCTTTGGGAGGCTGAGGCGGGTGGATCACTTGAGGTCAGGAGTTCGAGACCAGCTTGGCCAACATGGTGAAGCCCCATGTCTACTAAAAATACAAAAATTAGCCAGGTGTGGTGGTGCATGCCTGTAATGCTAGTTTCTTGGAAGGCTGAGGCAGGAGAATTCCTTGAACCTGGGAGGCGGAGTTTGCAGTGAGCCGAGATCGAGCCACTGAACTCCAGCCTGGGAGACAGAGCGAGATTCTGTCTCAAACAACAACAACAACAACAACAACAACAACAACAACAACAAAACATTAATTCACTAGAAGAATATATTCAAGGAGAAATAATTCATGGTTCTATACTTAACAAAGTCTCACTTGAAATAAAAAGAAAAGAAAAAGTTCTTTATTCTAATGAAGTATATTGCATTGTTAAGGTCTAGTATATTACATTTGTACACACTCTTGACAGACTGTATCATTGCAAATAGGTGACCTTTTCCAACCCAAACACTCTCTAGAGCTTAGTTTTTTAAAAAGGCACTGATTATAAAGGTCATAAACTTCCACAGGGATTTTTTTTTGAAGAGAACAACATGTTTTCTCTTCTAGCATTAAATTGTATATATATATTCCCTTAGATACACATAATTTAGATATTTAGGGTAACCGTCATTAAATGGTTTGGCTGTTTTCCAATAGAATTAGGAAACCAAGAACAAGAATTGTCCAAATTTGTTCAGATAATTATTACCAGAAAAACAATAGCTGTGTTTCACAAGGAGGTCTTTGGTGAGCCTCAGAAAAGAAGTAAAATCAAATGTGCCTGATGCCACTGATGAGAAACAATTTTTTTGGTAGGATTTACATAACCTTCCAAGTTTACATTTAATTGACTAACAATTTGGTGATGGTATATCAGTAGCTTAAAAGCCAACGCAGATGTATAAGTGAATAGTTCCCTTGCTTCTTATTTGTCGGCATTATGGCCTAATAATTTGAAAAAAAGATTTTAGAATCTTAGCCAGGGTAATGGCTCTAAGTAAAGAAAGATCACGTTGGTGGAATCCTTTAGTTGAAGTCTTACTCAGTAGGAAGGCTGAGGCTGCCTCTTCTCTCTCAACCCCACCTAGCCTACTAGGCACTCAGTAAGAATTCAGAAAATTTTTATCTTGTTTTTCCAGTAGAAATAGCATTTCAGAATGACCAATAGATTCAGTGGCCGAGTGAATGCGATACTTTACAGAAAAATACCAGCTTATAAATGTAGAAGTGATAGGATGACAATCTAATTTTTCAACCTGTACTGATTTAGATAATGATTATCCATTGTTATTTATACCCACTAGGTTTAATTGCCAACAGAGAACCAGGTATCTGTTGGTATTTAAGTAATGTTGCACAGGGTGCTTTCTGGTCACAATGAGAAAGGTGTAACTGTACAAAAGCAGGATCAGTTTATCATCTCATGATCAATTTAAGTGTCACAAATAGTGAGATAACAGATATTATGTATTTCCTGATATTATACAATATGATATCATTTATCATGTATTCTAAAACAAAATATACACCTACGTTATTTTTATTTTTTAATAGAGATGGGATCTCTCTATGTTGCCCAGGCTGGCCTCCAACTCCTGGGCTCAAGTGGTCCTCCCACCTCAATCTCCCTAGTAGCTTAGACTACAGGTGCATGCCACTGCTTCTGGCAATATCTGAATTTTGTCAATGTTTAAAGCAACTTCTGTTTTACTGGGAGCACTAGGAATAGAAGGATCAAGAGCAAAGACACCACAAGGATGCAACCAACCAAATGAAGTAGGTGAAAAATTTTAGAGGACCACTTCTATGGTCTCTTTAATAAGTGAATGTCATGAAAATGACAATGTTCAAGATTAAGAGAAACTTCATAGACATGACCATCAGATGTAAAGTGAAATCTTGGATTGGATCTTGATTTGGAAAACCTTTGGAGGACTTTTCTGGGGACAACTAGAGAAATCTGAACAAGGATCAGGTAGTAGATTATATAAAATTTCACTAGCATGGAAAAATGTAGATCATAGTCTAAAAAATTAGGTTACAAAACAGAATGTAAATACAATCTCAATTTGATAAAAAATACATACATGTGCATAAATACAGGTAGAAAAAGATTTGGAATGATGAATAATTAGAGCAAACATTAGTAGGTTCTGGTAGAATCATGGTGATTTTGTTACTGCATTTTTGCTAATCTCTATTGTTAAATTTTTCACGATGTTCTTATAGTTGCTTTGCAATAAAAGCTTTTATTAATTATACAAAGAAACAGAATTGACCACTGTTAACACCTTATTTGTTTTAAATCTATTATGAATAAGTATACTGTGTATTGGACATGCTATATACAACACAGACATTCAGTCATCCCTCAAGTTTATGTTTGTTGTGCTATTTTATAACTAATGTTTTGATGAAATTGCAGCCACTAACAAATTTTTTTCTAATCTACAATTAATCAACATTGTAAATAGTTAGGTACAAGAAAACCATTGGTTATCTGGAGAGAAACAAAGGAAGTTCATCAGTGCTTGAGTTTGAATGATTGAAAATTCAATTACAGATGACAGGATCAATTTATGGGGACCTCGGAGTAAGTCCCTGAAGCCATGTCCTCAGTCACTAAACACTAGAGTACAGCTCATAAGGATGGGTTCTGGAGTCAGTCACACTGTCTGGATTTGAATCCTAGCTCCATCACTTGCACCTTGGGAACTTTGACTAAATGACTTAATTACCCTCAGCCTCAGTGCCTTCTTCTCTAAAATGGGTTTAATAATACTGTAGTTCCCAAGGGCTAGAGGAGATTACATCTGTACAGCACTTAGCACATATATAACTCATTGAGAATACCTGAAAAATAATACTAAAATATAAGATACATAAAGGCAAATATTTCTGTCCATTTTTTTAACTGCTGGAGCCTCAGTTCCTATAACACTACCCATTATAGAGTAAATCCTCAAGAAATATTTGCCATGATCTGAGTTTCATTCTGTTGACTTTCTTTCACAATGTTAAAACAAACACTCAAAATTCCATTGCTATTATAACAGGCTTACCATCAGTCTCATTGAGATTTTTCTGTGATACTTATCTAGCAGGGAAGAACAGAAAAATAGAGGACTTTTTTTTCAGCAGAGTTTTCCTTTAAAAAGATTTCTTCATATGAATGCTGAACTCTAAAGCATATATATTTTAATAATTGTATTACTACTCTTTATTAATTTCTTTTATATTCCTAACAAGCTATTTTTGGCATAGAATAAAACTATAAATTTGATTTACTTTTTTATTTAGCTGCTATGCTAAATGTACCTATTTCTTGAGTTTTCTCGATTTTCTGCAGATAAAATAATTATCTTTTTTACTATTTATATTTATTTACTTCGTTTTCTTATCTTATTACATTGGCTAGACCCTTTAAAACATTAAATATGAGGGACAATAATGAGTATCCCTGGCTTTTTCTTGGCTTTAATGGAAATTACTTTAGTATTTAGCTGTTTTATAAATTTGCAGTTAGGTTTCAGTAAATTTTCTTAATCATATTTAACTGGTTTCTTCCTGTTTCTCTTTATTTGGAAGTTTTGAAATGGCTGAATTTTATCAATTGCCTTTTTGGTACAGACTGCCATAACTATGGTGTTTCTTCCTCCAGTTTGATAATACAATGAATTAGATTGAGATATGTCCTGGTGTTCATTCTCTGAATTCTAGAAAACATCTTACCTGTTCCTATAGTATTATTCATTTTAGACAGTGACAGACTATTTGCTAATATCTTTCAAGTTTTTGTATCTGTATGCAAAAATAGCATTAGTGTTTTATATTTTATATTGTCTTTATCAGGTCAAGGTACTGTATTAGAGTTATGTTAGTTTTGCATAAGCTGCTTTACATATTTTGAACTTAAGCTTCCTGTGTAACACTTAATTGTGGATACTATGGAAGTGGCTAGATATACATTGCTTAAGCTTGTTGGAGAGTAATGGGCTACGGGTAGAGATTGAGCCATCACAATAAGAGGAGGGATTGAAACCATGAGGACAAATAACATCTCCTAGGAAAAATAAGTATACCACAACAAGATCACCGTTCCTAGGTACGGTCCCTCACTCTTTTAAGTATCTGATTGGGATGAGACGCCCAGAAAAGAATCAGAACTAGGCCGGGCACGGTGGCCCATGCCTGTAATCCCAGCACTTTGGGAGGCCAAATTGAGTGGATCACCTGAGGTCAGGAGTTCGAGACCAGCCTGGCCAACATGGCGAAACCCCGTCTCTACTAAAATAAAAAAATTAGCCGGGAGTGGTGGCATGCACCTGTAATCCCAGCTACTCAGGAGGCTAATGCAGGAAAATCTCTTGAAGCTGGGAGGCAGAGGTTGTAGTGAGCTGAGATCACTCCACTGCACTCTAGCCTGGGTGACAGTGCGAGACTCCGCCTCAAAAAAAAAAAAAAAAAAAATCTAAACTGTAGGGTCATGGCATCCAAGACAGTAGAAAGCTTTTAAAGAGAATAAATGATCAACACTATTAAAAGAGAAGAGAGACTGTAAGATGATCCCGGATAAAATGCCCATTGGCTTTAGCAATTGGATGTCAGTAACAGCAGTATCAGCAGAGTGGTGAGAGACAGAAGCCAGATCACAAGTGGGTAAGGAGTGCAAAGGAGGTTGAGGGAGTATGGATGACAACAACAGACTGTTCTTTTTTTTTAAAAAAATTAGACAATAGGGGAATTGATAACAGTAACATAAATTTGAGGGATAAAGCATCTTTTTACAGAACAGAAAAATCTTGGGTACAGCCATATGTTGACAGTCAAGTAATTGTAGAAAAGAAGATACTAAAGACTGAAGAAAAACAAGTTACCTCATAAAATGAAGACACACAGAATACTGGAGGGAATGGAGCCAAGGACATAAAATTGGCCTTAGAAGGAATAGGAAGACCTCATTCCCATAGATGGGATAAAAGAAATTAAAGATAAATGGAAAAGCAGATAAAATGTAAGAGGCTGATTTATATCAAACCTGATAAAAAACATCAGGGAATATCAATCTGTATGTTATTTGCTTGTTTCTAGCAATGCTTAACCACACTGTAGGAATGGATTGAAAAAGGGTAGCATACCCATGGCAATTTGTTAGACTGGAGCAGTGGTGAAAATTGAGCTAGCACAGGCATGGGAGGAGACACAGAAGATGGAAGTGAAGGGGACTTGCCTGATTGACAGTTGGGTTCATAGTGGGCAGGAAAGATAGAAGTCTTAAAGGTTTGACCAAATTAGGAGAAAGAGACATGACAGGAGAGCTGAATGTCTGAAATCAAAGATCAGTGCTATTACAAGTGAAACAGGACTACAGTGTGGAGTTTAAGATTCCTGAGATGAAATACTTTTCCATAAGGAAAAGACACTGTATATAATTCTGGGATGGCAGGCTGATGTTCAGTAGGGTCAAGGAGGCTCAACAAGTTAGGGCTTGGTTTCAAGTGAGTCATCTCTAAGCCTTTTAGAATCCCTAGAATTGTGGTAAGAGGGAAATGACAGCAGTGAGTAGGGGTAAAAGGTAGTATAATTAGATGTACGAGTTTTGTTGGAGGATGCATTTTTTAGTAGTGAGTGGGGAGAGTTATGTGTATCTAAGATTGCCAGTTTCTCCTCTTGGCTTCATGGAATGTGGGATTTACATGAGTAAGTAGTACCTTGCACCTGTTGACAGCTGAAAGAAAAGTTGCCTCCTTAAAGGAGAGGCAAGTTTCAGGTAAGGCAACAGATGAAATTCAGTTAAAACAATATTTTGATGGGAAAGGCATCTGGCCAAAAGATTGTGGACACAGCAAAAGTTATTGACAAGGACATGAGGTTTCTGGAGGACCCAGTGGAAAAGTGTTGAGTGAACGTAACAGCAGAAATATACAGAGAATGAGGAAAGGAATGGAAACAAGAGACGTTTTAGATTAACATTGGCAAGTGGAGGAGTGGGGGGGGTAAGAGGCCTGTTTAGAGGTGGATGGCCTCAGATGTCTTAGCTTTGGCACAGTGAGGGTCCCAGAAAATATCCCACTTAAGTCCAAACATATTGCAATGGCTGCCATGAAGTTCAAGAAACAGCAAGAGATTTCTTTTATCAGGACGGGCTGCTTCTCGCCTCACAAAGCAGTGCCAAGACTCCTTGTTAGGCTGAAAGCTCCCAGGAGATTTCTGAAGCAGGAGTGTAACTGGTATACATTGGATGAAGGGCTCTGATCCTCTCTTCAAGAATTCAGGATGCGAGGAAATATTTTCAAACACCTTAGCGAACTGTACACATTAAAGGGCCTGATCAGTTATCTGAAACCAGAATTTTATGATTCTGACCAAAAAGTTACATACTAGTAGCTGTGTGCCACATTAGAGTTAGTTGCCAATGTCTTATATACAAGAGATTTTACTGAAATATCTAGAAAAAATATCTGGTTTATCCAGAAAAATCAGCAACATTAGGCCCACATTCGTACAGTGTGCTGGAATTAAGTCATGGCTTCCCCCTTTGGGTGGCGCATGCAAGCCCCAGTTCACAACGTTATTTTTCCTTCCAGACTCCGGAACCTGGAGGCAATTGAGTTTGTAATTCCCGTCTTAGCCCTTGGCAAGATAAATAATTCAGCCTATTTTATTTACATTCAAGTATCATGGTAGAAAACAAGTTATTGATTACTGCTTCAAGAAAAAGGATTTGCATATTTGTGTATATATTTTTAAAAAGTGGATTAACTTTATGTTAAACAATCACTTGGCCACAAAGATTAATATTAACCTATATTAAAGGTTATTTTTGCTACCATCTTCATCCTACACAGTGAGCATAAATGTTGTTTCAAATATTGTTCCCAAATATTATTCAAATTCACCTAATTTTACATATAATTGCAGATTAGAAAACTAATTTCATCACAATCTCCCCTTTCCTAAATTCCTCTCACTCAGCTATCTGAGCATCTCTCATGCATCAGGCCCTATGTTCCCACCTGTATTTTCTTTCCGTTGAAGTCCACCCATTCCAATTATTTAAGTGATTTCATTTGAATGATGTCAAAACTAATCCTCAGGTGATGTAAGCAGCTCCAAATATAATAATAGAAAGGAAAATATGGGTGAGAAATTACAAAAGGCTGGAGAATCAATTAACATATATACTTCTAAACAATTGTTAGAAAGTAAATTTGATCTGGGCTTCCCAGGAAACAAAGAAAAGAGGGAAAATGTCAACATGTATATGATTCACAGGCCCAAGTAAAACATCATTTAGTCATTTATAGTCTCAGAAATCTTGCTTATCCTAAGATCTGGGCGACATTTCACCAGTGAGGCGGTAGGACATTGTGTGATACAGTAAACAAAGTCCCCAATAGCATCCTTAGGACACTGATGTTTTTGCAGCTGTTAATGAAAATCTTCAACACAGGAAAACAGCAAAACCTTGATGTACAATTCCATAAAAATTTTTGAGGGGCCAAAACAATAGGGGTCAAGATCAAAGACACAGGGAAGGATAAATTAAAAACCATCACAAGGAATAATTCAACATCCAGTTTTTCAGGTAATCTGCCATAAATACTATTTCCTTCAGATGACTTCTTAAAACATAAGAATGGAAAAGCAGCATTTGAAGTTGTAATCTCTGGCAAGAACACAGAGTGTTAAGATGTCATGATACGATGAAGTCCACATACGGAACAACTAAGAAACAACTAAAACACGTGCATGAATGGAGAACCACTGCATGGCTGTGGCAAGGAGAGCGGAGGATCCTAATCTTCCCCAGCAAGGCTTTCTGGTTCTCCTCCAACACACAGCTGAGTCACAGAGGCCCTGGACAATGTGTCTGGACAAATCTCACGCTAAGCATTATCTTCTACGTCCACAGAAAAAAATCTGTTGTATAATATTGTCAGATTCAGGCCAACTGAATTCTGGAGGACATATGCAAAGACACTGCATTTCATCTTTGGACGTCCTTTCTTGGCAGGACCACTTGTCTCCCAAAGCCTGTCCTAGGATGTGGCAATAAGGCTATACCGTCGGGGTAGAGATTTCAAGATACACATCTTTTGACCCCCCATTGCAGTAGATGATGTTTTTTTCCATTTCTCTGGTACTTGAGCTAAGCTCCTGTGGCTCAGATTATTTATTGCATTACTTTTGTAACCTTTCTCCCAAAGGAACATGTAAGCCATACACAGTTGGCATCAAATATTACTGGATGACAGATTTGTTTTTAAAATGGTAAAATTAGACAATACGTCTCATCTAAATTCATGGAATTCTCCCCTCTAATAATAGAGTCATGTGATAGCTTAAAAACACATGCTTTATCATCATTCAGTAGCAGTTTATTCATTAGAACATTCTGTACTCCTCTAAAAATCCAACATATCTCGTCACATCTCATATTTGGTTATTTTCCTTCTCAAAAGGTCTTGTTACAAATCTAATGCATTTAACTACCAAACTATGCCCACAAGGGTACTTGGACAATGGCTTACATTTTAAATTATAGCAATTGTGGGTGCTGCTGACCTGTCAATCTCAAATATATTCATAAGCTACACACACGAAAATGAAATGAACAAAGTGATTCAGATTAAACAGCTCTGACTATCCATTTTAAGAAAATCACTGGGTGTGCCTAGGATCCAATGCTAACAATTTGTTACGCACTGCAGTGTTACAGCTTTCTAAATGGTAAGTAACTGTTTAAAAATTCCAAAGCATTCTTAAAACGTTTCACTTAAACATTTCTGCAATAAAATCTTATTGAACTGTTGCTTTCATTAATTTTCTACAGACTAGAGAGCAAGGAATTCAAGTTCGATTTTTTTTTCTTTTACTTTGCCTACTACTAGCAAATAAACTGTGCCTCTTTTTTAAATAAACCCCTGGCCTTGAGTTTTGGCCCCTTAATAGTAGCCTACATGGTTGACTACCCTTGGTGTTAAATTTTCTTAAATTGTATTTCTGTCAGTGTATCATTTTTTTAAGCAATGGACCCTATAATAGCAAGCACTGGTCTGTCAGGAGTGCATTTTAACAGCACGACACAAGTATTTTTCACTACAGGAGACAAACAATGATATGTATTACATGCAGTAAACACTGCCTTTGGTACACAGGGTTCTCTTAGCATTTATCTGTCTAAAAATCTCACTGTGTCCTGAATGGGGGGTTTCAGGGGGAGGGAGAGGAACCTTGTCTCATATTAATGCTGCCAGTAGCTATGGTATAGTGTTAGAAAAAGTCCACAAGCATTGCTACATTTCTCATGAAAGAAAACCTTGATTTAATTTTAAATGAACAAAACAAGGAATATTAATTCATGCTTAAAAAGTCCCTTTCTTTCAGATAATTACCCTGTCTTTCTCTTACGACTTCTTTCCCAAGCTTTGGTATTTTCCCCCTTTTATTCACAAGTATCTTTATCAAACAACTTTCAATTAAACATAAAAAGCTACTAAGACATAGTGCTCTCCAAATTTAAGGTGCAATACTCCAAGAAATGCTTAAAAAATTATTAGCATTTCCATGCATTTTCTACTTTTTCCTTTAAACATTGTTTTCATAATTTTTAAAATGTATAATAAAGTATTTACAATTTATAAATATATACAAATATACAAATTGAAGGTGTGCACTCAAATTTCTTTAAGAATAAAGATATATAATCAAATTGTTTAAAGAACACTGTGAAAAATAATGTGAGTAAAAAAGTTGGTATTCAATTTCCTTGCCACCTGAGAAAAAGATGCAAAATCAACACTATAAAGAAAACCTAAAACAACCTAAAATTTTATAATATAATTCTACTCTATGGAATATTAAATATAATGCTTTACAAGGCCATAGAACTTTTATAAGGTAAAACAGGGAGAGCATGGATATATAAGGTATTTTAGAAAACTATCACCTCAGTTACAAAGGAAATAGAATTTTCAGTAATTCTCCCAAAGATCCAAATTCATCCTAATTTATATAAAGCACACTACAATCTTAATTTAACAATCCATTCCAAATTCCAATAATCTCCAGTGTTGAGATATTTTTTCCATACAGCCTAAAGTGCACATATTTAGACATTTCTCCACCCATCTCCTTTGCACACGAAAAGTTGGTAAACGACCTCATTATACTAGTAGCCTTTCATATTCTTCATTATTAATCACTCTTAAACCTCTTCTTCAATCTTCTCCTCATGTTTAATTTCTCCCTTATCTTATCTTCATAACTCAGTGCCATTCTCCCTTCATAACAACAGAAGCTGACATTGGAGGAGTATCAGCCAATGTGTACCGCTCTTTCCCTACTGTGGTCCACTGTCACCCCTAACTATTTTATGAATAGGATTCCTATTTCTAGAGAAGAAAACGCAGACTTGGAGAGGTTGAGTAAGTTGCCTAGGAATGTGAAGCTGGGGTGTAGCAGAAGGGGGTCGACGTCAGGTCTGGATACCTCACCGTGATGCAACCTGACATGCCTCTAAGATCTACGAATTAGATGTAACCTCACCCAGTTTGGAAGATTTTAGGGAAGTGACAAGAACTCATGTAACTTTTTATTTTTTAATGAAGTGATATTCACAGAAGATTATAACAACAGTAGATGAATGCATCCTAATAGGAATACATAAGTTATCTGCCACTGATGATCATTGATGGAGAAGGGGCAATACCTAATGTAGTAGAATAATGAGAAACACATGATGAGACATTTAAAATATACTGTACATATTACTATGAGTGCAGTATAAGCTTGTGGCTTTACTTTTACTTGTGACTTCACAGTAAAAAATTAGGTCGTAGTGCAGATGAAAGCCTCCGTATAAATTAGGAAGGAAAAATTTAAGAAAAATTAATTTAAAATCTCCTGAAAAATTATGTCTTTTTTAGGTTGCTGCAGAAGTCAAGAGCTAACCAAGAAGACAAGGAATGTAACATATTTAATCAAATAAGCACATCATCTCTATTATAAAGACAGTGGTTTGTTTAATAACTATCACTGACAAGATTATTTCAGATTATTTAAACACCAAGCAAACTATCAGGTCAAGATCAAGCAACTTTTCTTTAAGATCAAGCTCAAATTGATCTGCCTTGGAAGACGAGGATCACCAAGTGATTAGGAATATAGGTTCCTCAACTCAATCTGGACAAGAAAAGCATCTGCCAGGAAGAACAGAGGGGGACTGTTAGAAATTGTAACAGAAAAAAGCCCCCAAGATGCAGACCACAGTAGGAATTAAGCCTCGTAAAGCTCTCTGGCTACTGTCTCCGTCTAGCTTTCTGGGAAGTATGTGTTGGATTTTTTTGTGCATGAAGTATAAATGCCACCGTTTTTGAAAGCCCACCCATTCATCCTGTACCTCCTTATAAGATTCAAAGCACATTTGCATAGCTTCTTAGCCAAGTATGCATGAAGATATCCCAGCCCATTTTATAAATATACATGCAAGCTCGAGAACTTTGATTTGTACCCAAAGTTTAAACTTAAACATTTTTAAAAGACACTTTGTACATACAAATCCCACTGTTATAAATAGAAATTAATATTTAACTTTTGGCTTTGAGGATTATGCTTAGCTCTTCTTGAAGCAAAACTAACATTAGTGAGCTAGGATTAAGGTTAGTGGGTTAGGTTAGTGGTGAGAAATATAAGCATAAACAAACTCTCATGTAACATTTGTCTCATCAAGAATGTAATTCACGAAATTGTTTTAAATAACAATATGTCCTTAATGTATCTTCTCTAAGTGCTGGATTTAGAAACATTTATCATAACTAGAGCAAATATATTATTTTACATGTTTTGTAACTATAAGATAATTAAATAGGGCTTGGCTTGACTTTAAAAAGTGAAAAAAATACAAGAATATCACCCCTCAGACCTAGAATAGCGGACTTCAAGAGTAGAAAATTAATGGCCTTTGAAAAATCCACATCTTTGCAATTTGTATTACCTAAGAATTAAAAAAAAAAATCGGTATCATTGTGATCAGGACAGTTTGATGACATCTTTGGTCAAGATCTTACTCTCATAAATGCTGTGTTGGCAGTCCTAGCTCATCAATATAGGCATTTCCTTGAATTTCACATTGAAATACTATGATGTATAGATATTCCATTTGCCATATTAATAGACGAATGTAGATGCATCACTTTAAAATCAAACATGCGACTATATCATCCCCCTTAGATTGGCAACAGATCATCACGTGACCAAATCCAGAAGCCTATTTTCAAATTCATATTTCACAACTATTACTTAATCACACAGGGTCATCAATGGGGCCAAATAAAAAGACATCCAAAAAAACTTCCAGTAAATAAATGAAAAATAATCTCATTCAATTCAGCAGATGAATTCTATAATCCCAAATGAAATTGATTTCACAACTGCCTCACTGAATAAGCTTTACAATGGTTTTCAAATTGAAGTATTATCACTTTTCTAGGGGACATTTAGAAATGTATACGGGGCATTGTTTGTTGCAACAGTGATAGGTGGTACCATAGACCTACACAGTGACTACCCCTTATTCTTGCCCCTCCTGCTCTCCCACACCCCAGCTGCACTAGTATCTGTGATGTCCTTCAAACATATGAGAAAAACTCCCACCTCAGGGCCTTTGTACTGGATGTTCCTGAGCCCAGAATGTCCTTCCCATACGTGATCATGGCTAGCTCCTTCACTTTCATCAGGTCATTACTCAAGTCACCGTCTCAGTGAGGCTGTCTGCACCCCCTCCACACAAACCAAAATTCTACAAACCTCTTGTACTGCTTCATTTTCTCCTCATTGTGTTTATCATCTCCTCATGCCCTATACTTATTTTGTTGATTACCTATTTCCCCTAAGTAGAATATAAACTCTACAAGGGGAGCAGGTATTTTTGTGTTTTATTTAGTGCTTATGTCAAGGCCTTTTACAGTACCTAGAATATACAGAATGATCACATTTATTGAATGAAAAAATGGGAATGGGGATGATTGTTTTGCAAGAGGTATCAATTGTACAAGGAAAGATAAGCATTTTGCAAGGGGTGTCAATTATTGATAACTTACTGATATCTGTGATAAGAGATGGAACAATACAAATAGCATGAAAGTTACAAGCTAAGTCTGTCTTGCTCTGCACCCAAAATATAACCCGTGAAGCTCAAAGCTCAGCTTTCATAAGAGGACCACTGGCTTATGAAATAATTTTTATGAAGTCCAGATACTTTATAACCTCCCTGCTTCAGAATATTTTCTAATCTCTCCTGATCATACCTCTTGTCATTCTCTATATTGGTTCCATGGGACTTAATTGGAGTGAAACTCTTTATATATTCTACTTAGTTATTTGACAATAATAGTGACTATGTTTATCAGGTGTAGAAAATTTGAAAAATAACTTGCTCTTAAGTTCTTTCCAATTTTCCCAGACTGGATAGCTTATTCTTCACAAAAGAAAGTATGTATAACTTTGTACTTTATATATTATACAAAATTAATTAGAAATGTAGTATTTCACATTCATTATTTATAAGAACGAAGTATTGGCACTCAAATATTTGTCAAGTGACTAAATGGTTTCATTGTAGAACTTTTAAAGAGATAGCAAAGCAAGTAATCATAAACACAAACCCCAATCCTGCCTCTCAGCAAGGGTTGCACCGTGAAAGAAGAGATTCTTCTAGCTCAGGAACTTTCTAATATTTTTCCTAATAAATGGTCACAGAAAATACTGGCTTATAAATTTGAAGGCAATTACTTATAATTTCTTTGTATCTCCCAAAGTGCAAATGTTCCTCAGTGGATATTCACATGCAATATTTATAGACTCTAAAATTACATTCACAGTATAAGTGAGCATCTCACCTGTAAAATGCAAATAACCTGCTCATGGAAACTAATACTTGCATGAAGTTACAACTGCTTTTTCCATCCACTTCCCTTACTCCTACCCACCCAGGTAAAGGAACAGGTACTGATCCACTCATGTTACCAACTTTATACATAGATATTGGTAAGAATATATTTTTATTGAGCAGCTAATAAACAAAAAATAAGTGGTATGCTTAATGTTGTAAGGTATTTTAAAATGTAACAGTCTTGATTCTTCTATTTTTTGGTGAAATGTGAGCAGTATGTCAAAAAACACTATCCTAGAGATGGAAAATTAAAAAACATTAAAAATAATTACTAAAGAGATTTCAAAATCTTTTAAAAACAAAAAGAATAAAATAATTTCAAAAACAGGTAAATAAACATCTCTGTTAGAACTGCTAAAATAAAAACATAACATTGTTCTAAAAGTTTTAGAAACTAGGAGTAAAGTAATGACATCTAAAATTAGCTTTTCCCTCTTGTTGCTTGTTGGGATCCCACAGCATAAATGAGACAGGAATTTATTTTTTCTCTGTGGTATCTGGATTACTGTTAAACATTAGGATTAGCACATTTTATGAAGTTCCATGCCTGCTTACTAGTCCTTGTCATATCTGATATTTATGTTTACTAAAATTGATTTTCTCTTTTTATTAATAGCTTGGGTTTAATGTGGACGATGCTTCACTGCATTAGTGATAACAATTTTACTTAAATATTGCTTTGGTGTGCTCTTCTGCAAATACTCTTTCAATTCCTAAGAGTCTTTTATTTTCCCAGTAGCCCAGTTGGAGAGTTTTAATATTAAATTGAATCATAACAACACATGCTGATTAGAGTCTAACTTAATACATGCAGCTTAATGTTAATTTTCCACCTTCAAATCAGGGATTTGACTATTCCAAGATGATTATTCATCTCAAGTGTGATTTCATTTTAAACTTGTAAAGCCCACAACTAGAGATTTTTGCATCAGAAAACACTAACATGATAGCGCAAAGGAATTCGGCGAAAAGAGAATCATTACATAACTACAAAAATACTGTTGAGAAGAAAAAGGTTTATCAAGAAGATTTCATAATACAGCACAGAAGCAAAAAATGGCACAAGCAAATGCACAGTTGGCTGATGTAGTTAGTTTGTGAAGATAGAAAACGTTTGGCTTCTATAATAAGAGGATATGCTTAGGTCCTAATTCCTTTAGAGAAAGTTATCCATTAATACTGATAATAAAGGGGGGAAAGGCATAAGCCAAAGGAATTGTTTTAAAGTTAGAAATGAAAAGCTAAATGCCACATTTCTTGCTTCACAGTATAAACTTCCACTTCAAAATAAGCTTCGTGTAAGCACCTTGAAAAGGGAAATACATGGTTAATCATCAAAACAAGTATATTATCATAGTAAAAACAGAACTAGAACAGGCAGTATCAAACTCCCTCGGAGCTAAGAAAAACAGAATTAGATATTTAAAATCACAAGGAAATAAATTTAGGCATTCTGTAGTTTTATAAAAGTTGTCCTACATGTTAGACTGATTAATATCCTGTAAGAATAGATGAGTGCTATAGTTTGCAATATTAACGAATTAGCTGGCGTCAGGTGTTTGAATTTTACAAGTTTTAAAGCTTACCAAGCTATGGTGATTTGTTGGCTAAAGTCAATGATGACAAAAGGTAATGGCCATTCTAAGGTTACACAGATTCCAATCTCTGTATGTGCAGCATGTATGTATATAGATCCACACCTCTTCAAATGCTTAACAAGAGGAAGTGCCATGTGTCAGCAGAAGTAATCATATACACAAACCAATTTTTATAAGCCAATTAAACTAAAAAATAAAAAAGAAAGAAAAAGGCCATTTATAGAGACATGGCTAATACAAATGGAGTTTTATAAAAATACCTAGCAAATTGAACAGAGTATTGCTATTTTTATTTTTATTCCCTTTGTTTTCCAGATCTTGTCCAGCATTTACACTTCATATATTGTATTTTTTATTGATAAAAGTGAGAAACATTGGCTAATTTTTTCAGAAGATAGGATGAGGATGCAGTACATGGCTTTGAATAATAGAAGACATTCTCATACGAGTTGGAAAAATGTTTTCAAACCAAATACCAAAATAAGACTTCAGTGCCCCACAGTGTAATGAAGGGAAATACAACGGTCATTTAGGTTGGTGCAATTCTTTTTTTAGGCTATTTCATTTTTATGTGAGGCAGAAAATGGAACTACATAATACATTTCTACAATTTATATATTCATCAAAACCATTTACAAAATTACTACTTTCAGCATATTTTAAAAATGAGATTGCTTAACAAATTATGTTTATGTAGTCAAAACACACCATTAAAATTTATTATTAGTCACTTAATGGAAGTTAATGGTGAGTTTATAAATGAAGTGCTGGCTTACTTTGATATAGTCTAAGAGCAACCAAAAATAGAAATTATTTCCCAGAATTCTATGTATTTATAAAGTGCAAAATAAGCAATTTTAGCAATTCTCAAATGTAGGTTTTCCAGATGCATTTAATCCTAAATACACTTGTAGAAACAGAATATTTTTCTGCTAAGTCAGGTATGTCTAACTTATCCATCTTACATGTAAAAACTATCCTGACTGAAGTATTTCATACTTATTAAAAGATAAAAAACTATAAAGATACAGAAACATTATAAAATATTTTTAATACTCTGGGGGGTCGTGAAATTTCCAGTGAAACTATCTCAAGTCTACAAAACAAACTAAAACAAAAAGCCACAAAAGTAAAATAATTATATTATTGGTAAATACTCATTTACTGAAAATGAATGCATTATAGAATTAAAGATAGAAAGATATTGCAGATAAATTTACCAATGAGAAGAAATTCTGTATGTGCAGTAAATATTTTTAATAGAAGTTGTTTGGGGGCAGTTTTTGCTCAGGAAGTCTAATGTGAATTCACCTACTATTTTCCAGAATGAGGGGCACTCTTCTGAAGAATTATCCAAAAAAATTATCACTCCTAATTTGTATTGGTTCAGGGTAGTATAAACGCTAAAATATTTAAAACAGAATTCAATAATGCTTCTTCTACAATAAAGGGAAAAATGATCTTAAAATTGTAACTTTTTATAAAGCTGCAAATAAGATAATTTTTAAGGAATATAACAGTATTTTTGTAACAGATATGGAGTTCAATATGCTCATGTCAAAATATTTCATAATACTAAAATTAACTTAGACATTCAAACATAAAAATTATGACAATAATATGGTGTTTAAAAGCTCAAATGAAGCTTATAGAAATAAAGCTTATTTGTAGAGTTCCATTTCATATAAAAGTTTATGCTTTCAGAATTTAGAACAGTAAAAAGTGGTTTTTCAAATAATAAGAATACATTGCTTTCCTGGAAAAATACTTCCAAATGATTATTAAAAAGATGACAATGAAAGAAAAAAGAATGAATATTGTATCAACATTAAAAAAGCATCTGTGCTATAAATTGCCAGATAAAATAATATTAACAACATATTCCTATTTACCTTTACACTTATAATTATGTACCAATATAAAGCTGACCTTACATAAAAATTTAGAAGCACCAGGTTTGATCAGCGTGAGATAAAGTTACAGCTAGATTTATGCCCTATGTGGCAATTTATTTTTATTTTCTCTTTTAGAGTTATTATATTATTATATTAAAGCCTATAAAATTTGTAGTCAGCATAGCAAGCTTCAAATCATTTTAGTTAATTAGCAACTATGGTGAAGCATGAAGCATCACTCTTTCCCAGTAGTTTCATTTTAAACAAATCATCCTCACGTATAAAAATAGCAAATTGCATTAAATTTTATATAAGACATTTTACAGCTTCTTATATAGGAAAAGCTATAAGCAGCTTCCATGGCACATACCACAGCAAACAGCTTTGAATAAACTCTGGCAAGATATCATTCATAGAGATACAAGATACATACAGCCTATATAGACTTAATGCTTAAAGTACGTCACAAAAAGTTGCAGGTTCAAAGAAAGAACAACAAAAAAATTGCCCAGAAGTTGAGTTCCAGTTACATTCTGACATCCTTTATTGCCTTCAAGTTGAAAAAGAAAGTATTTTGGTATTTCTCCTAGTTCTATTTAATGCTTGCTGCAAAACATTAAATAAAAGCATGTAGAATTCCTAATTCTAAGACTCTGATTATGCACTGGCTGGCTACTTTATTCATATTTTTTCAAACTGAAATAAGGCGGATAGATCGCAGTGATGAGTACCTTAAACATTATCACTACAACTTTGCTATTTTTACACAGTCATTTTTAATCTACTTTAGACAATATCAATTTTAAGCTCCAACTTAAAGTACAAAGATGTTTCTATATCTAATTTGTCATAAGTTACTCTTCAAAAAAATAAAAATAATTATAAATGCATTGGATAGATTTTTAACAGATACATTTCTTGGTCTGCCTGGCATATAAATATTGACTGGGTAGATTTCATAATTTCAGTCAGAAACATGTTAGAGGAAGTTTTAAAAAGTCAGTCCTTCTCTTTCTTTAGCTAATGAGTTTCCAAAGGAGGAAAGCAATCCCACAAATGGGCAAATTCTGTCTCATCAGATATGTACATTTTATGTTCCACAGCTAAATGAATGATATGCCAGTCCAGTTCTGGAAAGTGAAAAATTCCACTGTTAAGATTTGATACTTAGTGTACAAACTATGGAAGATTTTTCTTTCTTTTTCTCTTAAATATAGCTACTAGTGCCATAAAGGAGAAAAAAAATGGAAAGACATCAAATTTTCCATAATAATAGTTTCTATAACCCTTAAGAAAATATCTTACAGTCTAAATTATTATATTTTCATATTATTTAATATCTCAAATCATCATTCAAAGAACTTATAAATCACATCATCATTATCACTACTCAAAGTAACACAAGTAAAACACAGATCTTTAAGTCTCATTGCTCATAATTAGGAGTGTTTCTTTCTTTCTGTTTATGGAGGGAGAAGTGTATTAAGAAGCTAAATGTAATTGGCAAAAATATTTTACTTTTCACTGTATGTAAAAAATTATCTGGCCCAGGACAATACTTGTAACCAACAATATATGTGGACAGGCAAATTACTATTTTATTACTTTCCTTATTCTTACTTATGTTCTTAATAATTTAGACATGAAATATAAATATGTAAGTTATTTATGTTCAGTTTGGTGCCTCAGAGAAATTACATAATATCAAAGGGCCAAAAATAAAACAACTTTTAAAATAGAACTTAAGTGATTAAACATTGGTTATATAAAATACAAAATGGAAGTATGCTGAATTTGGAGGAAAATGAGAAAAATTACTTTTAAAGCTCAGGAAAATAACCACAGAATATTACTTGTTCACTGATTATATTACAGATTCTATGTAATTAAATAAACAATTAGATAGTGGCAACTTTAGGTGTACCTTCCTTTTTCCTTTAGCTAATTTCACCCATTGCCTGAAATCATACCTCTCACACAGTAAGCATTTAATAAACATTTTTGAACAACTATTTGTATCTAATCAAAGAAATTAATTTGTAAATAAAATCTGCTTGACTATATTTGTTGATTTACCATACAGAATCAGACTATTTTAATTTGCCAATCAGAGACATATGCAGTTGAACATCTACACAATTTCACTGAGACACATGCTTTCCACATAAAACTAAATACCACATCTGCGGCATAATCTATAACACGTAACACAGTGTTTTACACACACCAATTCTCCACTTCACTTCTGCAATTTTAAGTGTTGATGAAGTTGCCAAATAAGTCACATTATATACAACAAACTTTCAGTTTAAATAAGGGACAAGATTGCTGTTAACAACTTAGTTTGAAATGTTAACAACCGTTAGGCTGTTAACATAACAACTGGCCATTAATGTGGTAATGACCAATTTAAGCGGAAATCGTACTCTGAGAAATGAATATATTGGCAATCAGGACCAGGGTTTATATTTGAAAGAATATTATATACTTTTAATAAGTTAACCACCATTAAAAGTTTGAGCCTATCAGGAGGTAACTGAAAGTTATTCTACAAAAAGCCACATACACTCTTATAGAGATACAAAAACTTCTGATATGAAAACTATTTTTGATAAATGCGTTTTAGCAAAACACTTGAGACTATCAAATATATTTTTACTACCACAAGGAAAAAGAAAACAAAACAAATCTAAGATTACTGTCTTTGCTCGATGCTATGTTGACAGCTAAGAAGCATGTTATACTCACAATATAGGTATTTCCTTGGCAAATTTTTATTTTTGTTTTCAAAAACCCCAGATATTTCAGTTGACATTCTTTCAAGTTTACTTAATTTTTGTCCTTTGGTTTATTAAAACACCTTAACATTGCCCGGGCTATATAAACTCCTTATTTGAAATGGTAACATAAATCCACTTGAGATACTGAAATTACAAACAAATGTAAAAGTCAAAAGGAGTCAAAAAGCTATGACTATTGGTTAGTACAGATAAAGCAAAACTAAAAAGCAGTATTAAATCACTAAAAGCAAATACAAATGCTTTATGTGGAAATGAGGCTCTAATTCACAATGGGCAGAAGAGAAATTTTTATTTCAAAGAGGAAAGTTCAAAGACCGGAGAGTTCTAAAAAAATGAACATTGTACATTAATTTTGATTCGTTGTGCCAACACAATGAGGGAAATCCTGGCTGGAGAGAGTGACTTCTCATTGTTGGCACCTTGCATGTGTTTTACGCACTTGGAACACAGAGAAGTAGTAACAAGTGGCCATAATTAGTCAGGAGGCTGTCAGATGAGGCCGTCCTAAGAGCGAGAAGGAGTAGAATCTGATAAACAGTACCGCTTTCACCCTCTTGTAACTACCATTAATCAAATGATATATTTTTATATCTAAAGATTGGATCTGACTGAAAATAGCTGAATTATATACTAAGAACGACCAAATTCCCTAGAAAACACCTCATCAAATGACCAAGGTACTAAAGGAGTTACCATTGATTGATAAATTTTGTCATAAGGGAAAAAATTCCAAATAAATCGCTTAATGTCAGACCAGAAAAATGATAAATTGTATTAAATATGAAAATCCCAATGATGCCATATATCATTTCTCTAATTTGATAGATCCTACTTTATTAATATAAGTAATTTGCAGCTGAAGTAAGTCACAAAGTTGCCTGAAAAGCAAAATAATTTTCCTTCAGCAGAAATTCTGTGTTGAGTACTTAATGCTGGAAAACAAGCTTTAGTAGGCTTCATAGCTCCATAACCAAGAACACCTGCCTTGTCCTGAAAGCATTCAGATGTTTACAGGTTGGAGAGTGGCTGTCATTTTCCTATAATGATGGAGGTCTTTACTTTGTTATTATCCATAAAACTACTGGCAAGTCTGAGGCGGTTCAATTGCTTAGTTGTATTTTTGAGATTCCCGTTTAGAATGTCATGAGGTGGGGCGAGAGGAAGATGTATCTACACTTGGGGAAAGTTTTCAAAACTCTACAATAAATGCACTAATAGATATTAACCAAGGATTTGCACCTGACTTCCTCTGACACACCTGAAACAGAGAAGACAGCTGAATAACTTTAGAAGACTAAATTCAGGTCCAACTTAGAGGCAACAATTAAACTCTTTTACACAGTCCATTTTTTTCAAGTTGAACTTTTTAAAAATAGTTAAGATATTTTGCCAAATGGCTGATCAATTTCTTTGTGTTATGCTCAACCCCCATTCCCCCTTAAGCTCCAAAAAAAAAAAAAAAAAAAAAAAAGAAAAAAAAGAAAAAATAAGTAAATCAACCTGAATGCTGATTTCGACCAAATACATCCTTGACATTAACTGGCAGTTTCAACATAGGCAGCGCCATAACCAACTGCCTGAGTGTGCAGGCAAGCCAAATTGAAATACTTTAAATATTGTGGTTTGTTGGCTATTCCTTAAGCATTAATTTGAGTAACACACACAGGGCAACGCTTTGAAGGCTGACAGGTAACTTCTTTCAGGAATATAAGCTGGCAGTAAGGAAATGAAACAAGCAAACAAAAAATACACTTACAAAAGTACTTTAAAAGGCATCCAGTCATCACTGGTGTGCAAGGATAATTCCTACCTCAGATAGTCTCTGCGACAAAGGATAAGATTAGCTTTAGTGTACAGGGTGGAGCCCACCTCTCCCAAGCGACAGTCACAGCAGGCACACTTCAGGCAGTCTTCATGCCAGTATTTGTCCAGTGCCTTTAGAAGATACCGGTCCTTGATCTTTCGGTTGCAGCCAGCACAACCTTTCGGCTTGGTGTCTGGCTGGACTGAGAGCATTTGTATACCTAAAGGAAGACAAAAGCAAAAAAGAGAGCTGAGACTACCAGACAGAATAAAAAGACCTCAAACAAGTTAAATATTTAATATTTCCTTATTCTAGGAGTGTTAGCTTTTCTTGTTTAGGGCTATACTGAAATCAAACCCAATTTTGGAAACAAAAAGTCTCAAACTTTATCAAGTGCTTATTAAATCATTCAAAAAGTTACACATGCCAAGTGACAATAATAATAAATTCATGTTGACCATGGTAAATTGACATTATAAATATGAAGTTCAATAACATTAAATAATTTTATAGTATCTTCATTCTCCCCATAGAGCAGTTCCTTTAGAAAGAAAATGTGAGTAAATAACAATCTGAAAAGAAAGCTATTTAACAAATTAATCTATGCACAGTCCCTACAAGTAAAAAAATGAGTTTTGCTTAACTGTTTAAAAATTTCACTTAATATGTGCTTGATGGTGGAAGGAGAGGGCACCTGGTATGGGGTTACACTAACCTTATTCAGCAGTAGAGGTGTTTATAGTTAAGTACACAGAACAGCTACCCAAAAAGCTCACCAATCCTATATTTCTTGCTTGCATCCAAATACTTCTTCTATGTCCTTGATATTTCAAAGTATTCATTGTGTTCAAATATAACATTTATACTCACAAGCATCAGTCAGCACCTATATTAATGGCAGATTACTTAACTATATACTATATGCTTTTATGTAAACCTAAAGTATATGATTATACCATTTATTACCATAAACATGCAATTATTTGTTTTATAAAGGAAAGAAAAAACAATAGAAGGCAAGATCTAAATATATATACAATTATACAAACATATATAAGTAAATATATACATGTTATATGTATACTATGCTAAACATAGAAACATTTATATATTTTAAAGGTATAAATCCATCATAAATAAGGAATCCAGCTGGATTCCATGGGCTTTACAGTTTGATTGAAATCTTTTGAATGAATGGACATTCACCTTGAGTGTCTTCTTATTTCCTAGGTATTAAAACACCCAGCTTTAGCAAGAAGCTGGACCAACTATCCAATGCCTCATATTTATCAAATAACTCATTTTAAGCACTATAAAGTACTGCAGACATCATCAATTCCAAATTCCCTCATTTTACAAATTATGTTACCGAGGCCCAAGAGAGGTTCAGAGACTTGCTCAAAGCTGAAAGACAGTTACGCTATAGACTCCAGCCAAATGGCCTTCTTACAGTCCAGAGACCCTTCTGCTGCATTATGTTTGCTCTCCTAGGCATAAAGTTTTAAACTTGCATGTAGAAGGATACAAAACACCAAATGTGCATGCATTATAGGATAAGAAATGTCAAGCTATAATCTGCACTTTTGTACATTTTCCTTCTCCAAAACAGCTAAACCTCCTCCAGTTTCCTCTGATATCTTATGATGAAGGCTTCACCCCCATCACAACTTTCACAACCTTTTAAAAAAAAAATCCCACTGGTAAGAGACATCAAGGCATCCGCAGAGCGGAATAACTTTTCTAACTACAAATAATACATGAGTTGCACAAAATATTGTTAGGATGTTGAACTTTCATTAGAAAATAACTCGTCTGGTAGAGTTGTGTAGGGAATGGCAGGAAATAAAGCAGAGTAGCTGTTCTTTCTTTCTGCATCATAAGCATAGCTGTAGTCACCGGAGCTGCAGACTAACAGCTGGATTTGTAAGAAGAGCAGGTGGTATCCCTATAGCCTGCTTTCTGTTCCTTTCCTTTGAAGGAGCTAAGGGCCTAGTGTAGATTAATCATAACCCTTGATAGCTCTGCTAAATCTCACTCTCTAGAACTTCTAACAAATGAAGTTTCTTTGATCAGAACTAGTTATCCTCTTCTAGCAAGGTTCCACAAGGAGTGAATCCCATTAATTACAGTGAACAACAGATCCAAGTGCCTGTTAACCACATATCTAGGGGGAAGGGGAAGTTTTGATTTACTCAGTGAAATTCTGGATGGTGTTACTGAAAACACCTAGATAATAAATATTAAGAGAAGCCATTCTAATTAAGCCATCCTAATTAACGGCCATTCTATTAAATTTGTAAGGCTATTATTTTTATTTATCACAAAGCTCAAAGATGAAAAATCGAAAAAAAAAAAAATCCCAGTAGCAGCTAAGTTATATTTCCCACAGTTGTGTTTCTACCATCAAGCATAGAAGGTCAGCTGTTTTATTCAAAATGCTTTGCAACCAAGACAGGGGATACCAACATTTGGCACAAGTAACACTACCCTACTTGTCTTCACAAAATGTTTTTGTTGTGTTGACATTTTAATTTAGCACTCAGAGGCCAATTAATATTTGAAACTCTTACATTCTGTTTGGCCTTGGGCATAAAAGGAGTTTGATATTTCACACTCCATCCTGGTACCTTATTTGAAGAACATCATGGCAATTCTCTTGAAAATGGAATCTCTTGAATTCCATGCAAGTTAACAATTGTAGCAAAAGAACTATTTTGTAGTCACCATGTTACCGTGTACTTAAAAGGCATAAAGCAGTCAGCAGTCTCCCCTCTTCCACCAGAAGAACATGTCTGGGTAGAGTTACGTGTTTGTAGCTAAGAAACATTTCACAAGTTGCTCATAGCACATCAGAACTCATAACTAGTTTTAGATTGGCATGTAAATTGTTCTGAGGGAAATTCTTATTGCCTCTGAGACCCTGCCATTCTGAGTTATTTGACAGTTTAAGGGAAATCATAATTAAAAAAAAGACATAAATAATAGCCTGTGCAGTGTGGTGTGCAGAAATAAGTAGAACCATTTCATTTAAACTCTGGTGAGCTTTTAATTGCCTGGATTGCATTGTGAAGCGGCCTAACGGTTGATTGCCTCCATTATGTTCCCTTGTTCTGTACCATTCATCCGCACAGTCTCAGCTTCAGTAGTTAACACAACAAAGTAACCACAACTCCACAACACACAGGGGTTTAAAAAAAATAATAATAATGAAAGATTTGCAGCACTTAGACACAGTCTTACATTTTTGGACTAACTACACAGAGTGAATAGAAAACATTTTGTCCGTCGGAAAATTCACAGAGAACAATTTGGGAGAGGGAAGAGGAAGAGGGAATACATAAAGGGGGTTGGAAGAGATGAGGTGCTTCAGAAAGATGCTAAAATGGGAATGCAGGTTCTGCAGCTGGGAGCATTGACACAGATTAAAAGAATTTGGCCAACATGGCCATTCGATTGCCAAGAGGCACCAGACAAAAGATTTTCTCTCCTCCTGCCCATCTTCATCCTCTTCCCAGCCCCCAACCCAGGTTGGAAAACTGGATTGGGCCTAAAAGCTTGTTTCTCTCTGTTCACTGGCCCAGAGCATCCCTACAGGCTGCAGCCCCCTAAGGGACAACAATGCAAATAGATGTCCCCAGATCTCAGGCACTGGAGCTGCTTAACTCTGTTCTGCCCCTTCAACTCCCAGCCCCCTTCCCTATCCTTCACCCCCCTCCCCTTTTTGAGCAATGGAGCTGGGAACCAATTTGATTCCCTTTTTCTCCAATGCAGCTGCAAGGCTCAGAGATACTGACATTTTTCCACTCTTATCAGTTTAATTACAGTTACCATGGCAGCAAAGTGCTAGTGCTTGGCAAAGGCCAACAAGAGATTTGCAAGACTGAGTTCAATTTTGATGCAGCTCACATGCAAAATAAAAAAAAAAAATAAGAAACATACATACACTCTAACAAAGAATCCCTTGCGGAGTTTATGCTCCAGCCTTTTGTGGTTGTGTCTTTGCAGCCACACAGGGATGGTTTGCAAAGAATGTAGCAGTATTTGTTGCATCTAGCAAGATTAATTGGTTTAAGCAGCAGTCTTTCAAAGCAGTTACAACAATAATATTTCGGTTCTTTCAGAAAGACACAAAAGCAGCGGAAAAGCAGAAAGGCTTTTGAGCGGCCAGGAGTGCAGAGCGCCAGCAAAGTGCATCTATGATAGACTGTAACCTTACCAAAACTTTTCTCCTTTTTCTGCATGAGTTGACTTAGGCGTGTCTGAGTTGCAGCAGCTTCGCATTGAGCACCAAACCCAAAGGTAGAAGTAGAAGGGGGTCTCCTTGATTTCGCTTAAGTGTGGACCTGGTGCGCAGCCTACACCGCCGAGGACCGACTATTGTGAAGCCACTTTGGGAGCGGGTCGGAGTGGCGGCAGGGGGTGGGGGAAGGGATGAGGACGGCCAGACAAGACAGGGCGCACACACGGAGCCCCTCGCAGTGTGCAAAATGATGGCGAATGACAAAGCCACATGCTTCCCTAACTCTGCCCGTAATCCTAAAATCCCAGCGGCCCCTTTTAGCTTCCTGGTAACAAATGGATTTGATTAAACTGTCACATGCAGCGTTAGCATAGCATATCATGTTCAATATGAAAAAGATCATAAATCTGACTTGTATTTCATAACAGCAATCTGAGTAGTCCCCGTAAAAAATGTGCTGCATCAGTTTGAATCTCAATCTATTAGGATATAGGCACCTTGGTCCAGGGACCTTCCCTCTTCTAGCCACTTCTGCCCCTACCCGCCTGCCCCCCCCCCCCGCCCCCATGCCCAAACACAGCCACTTTTCCACGGCAAAGGAACAACATTTTGTTATTATGGCTGCGTGGAGAGAGGCAGAAGCGTCAACAAGGACCAAAAGATTGTAATATCAACTCTTTAAGAAGTGGGGGTTCATGAATTCCAGCAAGTAAGGGGGAGGGGTCCGGAAACCCACCCAGGACTGAATTCTTTTCCTATGGGCTGGGAGCAAACACTTCCTAATTCCAAACTCTCCCTGCCCCTCTCTCCCCGGGAGTCAGGGGTGTGGAAATACTGCAGTTCATGGTGAACTTTGACTATTATCCACTCGAGTCGTACTTGAGACGTTCCGCGCCGCAGCCGCTCTCCCTCCTTCCATCAACATCTTCCGCCTGCATCTATTTCATGTCTCATCATAAAAATAATGAAGCCTCACATGATTTAAACAAAACCGTCTCAGTAGAGCTGCAGCCCGAGTGAAAGTTGCAGTGCGGAGCTGGGTTGCAGCTCCAGTTTATGCCTCATTAGCAGAGGTTGGGGAAGAAAAAAATACCCACATCCGCACACGCACGCGCGCACCCGCAGACACACACACCACAAATAAGCCGACGCGTGTGTACACAGTTGCTGCACTTACCTTCTCAATTAAGCGATACAGGGGGAGGCCGTTCAGTAAGCACAGTGGCTGCTTTGTAGCGCTTCTCCTTGGGAAAGGTCAAAAAGAAGCATTGTTTGAAAAAAAAAAAAAAGACGGGGGAGGGAATGTCTATTTTTTTTTAAGTTTAAAATAATGAGGTCCTCAAGGATACGCCAAGCAATGGTGTTGACCGCATCTGAGCCACAGGTGTCCTCCTTTTAGGCAACTGCAGTCCGAGGCTGTCTCTCTCCGTCCTGGTTCAAGACAACTTACCCCAGCAGCGTGCGAGGAGCCGAGCTGAAGGAAGCTCCGGCTCTCAGCTGCAAAATGCAATCCCTTCCCAGCCAGACATAATACAGCCAAAGAAAAGGTCACTCAGTTATTAGTGAGCCGGCGGAGCCCAGGCAGCGCTTGTCAAGACCACAGAGAAGCAGCTCCCTTCCGATTTAAGACTATTTACCTCTCGCCCCCACCCCTCCCCTCTTCTTTCCTTCTCTCCCTCCCTCTCTCGCTGGCTCCCTCGCTCGCTCTCGTGTGCCTGTTCTGCAGCTCAGTCAAGTACAGCCGCCCTCGGAAAGTGCAAAGCAGCCACGAGACAGATCGGGCTTTGTTGCTAATTTCCCAGGGTGAAAATTTACAAGCCTGCGAGTGCAGTCAGCACAACCACATGCATATGCTACTCACAAACGCTGGGGACAAACCCGCACACAAAATGTGACCTCTGCAGGAGTCGACTGAGGAAGGACCCTACCTCCTGGACCAGTCCAAAAGAAGAACTCCTGCGAGAGAGCTCCGGAGGAAAAGGGTAGGGTTCCTAAAATAACCAGGGCATTTTGGAATAGGTGGCTACATTTAAAGCAAATTGCCTTCCAAAGCCATTTCTGAAGCTACCAATTATGGAAATTAAAATAAAAGCAAGAGAATCAAACTGCTACCAGAATACCCTGGAAAAAGCACACAACCCTCCCCTTTAAGAAATGCCTGGAGGTGGCTGCAGTCGCTGGTCTGTCTGTGACTTCCATTCATGAACTCTCTGAAGTCGCTGCTCCGCAAGTCCGCCACACAAGCCTGGTTCAGGGGATCACACACACACTCTCCTTCCTCCCTTCCTCCCTTCCTCTAATGGCCCAAGACCCAAACTGTGAACTTGTTCTCCATTCACTAATGCTGACCCCCACCACCACCACCCCGAAACACACTTCCTGCAATTACTTGAATTCCTTACTATTTAAAACTCACACGCTCCAATGAAAAACAGCCAACAGCACTGAGAAACATGTTTTCAGGACTAACTTGGTCAAAGAACCATAGTTTCTGCACCATTACTGCTTTGTCTTCACAGGCTTGTTTTAAGGCCTTGACAGATTTTTTTTTTTTTTCTAATAGGTCCCATTCTCTCTAACCTCCTCTCCTCTTAACTTTCCTTGGCATCTATAAAGGCCACTGGTAGCTTTAAAATACCTTATTATTTTTCTAAGTTTTCAAACTTCAAAGTCACCCTCTGTTTGGGCTGCTCTTAAAGTACCCTCACCAGATTTTACAAAGCTTTGTCAGAGGTCAAGCTTAAAAATGGTCCACATTTGAAAGACACTCACTGAAATGTTTAAGAGCCAAGAAATATTCAATTGTTGAACTACAAAAAACTTTTTTTCTTCTCTTCACCATCAGTTTTAATCTAGCTCTAGTTTTAAAAAAAAAATCAAAGCACCCCCCCCATGAGTATTTAAGCTAAATTTTGTTTTTCTTCATAAAGAATAAAGGCACAACATTGATAACTAGTTTTTACCCCCTCCCTTTTGAAGGCTCATAATAAAATAGCCTGTGGTTTGCTTTCCTCTCCCTTTAAAAGGCAACAAAACTCAGAACTAACCTGAAAAATAACGATATTCACAGACGGTAGATTAATGAGAACCCCTTAGTTGACTTGTTCTGTACATAGGCAGATTTCTTAAGTTTGGCTTTTCTGGCCCGTCTAGGCAGGCATACATGCACTTCACCCATCCGCACAGCTCCCCACTGTTCTACCCCACCTCTCTGCTACAGCCACTCTGAAAACACCCCAGTATGTGTGAGTGTGTGTGTGTGCATATGTGTGCATGCATGTGTGTGTGTCTCGTGCGCTCTGTCTCAGCCAATGCACTGAGAAGAAGAAAAGAGGGAGGGAGGGAGGGAGAAGTATGTGTGGGGAAAGGGAGAAATAAAATCAAAACAAATGGTACAGCTAATGAGGACAATTAAATTAATTATGTTCAAGGAGATGAGATTTTTTTTCCCTCCAACTGTATGATCTGTTACCCCTCGCTGGCAACTGCTGCTCTGTAATTCATGGCAACTGATTAGTGCATCTATGCAAATCTTTGTTTAAATCATTCAACTAATTAAATGATGGGATTATTCCTCTGCCTACGGTGACATCATTCGCGGTAATTAGTACTCTATTTGGACTGTGGCAGTAAGATTCCTGATATCAACACCAACCTGCAAAGACATTAACCACTTTGTCACCTTTTTCTTAAGGGACAAACACCCAGATCTCTAAGTGCATCCCATCCTCTTCCTTTTTCCCCAATCTTCCTTTTCCTCTCAATTTTACCATTTCCCCCACACTTATAAGCAAGTAATACTGCCAAGCAAGGAGGAGAGAGAGAGAGAGAAGGAGAGACAGAGGAGAGAGAGAGACAGAGAGAGAGAGAGGAACTTAGCGAATAATATGCCAAACCACATGTGTAAAGGAATAAAATGGAATAGTTAACATTCAGCTCCATGCCATTCATTTTCCCCTAAAATGTAATGATAATTAGATGGGTCATAAAATGCTCTTCTTTTCATTATGACTGATGAAATGCATTAAAGCTGACAGGGTATTACCTGACAGTAATTAGGTTTTGTCATGAATTAAATTATTTGAAAGCAGGCTATCTCCCCAATCACGCAATTTACAGCAAGATTTTTTTTAATCTGTGCTACAGAAGGGAGAGAGATAGAAAATAGCAGTTTTTCTCTTCATAATCATATGAATTATTCACAGAAAAAATCATCAGAAAAACCCCGTGCAGATGAAGAGGCTTGCCACTTAATGTACTGCACAGATGTGATCATCAGCGGTTGCCGACAATGAAATATACAAGTGCACACAAAGTGATCTGGTGAACAAGAGGTGGAATTTAATCATCTTCTGCTGACACTTTGCGAAAAACACCATTAACCCTCAGCAAACTCCCTGTTTTCCTGGCTCCCCCCAACCCCAAAGTCTCACCCCTCCCGCGAGGGAAAAAGTGAAAGAAGAATTTGTGCTTTTGTTTACTCAGCCAAGCTAAAGGTTGGATCCAGCCAGGCAAGCAGTTTCTTCATTTCCTGAGAGTAAACTACCCAGTTTAATTACAGATCCTTTGGAAATCTTTGCGAAAGGATTGCTATAAAGAGCCAGATCTTTTTGGTCCGATTACCTTTTGCCTGTGCCCTCTTTCTGCAACTCATCATCAGACGTTTGATGAGAGAATTTACTTCATCCAGCCCCCATCCCAACACTTATTAAAGGAAAAAAAAAGGCAGACTGTCTTCTTCAGGGGTCTTATATTGTGATACCTTGATGAGGGGAAAAGGGGAGGGGAATGACAAAATGGGGTGGAGGAGGGTGCTGAGGGGGTGATTAGATATATACTACTTACCTTTGCCCAAAGGAGATCTCCCACAAGAAAATAGTGTGTATATATGTATATTTCTAAACACGTCTTCAAGTTTTCAGCTGTTTCTTTCTTTAAAACACACCTCACAGATTACTTTTGTGTGCGGGTGTTCAGTTACGATTTCTGTGGCGTCCCAGAGATGCTCCGGTTAGGTTGCCGTCTTTTTTTTTTTTAATTTTTTTTTTAGGGCAGCAGACAGGTTGTTGGGGGGAGGCAAAGGATAGCACACCCTGAAAGTCCAGGAGCAGTGAAAGGTCTCGGTCAAGGGAAGGATGAGGTTGATACTGCCCCCACCACACACACTCCCACCATCACTCTTCGAAATTCAGCAACACAAATGAAAGAAACCTCTGCTTCAGGCTTCCTGTCTTTCTTGTGTGCCTCTCCCTTTCTCACTTTCTTCCCGAACTGCATACAAAACCTGAGTGGGCCAGAGCTGCTCCTCCAGTATTTAAACACCTCGCCAGGTCCCTAGTTAGCAGCTTCCTTCAGCTCATCCAAGAAGCTGACAAGTACTGTTAGAGGAGGCTGTACATGTTGCTCTAATGGACCTCATTAAGTTCTACTTACAGATGTTCTCTTAACATAATTGATCTGCGGTGAGTTGAGAGGACTGCAACTTATTCCCTAGCCCCCAATTATGGTTGGGTAATTAGATCCCCAACCTCCAATTTTTCACATTCACCCTTCTAACATTCCAAAATATCAAAGTATCTCTCACCAAAGCTCCCCCTTACCGGACTCCACTCTACTCACTGTATTGACAGTTAGATCTGCTCTAACCTTTGTAGTGACGCCAGTTTTAATGGTGCATTCAGTCCATTGACAGAGCTGTGTTTTCTCCCCCAGCCTCTCTTCTCCTTTCCTCTCCACACTACCACCCCCACCCCACCCCCTTAACCCTCAGAAACAAAAGGGTAAAAAAAAAATCCTCTAACTTGTATAGTTTGTACTTTTGATAAAAGGTTTCAGTGATGAGCTTTGGCAGTGGTGCTTCCTTTCTAATGTCTTTTTATCTGTATTAATTCCTCAGATGAAAACTTTAAGGAACAATGAAGGAGAGAGGTAGTGCTCTGAAACGGTGAGAAGAAAAAAATTACACAGCACACCTGGGACAGATGAAGCCAAACTAGTGCTTTTATAATGCCAATCAGCAGGGCTGTTATCATCCCTCTAATTAGGAAAGCAGCCTAAAACAGAGAGCACTTGGGGAAATGGTAATGTTATGGTTTTGCACTTAAAAGGAGAGACATTTCCTGCACTGTAAGAATCTAGGATTGGGGCTGACAAGTCCTTTAATTAATGGGCAGGATTCCCTGTGTGTGCAAGTGTGTGTGCATGTTTTAATTCATAAAAGTGGACAAAGGGTGTTATGAGGAGGAGGGAAAGAGAGATGGGGGAGGGAGGGTGAGTCCATTAGGTTGAAGATGAACAGAGTTCATAGCTACATTCATCTTTTTTTTTTTAACCCCCACAGGACTGAGGTGCAGAACTGGAGTGAGCTGTTTTTCTAGGAATTTGAATGTTATACTGAATAAAAGCCCCAGGCCATAAGGCAAACACAAAGTTTGAGAGAACCCATATTTCAAGTTGGCAAACCCCTGTGTCTAGCTTGCCCCTGGTCGCTATCTCTTTGGGTTGGTGTTTCACCCAGCTCCTCTGGGCTTTGCTGTAGACTACTTTCCCACACACAGGTGCCTAGGATTCACTTTCATTTTGCCGTGCTAAAGAAATATGTAGCTTAAATAATTCCAGCAACAAGATTACTCTTACTGGTAAAAAAAAATGTGGACTAGTATCCTAAGACAAAGAGTTAATATTTGTCTTTTTGAGGGTTTTGAAACTGAACACTTTGAACCTGGCAGCATCGAGTTCTCAATACTGTTTTAAATGGCTTTTTAACACTTAGGAGAAATTCTCCAATGGCTCTAAGAGATACTTCTCAATTTTTTCATTCCCTCTCTCTGCTGTCTGCTATTATTCACAGATATGCATATTCCTACACGTAAATACACATAGGGTAGATTGTTTGAGGGATAATTAATCTAAAATTTAGTAAGATCTTATCTAATTTATTATTTCTTTTTTCCAAAATAAATTCAAATGCTCTATTGCCATCTCAGCTATACTAGTGTGTCACCTAAAAATTACACTTAGATATTACACTTACACCAACATACTAAAGGGATGCTGATTTTACAGTAGTCACAGTGATTGATTAAACAAATTTATCTTATATCAAACTAGTGCTTGACTTGTAAGTCTACTATGTAGAATAAATAAGATTCTTAAAAAGAACACACATTATTCATTTAATTTTTGTAGTAGTATCAACGTCTTTTTAAGGGAAACATAGCCTCTGCTTTCAAAATATCACTAAATTTAGAACCCTAAATTTACCCTGGTCAGAAGGGAGCAGCTTTACAATAGTGTAATTTTATTTTAACATTTTGTGAACAAATTTAAGGTAAGAGTAATCCTTAAAGAAATAAATGGGGTTAGTCATTTTCTTATACAGTTGAAATGGCAAAGCAGCCTCCTTCTAATTTAATGGAAGCAGAAAGTGAAACCAAATAATCTAATATTCAATACCTTTTTAAGATAAAAAGAAGAAACTAAAATGAGGCCCCAAGATTAATTTTATAATTTACCAGAGATTATTTTCAGAAGAATTTAAAATGAAATAAATATCATGTTGTTTGTACTCATTTGAAAGAAAATTTTCATCACTTTAAAAGAAAATCACTTTCTGAACAAAGTAGTACATGGCATTCGCATATGCCTCCAAGCAGCTGGGAAAAATATGTAATTATTTTAAATATCCTTACACAATGTATTGAACTATTAAGCAACCATGCCAGGCTTCAATTCCCTGACAATTCTTTCCATGGATAGTATTTTTTTAAAGACAATGAATACTTTTTGAGGAAAATGAAAATGAGTTTTAATTTCCAATAACCTAGGGTGGGTAGTAAGCCTAACAATAGGCAATACTTTACTTCAGTTTGTAAGAAAGAAAGAAAAAAGAAAACAACAGCTAAACAAACAAAACAAAGTTTCTAACAGGCTTGATACCTTTCCTCTGAATCACTCCACAAGAGCAAACTGCTCTCAGTTTAAATCATATTGCATGACAAGTTGTAACTTACATGTGTGTAATATGCTAAATGAGCTTTCAAAATGTTTGCTAATTCTTTACCTATACAGACATCACAGCAGACTGGATTTCATGTAAAATAAGCTAAGAAGGCAAAGTAAAAATGACCCACCTGTCCCTCCTGCAAATTTTGTAAGTTTTCATTCATAAATGGAATTTTCTCTCCAAAATTATACACTTCTGTTTCAATTTTCCACACATTGAACAGAATCATTAGCCACTGCTAAAAGAAAACTTATCTGAGGCTTTAAAATGATAGTGTCTTTTAAGAATCTGGGCCAACCACAATTCTGGCTATTGCCAGTCCCTATTCAATTTGATTTAGAGTTGTTTTATTTTTAAGTTGTAATATTTATTTTTACATGGAAAACATGTGTCACCACTTCATATTTCAGAGACAAATTTAATATGTTTATCTTGGTTGAATTCTTTTAGAAGTTAGATGTATACAATCTAAAAGAAGATGGCACCTACTTTACAATCCTCTAACTATTTCTTTTTGAGTCTGGATACTGTTAGAAAGTTTACATCTTTATGTGGCTGTAAGCCAGGTCTGAGGTCTGATAGGCAATGTAGTCTGCCAAAGGTGCTAAGTTTAATGCAGATAATGGTTGCCCAATCATTCTCTAAGTACTTAATTTTTATTGTGTTTGCATCAAGTAATTGTCTTCCACTGAATCCCATCCCTACCCTCATTCCTCCCCAAGAAATGGGTGGAAAGATTTTTAAGCAATGTTTCAAAGGCATGTTACTCCATTTCAGTTAGGCCCTCTGAACTGATGTAGATAACACAAAGTTAAAAATATCTGCATTTTCCAAGATTAGAGACAATGCACAGAAAGCATCTACTATAGTGATTAGCTTATATAAGCATCTTAATAAATGGTACTAATTATTATCATATTCAATATAGCCCAGCTCAATTTTTTACTCCTCATTGTACAATCATTCTTGTTGTGATCTTCTCTGTTTCTGTGCTTCTTTAACACTTTCTGTAGTTTATTGAAAGTGAATTATGGATAGTCTGTATTCCCTGCTAGTCTAAAAACCTGGGGGATTCATATTTTGTCTTATTTAGCTTTGCATACCACACAGTGCCAAGTAGAGTGTCTTGCTCACAGTAGACATTTATTAAATGCTGATCAAATTGATTTGAATTAAACGAAGAAGCTACAGTGCTAAAGAAAATGTTTATAATGAAAATTTTAAATCTAAGTTATTGACAAAAATAAAAATCTAAGCATAGTAAAGTCAGATGTTCGTTGATAACATTTTGATATTTTAGGGCCGGCACGGTGGCTCACGCCTGTAATCCGAGCACTTTGGGAGGCCGAGGCAGGCACATAACCGCTTCAACCTGGGAGGCAGAGGTTCCAGTGAGCCAAGGTCATGCCACTCACTGCACTCTAGCCACTCATGCCACTCACTGCACTCTGCACCTGACAGATGACAGAGTGAGATCTTGTCTCAAAAATAAAATAAAATACAATAAAATTAGATATTTTTACATTATGCAAATATTTAAAAAGATTTATTACAGCATACTGTAAATGTTGATTTTGTCATCTGTCTTCATGAGTAGACCATAAGTTCTTACAGGCAGAACATATATTTTAGTATCTGCAGGGCACAGTCTAGCACACAGTAAGTACTTAAATGTTTACTGCATGAATGGCAAAATAGAAAAATAAGAAGAAATAGAAAGATTCAATGGACAGTTAATCTAAATAAAATTATCATTACTTAAAATCACTAGCTTTCTGTGACAAATAAGGGAGATACAAAATGGAGGTCAATAGAATTTTAACAGAAACTAGAATTACAAAAGCTTCCTATAATATACAGACATTTAGAATTTTTACAAGGTTTATAGTGGTAAGAATGCTTAGGCTAGGCAGAGGATATTTATTAGTTATTACTATCAGATATCAAATAACACCTTTAAGAGTCTACTTATAGTGATAGAACATCTTAGGTGACATTTAAAAGGATGTAGCTTTTCCTCATTATGTCCTAAAATACTTAAGAAAACACTAAAAAGACAAAATCATGGCATCAAGTCTCAAATACGCTAAAGCAAAGCATCTAGGTGGAACACCCACTAATTACAGTTAGGCCAATTTTCTTGGCACTCTCAGGTTTTATCTCATGACAAAGTCAACACCTAAAGTGGATAGGAAGACGCTTTGTAGTTTTATCATGTTATGCCTACTGGTCTATACCCAGAGTGTATTTTAACCAAAGAAAAAGAATGCCCAAATGTTGATTGTTGAGGCAATTTTAGGTCAATTCTCAGACCTCCATCCGGTTCCCCAACTGCCATCTCACTCCCCATTTAGAAACAACATCTTTCAGAAACAAGTAAGCAGAAGCTATAGGGGGGGACTACTGATTGCTCATTGCATACTGGCTGCTTCTTCCTCCAGAAGAAATGATCTGAAGATGGTGAGAGAAACATCCTAAATACATTGAATGCTGGGACTTTTAGACTGTTGTGTATTATATCTTCTCAGAGTTTCAAAGGACCAGGCAGGAGGTAAAAGAGAAATCACCACTCAGTTAAAAACTAAAAATCATATTGGAATCTGGGCAATCAACTTCCTTTCTAGATGTGAATCTGAGAAGGAGATTTTGTTGCCATTGTTGCCATGCTATTTTTTTGGTCAGAGAGTGTGTCTAAGGACAATCCACTCATCCTATATTCTGAGAGTCACTGAGTTTAGAAAGTACTCCATGTAATGATTTGTAAAGAGAGGTAAAAAGAAACAAAACATTAAGCACCAAGAATTACTGTGGAATAAGGGAAAAATAATTACCAACCTGGAAGCCCAAAGGAAGAATATGTTTTTAAAATTGATTTCTTGTAAGACTCAAGAGAACATTTCTGGAACCTGTTTGCTATGTTCAATAAAATGCAAAAAGAAATGCTTCATGAACCTCCATGGAGCAGGATAATCAGCCTACAAGGAAAAGGGTGAGGTACAAAAGAGGGACAGAAAAGCTAAAAGAGAATTTCAACAAAACTTAAGGTGTAACAGAAAAATTAAGCCACACACTTTAAAAGGTACTGAGAATACTAAACTCTAGTAATGGTAATACTGAAGCAGGAATGAAGTGACAGGGAGGATGGGCTGAGAAGCTGTCATAAAATGTACAGGATGAGGACAAATAGATGAAAAGTATGAAAGGAACATGATAGTTTATAAGACCTATTATGGAGCTTCAATATGTAACTAACTAGTGGTCCTGAATAAAGAATTACAACATAGTAAACAGAAGCAGTAAATAAAAGTATAACAGAAAAATTGACTGTTTGACCTACATATTCAGAATTGATTGACTTTACTAACTTCAAGATAAAATGATAAAGGAGACCCACAAAACTCATATTGAAAACTTCTGAATTGCAAAAGAAACAAATAATAATTTAGAAACTCAAGTATCCAAATAGGGGGGAAATAGGAAAAGAAGCGATTTTCACCAAAGAAAAATGTATCCAGCTAGCTTCAGACACTAACTGTAAATATTTCAAAAAAAGAAAAATAAGAATTTTAAAAGGATGATATTGTGAACCAAGAATTTCATATCTACACAATGTATTTTCTTATGTAAAAACCATTTAAGGATGGTTTGTATGTATAAAAGATCAGCAAAATGAATATTTATGTACATTTACAAAACAAATGACTTGAAAGATTGCTCTAAATTAATCTAAAAGAATCAGATTTTAAAACCCAAACATGGGAGGGTCATGGCACAAAAGGATTGGGAGTTTTGCCTTTATCTATTTGGATCAAAATTTTAGGTGCAATGTTAGATATTTCATCAAGCAGTAGAGTATTTCTGTAATCCTGTGATTTCATTTGATTCTCTTCAACTCCGACCGCTTCCCCATCACCAGGAAATATATTTCTCATGTCTCATTGCAAACCTCACAGTTCAGATGGAGCCTCTTGTTAGGTCCAACGACCTAGGAAACTAACTAGCACTTGCGAGATGTCCAAAATATCATACAGTTGGCCCTCTGTAACTGTAGGTCCCATATCCATGGATTCAGCCAACTACAGATAAAAAATATTCGGAAAAAACTGCATTTGTACTTAACATATACAGACATACTCTTGTTGTTATTCCCTAAACAACTATTGCCATTGTATTTGGTATTACAAGTAATCTAGAGATTATTTAAAGTATGCAGGAAAATGTGCATAGGTTATACACAAATACAACACCATTTTATATCAGTGACTACAGCATTTGCTGTTTTGATATTTGCGGGAGGTCTTGGAACCAATTCTACATGGATACTCTGGGACAACTGTATTTACATGGCTGAGAATTATGCTTGATAGTTTCTGTTTGCTATCTATATGGCAATATATTGTCAACTTTTTAAAATCATTTATTTCTCTCATTAATGAGGCCTTTATCACGACTAGATTTGTTTTACAGATTAGGAAATTTAGGATGCTTGGCCAACTTTCTCAAGACACCACACTAAGTAAGAAATAAATTTGAACTTACATTTTCTGACTTCAAATCAGATATGTGCTCCATATCTTGCCTAACATAGGACTGCTTCATAGATTTTTAGAAAATGGTAATTTGTATTTTTTTTTGGTTGTATACCATCATTTGAGTTGAAAAAAGGAAACAATCTTCATGTCACTTAATACTTCAATCAGTTTAACCTTATTGTTCAACTCTCAAGTGTACAATTATTGTGCATAATGGTATTAATATGTAAAAAATTACTTTTCTAATATTCAGTTGATATGACAGTAGGTTCCAAACTGCTTTTTTGACATCTATTTGTTTGATTACTCTGAATCAGATAGTTTAGCATTACATTTTTTGGAAAGAAATATGAGGACCCTTAGTTAGCTACAGTAAAGCTTTTTTTTAAACAATAAATTTTGATATAATTTCAAACTTACAGAAAAATTGCTGAAACAGTACAAGAAACTCCTATATACCATTTACCCAAATTCAACAATTATTTGTATGCTGCCTCATTTACTTTATAAATCTCTGTCTCCCTCTTCATATGTATACATACATGCAAATTTTCCTTTAAATATTTGAGAATACATTGGAGACATTGTGCCCCTCTACCCTTGAATAGTTTATCATGTGTTTCTGGGAAAACAAGAGCAAAAAATGAAATCTCTATGTTCTCTGAAGTAGTTAAAACCCAATTATAGAAATCAGAAAAACTTAACATCCATAAAATACTATTATCTAATTCACAGTCCATACACAAAATTCATCAATTATCCCATTAAGATCCTTTATAACCCACCCCATTCTGTCTCCATCCAGGATACAATTCAGCATCAGGCACTGCATTTAGTTATCATATCTCTTCTTTTCTTTCTTTATGGAGAAGCTTGAAGTCCAAAACACATTTCTTCTTATGGCCAGTAAAGTTTGGAGGCAGACCAGTTGTTCACCATCCTGGTTTACATTTAGACTTATCTGGGGAAATCTGCAAAGCCGTTTTACTATTCCCACACTACCCTTGCTGACTCAGAATCCCAGGGAAGGAATTGCCCCAGAACTCATATTTGTTTTTTTTTATTCTTCAAAAGATCTAGTCATTCTGATGATCAGCTAGCTTTGAAATCCCTGAGGTCAACCAATGCTAAACTTGGAGAAGGAGAGCAACACTGCTGAGGCTAGCCAGAGAGGCAATATTAGAGAGAGAGAGAGAGAAGAAAGATGACAGGAGAGAAGAGGAATGACAGAGAGGAATCAGAGGCATGTCATAGAAGGTGGAAGCTTTTCCAGTAGGTACTTAAGAATATTTACCCCAAAACGACCACTAGTAAAGACAGCTCTGGAAAGAGTAAAACAGAGACCCTTTTGGCTTTCATAATTTTAAGATATCTGTAAGCAGCTTGTTTCTTGAACAATTATAACCTATTTGGCAAGAAAACATTTCTGTAACCATGTAAATCTGAAGAACAAAATTAGTGTAATTACCTTCTCATCACCTTTAATATATGAAAATTCATCATAAATCTGCAAAAGTACAAAGTATTTCCCCAATTTGCTTGACATCACCTTTCTGGAGGCATGCCTGTTAGTTAACACCTCCACTTCACTGCCTAAGTGACTTTAGAAGTTGCATTAGATTCTGAAAAACTGCACCATGTAACTCAGGTAAATTTTGGTAAAGACATTCATAAGGGCAAAATTATAAAGAAATATCTTTTCTCTAACTGTTTTTAGTTTAGGATTACATATAAGCAAAGAACAGCTAATACTACCAACAAAGTCACATAAGAGTATAAAATCATGAGCAGAATTATACATGAACCATACAAGTGACTAATGAAGAACCATATAAATTGTCAATAGCAATGAAGATGATGGTTAGCCAGATCAAAAAAGATGTATTCTGAGGCAAAAATATACAATGTTGAGACCTTTACTCCTAAATACATAACTGTCTTCACTAGAAGATACAAATATCAAATTTTAAAAACTTGTTGTATTAAAAGCTCTTCCTAAATCCTCTTTGAGTTCCTATAATTTAAAAAAATTCCATAAAGTTAAAAAAAGTAAAATCTTAAAGCAATAGTTCAAAGATCCAAGCCACCTTTGTTTTTCCTCCAATAAGAAATACTAGAGTTGTTCCTATAGAGCCCAGTCATTCAAAATATTAAAAAATAGGGCTGGTATACTTGATTATCTCCATAATTGCTGCTTAAGGAAAATATACAGTTTTATACTTTTAGGAGTCTATTGTGTTTATGTTATTACCATATGATATGACAAAGTGAAAATTAAGAAGCAGCTTTAGGTTGGCTGTGCTCAGCTGGGGTGGTTTTCTATTTTTTGTGCTATAGCTGAGGTTATTCATGTGCTTGCATTTAGTTAGGTCTCTGCTGGTCATGGACTATCTAAGATATCCTCATCTTCCAGGGTCTTTCCTCCATAAAGTTCCCCTTTAGTTCAACCTTCTTTACAGCATGGCAGCTGGCTGCCAAGAAGAATCATGCCAAGAAGACAAGTCCCAGTGTACAAGTATTTATTTGTCAAGCTTCTGCTTGCATCACACTTGCCACTGTCCCGTTGGGCAAAGCATGTCACATGGCCAAGCCTAGAATGGGAAAGAACTATACCAGAGTGTGAATACTATGAGACATGGTGCTTTAGAAGCCATCAGTGTAACAGCCTGCCAAGCGGAAGGGTTTTAGATGCATTTCTGTCTGTGCTGGCTAATAATTTGCATCTGATTATCCATCTTCAAATATTGCAACTCTAGACAAGGATAAAGCAAGAAACGAAGATAGGTATATATTCATAAAAGTGCTTAGAAATATCCATCAAGATATATAGATTTTGTGGCTAAATATATTAATTACTCTAAATGGAATCACATATTATTTGATTAGCCAAGATTAGAACTGATAGTTGAGCTGTTTCTAATATGTTGACTACTAAAAGTAATAGCACAGCTAATATCAGAGTGTAATAAAACAGAAACATTAGGCTAGGACATAGGATCACATAAGTGTCATCAAACTATGTACCTATAAGGGTATCATTTAAGTTCTTTAGGCCTCAGTTTTTTATATATTAACACAAATGTCTTAAACTATATTTTTTCTTAGCATTTTTTCAGCTCTAAAATTTGCCACATCTTTAAAAATTCTTTAAGTATTATTAGCAACACAAACACACACACACATACAATGTCACCCAAATTCCCTCATTAATCAGTTAGCTATGCCAGGGATTGTGAGAAATATGTAAACGTTAATTTGTGGTTATTAAAGATTTAATTCAACTAATTGGGCCCTGTTAGTTACCTATTAAAATCTCAGTCACAACCGATAACATGGTCAAGAGGGTGTTTCCATGGTCTAGGTTCCCCTGGATATTACCAGATAGCATCATGATTAGAAATAAACAATAAACAAGGTTTTTATTGGGGGGGGGGAGGCTAAGGATACTCTGTATAAATGTGTAAATATTATAATTAAAAGAAGAAAAAGGGAGGTTACAATGTCCTAATGTACTGGGAGCTAAGGAGTGCTTGTAATCTCTGGTCATCAGAGATGGTGTACAAGAAATGTTTCTTACTTTAGAATTCTTCTTCCCAGATTTTTATCCTTTTCAACACAATGAGGCGACTGAAGCAACAGAATATTCATAACTCCTCCTCCTCCTCTGCCCCTATTAATTCTTTCCTCCTCCAGCCATTTAGTTTAGATTTTCTTTTACTCTTACAGACAAATCACCCGAAGTTTACGGCAATCTAAGGCATTAGCTGTGTCTACAGATGAGCTGATACTTGCAAGACAGAACTTTTGTCAGATCCATAAATTGCTTTCTATTGTTCCTTTCTCTAGTGCTCATATTCTTGCCCTTGGACATTGCTAAATAGTTATTCTACTTCCCATTTGTATATATGGCATCTCCAAATAAGCTAGTTCATTCCCCTCCTTTCCTACCTCCTTATATGCCATATCCTTCATACTAATTGGTCCATCCTTCTGAGAAGGTAAGTTCTACATGACATATAGGCTTTATGGAGTGCTGAAATATGCTTTGCATCCACAGTGGAATTTCCATGCAGGATTTTTTTTTTGTCTTGGCTCATTGATTATTAAATCAAGTTTTCTGTGTCCTGAATTGAGTCTTCTACTTCTTTTAGGTTGATCTTGCTGTGAAGTAAATACTGTATAGAGTTGTCTGAAATAACTTTCTAGGATGATAGGCATGTTCTCAATTTGCATTGTACAATACTCTACTCTCTAGCCACATGTGGATATTGAGCACTTGAAATATATTTTGTGTGACTGAGAAAGTGAGCCTGTATTTTAATTAATTTTAAATTAAATAATTATGTATGACTAATAGCCACCATGTACTGGTAGTGTAATGGCAGAGAGAGTAGCCATTTTGCACTTTAAGAGTTATTTTCTTGACTTCCTGACACAGATATTTCTTACACATGGAATGTCCAGCCTTAGAAAATGTTACCCAGTCTAATAGATCTAGATCCAGATTTATCTTCTACAGAGTATCTTCTTGCCTTTGAGTCTGTACTGATCCTCTTTTTGTTGAAACATTAAGTGTACCTTGCCTCTGGCACTTAGAGCAGACTATTATGCATTGTAATTTATCTGCATCACAAAAGTGTGATTTTTCTCCATAATCAGATTTAAAACTCTTTGAGGTCAGAAACTCTAACATTTCTTTTGCATTCCTCTTGGCAACAAAGCATATGCTGGGTACCTGGTTGTTGCTCTGTAAGTATTTATTGCATGGATAAATAAAGTAGGTTACATCAGGGAGTACGGTGACTGGGCAGATGGTGTCCAAATGACAAAAGCCCCACTTCTTCCTGCTTGAAGTGATGGCATATTTTGATAAATTTCCCATAAGGTCCTAGAAAAGTATCTGAGAACTAGAATATGCACTTAAGGAGGCTGGCAAGGAGAGAGCCAATTTCATGGAACTTGCAACGTGTAGTTATACAACTGCAGTATGTTGCATACAAGGGCCTCTCTGATTTCCTCCCAGTATAAAATACACTTCAGCAGAACAGAGTACTGGAGTGAAATTGTAAGCTTTCTCTCATGTGTGTAGAAAGCCACATGGTGGCTCCCACCACTAGTGATTTCAGATCTGTGTAATAGTTCTGGTTTGACTTTTTACAAGTTCTTGAAATTGTTGGCTATGTTATTCGTATATACTGTGTAGTCAAACTGTTAGTGTAAAGACTATTTTCCTGAACTTTCTAGAGCTGAGTAGGATAAGAAAACAAAATGATAAAGCAAGGAATACAAACAATGCAACACACTGCTAATGATTTTAAATCATGCAGACAAAAAGTTTCTGAATAGCTCATGAAATTCTTGATATGTTTGAAAAAATATACCATTTGAAGTAACAATACAGTGTCACTAACATTTTTGAAAATAGTCAACAATGTTTAGAATTTGTTTATACATATGGCATGCATTTTAGATGTAACAGCCAGGAAAATCTCATTATTGTAGACTTCACTGGAAGATCTCTGAGGTCCCTTCCAGCTTTAAAATGCTGAATATAATTCAGAATTTATGATAATTTGAACTAGGCAAGGCTGAAATTTACTTTTGTATGATCTATGAAGCAAGGATTTGCTAATAGTGTAAACAAGATTGCTTGAGGCTTTTAACCAAGCCGTTTTTAAAGATTTTAACACGTTGTGTGATACAAATGGGTCTAATTTCAAATGATTCCCACCTATTTATTAAAGCACGCAATGAAAGACTGTTACTTAGAAGTGCTTTTATTAGCAGCTAAATGTACACTGTGAATTTGAAAATAATAAATCTGCATTTCTTATTAGAGTATATGGTTTGTGTTTTACTTAATTCTGTTTGGTTTCTCTAATGGTAGAAGATATCAATGAAGGTTTTCTGTAATTAGAAATGACTACTTCAAATACAATTGTCTATTTCATTAGTTTATTTTTCCCCTTCTTACTTTATGCATTCTTTATCACCTTGATCTATTTAAAAATATATTTATGAGGCACTGATATTTCACAAGCAATGTAATTACTCTTTGAGGAATAATTAAAAACTTAGGGCTTCTTAAATTTGGCTGTAATTCTGATATCTATTTACAATTATTCAAGAGTACAATGGATTAATATAGAAAGTGTAAGATTAGGTTGATTCCTGTAAAGCTTTAATTTTCTTCTTCAGCATGTTGTCATCATAATTTGTTTCTCTTGATTTTAAAACAATTCTCTGTGTACATAAAGGCTAAGAAATATTCTGTACTTTACTATGAAACTAAGATTCTACTCTAGGCAAAAGAGCTTGAAAATTTACTTCACTTACAAATAGCAAAAATCCTTCTAAAGGCCTGTAGAGATAATACATATAGTATAATTTACAAAAATGAATATAAAAAGATTTACTTTGTAAAATCTTATATACAGTTCAGAATGATAATTTGAAATTGAAATTGAATTTAAAACACAATGTAGGAAATATTTGATATCACTTGCTGTATGTTGACAAAGCTAAAACACAAAATCATTTCTATTAGAAGATGTTTGTGTAAAAATCTTTATGGTTTCCCTTCACAAGTGTATTTTTAAAATGACATATTTTTGTAGCATGTAGGATGGTGGTATTTTATAACACCATTTTCTAGATTCTATAGTCCATGTTTATACTAACAGAGAGTGATGCTATAATAATAACAGTCACGATTTACTGTAAAACTTTTACATCATAGTCCTTTGAACATATAAAAAACTTTAAAAACATGTATTATTGTATACTTTAGTTAAATAATATTCACTAAATATCTAATGTGTTGCTTAACCTGGCCTAAATATTCTGTACTATCATCCTTAATCCTCACAAAAACCTATGAAATAAGAACTATGATCATCTCCAAGTTATAAATGGGGAAATTGAGGACTTGAAGGAGACAGTAACTTGCATAAGAGATTCACGTGGTTGAGAAAGCATTTGAATGTACATGTCTGACTCTAAAACTTGTAACTCTAAAACTCTTACCCCTCTAGTTTTTCTGAGTAAAGGGTTTATTTTCTCATGGTGTCGCCCTAATCACCTTAATGCCTTAATATCTCCATATATTAAATACAAATTTCATTATTGTTGCTAAAGAATGGGAGCTCTTCTTTGAAAAGGGATGGAATTACTCTATTTGAAAAGGTGAAGAAAGTAGTCTAGGGTATTAAACGTTTTCAGTGGTGGCTTAACAAAACTTGAATACAGTTATTGCCAAGTTATTTTGCTCACCAATCCAAGTGGGTACTTTTGAAATCCCATCTGGTTGCATCTACTTCTTGTGTTCCATCTATTTTTCAATGTTAAAAATTTCATCTGAAATTCTTTATACCAATGAAATGATTTCTTCTATCTCATTCAATTCAGGACTTCTGCCCCATGCCAATTGGTCTGAGATGGTAAGTTTCACTCATTACCTCTTAGCATAAAAGAAGTGCAATGATGTAGAAAATATAATCTGTTGAAGAAATATTGGTTGCTAGAGATTCCCATATATGAGGCTTAAATTTTAGTGATCCAAAATCCTTTTCTGTTTCATCTTTTTCATTTTGCTTCCTAAAATGAGTATTACTTCAGATTTTGCAGTAAGTACCCACTAAATGCAGATAGCACCCAATTCAAAGCAATCTCGGTTTTGACGCTACCATTTTAACCCCAACAGTGTTTTGGTTGGGTGAACCCTAATAAATGAAATCGCTAGGAATAATCAACACCAAATAAAACAGAAGGACTATAACTGCACAAGAAATAAAATGTGACTAAATAAAATTGGATATAGTATAAGATCTTATTGAAATATTCATCTATAATGTTCTATCCAGGAAAATTTGTCTTAGTAGAATAATCACCAAAAGCAAGCAATCAGAAAGTCTAAACATTAAGACATCTTTATATGAGCAAAACTGATTGATTAATCAGCTTTCTGTCATAAAATTTACTGATCAAAATTAAAATATTTTCAGTAAAAGAAAAATGGTAATTGACAAGAGGAAATTATTTAACTATAGTCTGTAAGAAGTTGACCATTGGATTAAATTGGTTCATGGATTTACTCTAAATAACCTTCCAATAAAGTTTATAAATATTTCAATAATGATAAATTATTTTATCTTATTAAAAAATTGTTTTAGATAGGCGCTTGCTCTGTCACCCAGGCTGGAGTCCAGTGGACTGATCATAGCTCACTGCAGCCTCAGCCTCCTGGGCTCAACTGATCCTTCCACTTCAGCCTTCCAAATAGCAGGGATTACAGGTGCTCACCACCACACCCTGCTGAATTTTGTATTTTTTGTAGAGATGGGACCTTGCTTTGTTGCCCAGGCTGGGATAAAATACTTATTTTTATAAATAGAGATTCAAAGTATCAAAAGCTGTAAAAGCACCAGGGTTGAAATATTTTGTGTTTTCCTCAAATCTATTGTTTCCATTCCTAAATCTATTTATGAAATGAATTCAATTATGATAAGATTTGTCCTATCAACTCATAGCGTTTTTGTGAAGATCGAATGAGATGACAACTACAAAAGTACTTTGTTAAATTTAAAGCATTATTTAGTGGTACTTATTATTTTGAACTGCCTGTTAAACATTCTTTGTTGAATGTATGACACAAATCAAACTTATGGCATTTTCCCAAAAAGTGAAACTCTCTCTATGACTTGCCCACCCTGTCAATGATACTACAATTCTAACGCTTCCTCAAAATTCAAGGGTTGAAACCTCAGCATTTCTTTTCTTTAATTTTTTAATTTTTTTGAGTTCCTTTTAACTCCTTTTCTATCATGATTATACAAGCCAAATAGAGCCAAACAGTCTAATCAACCAGACTATATGTGATAACCAAATTGTTGTCACATCTCAACTGCTACTCAGTTATAACTTTATCTCATTTTTATAATAGACATATTTCTGAAAATGTGCAGAAATTGATTTTTTTACAAATGAAATTTTATTCTATATACAATAAAGTGATTTTAAGGAGTTCTACTTTGAAATTTTGCGTAGAGTGAAAAATTCATTATCACTCTAGATTTTTCTATATGTCATTAAAACATGACATGCAAATATTATTTTCCATTTTCAAAGAAACTCTTGCAAAAGACATGCCAAATGTGGTTCATTGAAGATTCTCTTCTCTGGCAAAGCTAGCAATTCAATGACCCATTGAATTAGTGTCATTGTGGTTATGTGGTTTGGTTTTCTGCTTTATATTAAACCCCAAAGCTTTAAATAAATGAGTGTGATTATTTGAAAGTTTTAAGCAATAGTAAAATAAGGGCAGAGAAGAAGGAACAAAGAGTTATCCTGTAATTTATATTTGAGACAGTATGGATGACATTTAAGATATAACTGTAAGAAGCAAATTATAGTGACCATAACTCAGCTGCATGATCAATTTTATTTTCAGTGGGACTTGGAATAAAATAATATAACTCAGTAGAACAAATTTTGTTGCCCAGGATAACTGTTGAGAGTATTTGAATTCATTGCATGGGAAAGAGGCATCTTAAAATTTTTTAATGATAAAATTTTAAAAAAATGGTAATCATGCATGTTATTAAAATTAGTGCAATAGAGTCATCTTAAGCATTGACTTTCCTATGGTAGGAAGTTTTTATTTGAAGAGTTTCTGAGGATTATTTTGTCATCTCATATACTCCTTAAAAATTTCTAAGAATATCAGTGAAACCACATGATGCAATTATGGTCAACTTAAATGACATGGTCATGGTTCAATGACAGAGGTTAATTGTGCATGTAAGCTTTCCTATGTAACTACTGAAATTAAAAGCTGATAGACCTACGTTTTAATTTGCCCAGGTTTTAGGTATTTCTGTGTGTCTACTATAGTAGAAACAAAATTGACATGTGGAAAATATTACAATATATTGTAGTATAATTCTTTAAATATTTTAATAAAATCTGGGACTGGCCATACATTAAAATACAGTTCAAGCCTGTAATCCCAGCATTTTGGGAGGCCGAGGTGGGCAGATCACAAGGTCAGGAGATTGAGACCATCCTGGCTAACATGGTGAAACCCCGTCTCTACTAAAAATACAAAAAATTAGCCAGGTGTGGTGGCAGGCGCCTGTAGTCCCAGCTACTTGGGAGGCTGAGGCAGAAGAAAGGCGTGAACCCGGGAGGTGGAGCTTGCAGTGAGTCGAGATTGCACCACTGCACTCCAGCCTGGGTGACAGAGCGAGACTCCATCTCAAAACAAACAAACAAACAAACAAAACAAACAGTTCAAAATATATGAAGACATATAGACTAGCAGGACAAGCCATGTGCAATTAGGTTACAGCTTCTAAAATGAAAAATGACATTGTATGGATTTCCACGTTTCTCTAGGAAGAAAAAAAGAAGCAAATAAAATTAGAACAAAAATTTTGTATTACTCACCCAAAGCCACTGTGGACCAAGTGGCATCAGAGTGGTACAAGCAGCACCTGGATCCTTAACGCCTAGACTAGGTATGGAAAGAGACTAATTCACTGGCTAATAACATTAATATCTGAACTGGTCTTAAGAGATAACATACATTAGCATGTTGAATCACACTGTTATTTTCAAACTGTAGGGTTCAAATAGACAGTGATGATAATGAAGTTTAGCTCAGTCCCAGAAAAACACAGATATTTTTTCATAAAATGGTTGAAGGTTTTATGACTAAAATTATGCTGAAATGTGTTTTTTAAGTTTAAGTGATCAATTCTTCTATGGTTAGTTTCCAGTGCAGTTTAGATTTCATAAAAATGTTCTTTTTAAAATAAAGGTAATTCAAAAGGTAATTCCCTTTTGAATTATTTTTGTGTAATTAACTTCACAAATGAGAAAGAAGAAAAACAGTCTATTATCAAACCACATATTTTGGTTTTAGGGCCAGAATACATGAATATTTTATCCATAGCCTAACACCATATTATTTTAATATTGTTTTCATTAATTATTGACATATATAATACCCCTTAAATATTGAAGAAACTATAATCTCTAAAGTCTTGAGCTATTATTTTCTGTTTGTAAACAAGAAATGTTTAAAATCTGAATTTAACCTAAACCAACCGGGCACAGTGGCTCACACCTGTAATCCCAGCATTTTGGGAGGCCAAAGTGGGAGGACCACTTGAGGCCAGGAATTCAAGACCAGCCTTGGCAACATGGCGAGACTCTGGTCTCTACTAAAAATTAGTCAGGCGTGGTGGCACGTGCTTGTAATCCCAGCTACTCAGGAGGCTGAGGCAGGAGAATCACTTGAACTCGGGAGGCGGAGGTTGCAATGAACCAAAATTGTGCCCGACAATTTTGTTCTCCCACAAAAAAGAAAGAAAGAAACAAAAGGAAGGAAGGAAGGAAGGAAGGAAGGAAGAAAGGAAGGAAGGAAGGAAGGAAGGAAGGAAAGAAGGAAGGAAGGATGGATCACCTAAACAAGGTGGGTGGGATGAAAAACATTGGCTTTTTTCAGTCTTCAGTGATATCTTTTCTCTTTTCCTTCAAAACTTCTCTTCCTATGTTCCTTATGCCTTTTATTCCACAGGACTAGAAAGCAAGTGCTGATGTTACTTTCTATCTGTCTGTCTGCCCTTTTGTCATTGTTCTCATTCAGGCTCTTGGTATTCTTCAAGAGAACTATTAAACTCTGTGCTTTTTAGGCCAGGCACGGTGGCTTCTGTCTGTAATCCCAGCACTTTGGGAGGCCAAGGCCAGCGGATTGCTTGAGCCCAGGAGTTCGAGACCAGACTGGCCAACATGGCAAAACCCCGTCTCTACGAAAAACACATAAATTAACCAGGCATAGTGGTGCACACCTGTAATCCCAGCTACTCTGGTGGCTGAAGCACCTGAATCGCTTGAACCTGTGAGGCAGAGAGTGCAGTGAGCGGAAATGACTCCACTGTACTCCAGCCAGGGTGACAGAGGCAGACTCAAAAACAAATGAACAAACAAACAAACAGCTTTGTGCTTTCCACTTTCACTCTTGCTTCCATTCCCCAATTTATGAACTATTTTGCTACCAGAATTATCTATCTAAAATCTGAATCTGATCTGATTACTTCCTCTTTTATTACCTTTCAATACTGCTCTCAGGTAAATGATCACCCGCCCCAGACTTAGCTCCAATGACTCCATGCCTCACAATGAATAATCACAGCGAGTTATATGGCCCTCCATCATGAGTCCACACCACCTTTGGTGTGTATCCTCCTACCATATTATGCCATTCGTTAAGAAGCAGGGATTTGTTTTTTAATGAGCTTCTTTCTCTGTCTCTTGCAAATGTGAACCGGCCCTGGAATTTTTCATAAGCCCCTCTAGGGAAATGCTTTAAGGGGAAAAAAGAGGGGTTAGCACTATCTATAGGCACTTGCTGTGTGTGAACTTCTTTACATGACTTTGCTTAAGACCTCACAGCCACTTCATGGCCCAGGTATAGTTTTTATTTTGTGAATAAAAAGACTAGAGCTCAGAGAGTCTATCTACATTGTCAGAGATGATACCTTTGTCTAAAAAGTAAAGCCTAGAATCAACCATTTGATTTCTAGAATAAAAATCTTTGCACAGTACCTCACCCAGGTTCTAGAACTGTGATATGGGCCAGGAGCTGCCATTGGGCACATTAGGTTAGTGTATCCTCCTGTGATTTAATCACAACACAAAATAGATTTTCGTCTTTGAGGATTTCCACAATGACTTCTCACTACCCCCACAGGCCACAATGGGCCAATAGCCTCCACACTTTGTACTTTGATATTTTTGCTCAAAGGTGCACTAAATCCCAGTAGAGCCCCTCTACATGAATCTTGGGCTAGATCCTGTGCGGGTCCACATTCACAGGGCAACCCACTCGGAGTAGTAGGCTCCAATTCACAAGTCAAACACATATCACGGGAAATATCAGTAAATTGTACAAATTTCAGGATCCAGAGAAAACAACGTATGATCCTTTGAAAATCATTTTTTGAAAAATGCAATGTATATAACTTCAAAACTTTATGCAGAGTATTTGGCTAAAAAATATATGGACAGTAGATTTAATTTATAATGTTAAGACAGCTTTATTTATTCATTGTTTTGAGAATGGACATGAATACTTTGACATGAAGATGGCCAGGACATGGCAAAATGAGGCTAGACAGAGAAAAAGCACTGTGCCCATGCCTTTGTCAAATGTAGGATCCACCATGTTGCTTTTGCAAAACGAGGTTAGAAGGCAAAAATGAGGTTAGAAGGACAGAGAAAAAGCATTGTGCCCATTGCTTTGCCAAACGTACTTGAAAAAGAAGAGAATTTCCCAAGGCCCATATCTCTATGATAGAAATCTATGAGTTTGGGAAAGAGTTACGTGAGTAAAGATCATAGTTATCTAGCAGGAAAACTACTTGTCACCAAAAATAAATAAATAAACAAACAAACAAACAAATAAATAAATAAATACAGGTATATCCAAACAAAAACATTGTGTTTTAGTCTATTAAGGAGAATTTCAATGAAAGTTTATGATTGATTGGTTGTCATAATGGAAAATAGTTTCCCTGATTTTGCCTTATTTTCCCACTCTCCCCATATTTTTTCTTGTCTCTTGATTTTTTTTTTTTTTTTTTTTTTTTTTTTGAGACAGAGTCTTGCTCTGTCACCCAGGCTGGAATGCAGTGGTGTGATCTCAGCTCACTGCAACCTCCCCATCCCGGGTTCAAGCAATTCTCTTGCCATAGGCTCCTGAGTAGCTGGGACTACAGGCCTGTGCCAGCATACCTGGCTAATTTTTGTATTTTTAGTAGAGATGGGGTTTCACCATGTTGCCCAGGCTAGTCTCCAACTCTTGGCCTCAAGTGATCCTCCTATCTCAGCCTCCCAAAGTGCTGGGACTATAGGTGTGAGCCACCATGCCCAGCTATCTCTTGATTTTTAACATTCTCCTCTAATCCCTTGTACCTAAAAATTACAAAGTTTGTGACACATAACTTGGAAATTTTAAAATTCTATGGGTACTAGTACTGTTACATTTATTTTAGAACTGAAATGGAGTTTCCCAGAGACTCCGTGTGTTTCACAGTAAATAATGTGTTAAACAAAATAACCAGTCAGAATATATTCAGCCAGATTTCATGCAGGTCTGGGGTGAATTTTAAATTTTTCTCATCCCTAGCTTATTTAATTTTCTAGTATTTGACCTTCCTAAAAGCAGGCAACTGTTAACTTAATGCTAATGGTGAAAGCGAAAGCAACATGGTGGATCCTTCATTTTATTCTACTTCACTGCCAATTTGTGTAACTGGGAAGGACGTAAGTTTTTGCTCTCTGAAAAAAGAATGTATTTATCACATCTCCTCCCTTGCACAGAATGAGCAAGAATTTATATTGGGAATAAAAGGATAGTAGCTGTTTCTTTCACTTGCTACTTCAGTGGAAGACAGTAGGCAGGTAAAATCTTTTATATATATATAAAATTATATATATAATATATATTATATATATATAAAATTATATATATATAATATATATTATATATATAAAATTATATATACAATATATATTATATATATATATATATTTTTTTTTTTGAAATAGAGTCTCACTCTGTCACCCAGGCTAGAGTGCAATGGTGTGATACTGGCTCACTGCAACCTAAGCCTCTTAGGGTCAAGTGATTCTCTCTTCTCAGCCTCCCATGTCTGGGGCTACAGACACTTGCCACCACGCTTAGCTAAGTTTTGTATTTTTTTTTAGAGATGAGATCTCACTGTGTCACCCAGACTGGTCTTAAATTCTTTGACTCAAGGGATCAACCCACCTTGACCTCCCAAAAGGGTAGGATTACAGGCGTGAGCCACTGTGCCTGGCTGCATGTAATAAAAAAACTTACCAACTTCAATATACTCACAATTCTTATTTATATACAAACTACTTGCAATATGTTTTTCTTCTAGTGTGACTTGAGATTCTCTTTCATTGATAGGACTTAATAATCACAAAAATTAAGTCACATATTTTGAATTATTTCAAATATGTGGGAGGACAAGTATATGTAGAGGGGAAGAACTTCTAAAGTTGATATTTTATAATACTCAATGAAATGATTCACACACACATATATAATACATAAACGTCCATATTAGTAGAATATTTCCATATATCTTATACAGATGTTGAGCTATTTATTGACATGTGTGTGGAGAGGACTAAGACAAGTTTCCTGGTTAACTATGTTGATATTGGGCTATTCCTATACATAGTAATATTGCAGAAGAAAAGTGGGGAATAGAGGTGGCAGATGGCCAATTATAATACCAAATTTACATAATAAGGACAGGATTTGATTGGCCAGCAATGTAGCACACAGTCTTTTGTAGCATATTATATTATGTTAACATTAAGATAAATGTATGACAAATAAAAAATTAAATGATTTAAATAATTTGTGTCCAAGTCAGCATTAAAATACGGTTGCCTTTAATAAAATACTATTTTATGATCCACTCACACAGACTTTCTGTATCCAAATCATCCAGAAGATACCAACTCTTCTTATGGAACAAATCAATTTTAAACTCTTTCTTACAAAATTTATAATAAAATAAAGCTATCAGAATAATGGTATAAATTATTAGATAACTATGAATATATATAGATATTTCATTACAGGTAGAGGCAGTTTGTGGGGACTTTAAACACAGAGATATTAGAAGTCCAGGACAGGATTTTTGTATTTAGAGAAATGTTTGTTTTATGTGTGTGTTTTTTTTTTATGATGGGAATAGGAGGAAAGTACTCAATAGACTAGGACCTCTAATATGAAATTTACCAGCAGTGTAAATAACTATTCCCAGAACAACTTTAGATCTAGAATTTAATGTCATATCATAAGAGCTTCTTTACTTTTGTAGGCATGTTATTATTTCCCCATATGTTGAACTTTCATATAGTCAGTTTCTTTTAGGAAGAATAATGCTATATTGTGTTATTTATATGTCAGAGGGAGATGGATACATTTAACTGATATTATGGAATAGATATATAATCACTATTGTCACCTATTTTAATGTACTTTTAAAAGAAAATCAATTTTATTATTTATAACATACATGAGTGCATTCTCTATTTCAAATCTGTAACATTGTGTGTGACCATTTACTATTATTCTGGTTATCTAAATTAATTTTAAAAATTCATCATCATATATATAGTTACTTATTTGCCTTTGTTTCTTTGCTGAGCATATATATATATAATATTTTTGAAAGAGCTGAATTTAGATTTTTATTATGCTTTTGCTACCACTGTCTTGAATTTTATTTGTAGAGTACAAATATGAAGTCCTAAATGAGCTTGAATTAAGTTACACTATGTTTTTCATTAAATAGATTTTTTAAAAGAATAGGCTTTGGGGAGACAATAAATATACAATATTATAAAATTGTATTTTGCTTTTAACTTGAAATAAAAGTTTAATCCTGAATGGTGGAAATGGTACCTGAAATTTTTCCCTCAATGTTTTAACAGATGAGACTCTTATCTGTTATAAATTCTGGATTGTGGTTGTCACCAATTTTGTGAAAGAAAAAAGAGCATTGCATTAGCCAATGATTCTTTGTCAAGTTACACTATAAAGTATTATTGCATTTTGCAACCATTCACTGATATTAAAAGCTGGGATTTTAAAGAAAAGCTTTAGATTCAGGGCCACCAAACTTAAGGATTATCAAATTTGGGGACATTGTATGAGAGAAGCCCAGGTAGGCAGTTTCTTTCTATTCTCATTCTTACCTTGAGGAAAAAAATTTAGTCATTAATATGCAAATATTCCCCTGACTTTATTTTATTTTTAACTTATTTCTAGGTTCCCTGTTTTTCTCTGGGATTAAACTCTATATTAATAAGTTTTTATGCTTTATTAAACTATTTATTATTGAAACTATATTAATACATTTAATATGAAAAATTAAAGTCAAAATCTCTTCAACTGAACTAGAGAGCTGATTTGAATATCTAGCTATTCAGGAAACACACATACACACAAATCACATTTTACTTAAAAAAACCTAATACATTTTTGCAGTTGTTTGTTTTTTATATTTTGGTCTTGAACAATTTAAAGTCTGTTGATTTATTTGTTATACTAGTTGGTAGACTGATCATTCAGGCCACAACTTATTCTAAGCATCCTTAAATAAGATTTATCAAGAACAACCATGGATATAAAAGTAGAAGTATTTTTTTTCCCTTAAGGGATTTCAAATCTAGCTGTAGAGAAAAGTATTACATATGGAAACCAAGAAGAACTATTTTGGGCGATGGTGCCCCAAACACAGCTTCTTCTAAAGGAAACATCACTGGGCTAGCCCCTGATGGGGGCTGCTTCTTCCCAGGCTGCCATCTTCTGAATCAGGAATGGTTGGAATGAAGGAATTCTTGATCTTAGAGAAGCCAAATCACAGATTTGCCAGCAGCCAGTTAGCTAGAATAAAGGATGAGTAAAGCTAAGCAGATACATTTTTGAGTAATCAGGTTAATGCCTCAGGAATCAACTTAGCTAATCAGATTTGCTACTCCAAACAGGCCATGAAAGCTGAGTTTAGACTAAGGTGCCTGTGTGGGACCACATCAAAAGTCAAGTTTTGAAGTGGCACAGAGCTAAAATAAACCAAAAGAGGCGGTTGATACTGGAGAACAAGAAACACTTGTGAGGAGTATGGCTGTTAAGTATGATAGAGCACCAAGAAAAAGGTGATTGAATTCTTGTTTCTAAAGTAGCCAGGGCTAACTAAAATTCAGAAACACCCTTTAGCTCCAGCCTCTGGGACGGGCTTTCTGAATACGCTTTAAAAAAAATCTGAGTTTGACAAATGAGAAATTTTGTACAGGTTATTTTTTGGTGAATGTAGAAAGCAGGCTTCAGGATTTAATTTTTAAACCCGTTTCTTAAGTCATTGGTCAACAAACATTTTCTGTCAAAGGCCAGATGGTATTTTTTTGGCATGGTAGGTAGTGCAATCATTGTCACAGCTACTCCACCCTACTGTTGTAGTGAAAATTATTCTTTTTAAATATTTTTAACCACTAAATGTATATAAGTCATTCAGCCCTAACAAAATCAACCAGCAAATTCAATTTAAGCCACGCATCATAGTTTGCCTGACTTAAAAGCACGAGTCTGGAATTCCAGATTTCTCTACTCAGCACTCATTCACAACTAGGTGACGCTGCACAGGTGGCATTCCTTCTGGGCCTTGATTTTCTTCTTTACAGTGGGACAACTGGATTATATGAGCTTACAGACCCCTATCCCTCTAAATGCTAAACTTATTTTCTCTCTCTCTTTCTCCCTCTCTATATATAGAGAGATATCTAGCTATCTATATATATACAGATGTATATACAATATATAATATTTATCTATATGTAGATATCTAGCTATCTATCTCTATATAAATATATATTTCCTCTCTATATGTCTATATATAATATATAATGTTTATATATAGATATCTAGCTATCTGTATATAGACATACATAAAATATATATAAAATATATAAAATTTCTCTCTCATAGAGATATCTAGCTATCTATATATAGATATGTATAAAATATACATATTTATTTACATATAGATGTATAAATATCAATATTTATAGAAACATAAATATACATATTTATTTACATATATATATATTTTTGAGACCTGATCTCAGGATCTCATTCTGTCACCCGGGCTGGAGGGCAGTGGTGTAATCAGGTATACATCACCACATCTGGCTAAATTTTTTTGTTGTTGTTGTATTTTTTGTAGAGATGGGGTTTTGATCTGTTGCTCAGGCTGGTCTCAAACCCCCAAGTTCAAGCAATCTGCCTGCCTCGGCTTCCCAGAGTTCTGGGATTACAGGAGTGAGCCACTGCACCTGACTGTATATTTTGGTTAAATCATTATAAAAGTTTATTTATTTTATGCTTTAAAACTTATATCCCCATATTCTATGTTAATGTCTATAAAAATCTACTCTTTTTTGTCATTATGAAATAAATGGAAACATAAACAAAAATTTATCCAGCCAAGATATTTTGTAAGCATAAAATGTATTTATGTCTATTTTACAAAGCAGGTCCTGGCCTCTGTTTTCATTATCTCTAGGTTTAAGTAGTGATCTTCTGATAGTAAGTCTTCCAGTTTCTGTTCATTATTTGTAGTTCTGCATGAAGTGTGCTCATCAACTGATTTTTTAGGGGGTAGGGATGTCAAAGCTTCATAATTTCTATGTTTATTCAGGTACCCACTGTGGATACCAAAAACCAGAAAGTAATTAGGATTTAAAGACTTCCATCAGTTTTTTTGGGGGGTGGTGAGGGGAAGTTTTTCATTATTGTAAGAGCAAGTTGAGTGCCAAAGATAGAAAGATAGTTAATATTTTTAAAGCTTTCTGTGTAGTTTTCACTTCTGTTTTTCTGTTATTATAGTTTACAACATGTAGAGAACTGAGAGTGACTGAGAGTACTGAGAATTTAACCTTGAGGAGTGCTTAACACATGATTTCTTTTCAAAACTAGACCGTTACAGTCACAAGTCCAACTTATGCCACGGTTTGAAATCTCAATTTCATATTCTTTCTGTATTTTTATTTTCATCCCAACTATAAAATATACTATGCTTCTCTATTTTCACTCTAAATTATAAACATTTCTTAGTATTATTCTATGTTTTATTTAAAAAGCAACCTGGGCTGGGCACGGTGGCTCACACTTGTAATTCCAGCACTTTGGGAGGCCAAAGCCGGCGGATCACCTGATGTCAGTCAGGAGTTCGAGACCAGCCTGGCCAACACGGTGAAACTCCGTCTCTATTAAAAATACAAATATTAGTTGGGTGTGGTGGCATGCACCTGTAATTCCAGCTACTTGGGAGGCTGAGGCAGGAGAATTGCTTCAACCCTGGAGGCAGACCATTGCACTCCAGCCTGGGCAACAAGAGCTAAACTCCGTCTCAAAAAAAAAAAAAGCAACCTGGAAAACAGAAATTATTATGCTAACATTCAAAATGTAAATGTGTTCTCACTTCAGAGATTAAGGAAACTGGTTGGAATTTGTTTTGTAGGCTTCCGAAAGGCACTTACCTTCAGTCAGAATTGACTAGATCAAGGAACATTGTGACATAGATGAAGTTAAACCTGAGCATTTTGTTAAACACCCAATACCTTTTAGAGCCATAGGTCTCCGCATTGGGTACACATTCACCTCTCTTTTCCTTGCAGGACTCAAGCCCCAGAGCTTTTCTGTCTTCCTTTTCTCTTTCTGATTCCACTCCTCACACCCTGTTCTGCTCTACATTAATCTAATAACCTAAGGACTATATGTGTCAACATTTGTATTAGAATAGGAACTTTTTCAGAATCCAGTGGCTATCTCCAAAGTGAGTAGAGGTGATATCCAAGGTAGGTGGCCTTAAGCCCAAACCTACTCTGCCTATACCTAGGAGTAGCTCTGTTGGGTCCACATTACAATATTTTATTTTTACTTTATCCAAAAATCAACTTCATTCATTCATAAAAAAGAATTATATGAAGATCTTTTATAAAACAAACTAGGGAGTCCTCAATATTAGTGTGAAAATGAAAAAGACAGGATATTCTCAGTATTAAAATCTTTCTTGCCCCCATGATGTGCTGAGCACTATATTAGAGAATTCACTAAAAAGTAAATTATGGTCTGTGCTTTCCAGTCACCGGCTGTTTGATAGGAAATGCAGATACAAGTAAATAATTGCAATAAGATATTTAAAATGCTGTAATTCGAGGTACTAGATACACAGATGACACAAAGACAGAAGTGGTTAACTCTGTTGGTTGGGGCAGACAAGACTTCATAGGAGACCACTGAGTTAGATTTTGAAAAATTAACTTTACAGATGAAGAAAGTAATGAGGAGTTTTGTGCCAAGACGTGGTGGCATGAAACACATTTGCCTTCTATTTTGAATAAAGAACTAGTCTTGCGAAGACTTGAAGTCAATAGAAAATCCATTTTCACGAAGGTAGTAGCTACCTCCAATATTCAGGGGATAGTGGCACTGAATCAAGCTTCAATACACAGCCGTCAGTGGCATTGATAATGTGCAGTGATATACTTATTGGATCAATTAAATTGTATAATCACAGTTACTGTTCTGTCTATAGTTTCATTTTGTCCTAACATTTATAGAGCCTCACTCCAACCTTCCAGATTATTCCCCTAGTTATCCAATTTCCTTTCAATAGTGTGTTTCATTTTTCTTAACATAGCAACTGTTAGTTTCTGATGTACCTAGATACCCTGGCTCTTGCAGCAGTAAAGAACAGGAGTCTTGAATTTTGTGGTCATTTTTTGCAGAGGTGGAACAGTTCAGAGTGATGTGCTTTTGTGTACTGCACTAAAAGAGAGTTTAGTAGAGACACTGGGATTGAGGAGGTCTGTGGGACTAGGGTTTTGGGTAAATTATTCATATGAACTTTGGAATTACTCACGACCATGACTGTATTTGGGATAGTAAAGGTTTGGTGTTTTTTTTTTTTTTTTTTTCCCGGAGTCTCGCTCTTGTTGCCCAGGCTGGAGTGTGGAGTGCAGTGGCATGATCTCGGCTCACTGCAACCTCCGCCTCCTGGGTTCAAGTGATTCTCTTGCCTCAGCCTCCCGAGTAGCTGGGACTACAGGTGCCCACCACCACGCTCGGCTGATTTTTTATATTTAGTAGAGATGGGGTTTCACCATGTTGGCCAGGCTGGTCTCAAACTCCTGACCTCTGATAATCCACCCGCCTCAGCCTCCCAAAGTGTTAGTATTTACAGGCTGAACCACTGCACGCGGCCGAGGTTTGGTGTTTTTAATGAATTTGGGTATTTGGCTTTGTTAGTGTGTTCTCATGCTGCTAATAAAGACATAACTGAGACTGGGTAATTTATAAAGGAAAGAGGTTTAATGGACTCACAGTTCCACATGGTTGGGGAAGCCTTACAATCATGGCGGAAAACGAAGGAAGAGCAAATGGACTTCTTACATGGTGGCAGGCAAGAGAGCCTGTGCAGGGGAATTCCCCTTTATAAAACCATCGGCCATCGGCCAGGCGCAGGGGCTCACGGCTGTAATCCCAGCACTTTGGGAGGCCGAGGCAAGCAGATCACGAGGTCAGGAGATTGAGACCATCCTGGCTAACACAGTGAAACCCCGTCTCTACTAAAAATAAAAAAAAATTAGCCGGGCGTGGTGGCGGGCACCTGTAGTCCCAGCTACTCGGGAGGCTGAGGCAGGAGAATGGCGTGAACCCGGGAGGCGGAGCTTGCAGTGAGCTGAGAGTGCGCCACTGCATTCCAGCCTAGGTGACAGAGCAGGACTCTGTCTCAAAAATAAATAAATAAAATAAAATAAAAAATAAAACCATCAGCTATCATGAGACTTACTACCATGAGAACAGCACAAGAAAGACCCACCCCCATGATTCAATTACCTCCCACCAGGTCCCTCCCATGACATGTGGGGATTATGGGAGCTACAAATTCAAGATGAGATTTTGATAGGGACACAGCCAAACCATATCATTCTGCTGCAGCCCCTCCCAAATCTCATGTCCTCATATTTCAAAACCAATCATGCCTTCCCAACGGTCCTCCAAAGTATTTTTTTTTTTTTTTTTGAGACAGAGTCTCTCTGTGGCCTAGGCTGGAGTGCAGTGACACGTGATCTTGGCTCACTGCAACCTCTGCTTGCTGGGTTCAAGCAATTCTCCTGCCTCAGCCTCCTGAGTAGCTGGCACTACAGGTGCATGCCACCATGCACAGCTAAAGTTTTGTATTTTTAGTGGAGACAGGGTTTCACCATGTTGGCCAGGCTGGTCTCGAACTCTTGACCTTGTGATCCGCCTGCCTTGGCCTCCCAAAGTGCCGGGATTATAGGTGTGAGCCACCGCGCCCGGCCCCAAAGTCTTAACTCACTTCAGCATTAACTCAAAAGTCTACATTCCAAAGTCTTATCAGAGACAAGGCAAGTCCCTTCCACCTATGAGCCTTTAAAATCAAAAGCAAGTCAGTTACTTCTCCAATACAATGGAGGTACAGGCATTGGGTAAATATATCCATTCCAAATGGGAGAAATTGGCCAAAACAAAGGGGCTACAGGCTCCATGCAAGTCTGAAATCCAATAGGGCAGTCATTAAAACTTAAAGTTCCAAAATGATCTCCTTTGACTCCATGTCTCACATCCAGGGCATGCTGATGCAAGAGGTGGGCTCCCATGAGCTTGGGAAGCTCTGCCTCTGTGGCTTAGCAGGGTACAGCTCCCGTCCTGGCTGCTTTCATGGGCTTGCATTGAGTGTCTGCAGCTTTTCCAGGCCCATGGTACAAGCTGTCAGTGGACCTACCATTCTGGGGTCTGGAAGACCATGGCCCTCTTCTCACAGCTCCACTAGGCAGTGTACCAGTGGGGACTCTGTGTGGGGGCTCCCACTGTACATTTCACTTCCAACTGCCCTAGCAGAGATTCTCCATGAGGGCTCTGCCCTTGCGGTAAACTTTTGCCTGTATATCCAGGTGTTTCCATACATCCTCTGAAATCTAGGAGGAGGTTCACAAACCTCAATTCTCGATTTCTGTGCATGCTCAGGCTCAACACCACATGGAAGCCCCCAAGTGTTGGGGTTTACACCCTCTGAAGCCACAGCCCGAGCTGTATCTTGTTTAGCCATGGCTGGAGCTGAAGCAGCTGGGATGCGGGGCACCAAGTCTCAAGGCTGCACACAGCAGTGGGGCCCTGGACCCAGCCCAGGAAGCCATTATTTCCTCCTAGGCTTCTGGGCCTGTGATAGGAGGGGCTGCCATGAAGGTCTCTGACATGCCCTGCAGACATTTTATGCATTGTCTTGGCTGTTAGCATTTGGCTCCTTGTTACTTATGCAGATTTCTGCAGCCAGCTTTAATTTCTCCCCAGAACATGGGTTTTTCTTTCCTACTGCATCATCAGGCTGCAAATTTTTCAAACTATTATGCTCTGCGTCCTCTTGAACACTTTGCCACTTGGAAATTTTTTCCCCCAGATACCCTAAATCATCTCTCTTAAGTCCAATGTTCCACAGATCTCTAGGGCAGGGGCACATGCTACCATTCTCTTTGCATAGCAAGAGTTTCCTTTAATCCAGTTCTCAAGAAGTTCCTCATCTCCATCTGAGACTACCTTAGTATTGCATGCTTTGTCAGCCTGGACCTTATTTTCCATATCACAATCAGCACTTTGGTCACAGCCATTCCATTCAACAAGTCTCTAGGAAGTTCCAAACCTTCCCACATCTTCCTGTCTTCTGAGCTCTCCAAGTCTCTATGAAGTTCCAGACTTTCCCACATTTTCCTATCTACTTTGGAGCCCTCCAAACTGTTCCAATCTCTGCATGTTACCCAGTTCTAAAGTCGTTTCCACATTTTCAGGTGTCTTTACAGCAGCACCCCACAACCTGGTACCAATTTACTGCATTACTCTGTTCTCACACTGCTAATAAAGACATACCTGAGACTGGGTCATTTATAAAGGAAAGAGATTTAATGGACTCACATTTCTATATGGCTGGGGAGGCCTCACAATCGTGGCAAAGATGAAGGAAGAGGAAAGGGACATATTACATGGTGGCAGGCAAGACAGCATTTGCAAGGGAACTCCCTTTTATTATTTTATTTTATTTTATTTTATTTTATTTTAGTTTAGTTTAGTTTAGTTTCGTTTCGTTTCATTTAGTTTCGTTTTTTGAGATGGATTCTTGCTCTGTCTCCCAGACTGGAGGGCAGTGGTGCAATCTTGGCTCACGGCAACCTCTGTCTCCCAGGTTCAAGGAATTCTCCTGCCTCAGCCTCCGAGTAGCTGGGACTACAGGCATGTGCCACCATACCTGGCTATTTTTATTTTCTTATTTTTAGTAGAGACAGGGTTTCACCATGTTGGTCAGACTGGTCTTAACCTCCTGACCTCACATAATCCACCCACCGTGGCCTCCCAAAGTGCCGGGATTACAGGCATGAGCCACCACACCCAGCTTCCCCCTTATAAAACAGATCTTATGAAACTTACCACTATCATGAGAACTGCACTGGAAAGACTCACCCCCGTGATTCAATGACCCCCCCGCCAGGTCCCTCCCACAATATGTGGGAATTTTGGGAGCTACAATTCAAGATGAGATTTGGGTGGGGACACAGTCAAACTATATCAATGACCAAGAGGGTAATAAATGGCAGATAGAGATGTTGAGAGTATGTAGCCAGGTGTCATGGGCCTAAAAAAAAATTGCAAGTGAGTGACATTATGGTGTGAAAAGACAAAAATAGGAATTAAGATGACCATCTACTCTCTTCCAAGCCCTCATGGTGTTTTGGACATTTGAGAAAGCTATAGAAAAGTATATGAATGATTTATGAAGATGTAGAAGATGCAGAAAAATTATTTATAAGGAAATGGGATTCCAGAAGGCACAAAGGAAGAGTTGAAAAGGCAGCAATAGGGAATTAGTTGGTGTGAAGTATAGAATTACATCAGATTAAGAAATAAAAGGTGATAGATTATAGAAAGGGACTTTACTTGGCCAGTGTCCTTGGACATCAAGGATGGGTAGCACGGCAGGCTAGAATTTTGAACAGAATTCTAGTAGAAGGATGTTTCTATGTTGGGACTAGGAGTCTATGAATGGTGAAGAGTTGGATTTGGAGCCTCTTACCAGTCAGCAGTGTTGCACACTGCTGTCTGGACATCTTGAGAGAAAATTGGTAAATGTTTGTTTTGATTTTTCTGATTAGCTTAGGTTTGGGCCTGGCCTTCTCAACCTTGACACTATTGACGTTTTAGCCTGATAATTCTTTGTTGTAAGAGGACTCTCTTTTGCATTATAGAACAAACAGCAACAAACCTGGCTTTACTCACTAGTTGCCAATGCACTATCCTCCCAGATGTGACAATCCCAGATGTCTCCAGACATTGCCAAATGTCCCAGGTTGAAAACCGGTGGACTAAGCTCTTCTACAATTTTGTAGGGCAGGATGAAGTGGTACTAAATCTGAAATATTAATGACAGCTTTTATTAAAACTTCTTGGCTTAGGCAAGGAATTGTGCATTGGAGTAGTAATATTCCAAAGCTAAATATTCCAGTTACTGAAAATTACTTTTCAGGAATATATGGAAGTGTGATTTAAAAAATTCTAACAATTTCTTGTTGCTTACAGAATAAAATCCAGATTTAGCACGTTAGTGAAATTTTTTCCCCAGTAAGTTCTGCTCTTCAGCTCTGCTTCCACATTTACCTTTCTGCCAACCTTCCATTCATGGCATTTTCCTCAAATAATTTTTATAATTTCTCATTTTATTTTTGCTCATATTTTTGGTTGCATATTTCTTTACCATTATTTTCCAAATAAATCTAGGTTTCAAGGCACATCCCAAATGACATCTCTGTCATGAATCCTTCACCAATTCTATTGGTAGAATTTAATATCTTCCTCCCCTGCATTGAGGTGGTACAGTGTAATTTTATACTATTTATTACATTCTACATTTTTATTGACGATATATTTTTTCCCATGGAATACAATATCTCCCTATAAAGTGCAGATCCAGTTCTTTAATTTTAGAAAGTTTTCTTGTATTATATCATTAAAAACTTCTTCTGTTCCATTTGCCGAATTGCTTATTCAGGAAAACTATTAATATTTAGGTTGGATCATATTTGTATTCCATGTCTTTATTGTCTTTCTAATTGTCTTAATCACTTGATTTTTAATGAATTTACTGTGATTATATTGAGTGCTTTTCTTAGGTCTCACTTTGCATTTTGGATTTGTCTAGCCTGTTTCCAATTTATAAAAAAAATTACTTGTTGCATTTTAATGGTACTAATTTTATGTGTGTATGAAAAAGTAAAAAATATGTAAAAAAGGAATCCAAATACATTTTTTATCCTCAGCCCAAAAGTAAAAATCTTAAACAGCTTTTCTCTATTTTTAAAAATTTAATTATAAAACTGTGTTCTTCAACTTGTATTCTTAGCTTTACAATTACTCTCTAATCTTATTCTGTATTTTAATAATTTTATCTCTGTGGATTTAAAAATATCAAATTTGTATTCTAATTAAGTAATGGTACAGAAGAAAGTATTCATGGAGAATTCTCTTCATTTTCTGCAGTTATATTTTCCCCCACTATTTCTCATCATTTCTCTTTTTTTTCTCTTCCTCTTCTACCTTTATTTGCCTTTTTCCTTTCTTTTTTTCCTTTTGGCTGTTATAATTTGCATATCTGACATTTCTTGTAACTGCTCTTGTTTAACACGGTCAGAGCCAAAACTCTGTTTGACTTGCTTCTCACCACATATGAGACGTCTTAATCTTTCAAATTACTTAGTATTGCATGCTTAACCTATTTTTCTGAAACCTAAGGCATGGTAGGATGCTTGGTAATTATCTGAAGCCATGTACAATTTTTTTGGAGAACTCAACTCCTCTGTCTTTCTCTCTTATCCAATATTTCATTAATCTTCTGAGATACATCCATGCCCCTTAGTTGGGAATCTTACCCCTTTGGGAGAGTCAAGAGAGAAACATCAGCACTTCAATACGTTTCTCCCTAAAATGAAGTATTAATAAGATTTCCCAGGATTCTGTCTTTGTCTTCTTGACATTTTTTTTTCTCTGATCTGCTTCTTGGTTGAGTTGGAATAGAAGTGGTGGAAGGGTAGATTTAGAATTATGTCTAACCACAAAGCAATCTTTTGTATCCTTCAGTGGATACTGCTTTCTAAACAGCTTTATTAAACATTGATTGACATTCAATAAAACTGAAAAATATTTAAAGAATACAATTTGATAAGTTTGATATATGTGTATAGCGAAGAAGCCATCACCATAATAAAGATAATTATATATCTATCCCTGCCCCAAGTTTTCCATGCCCTTTTGTGACCCCTTCTTCCTACCTTTCCGATATTCTCCCCTCTTTCCCATTCCAAGGCAACCACTGTCACTATAGATTAGTTTGCATTTACTAGATTTTCATAAATAGAAGCATACAGAATGCACTATTTTCTATTTGGCTTCTTTAACTCAGCATGATGATTCTGAGATTCATAGATGTTGTAGTATGTATCAATAGTTTACTCCTTTGTATTGCTAAGTAGAATTCCATTTTGATTTGGGTCTTTTTTTTTAATATCTTGCATTTATCTACACAACTTTTTAAACATGTGAAAGGTGGATTTTCCTCTTCTTTATAGATTTTATTTTTCTGCTATTTTAAATACCTTTATAAATTTTTTTGTTGATTGGCAGTTACTGTGAATTTCACTTTATTGAGTGCTGGATACTTTTGTATTTCTATACTTATTCTTGAGCTTTGTTCTGAGACACAGGTTATTTTTGAGATATTTTACATATTCAGGTCTTGCATTCTAGCTTTGTTATGTGAGACTGGAACAGTACTTAATCTATAGCCTATTATTCCCCACCAATGAGGTGGGACCCTCTGTGTATTTTACTCTATGCTCCATGAATTATGAAGTTTTTTTCAATCTGTCTGGTGGAAACAGACACTGTATGTGCCTCTGTAAAGTGGAAAATTTCCCCCACCTTTGGGTAGTTTTCTCACATGCATGCGCTGACAGGTATCCAGCAAGAATACACAACGGAGACATCTGGAGGTCATCAGAGTTGCCTCTGGATGCAGCTCTTTTCTGTTTGACACTCTGTCCTTAGATGTTTAGCCTCCTTGGTCTCGTTCCCTGGACTATCAACTCTGTTTGCTAGACTTGTAGATTCTGGTGGGATCTGGCTGGGTTCCCTTCTCTCTGTGCAGCAACCGGAATATGCTTTCAAGGCAGCACATTGGGCCAATTACTGGGCTCACTTTATTTGCTTCTTATCTCTCTGGGATCACTGAAATTTGTTGCTTCAAGTCCAGTGACTTAAAATCTGATGTTTTATATAATTTAATAAATGTTTTTGGTTGTTCGTCCAGATGTAAAAGAGATACTTTTGTTTTCTCTGGAGAGTATAGCATGAATTGTGCCTTTCTCAATGTTTTGTTGCAGTTAGTTAAATTTTTAATGAATATCAACATTAAAAAACTTATAGCTATTATTGGAGTGAAATTCTATGATTTGCTTTTTATGTAGTATGTATACTCTAATGTTTTTATTTAATTACACGTGTCTTTATTACTAGATTTTATAATCCCGATGTCAGCTAAGACAGCTTAAAATCTAGAAGAGATTGACTTGAATCCCTATTCAACAACTTTTAAGACATCTAATTCTCTTTGCCTCAGACCTATACATTAGTGGACCAAGGTTGAAACTGTATCTGTGTATGAAGAGAAAGAAAGGAAGCAAAGAAGCAAGCAAGGAAAGAAGAAAGAAGAGAGGTAGACAGGGAAAGAGAGAGGAAGGCTTAATCTTCCAAAACCAGTGTGGAAAAACCTTCATTTTAAAGCCTAGTTGAAGAAACTGACATCTATGAAGAGAATGTCAATATAAAGAGTTCAGGGATGAGATAAGGTTACATCTAAGGTATTATTAGAGATGAAAGGAGGGAACCTGGTGCTGTTATTCTAGGTGAAGAAAGATGGTAATGGCATAAAGTTATGAACCACATATATGTATAGAATTTTTATTTTTATTTGCCTAGTAGCTTTCACTCTCTCTCCTTTGCGTTACAGATTGTAGTTCTTGGATCAAAGGCATGAAATAATTAATCTATCCCACTCTCCTTGGCCACATGGTTGGCCTATGGAGGTAGTGAGATTTGAGATAAGTGAGAGTTTCCATATAAAATAAGTGACTCTACTCCTCTCTATTCCAGAAATTTCTTTTTTTTTCTTTTTTTTTCTTTTTTCTTTTTTCTTTTTTTTTTTTTGAGATGGAGTTTCACTCTTGTCGCCCAGCCTGGAATGCAATGGCGTAATCTTGGTGCACTGCAACCTCCACCTCCCAGGTTCAACTGATTCTTCTGCCTCAGCCTCCAAAGTAGCTGGGATTACAGGCATCCACCACCATGCCCGGCCAATTTTTTTGTGTTTTTAGTAGAGACAGGGTTTCACCATGTTGGCCAGGCTGGACTCGAACTCCCAACCTCAGGTGATCCACCTGCCTCAGCCTCCCAAAGTGCTGGGATTACAGATGTGAGCCACCGCACCGGGACTATTCCAGAAATTTAAGCCTTGAGCAGACACATGGAAACCAATGGCAATTGGTGTTGGTGCTGAGTCATTTGTGGCCAGCTCTCTGGAGAGATGATTCCTGTCTTCCAAGAGTTTTACATTAATTAATCTAGAACCCATTCAGTGAACTCTATTTTTACTTAAGTTAACCAGCTTTTATTTCCATTTACTTAAAACTAAAGAAATTTCTCCAGTAGAAGCTACAAGCAATTTGGTATCATGAGTAGACAAAATTGTAAGTATATGATGAAAACTGAAGCTAAATAGGTGAGTGGGGCCAGGTCATAGAGGGCTTCCTTTTTCACGTTATATGCTTAGTATTTATTTTGTAGCTTACAGAGTTTTAGGAAATAAAATGAAGACTCTGTCAAATTTTAGTTTTTGATCAATCATTCTGACAGCAGTATTAAAGATGGATTTGAAGAGAATAAACCTTGAGAGGGAATGAACAATTAGATTCTGCTTAAGCTAAAAGATACTGAAGACCTAAACTAGTATATTAGTTTTCTATTGCTGTTAAAACAAATTACCACAAACTTAGTGAGTCATAACAACACAAATTTATTATCTTATAGTTCATAGGTTAGAAGTCTAACATGTATCTCACTGAGTTAAAATCAAGGTGTCATCAAAAACCATGCAAGCAAGAAGATCATGGAGTAAAATATTTATATATTGAAAGAAAAAATACCCACCAGCTTAAAATTTTGTTTAAAGGAATTAATATTTAAAAGCAAAGGAGAAACAAAAACTTTCTGAGGACAAAAAAAAAAAAAAAAAGAAATTTGTCATCACTAGACCTGCCTTGCAAGAATTGTTAAAAGTTCTACAGAAAGAAGATTGACATTACTAAGAAACTTTAACATATACATATATAAAATGATGAGCATTAAGAAAGGAATAAAAAAAGGTAAAATAAATATTTTTAATTTTCTTATTCCTAATTGGTGTTATAGATAACTGGGTTCAAAATAATGATAGCAACGATGTTTTGAATGATTATAGCTTATGGGCAAGTAAAATAAATAATAGGAATATAAAAAAACTGGAAAAAGAAATAGGAAGTATTCTACAATAAAGTAACTTGCATTACACATGAATTAATATACTGTTATTTGAATGTGTACTTATATTAATTGTAAATATATACTGCAAAATCTATAAAGACCACTAAAAATATTTTTAAAACAGATAATATTCTAAGCAAATAGAGAACATGGAATCATATAAAATGCTCAATTAAAATTAGAAAAGGCACAACAAAAGGGTAATATTAAAAAAAAGCAAAAAACAAGTGCAACAAGGGCAATGACTGTTTTTATGGTTACTAATGTGGTAGATATTAATTAATCTATATCAATAACTACCTTTTGTTTGTTTGTTTGTTTGTTTGTTTGTTTGTTTGTTTTTGGAGATGGAGTCATACTGTCGCCCAGGCTGGAGTGTAGTGGCATGATCTTGGCTCACTGCCACCTCTGCCTCCCAGATTCAAGCAATTCTCCCACCTCAGCCTCTCGACTAGCTGGGACCACGGGCACACACCACCATGCCTGGCCAATTTTTTGTATTTTGGTTGAGATGGGGTTTCACCGTGTTGCCCAGGCTCTTCTCGAATTCCTGAGCTCAGGCAATCCACCTGCCCCTGCCTCCCAAAGTGCTAGGATTACAGGCATGAGCCACTGTGCTTGGCCAATTACTTTAAATGTGAAAGGTCTGAATACATCAATTACAAGACAGAGATTGACTGAGTAATTAAAAAACAAGATTTAATTGGCTGGGCACGGTGGCTCACGCCTGTAATCCCAGCACTTTGGGAGGCCGAGGTGGGCGGATCACTAGGTCAGGAGATCGAGACCATGGTGAAACCCTGTCTCTACTAAAAATACCAAAAAAAAAAAAAAAAAAAAAAAAAAAAAAAATTAGCTGGGCATGGTGGCGGGTGCCTGTAGTCCCAGGTACTGAGGAGGCTGAGGCAGTAGAATGGCATGAACCCGGGAGATGGAGCTTGTAGTGAGCTGAGTTTGCATCACTGCACTCCAGCCTGGGCAACAGAGCTCAAAAAACAAAACAAAACAAAAAAAAACAAGATTTAACTATATGTTATTGACAAGAAATGCACTGTATAAAACACAAGATGCATTAAAAGTAAAGGGATGAAAAAAGATATACCTTGCTAACACAAATCAAAAGAAAGCTCGAGTAGCAATATTAATTTCAGAAAAAGCAGACTTAAGAACAAAGAAAATTGTTAGAAATTAAGAAGGATATTACATAAAGATAACGGGTTAATTCAACAAGAAGACATAACAATCCTTAATGGATATTCTTCTACCATGAGAGCCTCAAAATATAGGAGGCAAAAATGGAAAGATCTGCAATGAGACTAGACAAGTTCGCTATTTTAGTTAGAGGCTTCAACATCCATTTATCTGTAATTGACAGACACAGCAGGAAGAAAATTAGTAAGGATATAATTGAACTAAACAGCACCATCAATCAAGTGGATCTCATTGACATTTATAGAATATTTCATTTAACAACAGCAGAATCCACACATTTTTCAAGGTCACGTGTAACATTCACCAAAATAGACTACATTTGAAGTTATAAAACACACATCAACAAATTTAGAAGACCAGAAATTGTGTAAAGTATGTTCTTAGAACACAATGGAATTGAACTAAAATCTAACAGATAGATAGCTGTGAAATATTATTTGGAGGTTACACAACACACTTTTAAATAACACATGGGTCTGAAAAAGAAATTTCAAAAAAATCTTTAAAAATATTTTGAACTAAATGAACAAGAAAAATCTGAGGAATGCAACAAAAGCAGCACTAAGAGGGAAATTTATAGCATTAAATGAATTATTAGACAAGAAGAAAGACCTAAAATTAATAGTCTAAGCTTTCATCTTTGGAAAATAGAGAAAAAAGAGCAATATCAATAAAGTCGAAAATAGAAAAACAATAGATGGTATCAATGAAGCCAAAAGGTAGTTCTTTGAAAAGATCAATGAAATAGAAAAAACTCTAGTTAGGCTCACCAAAGAAACCAAACGGAAGACACAAATTACTAATATCAGAAATGAAAGAAGGGCCATTATTACTAATCTTATGGACATTAGCAAGATAATAATAGAATATTATCAATGACACTATGGCCCACAAATTTGATAACTTAGGTGATGGACCAATTTTTTGGAAGTCATAATCTATAAAACCTCAGCAAGGTAAACTACATAATTTGAATATGTGCATGTCCATTAAAAACATGTAATCTATAATTAATAACCTTTCAAAATGGAAAGCACCAGGCCCAGATGGTTTCCCTCATAAATTCTACAGAACATTTAAGAAAGAAATGGTACAAATTTTCTACAGCATCTTTTAGAAAATGGAAGCAGAATGAACAATTCCTAATTCATTATATAGGGCCAACTTTAACCTTATATCAAAACTGTATAAATTATGCAAAACGAAACTATAGACTGAAATCTCTCATGAATATTGACATCTTCAACCACATATTAGCAAATCAAATCCAATAATCTAAAAAGAGAATTATAAACTATGATTAAATAAAATTTTCTCCAGGTATTCATAACTGTGTCAGCATTTGAAAATCAATTAATGTAATCAATCACATTAATGTCCCATAAAAAATTCACATAATTATATCCATAGATGCAGAAAACAATTGACAAAATTTAACATTCTTTCTTGATACAAACTCTCAGCAAACTAGGAATAGAGGGGAACTTCTTCAAATGAGTAAAGAAGGTTTACAAAAAACTTACAGCTAATGTCATATTTAATGGTGAGAAATGAGATGCTTTTTTTCAAAGACTGAGAAAAACCCAGAGACGTCTATTCTCACTACTGTTATTCAACATCATACTGAAAGCCTGAGCCAATTCAATAAGACAGGAAGAGGAGATTAAAGTATATGATTGGGAAAGAAGAAATAAAACTGTATGTTTGCAAATGACATAATCGTCCATGTAGAAATCTCCCCCAAATTGCCAAAAATTCCCTTCTGGAACCAATAAGTGAATATAGCAAAGTTGCAGGGTGGAAAGTTAATATACAAAAGTCAATTGTTTTCCTGTATAATAGCAATAAAAAAATTGCAATTTGCAATTAAAAACCTAATAGCATCTCATTAGCATCATAAAGTGAAATTTTGAGGTATAAATCTATATTAGTCTATTCTCACATTGCTATAAAGTAATATCTGAGGCTGGGTAATTTATAAAGAAAAAGTATTTAATTTGCTCACGGTTCTGTAGGCTGTCCAGGAAGTGTGATGCTAGTATCTGCTTGACTTCTGGGGAGGCCTAAGGAAATTTACAATCATGGTAGAAAGTGAAGGGGGAGCAGACATATCACATGGTAACAGCAACAGCAAGAGAGGGAGGGGAGAAGTGCCACATGCTTTTAAGTAATCAGAGCTCATGAGAACTCATTCACTATTACAAGGACAGTACCGAAAAGATGATATGAAACAATTTATGAGACATTTGCCCCCATGATCCAATCACCTCCCACCAGGTCCACCTCCAACATTGGAAATTACAATCCAACACGAGGATTTGGGTGGGGACACAGATACAAGCCATGTCAATATCTAACAAAATTTTTATAAGATCTCTATGAAAAAAAACTACAAAACTCTGACAAAAGAAATAAAAAAAGATAGATTAATAGATATTCATTTTGTGGATAGAAAGACTCAGTATTATTTAGTTGTCAGTTCTTTCCGACCTGAGCTATAGGCTCAAGCAATTTTTTTTTTAAACTTTATTTTAGGTTCAGAAGTACATGTGCTGGTTTCTTACATAGGTAAACCCAAGTCACAGGGGTTCTTTGTACAGATTATTTTGTCACCCAAGTACTAAGCCTGGTACTCTGATCCTCTCTCTCCTATCACACTACTCTCTCAAGTAGCCCCCAGTGTCTATTATTCCCCTCTTTGTGTCCATGTGTTTTCATTATTTAGCTCCCACTTATAAGTGAGAACATGCAGTATTTGTTTTTCTTTTCCTGCATTAGTTTGCTAATGATGGCCTCCAGCTCCATCCATGTTCTTGTCGGGGACATGATCTCATTCTTTTTTATGACTTTTGTATGACCGCATAGTATTCCACAATGTATATGTACCATTTTCTTTTTCCACTCTACCACTGATGGGCATTTAGGTTGATTCCATGTCTTTGCTATTGTGAATAGTGCTGCAGTGAACATACATGTGTATGTGTCTTTATGGTAGAATGATTTATATTCCCTTGGCTATATACCCAGTAATGGGATTGTTGGGTCAAATGGTAGTTCTGTTTTTAGCTCTTTGGGAAATTACCACACTGCTTTCCACAATGGTGGAACTAATTTACACTCCCACGAACACACCAACAGTGTATACATGTTCCAACTTATCTGCAAACTTGCAGGCATCTGCTGTTTATTGACTTTTTAGTAACAGCCATTGTGACTGGTTTGAGAAGGTATCTTGTGGTTTTGATTTGCATTTCTCTAATGGTTAGTGATATTGAGCTTTTGTTCATATGTTTGTTGGCCACATGTATGTCTGCTTTTAAAAAGTGTCTGTTTATGTTCTTTGCCCACTTTTAAAAACTTTTATTTTAAATTCAGGAGTACACATGCAGGTCTGTTATATAGGTAAGCTTGTGTCATGGTGGTGGGTTGTACAGATTATTTCATCACCCAGGTATTAAGCCTAGTACCTATTAGTTATTTTCCCTGATCCTCTGCCTCTTCCCACCCTTCAACTTCCAGTAGGCTCTGGTGTGTGTTACTTCCTTCTATGTGTTCATGTGTTCCCATCATTTAGTTCGCACTTATAAGTGAGAACATGCAGTATTTTGTTTTCTGTTCCTGCATTAGTTAGCTAAGGATAATGGCCTCCGGCTTTACCCATGTTTCTGCAAAGGACATTATCTCATTCTTTTTTAATGGGTGCACAGAATTCCATGGTGTATATATACCACATTTTGTTTATCCAGTCTATCATTGATGGGCATTTAGGTTGATTCTATGTCTTTGCTATTGTGAATAGTGCTGCAATGAACATACACGTGCATGTATCTTTATAATAGAATGATTAATATTCCACTGGATATATACCCAGCAATGGAATTTCTGGGTTGAATGGTACTCATGTTTCTAAGTCTTTGAGGAATCACCACACTGTCTTCCACAATAGTTGAACTAATTTACACTCCCACCAACAGTGTATAAATGTTGCATTTTCTCTGCAACCTTGGCAGCATTTGTTATTGTTTGACTTTTTAATAATAGCCATCCTGATTGGTGTGATTTGGCATCTTATTGTGGTTTTGATGTGCATTTCTCTAATGATTAGTGACACTGAGCTTTTTTCCATATGCTTGTTGGCTGCATGTATGTCTTCTTTTAAAAAGTGTCTGTTCATGTCCTTTGGCCACTTTTTAACGGGGTTGTTTGTTTTCTCTTGCAATTATGTTTAAATTCCTTATAGTTGCTGGATTATAGAGCTGTTTCAGATGCATAGCTTGCAAATATTTTCTCTAATTCTTTTGGTTTCCTGTTTACTCCGTTGATTGTTTCTTTTGCTGTGCAGAGGCTCTTACGTTTAGTTAGATTCCATTGGTAAATTTTTGCTTTTGTTGCAATTGCCTTTGGTGTGTTCATCATGACATCTTTGCCAGTTCCTATATCCAAAATGGTATTGCCTAGGTTGTCTTCCTGGCTTTTTATAGTTTTATATTCTACATTTAAGTCTTTAATCCATCTTGATTTGATTTTTGTACAGTGTAAGGAAGGGGTCTAGTTTCAATCTTCTGCATATGGCCAACCAGTTATCCCAGCACAATTTATTGAACAGGGAGTCCTTTCCTCCTTGCTTGTTTTTGTCAGCTTTGTTGAAGAGCAAATGGTTATAGGTGTGCAGCCTTATTTCTGGGCTCTTTATTCTGTTCCATTGGTCTTTGTGTCCATTTTTGTACTAGTACCATGCTGTTTTGGTTACCATAGCCCTGTAATATAGTTTGAAGTCAGGTAACATGATGCTTCCAGCTTTGTTCTTTTTGCTTAGGATTGGCTTGACTATTTGGTCTTTTTGGTTCCAAATGAATTTTAAAATAGTTTCTTCTAGCTCTGTGAAGAATGTCATCACTAGTATGATAGAAATTTTATTGACTCTGTAAATTGCTTTGGACAGTGTAGCCATTTAAATGATATTGAGTCTTCCTATCCATGAGCATGGAATGTTTTTCCATTTATTTGTGTTATCTGTGATTTATTTGAGCAGTGTTTTGTAATTGTTATTATAGAGATATCTCACCTCCCTGGCTAGCTGTATTCCTAAGTACTTTATTCTTTTTGTGGCAATTGTGAATGGGACTGCATTTCTGATTTGGCTCTTGGCTTGGCTGTTGATGGTGTATAGAAATGCTACTTTTTTTGTACATTGCTTTTGTATCCTGAAACTTTGCTGAAGTTGTTTATCAGTTGATAGAGCTTTTGAGCTGAGACTATGGGGTTTTCTATGTATAGAATAATGTTATCTTCAAACAGAGATAGCTTGACTTTCTCTCTTCCTGTTTGGATAGCCTTTCTTTCTTTCTCTTGACTCCTCTCTGGCCAGGACTTGCAATAACTATGTTGAATAGAAGTGGTGAGAGAAGCCACCCTTGTCTTGTGTTGGTTTTCAAGGGGAATGCTCCCAGCTTTTGCCCCTTCAGTATGATGTTGACTGCAGGTTAGTCATAGATGGTTCTTGTTATTTTCAGTTATATTTCTTCAATGCCTAGTTTATTGAGAGTTTTTAACATGAAGCGATTTTGAATCTTGTTGAAAGCCTTTTCTGCATCTATTGAGATAATCAAGTGTTTCTTGTCTTTAGTTCTGTTTACGTGATGAATCACATTTATTGATTTGCACATGTTGAACCAAACTTGCATCCCAGGAATAAAGAGTACTTGATTGTTGTGAATTAGCTTTTTGATGTACTGCTGGATTTGGATTGCAAGTATTTTGTTGAGCATTTTTTCATCAATGTTCAACAAGTATATTGGCCTGAAGTTTTCTTTTTTGTTGTTGTGTCTCTGCCAGGTTTTAGAATCAGGATAATGGTGGCCTCATAGAATGAGTTGGGGAGGATTCCCTCCTCCTCAAATTTATGGAATAGTTTCAGTAGGACTGATACCTCCTTTGTACATCTGGTAGAATTTTGTTTTGAATCCATCTGTCCTGGGCTTTTTTAGTTGGTAGACTATTACTGATTCAATTTTGGAGCTCATTATTGGTGCATTCAGGGAATAAATTTCTTTCTGCTTCAGTCTTGGGTGTATGTGTCTAGGAATTTATCCAACTCTTCCAGGTTTTCTAGTTTGTGTGCATAGAGGTATTCATAGTAGTCTCTGATGGTTATTTGTATTTCTGTAGAGTCAGTGGTAACATCCCCTTCATCATTTCTAATTGTGTTTGTTTGCACTTTCTGTCTTTTCTTCTTTATCACTCTAGCTAGTGGCCTATTGTATTAGTCTGTTCTGACACTGCTGATAAAGACATACCCGAGACTGGGCAATTTACAAAAGACACAGGTTATTGGACTTACAGTTCCATGTGGCTGGAGAGGCCTCACAATCATGGCAGAAGGTGAAAGGCACACCTCAAATGGCAGCAGATGAGAAAAGAGAGGTTGTGCAGGGAGACACCCATTTTTTGAAAACCATCAGATCTCATGAGATTTATTCACTATCACAAGAACAGCACTGGAAAGACCTGCCCCTGTGATTCAATTACCTCCCACTGGGTGCCTCCCACAACACATGGGAACTCAAGATGAGATTTGGGTAGGGACACAGCCAAACCATGTCACCTATGTATCTTATTAATTTTTTTTCAAAAAAACCTCTTTGATTCTTTAATGTTTTGAATAGCTTATCTTGTCTCATTCTTCTTCAGTTTGGCTCTGATTTTGGTTATTTCTTCTCTTCTGCTAGCTTTGGGGTTAGTTTGCACCTTGTTCCCTAGTTCTTTTAGTTGTGATGTTAGGTTGTTAAACTGAGATCTTTCTAACTTTTGATGTGGGCATTTAGTGCGATAAATTCCCCTCTTAACACTGCCTTAGCTGTGTACCAGAGATTCCAATATGTTGTATCTTTGTTCTCATTAGTTTCAAAGAACTTCTTGATTTCTGCCTTAATTTCATTATTTACCCAAGAGTCATTCAAGAGAAGGTTGTTTAATTTCCATGTAATTGCATGGTTTTGAGTGATTTTTTTTAGCCTTGATTTCTATTTTTATTGTGTCATGTTCTGAGTGTGGTTGGTGTGATTTTGGTTCTTTGCATTTGCTGAGGATTGTTTTATGTTTAATTGTGTGGTCAATTTTAAAGTATGTGCTATGTGATGATAAGAAGAATTTATATATTTTTTATATAAAAAATATTTTTTTCGGAGAGTTCTGTAAAGGTCTGTCAGATCTGTTTGGTCCAATATTAAGTTCAGGTCCTGAATATCTTTGTTAATTTTCTGCATTGATGATCTGTCAAATACTGTCAGTGGAGTGTTGACATCTCCCACTATTATGGCGTGGAAGTCTATGCCTTTTTGTAGGTCTCTAAGAACTTGCTTTACCAATCTTGGTGCTCTGTGTTGGGTTCATATATATTTACAATAGCTAGATCTTCTTGTTGAATTGAAGCCTTTGCCATTATGTAATGCCCTTCTTTGTCTTTTTTAAAATCTCTGTTGGTTTAAAGTCTGTTTTATCTGAAATTAGGGTTGCAACCCATGCTTTTTTCCCAATTTCCATTTTCTTGGTAGATTTTTCTTCCATTGCTTTAGTTTGAGCCTATGGGTGTCACTGTTGGTGAGACTGGTCTCTTGAAGACAGTGTAACATTGGCTTTTGCTTTTTTTCCAGCTTGCCACTCTATGCCTTTCATTCAAGGCTAGTATTGTTATGTGTGGATTTTATCCTGTCCCCGTGTTGTTAGCTGGGTATTATTCTGGCTTGTTTGTGTGGTTGCTTTATAGTGTCACTGTTCTGTGTACTTAACTGTGTTTTTATATGAGCTGGTAATGGTCTTTCCTCTCCATTTAGTGTGCCTTTCAAGACCTCTTGTAAGGTGGGTCTTTGGTAATAAACTCCCTCAGCATTTGCTTTTCTGAAAAAGATGTTATTTCTCCTTTGCTTAGTAAGCTTAGTTTGGCTGGATATGAAATTCTTGGTTGAAGATTCTTTTCTTTAAGAATGTTGAATACAGACCCCTAATCTCTTATGGCTAGTAGGGTTTCTGCTGAGAAGTTGGCCATTATCCTGATGGGCTTCCCTTTGTAGGTGACCTGCCTTTCTCTCTAGCTGCATTTAACATTGTTTTTCATTTTGACCTTGGCACATCTGATGATTATGTGTCTTGGGGATAATCTTCTTGTGTGCAATCTTGCAGGGGTTCTCTGTATTTTCTGAATTTGACTGTTGCCCTCTCTAATGAGGTTGAGGAATTTTTCATGGGTGATATCCTGAAATATATTTTCCAAGTTGTTTGCCTTTTCCCCATCCATTTTAGGGATACTACTGGTTCACAGATTTGGGCTCTTACATAATTCCATATTTCTCAGAGTTTTTGTTGATTCCTTTCCATTTTTTGTTATTTATTTTTGTCTGACTGTCATATTTCAGAGAACCAGTCTTCAAATTCTGAGATTCTTTTCAGCTTGGTCTATTCTACTGTTAATACTTGTCATCACATTGTGAAATTCTTGTCATGTGTTTTTCAGCTCTATCAGATCAGTTAGGTTCTTTTAATACTGGCTATTTTGTCTGTGAATTCTGTATCATTTTATGGTGATTTTTAGTTTCCTTGGATTTCCTTTGCTGTTCTCCTGAATCTCAATGATCTTCATTCCTATCCATATTCTGAATTCTATTTCTTTCATTTCAGCCAACCCATCCTGGTTAAGAACCCTTGTTGAAGAACTAGTGCAGTTGTTTGGAGGACATAAGACACTGGCCACTTGAGTCACTGGAGTTCTTGCATTGGTTCTTTCTCATCTCTGCATGTGGGTGTTCCTTTAACTGCAGTGTAGATTGGGCATAATCAGTAGACTTCCTTTCTGGATGTTTTCACAGGGCCAAGGCTTTGTGCAGGGTCTTTATTTGTAGCTGATTTCCTGTCTTTGGTTTCACAGAGGGGTATGTTAGTGAGGTATTTTTGGCATTGAAACTTTGGTATGTGATCCAGTAGGTGGCACTTAGGCATAGTCATCAGCTGATAGATTCTTGGTCACTTGTGTAGCTCCCCTGTGTTTCTTCACAGTTCTAGCTCTCAGTGCTCTGAAAGTGTGGGCTCCTCTCCCACTTGAGTGCTGGCTGTAGATCATGACTTGGTACTCCTGGGCTGCCCACTGCAGCTCTGGGGTAACGTTTCCTCCCCAACTTTGAGGCAGCAGAGGAAGGGACTTTAGTAGTGGTTGTGCCAAGGGTCTTTTGTTTGTCTCCTGGGGTCTCCACCCCAGAGAGATGCAGGTCAGCAATCACTCAGTGTAATCAGCTTGGGATGGGGGGATCTGTGCTGTGGGTCCAAGCCAGAGGTTCCCTGCCTGGTGATGAGCAGGGCAGGTGGGTTGGATCTGTGTGAGATGAACGGGCCTTCTCTCCTGATGCAAGCAATTCCTATCAAAATCCCAGCCATTATTTTTTTTCTTTTTGATATTGGTAAACTGATTCTAAAATTTATATTGAAAAGGAACAAACTCTGAATAGCCAGTGCAATATTGAAGAAAATGAAAGTTGGAGGACAGGCTGGGTGCGGTGGCTTACGCCTGTAATCCCAGCACTTTGGGAGGCTAAGGTGGGTGAATCGCAAGGTCAAGAGATTGAGACCATCCTGGCCAACATGATGAAACCCCATCTCTACGAAAAATATAAAATTTAGCTGGGCATGGTGGCGCACACTTGTAGTCCCAGGTACTTGGGAGGCTGAGGCAGGAGAATCGCTTGAACCCAGGAGTCAGAGGTTGCAATGAGCCAAGATTGTGCCACTGCACTCCAGCCTTGTGACAGAGTGAGACTCCATCTCAAAAGAAATAAATACATAAATAAAATTAAAAAAGAAAGAAAATAGGAGGACAGACAGTACTCAACTTCAAGGCTTACTATAAAGCTATAATAAGACAGTGTGGTATTGGTGAAAGAGTAGACAACTAGGTCAGTGCAGCAGACTGGTTAGCCCCCAAATAGACACAAGCAAATATAGTCAACTGATCTTTGACACAGGAGTAAAGGCGATTCAGTGGAGAAAGGATAGCCTTTTCAACAAATGATGCTAGAACAATTGGTCCTCTACATGCAAAACAAACAAACAAAAAATCTAGACACTGACCTTATACCTTTCATCAAAATTAATTCAAAATATATCACAGACCTAAAGCGAAAATACTAAACTATAAAACTTCTAGATGATAATGTAGGAGAAAATCTAGATGACCTTGTGGTTTTGTGATGAGTTTTTAGATATAACACCAAAAGAATGATCCATGAAAGAAAAAAATTGGTAAGTTGGACTTTATTAAAATTTAAAACTCCTGCTCTGTAAAAGGTACCTTCAAGAGAATGAGAATACAAGCCTCAGACTGGGAGAAGATATTTGCTAAAGACATAGCTGATAAAATATTGTTATTCAAAATATACAAAGAGTTATTAAAACTCAACAATAAAGACACAAATAACCCAATTAAAAATGGGCAAAATACATGAAACATCACCCCACCAAAGAAGATACGGAGATGGCAATAAGCTTATAAAATGATGTGTGATAGCATATGTCATGAAGGAATTGTAAATTAAAACAATGAGATATCGCTATCTAAAATTAAAAAAATATATGATAGTACCAAATGCTAGTAAAGATGTGGAGCAACTCTTATTTTTTGCTGGTGGGAATGCAAAATGATACAGACATTTTGGAAGATGGTTTAGTAATTTCTTACAAAGCTAAACATAGTCTTATAAGATGCAGCAACAAGAGGATGGACGGTACTCAACTTCAAGGCTTACTATAAAGCTATTATAATCAAGACAGTGTGACCACTGGCGAAGGAACAGACAAGTAGATCAATGCAACAGAATAGTTAGCCCCCATATAGACACACACATATATACTCTAAAAATGTACTTCTAGGTATGTACCCAAATGAGTCGAAAATATATCCACACCAAAACTGCACATGAATATTTATTGCAGGTTTATTCATCATTGCTAAAAACTGAGAGAAACCAATATAGCTTTCAAGAGGTGAATGGGTAAATAAATTGTGGCACAACCATACAATTTATTCAGCAATATTATTCAGCAGTAAAAATAAATAAGTTATGAAGCCATATGAAGATACGGAGGAATATTTAATGAATATTGCTTAGTAAAAAGAGGCAGCCTGAAAAGACTATATACTCTATGATTTCTACTCTATGACATTCTAGAAAATGCTACAGAGACAATAAAAGATTTGTGGTTGCCAGATTTTCAAGGGAGGAGAGAGTTGACTAGATGGAGCACAGGACATTTTTAGGGGAGTTAAATCATTTTTTACAATACTTTATCAAGGAATACATGGGATACATTTGTCAAACCCCATAGAATTCACAACGTAAAGAGTAAACCTTAGTGTGAACTGTGAGATTTCAATAATAATTTATCAATCTTGGTTCATCAATTGTAACACATGTCTTACACTAAGGCAAGATGGTAGTAACATGGGTAACTGAGAAGTGGGGAGAAGTGGTCTGTGGGAACCTTTTGTACTATCTGCTGAGTTGACTGTGAAACTAAAACTTCTCTAGAAAATAAACTCCAGTAAATTTTAAAATGAATTAGGGTGTTGGGAGACTGTATTTCTTTCTGGAGGCTGCAGAAAAAATCTTCATTTTTTTCAGCTTTTAGACATCATTTGCATTTCTTGGCATGTGGCCCCTTCCTCTGTCTTCAGAACCAGCAAGGTGTACTTAAAAGTATATTACGTTAAAGAAAGGTGTTTCTTTTAAGATAATTAGTTATCTTTCTATCTATCTCTGTCATCTATTTTTGTAAAACAGGAGAGAAACTTGAAGAGCTTGAAGAATGTTACCAAGAATGAAAAAGTTTGAAGATAGGGGAGTTGGAAGGAATACCTGGTAGAGGACATTCTTGAAGGTGTGGAAATAGAGTCTAGAACACAACTGAATAAAGAGAGCTCCCCATTTTGTGAGATTGGAGGTGAAGAGGGAAATTTGTGGAAAGAGGAACTTGGCAAGGATGACCAAGGTAATATCAATTTCTTGTTTTGAAGTAAAAATCAAGGTGTTCCACTGGATTAAAAGTATTTATTGATTTAATGCTATACTTGTTTATTCGATAATTGGATACTAAATATAAGCCCTTTTTGATAATATGTGTATAGTTCAAGTAAAAAGAAATTAAAGAAAGAGGAACCTGAGTTTAATGAAAGAAAAAATATTTTTGCAGAAATTTATTTCAGGTATTCTTTGACATCTTGCAGAAGATGCATCTGAATTTGCTTTTAATTTTAAAGAATACATCAGGCTGTTCTCAATCATCCTCTCCTCCTCAAGGTTATTCTTCATCTCAAAATTTAATGTCAAATGTTTTCATGCTTTGATACCAAAATATCTAGCTGATAATACCTACCTGAGTTCAATCTGTACGACTAAAATATTTTGGGAATATAAGCTAAAATTGGTCTGAAAAATCTATATGTATCCTCTACACTGAAAACTACCTCAAGAGACAGTGATAAGTATTAGAAGAATTTTTAATGATGAAATTACACACATTGCTTGTATGGTATTTGTGGCAAATGGACTAAAAAAAGAACACATAGCAGAGTTCCAGAATTATAAAATAGTTAAATCTATTGTTAAGTATTTGTAATACTAGAAGCAGTAGAGGCACAAAGGCACTGATAACATGTTGGATTATCAAAACTAATGACAACTTAGGGTTGGGCTATGTTTTTTGTACTGATGGTTAAATAAAGGGCTTCCTAATATTTTGGGCAATTTCTTTGCACAAAATAATCCCAGAACAATGGAAAAACTTGATTTAGAAGAAGATTTTCATTATCTATGTATCTATGTGCCAATATCTCTATCTGTCTGTCTGTCTATCTATCTATCTATCTATCTATCTATCTATCTATCTATCTATCTATCTATCTTTATCTATCTATATCTATCATCATCATCTATCACTCTATCACATCTATCTATCTATCATCATCTATCACTCTATCACATCTATCTATCATCATCTATCACTCTATCACATCTATCTATCCTTTTATTCAATGGCCATCTACAATGTACTTGATGCTGGGAATTTTCTGTGCTACCTCAATCATGCACAAGACCTACCTCTTCAAATCTTTCGTAAATCTAGGTACTTCGTTAAGTATTTGGTTTTCAAAGGTCTTCTCACTAAACAAAATCTAGTAAATCTAAGTAAATGAAAGGCATTCTTAAATCAACAGATCTGGAATTAGTAGGTGCTAATTATCTATAATGATTGTCTAGCACATTAATAAAACATAAAAGGTGTGATGAATGCTATCAACAAGCTCAGGATGAATAAAAAGTTTGTTAAACTGCAATCTGAAATTTGTCAGATGTCACCAATTTATTACTTCAATATATCTTAAATGAAGTGAGAAACATACTAGTACTCTTATGTTGTAACTGATTTTTCTTATTTTCCCTATGTTCTTAGTGATTTTTATTCTATTAATTAAAAATTCTCTCATAATTTAGATTATAAATTCATGGGCCCCAAAACTTTTATTTTGGATGCTAAATAGGCATTCTAATTTTTTTTCTACTGTGCTTTATGTTTATATTTGCTTATATTTAAGTACTAAACTTGAACTTGTAAATAGTAAATAAATGAGGTTGGCTGGGCATGGTGGCTTACGCCTGTAATCCCAACAGTTTGGGAGGCTGAGGCAGGTGGATCACCTGAGGTCAGGAGCTCGAGACCAGCCTGACCAATGTGGAGAAACCTCGTCTCTACTAAAAATACAAAATTAGCTGGGCATGGTGGTGCATGCCTATAATCCCAGCTACTCGGGAGGCTGAGGCAGGAGAATCGCTTGAACCCGGGAGGCAGAGATTGCGGTGAACCGAGATCATGCCTTTAATCCCAGAACTTTGGGAGGCCGAGGTGGGTGGATCACTTGAGGTCAGGAGTTAGAGAGCAGCTGGGGCAACATGGCAAGACTCTGTGTGTACTAAAAATACAAAAATTAGTCCGGTGTGGTGGTGCACACCTGCAGTCCCAGCTACTCAGGAGGCTGAGGCATGAGAATGGCTTAAACTCAGGAGGTGGAGGTTGCAGTGAGCCATGATCACACCTCAGCACTCCACTCCAGCCTGGGTGACAGAACAAGACCCTATCTCAAAAAAAAAAAAAAAAAAAAAAAGGATGAAGCTTAAGAAAAGACAAAGTGCTATACCTCTCAAGTTTTACACTTTATTAATTTCACTCCAGGCCTTTTTTGACTACTTTATTTAGCTTAAGCTCTTCATGCATATCAACATTCTTTGAATAGCAACCCTATGCCAATCATTAGAGACACAAATATATTGAAGTAGAAAGATAAATAAATTAACCGGTTTATTTAAACATTGGATTGCCATACAGTAAAGAACTAGATCAACACGAATTAAAAAATAAATTCAAAGAAAAGGTAAGTCACACAAGAATAAGAATGATATGCTACCATTTATGCAAGATTTTAAACACACAGAATAAGAATGTAATTATTTATGAATCGCACATACATAAAGAAACAGTATGGAAACCTGTATGGAAATAAGAGAGTGAAAAAGAGACTAGAAATGTAAGGGCAAGTCCAGTCACAAAATACCCAGTAAGCTCAGTAAGAAATTCAGACAATACCCCGAGAGGGATGGAGAGTCATTGAAGGGTGTTACAAGTTTGAGGAGAGGTGCAACGGCATGCATGGTATAATTAGGTGTGCGTTTTAGAGAAATCACTCTGACTTCTGTGTGAAGAAGAGACTGGATGGGTATAAGATTGAAAGAACAGAAACCAGTTAGGAGGTTGTGATATTAATCCAGATGTATGATAATTGCAGCCAGAACTAGCGTAGTTTAGTAAGAAAGAGGAAATTACGCAAATTTGAGAGACACAGAGACCTGATGACAAAGGACTTGATTAATTGATTCAGTAGGTGAGAGAGGGGGAAGAACTAAGAATAACTCAAGCCGCCTGTGATGTGATCAATCCTCTAAATCCAACAGAGTTTACAAGCAGTATGTAAGGTGAAAGAATACATTACATTACACCATGGAAATGCAATCAGTAAAATCCAGACTGTGGAACATTCCACACAACAAACCTCCCAAGCTCTTCAACAAATATTCTGCAAGTGGGAAAAGTATGAAGATGGAAGGAAAAGCCTATAGATCGGTGGCTCTCAACCACAGGTGATTTTGTCTTTGACAGGCCATTTGGCAGTTTGGAGATATTTTTGGTGATCACACCTAGGGAGATGCTATTGGTAACTAGGGGACAGAAACCAAGAATTATCTGGTAGGTGAGAGAGGGCGAAGGTGAGGTAAGAGAGGGGAAAATCATCTGATTTTACACAGAACAGTCCCTTACAACAATGACTGGACTAAGAATGTCAATAAGATGAGGTTCAGAAACTGCCACAGATTACAAGATAATTTAAGAAGCATATCAACCAACCGTGATTTATGACCTTTTATATTAAGATATGTATAAAAATGACATTTATGAGAAATTTGAACATTGACTAGATATTTAATAAAAGTAAAAATTATCGTTATATTCTAGATGTGATGATAATGTTATTGTATTTAGTTTTCAAAAGTCCTTATTTCCTGAAATATATATGGAAATACTTACAAATTAGATTATATGATATCTAAGATTTGTTTCAAAATAATGTGGGAGGAAAAATAGATAAGGACAATTGACAATTGATGTTTATTAGGACTGGGTGAGGGTACATGGGGGTTTGTTACGTTATTCTGTCTTCTTTTGTGTATGTTTAAAAGTATGCATGACAAAAAAATAACTCCAGCTTTCTGTTTTGCATCATACCATTTGTTAAAACAAAGAAATATAAATCATTAAATCTTTGTCTTGTTTAAATTCTTCCTCCTTTTAAAAAAAAACCCAATTCATATAATGGTATATATACTCCTTTATAATATGTTTTGTTAGCAGCAAATTGTTTTGAACATTTCTTCATATAATTAATTTTAAAAACATTAAAATGCTTCATGCTATTTTACATTATATAGGTATCATTCATGCATTTTTGCTTTAAAATAAAGTAGTAAAATAATTATGCATGTGAGCATGACTCTTGTGAGGGGCTCTGATTATTTACTCAAGATACATTCTTCAATATAGAATTACTGAATTAAATATACTAATGTACATCAAACTATTAATATAACCTGCTGCCAAATTTCTGTCCCTATAATTATTATTGATCTATACTCTGAAACCATTGTACTAAAGTGAACATTTTGTTACACACTTACCTCTAGATATTATCATTTTTGTGAACTATTTTGTAATTAATTAAGTATAATGAGATTTTATTTTAATTTTTTTTAGACTTTTTTTTAGCTGTTGTTTTTTGGACAACTAGAATCAATCATTGACATTTTAAAATTATTGTATTAGGCCCTTGAGTTTGAGACCAGCCTGGCCAAGGTAGCAAAACCCCATCTTTACTAAAAATTCAAAAAATTAGCTGGAAGTGGCACATGCCTGTAATCCCAGCTACTCATGGACGCTGACGCATGAGAATAGCTTGAACCTGGAAGGCAGAAGTTGCAGTTGAGCTGAGATCACATCACTGCACTCCAGCCTGGGCAACAGAGTGAGACTCTGTCTCAAAAAATAAATATAAATAAATAAATAAATAAAAATAAAGTAATTCTATTATGCCTTTGAAATTGTCTTGGATATATAAAGAAATTTGGAGATAATCCACATCTTTAAATTATTTTCTCTTCACAGGTAAAAGGTTTCTCTCTACATTCTTTCAATTTTCCTTAAGATTCCTTTGTAAAAGTTTCAGTATTATTTTGGCAGATATTGTACATTTCTTGTTAAGTTTATCACTGAGAATTTTGTGTTTTGTTTTTATTATGGATGAGATCTTTAAAATTTTCTGTCTATAATAACATGAGAAATCTCTTGAGTTTTTATATTATATTTCCTTTCTGGTTATTGACATTTGCTATTTTTGTTTGATTTCTGAGATTAATGTTCTTGAGTCTTTGAATGAGGCAAATCAATAATTTGCATCTAATAATAATTTGCAGCCATCTTTCTGATAGTTAGATAACTATTTTTGGGGTACAACAGATTTTCCAGAATCCACATATAGACAGTATTTCTGCTTCTTGTTTAATGCGTAGCTCTTTCGTGTGGACTTTTAAAGGAATTTGAAATTAAATAGATTAAGTAAAATTATTTCAGATAACAATACCTCAATAGGCACAAAGACAATCAAATGAAAAAAATTGAATCACCATGTTTATAATCTTCTAAAATCTGTATTCTTTACCCAAACTCTTTTCTCCTACAATGTGATGGTGATATACTATCCACAATGAAAAATACCGAAACCTAAGACTGGAAGTGAGGAACATTATTTCTGGCAATAGTAAACATTTCTGGCTGGGGGTCGTAAAATAAAGTAGCTTGGTAGGAGCAGAGATGTCTTCGGGGAAGTAAACTGTGCGTCGTTTAGGTGGAGGAAAGCAGTGGAGATAAAGACAGCAAGAAGCCACATGGAAACTAGGTATTCTCAGATAATCGGTATCAGGATAACTGAAATCCACAACAATTCCCAGATCTCACTTTCTTATGCTCCAAGGAATACACATTCTGTGTTGCCTACTGTATATTTATATAGATTAGTATTTTTCTCAGCTTGAATTTTGAAATATGAGCCACACAAATGGCAAGGTTTGCTGAAAGTATGTATCTCTTAAAAACTTTAAACCTAGTAAGAACAGGTGAAAATACTTTTCACACAATGCTTTCTGGATAAATAAAAAAAACTATTCACTTTCAGAAGCATTAAGTATTATAAACTGATGTATACCAAGTAAATGCTAAATGAATGTCAAATGAAATATAAACTATGAATGCATGTCTTTGTTTTTGTAAATAGTATTCTAACACCTTTAATGTTTTTGCATCTCGGTCATATGCTTAAATAAGGGTCACAATGGTAAAATACCTAGGAGAAGAAAATTTTATACTAAATTTCCAGTTGAATTATTGCAATGGACATGTTTGAAGAGAATCAAATTTTTATAATATCTTGTTCAGTTACAGCCCTAATCAAGTCTGCAAATCATGCCTTTCTATAATGTAAGATAAATGATTAAGGGTCCATTTTGTTATTAATTTCCATTAGCACTGATGAGAGCTGAGCACATGTATCAGAGGCAGAATAGACTCTTTAAGAACTAAGAAACATTAAATATATTAAACAGATAAGATATTTAAAATGTCTAGACTTTGATAGCACTTTCTTCAAGATCATCATAAGCAGAATACTGAAAGGTGTTAGCAATTCAATCAATGGAAGGCACCCCTTTTCTCTAACCCAGCAGTGAGAACAATTGCTCCTGAATGACAAAGAGGGAAGCTCTTCTGAAAATGCTATCATTTGGTTGTACCCAAAGCTCTTCTGCAAACACTGCCAACTACTTGTAGTCATTGAAGACTTTATAGCGCTAGAAAAATAAATGAACGTGAGTACCACATTGCTCTCCACCAACTTGTGCATGGATCTGTCTCAGTTCTGCAGGTTCTCTTTTGTATTGAGAAACTTGCTAGTGCTGCCTTCTGTTTTTCTGTTTTAGAAACAATTTTCAGAATCTGTTTATACCAGCAGGGAGAAAGATATTTTCTTTGTAGGAGGCTGATGTACCCGGAATCCCTCATTTTGGTCCTATAGCTTCTACCTAGCTAATACCTATTAAGTAAAATTTTAAAAGAAACAATTCCAATAATGTCTATTTATTTCTTCCTAATTCTTTTTTCTTGTGAAACATCATGATGCCTATCTGTGGAGCTAAGATGCTGAAGTGGTCACCACACTTTCCCTTCACATATTTATTTTACCAAAAATTACTTTGAAAGTCTATGTGCAAGTCTAAAGATACCTTTTACTTTAAAACTTCCCCTGTTTATGTACAGAAAAATATTTTTTGCCAAGATGGCTTAGGAAAGGCAATACTAGCAAATGAAAACCTAAATTAAGGAAGAGAGAATAAATAAATTTTTAATCATACAAAATTTAATACTTATGTTAAGGAACAAAATATTAAAAGTCGTTTTATACAGAGTGAATTTATCTCAGAGCTGAATTCAAAGTTGGGCAGCTTTGAGTGATATGATAATCATGTTTTCCCCCTTCAGTTGTACTAGGGGATTGAAATTTATATACTCAATAACTAGAAAAGAATCATAAAGGATCAGAGTGGAGGAACCTGTCTCCCTCCATTTTTTGCTGTCATTCCCACAGTGATTTTAATATTTTTCCTATGTCTTTGCTGATTTCTTCTGCCAAACATTGTTTTCAAATGCAGGCTGTTCTGAAATGAGTACTATAAACTGCATGTTTCTTAGCATATACACACGTTTTCCAGGTACTACAAGGAAATCTTGAACAACAAAAAATGAAAACATAGAATGGCCAAGTCTCCTGCCAGTTCTAAACTTTACTAAACTGACTTTAAGTCTTACATTTAAACTATTTTTATCACTTAACTCAAAGTTTTTATCTTTCTGAAACATAAAGGAAAAGAGAATCTTTCACAAACCAAACAACATCACATTTTCTTTATTTGTGGTTTTCAAATGTTTTGGGCAAAATTCCAGAAACACTTACAGGTTTTATGCATTTAATTCATGTTAAACTGGACTAGTGATTTATACAGTATGCTTGAGGTTTTCTTTTTCCTCTGAATAGTGGCCAGAAATATTGTTAATTTATTGAATTCTTTGTAGAAAGTGATGTGTGCATTATGTGGAAACAGTAAGGCAGCTACAATGTGTCATATAAATAGATTCAATACCTTATGAAAAAAGTATACAACTTAAGGATAACTGGTCTTTTCTTGGATCAGATCAGAGATGTGACAAATGTTTCTTCTCGTTCAATGATCATAGCATAATTGAAAGAGAAACAAAGCAGTGAGTGGCTCTAGCTTTGTAAGCCATTTCTGCAGCTGTATATAAACTACTGTAGGCATCACTTTCATTTGTCTTTTTAAAAATGAAATATAGTCATCCACATTATGATATTTGTCTTCTTGAAATTGGAGCTTAAAAAATAAATTTTTATAACCATTTCAATTAAAGAAATATCCATTTGTAGTCATTTACTTTATCAGTAAACTCCAGTTTGGGCACTTATATGAAACCAAAATATTCTGTTTTACTTTTAATGACTATTACAAATAATCTAGTAGGAACATACAATACATCTTCTATTACATATTACTTCTAATTATAAAATGACAATGTCTTGATTCTATTCTCCACCATATATATTTATTTTGTGAAATACAAATATTTTCTTCTTCTGATGAATGAATTAAAAAATATGTGAAAATTGTAACAGCTTTAAACAATATCATGCCTTTTGGAGGTTGTGATTCCTATACATTTTTCACAAGCCACCATTTTCCTAGGTGTCTGTCACAAAGCTAGCAAATTCTTTTTAGGGCATTTGAATTATTAAAAGTTTGTCACATATTTTTCAGTGGAATGCTGTCTTCTCTCATGCCCTTTCACTGAATAATGTTAACCACATATGATATTCAAGTGATTTACCACTCTTAGTCACACATACTTCACAGTGTTTTTGCTGGCAGAAATGTATTAAACTACCCATGTGCTTTGATGGGTCTTCATTGTAATATCTGCTAAGTAGTTGACTTGTGCTGTCTTGCAATCTCTGCTGATCAATTTTTCACTGAATAAACAAATTTCACTACAGAAAACCTCAGTCCTAAACAACATTTGCAATTATATCCTAAATAGCTAGCAAACCATTCCATGTAAAATGCCATTGTTAATATCTTGTGCAATAATTCATTACGTAAGCCATTACTACATATGTTACGGAGCAAGAGGTTTCTCCTCCTACCTGTGAAGCTAATAAAACTATCAGAATATTTGTAAAATGTCACAATTTTAGAGATATGACCCAGTTAAAAGTATTATCAGTACCACAGGTAATTTAGGATCAAAATTTCTGTGAATGAATGACTAATGGGAAAAAGGGATTGGCCAAATTTGAAAAGGTGTTTTTTAGAAAGAAACTCTATCTTTTAAGATTCTGTTATATACTGAACTACTGATCAACTTCTTACATAAATAATCAGCACGTATTCAAACCAAGTTTCTGTGATTCTGTATAATCAATCAGCACAAAAACAATTATGAAAGGAGTAGGCCATGATTGAGCTGTCATTTCAGTGCAGCCACAGTTGTTGCTGATGGTCTTGCCTGCCCTAATTCATGGAGCGCCATTCATTTCCTGGTTTCTGGGTGTATAGCAATCCCTCCTCCATATTTCAGACTTTTGGAAGTACCCAAATGGAAAGGGTTTATAAGGCTGCCCTGATTAAATTCTATTATTACTTAGGACTACCCAATACGTTTGTATTTTCTTTCTGATAAGGCAGATATTTTAACCCCCTTTATAGGATTAAGTTAAGCATTAGTGTTAATTAACTACATCTCAGTTTATTTAATCTATGTTTTTAAAATTTATATGTAAATTTAAGAAAATTTCTTGAAATACTGTATCATTTGAATATTTGGCAGTGAGGCTATAGCAATGAAGAATGCAGTAGGGTTTTAAAAAGTTTAACTTGGCAGTCTTGACTTTTAATAATGTTCACCTGCATTGAGTGTACTTAATTGTTTTACACAAAGTCTGAACTTTGGTAATATTTCTCTTTGGACTACTTTTCTTTCTCATTGAAAAACATAACTTAAACACTGGAGTGACACTGTGTTAACATTAAGAAAAAAAATCTATGCTACCCAGAATCTTCATAGAAAAACTGAAAAGATGCCAGTACATTTAGAGGGCAAAAGAGTGAAATTTGAGAAAAAAAAATATGGTTGCAGAAAACCTCTAGAGGTTATCTTTCTGCTTCATCCTGCTGGCTTCAGGCAAACTTTACCTAAACTATTGTAGGCAGATGGGTATCTGGACTGTTTTTAAAGATTTTGAGGGAAGCAATTCCATAATCTCTTAATATCCTTCTTTATATCTAATCTTTTTGCTCATTTAATTTAGTTAATCTTCAGCAGACATGGATAATGTTACCCTTTACAATATAATTCATCATAACCTTGATAATTGAGATATTATTTATATATGAAAGAGTTTTCTCAGACAGAAAAGAATATTATAATTTTAAATAGAGACTTTAACATTGTTAATGTAAGACAAACATAAACTTATAAATTTTTAGACCAATTTAGAGCAAAGATAAAATCTGGTATTTAATGAGAAGATAATGCTATCTTTGGAAGGGCCTCTAACTTTTTTTCTTTATTGAAAAAAAATTCTACTTCCAAACATGGATAGAATCTTTGAACAATCCTAAGTTCTGAGATGTGTAAAATTCTGGCTTTCATGTTTAGTATTTAGTACTGTTTGTGCTGCAGGTTTGTAACAAATTTATGACTCCACTTACACATTGTCACTCTTCTAATTATTGTTAGTAGATAAATGTGAATCATACAATATTAATTAATTTTTTAAAGGTTTGAAATTGAGGTACTTTATATTTTCATCTTTCCCAAATTTTCCTGTGATTTTAACAAAGACACACTAATTTTGCAATTTTAAACATGACTATAAAATAAAGACATGTAAAAATTATAGTTATATGCAAATTAGTGTGGTCCTTTTCTAAGCAGTTAAGCTAGTAGACTGCATGTTTTTCTTCAGTTATAATAAAACTCTTTATATGAAAATGTCATGTCTCATTTCTTTAGCATTGGGTCAGCCAGACAATATAAATGAATAAAATTGTATGGATGGAAAAAAATCCATCCATGGACTGAAAATACAGTCCAAATTTATTTTTATTGTATAATATTATACAAATAAAACATTAAATATTTTAATTTACTTTTAGTTAAAAAGGAAGCAGATATGTAAAATATTAGATATGTTTAGTTCCTTCAATTACCTTTATATTTCATTAATTGTTAGTCTGGTTTGGACACAAAAAATGTTTTACTTTCTTCTGTTGTAGTGTCAACATTGGTTTTTGTGTATTCTGTTGAAATGCATCTTTTAATTTTAAGCAATGCTTAGTTTGCTTCAGTTTACAATGGAAAACAGATTTTCTCAAATATAGGTACTTCCCAACACATATACAAATTTTTCATAAGAGTTTGTGTAATTTGTTGAATTCTGGTTTTTAGCATCATCATGTTTAGATTTTTGAACTATATTGCATGGTATTTCAGCAGCAGATCATTTGCAATTCTTCACACATACTAGCTTCTTTTTGTTTAAGAATTTGGTCTTTAAATATAGAATTTGTGAAATTTGTTCTGTCCATATCTTTTGTGTTTGTAGAACCGTCTTAGCATAGAAAAATGAGCCAAATGTCCTGTGCCATTTAAATTTCCCGAAGATAAAGTTTCTCTGAGAGTGAGTTGTTCAAATCATAAATTTGTGTAACTAGTGCAAAAATTATTGCAAAGACATTTAAACAATTCTGACAGATAAAATATCAACCAAAAAAAAGCCATGTTTTTGATTGGGTTTTCACTGGTGACAGATGATAAGTTACTTGAATTACAAACATTATTTTCAATCCTTTATTTGTATGTATGCATATATGTGTGTGTATGTATACACATATACGTAATCAGCATTGTGCCATATAAAAACTATGAATCTCTGAATAGTAGAGAAGACTAGTAACTGGGTTTCCAAATCAAGCAAAGCATCAAAGTATCAGTGGTTCAAATTATAGGAGCATATCCAGCGGAAATTCTTCATTACTCTCATCATGGTGTGTTTCGTTGCTAACTTTTTAGCTCAAAGAGATGCCTCATGAATGATACTGTGAACACATGTAAAGTGTCTGGTCTCTGTCCTAGTAAGACATTGCTACCTTAGATTGAAGTTTCATACTACTGCAGGAGCAATGCTCTTATTCATGCTCACCAATTAAATTATTACATTCATCTCTTCAGGATTTTTCTCACAATATAAATAATGTTCTGAACTTGTGCCTGTCATGGTACTAAGGCCTTAAAGTGCTTTGGTCATGTCAACATTCTCATCTACAGCATGAATCATGTTGCTTCATAGCTGTTAATATTTAAATTTGGACTTCCATCAACTGTAATAGACAGCTCAAACTAATTGGTCCTGTAGTTCTCAAGTCTGTCTTCTACACTTTGAACTGTATTTTCCACTACACTTGTATTCGCAAATATTTGTTTCTATTTGGGGCTTATAATTTCTGCTATCCTCCATAAAAACTTCTTTATGAACTTATCAGCTGTAAAAGGCTTTGGTATCAGAGCCATTTTTTTTTCAGTTAATACACATTTGCATTTTACTAAGCACCACCACTTTATTTGCATTTCAAAATAAGTCCTGTTTAAATATCAGTCTTTTTCAGTTAATTAAACATTTTACCATACTTTTTTATGAGTTGGTCAGAATTTTTTTATATAAGCAAATTAAGTGGTAATCTTTTGACATAGACATGATACATTGGCATATTAAACACTTAGAATTTTCAGCATTTCCACAAATAAATATACATTCTCATTTTTCATAAAACATGGGCCCTCTTGTCTTATCTTATGTTTCCCGCAGAGACATGGATACAAGAAAAATTTCCCTCCATTTTACTTAACGAAAAATAACAGCATGAGTACTATGATAAAAAAATACCTAATACTTGACCTCAGTGGCAAAGAGAAATGGTGGGGACCAAGCAACTGAAGAGACCATATGCCACTTAAGAGGATGAATTACAACCCGTTTTTAGCTCATTGATGCTACATAAGAATTTCTGCATTTTTAGCTGAACCTAATATATGGAGCTGCATGTGAAATATCTTGCCAATAGCAGAGTAGACCAAACACAAAATACCCAGAGGGCAAATTTGGCCCAAGGACCATAAGTTGGTGATTCTGCTTTAATACATTGTTTTTTTTTTTTTTTTTTTTTTTTTTTTAGTTCATAACAGAATTACAAGCTTTACTACTCAACTTCACCACTAGGCTTTTCTCCAAAAAGCAACTCATAATTAAAAAGAAAATGATACTGTCCTTAGAGAGTAAATATTTTGCTTTTGTTGATGATACACAAAAAGAATCTGCTGTATACTTTCAAGAAAGTTTTGAAAACGTTTTGAATTTGTGAGGATAGCAAGTATGCACTCCGGAGTCTAATGACCTTGGGTATATCAACCTTTTGTGTCTATAATCTCACCTGTAATATGGGGAAACAATGGTTCCCACTGATGTGACTACTGTAGGAATTAAATGAATAAACATGTGACAATTCTAGTACACCTCCCTCCCACTAAAAGAATAGACTTTATTTTTAAAAGTAGTTTTAGTTTCACAGCAAAATCGAGCAGCAAGTACAGAGAGTTACAAATATTCTCTTACTCGACACATGCATAGACCCCCACTATCAACATCCCAAAGCAGAATGGTACATTTGTTACAATGAATAAATCTACATTGACAGATCTTTATCACCCAAAGTCCATGGTTTACATTAGGGTTCACTCTTGGTGTTGTGCATTTTATGGGTTTGAACAAATGTATAATGACGTGTATGTACCATTATAGTTCCACACAAAATAGTTTCACTTCCCTAAGCATCCTCTGTGTCGCCTCTGTCTACCCCTCACTCCTCTCTAACTGCTGGCAACCATTAACATTTTTACTGTTTCCAAAGTTTTACCTTTTCCAGCTAGTCATGTAGTTGGAATCATTTGGTATGTACCCTTTTCAGATAGACTTTTTCACATAGTTATAAGCATTTACGTTTTCTCTATGTCTTTTTATGGCTTTATAGCTCATTTCTTTTTAGTGCTGAAAAATGTTTCATTGTCTGGATGTACTACAGTTCTCTATTCACTTACCGAAGGACATCTCTGTTACTTCCATGTTTGGGCAGTTATGAATAAAGCTACTATAAACTTCCACGTGCAGGTTTTTCTATGTGGACATGTTTTCAACTCATCTGGTTTTAATTCTAATGAAGTCCAGTTAATCAATTTTTCTTTCAAGCATTGTGCCTTTGGTGTTTTTTCTGAAAAGTCATCACTACGTCCAAAGTCATCTAAATATTTTTCCATGTTATCTTCTGGAAGTTTTACTGTTTTGTGTTTTACATTGAGGTAAAAGATCTATTTTGGGTTAAGTTTTGTGAAGGATGTGCCTGTGTGTGGATTCAATTCTTCTGTTTTACATGTAGATGTCCAGTTGTTTAAGCATCATTTGTTGAAAAGATTACTTTTTTATCCATTGTATTGCCTTTGATCTTTTGTAGAAGTTCAGTTGATTATATTTGTGTGGGTCTATTTTCAGGCTTTCTATTCTGAAATAGGTCCCATTGACCTATTTGTCTATTCTTTCACTAATACCACACTGTCTTGTGCACAGTAGCTTTAGAGTAAGTCTTGAAGTAGACAGTGTCAAATCTTCTACTTTAATCTTCTCCTTAAATACTGTTGCTAGTCTTGGTCTTCTGCCTCCACATATGAATTGTAGAATTCAGTTTGTCAATATACGCAAAATAACTTGCTGAAATTTTGTTTGGAATTGTGTTAAACTTATAAATTAAGTTGAAAAGAATTTATATATTGACAATATTGAGTTTTCCTATCTATGAACGTAACGTGGAATATCTCTCAATTTATTTAGGTCTTCTTTGATTTCTTGCATAAGAATTTTTAATTTTCTCATATAGATATTGTACACGTTTTGTTAGACTTATATCTGCCTGAAGATTTTAGTAAGTAATAGCTATTCTTATTAAAATAATAAAAATAACATCATCATCTGAAAGTGACATATTCCCATTGATCCATTTTAAGGTGGCAATACTGATTTAAATAAACATGCTCTGGCATTGTTTCAAAATATCAATACTCAGTGGTGAGTACATGGGCATTTGTAATAACATCTATATTTTTGTCATGCTTAAATATTAAATAAATAAGTAGATATATATGTATATAATTTTTAAGTTGCACAACTTGATTGTCATTGCATAGCATAGACCAAAGCCATATATCCTAGTTTTAAATCCAAGCTTTATAATCTACTAACCATTTAAGCTGGGGCATTTTACTTAAACTTTTTGGCTCTAAACTTCATAGCTATAAAATAATAATAATAATACATTAGCTTATTTGGTTATTGAAAATTCAATGTATAAAACAATGCCTTATACACAGTTTATAATATATGACTATTAAATATTATACTCTTTTAGTCACTTCTTAAAATAAATGGATTATTTTTATAAAAATCAAGTATATATAATTTCAGATATGAAAGCAATATGTGTTCACCACAAAAACTGTAAAATAATATAAGGAAACATAAAGAAATGTCCTCATGATCCTGACACACAGAGATAACCATTATTTACATTTCAGTGTCTTTATTTATGGCTTTTTTTAAATTAATGTCTTTTCTTTGGTTTTATTTTACATAGTTGTGTTCCTATTATATTTACAATCTGGTACCCTGGCATTTTTTTTTTCACTTAGCATAATGACAAGAATATGTCCATTAAAAAAATATTGTTTTAAGTAGATGGGAAACATTCCACTCAATAGTTTTTTTTTCCTAACAATCATTGGCCATTTAGATTGTGTCAAAATTGTGTTACTCTAAATAACATTCATAAACATCTTTAAACAAAGCTTATTTCCTTAGGATATGTGATAATGCAAAAATTAAGAAAACAATTTATGTTACATATACATGTATATTAATCAAATCAATCAAATAAAACTGAGTATGTAGGTGCACTGTAAGTTGAAAGTAGGGAGGCTTTATATAAAGATAAAATGAATAATTTTACATTCACTCAGTGCAGAACACTTGCACATATGAAGTTATTAAACCTCCAACAGTCAAACCTCCCAAAGACTCAATAACCTGTATTCAAATATACACCCATCTTCAATTTCATGAACTGTACATGAGCATTAATATCATAAAAGAGTACATACTGTGTGATTCCAACTATATGACAATCTGGAGAAGGCAAAACTTTGGAAACAGTAAACATATTAATGGTTGCCTATAACATCTGTATATTATAGCCTCATAAAGAATAATACCTATTTAGGGGAAAATATACTGTTTTTATGTCTAACTTGAGGTATTCTTAAAGGAAGTAATGTTGGATATAAGTGGGAAGAGATTCTAGAACCCCATTCCAGGCTTCTCATAGTTTTTTACCACCAAATAGTCCTTAGATTGTCTCTGACTTCTCCTACCTGCTTCTCAAACTCAATTCCTGTAGTATGGGTTTTCTCACACACCAAGTTGTACTATGGGGTAAATATTGGTCTCATTTAAAATTAATCAAAGAAATTAAGCATTTTATCACTGTTTCTGGGCAGTATAAGATTACCAATATGACACTAATGAGTGATAAAATTCTAGCCAAAGACAAAGAAACTGATGCATTATAACTTACACAGAATTATGTTTAAGAAATGTCAACTTTCATTGGGATACCTGAACAATTAAAATTATTTCAAAGTACCACCTACTCATTTAACATACAGGCCATCTGGTACTTAGAAAGGACAAATACCTTGAACAAAACCACGTCTCTTGGCTTCTACTTTGATACATGATCGATTCCCCATGTTGATTTTTTGGTAATTTAAATGAACTTTAATTTAGTTATTTATAACAATTAACAAATTGTAGTGAAATAAATTATAATGAAAGGAAAAGAAGAAAAACAAGTTAACAGTTAAATTACAGGTAATATTGATTTTATAAATCTACTGCACATCACTGTTACAGGTGTTAGTTTTACGCCACTCTGCTTTAGCAAATATAAATGTTTTTATTTGTATGTACCTGTGAATTTGTTAAGATTCACTTATTTTTATATAAAGAGGGTGATTTTCTTTTGAAGGGCTAGGTGAATGTATGAATAGAAAGTGAAAAAACGGGCTGATCCTTATGATAGACATCAGTTTTGGAAAATGCTAAATCCATTATTGGTTCCTAATTACCAATATCCTACAACAACAAAGACCAATCTTAGAGAACCATACCAATATCCTACAACGGCAAAGACCAATCTTAGACTGCCATACCAATATCCTACAACAACAAAGACCAATCTTAGAGAGCCATAGAATCTTCCCAACCAAATCTGTGATATCAGTGCGATGAATCAAGAGTGAGCTGTGAGCCTTTTAAGTGCTTAGCATTTGGTGTTTAAACAGTAAAATTAAGGTAGAGTTCTTAAGGTCAGCAGTTTTATTGAAGAGGGTAGGGAAGGGACACACTGGCATTTCCAAAGATCCAAAAATTAGGGGTTTGCTTCATCCCTTTCCAAAGAGTGAGAAGTATAACAAAATTCCTGCAAAGTAGGCTTTACACAAAGGACTAACATTTAACCTAAATACATTTATCTCTTAGTACATCAAGTTCTTAATTGCCAAGCATATATTACCAAACTGAAATTGAGGATAAATGAATATTTTATATGCAGTCTCCAAAGGCATAAGAATTAAAAATTAAAGTAAAGGCACTTGCCAATGTTTTAATTTGCCTGTTAAAAAAGCAAACACAAATATTTGATGCTGACTATATTTTAAATTCTTCAAATCTAACTCAGTCAATCACAGTAGCAGTAATTTGTAACTAAATAGGGTTTTCTTGAATCTTACAGGGAAAGAATGCTGAGGACAACAACAACACAATGGCAACCGTTTTTTACTTATTATTTTACTCTCACTTTTCTATCACTGGGAATACTGTTGGGGAGCAAGAATAACTAACACTTTTCGAATATTTATTATGTGCCTTGCATTCTTCTAAGTACTTCACATGTATTAGTAGGTACTATTATCATTCCCATTTTATAGGACAAAAACCTGAGGCACCAACAGATTAAGTGATTTGTGCAGGATCACACAGTTAATAAGAAGTAACAGTCTAGAGATGAAACCCTTCCTTATAATATTGACACAATACTGTAATGCAGTAAAGCCTTAAAGCATATTATATCTTTTCATGTCAAGCAAATTGACAATTTTCGACTCATTTCCAATTGGCTTGGAATATGTCATCACACACCCAACAATATTTTTATATCCCAAAGATAAAATGAAGATTAGATTTCATTATATAGAGGCCCTTTAAAAATTATTTCCACAAAAGAGAAAAACTAATTTTTCTTTTAAAACATCAGTGAGAATGCTAAAAAATAACAGGTTATATTACTTGGTTTAATTTCCATTTATGGGAAATTAGATCACGTTGTGCTAAATCCATATAACATAAGGCTGTTATCCATGGGTTGCTTTGAATTTTCTTTAAATTCCTTCCACAGCACTGTATTTATCCCAAGTAAGTAAATCCCTTTAAACCCCTATTTTGTGGCTATCTGCCATGTGCTCTTATTACCAAAGGGTAAACCTAATGTTTAACTGTGTCCTTCTATTTGCCTTAAATAAAAGAAAACCCTAATACGTCAATTATAGCCAGCTCTCAATTATCTGTTGTCACGGGACAAAGACCACAACAGCAAGGATAATTTAAATCCACGAATAATTAGAAAGTCTAATTTTGCCATTATCTTGATTCTTCCCTGTAACAAATCTTTCTTGTTTGAACTGAAAATAGGTAGAAAAAAATAGACTCAATCAAATATTATGGTTTTTTTTTTTAAATGTTTCTGATATAGACTAGTGAAAAGGCTAATTGGGAGAGAAATCTATCCAAAAGCATCCAAAAACTGAGTGAGGAAGGTAACCTGTATGTAAAAACTCCCATTATTCATTCATTACGTAAGAGATTCTCAGGTGAATTTAGGGGTATATGAATTTTCCGAGAAAGAAGCCATACCTTCAAATTTGAAAAGTTTTAGATTTATTTATTTCTTTTTTTGGATCTGATCAGCTCACCAGTCACTGTGCTGATGCCATCCCATATTCCAGTGATATTAGCACCTCCATTGACATCTGGCAGGATGCCTTCTGTCAGGAGCCTTATAGCCAATCAGAGTTGATGATATTGTATTAATGGTTCCATAATAAAATGAAAAAGATGGCCTTCATTTTGATGAAAGCTGTAAAGTAGCTATTGTGCTTGTTTGGTATTGCAAGGCCCAAATGTATTATTTATGCAATTTTTCTTTTGAAAGAAAAACTGAAAGAGCAGATTTCATTTTATAGCATTCAGTCAAAGCTATTGTCTCATGAATGTGAACATTTCTGTATTTTATTTCCTCAGAGTGTAGAAGGCATTTTTTAGAGATCATCTAAGTGGGGATTTAAAAATTTAAAAACTGCTTTTAAAATAGGTAGGCCCTAATGACTGGATCTATTGTTCATACTGGTAGATAAGCTAAATCAACACTTGCCACATAAGAACTTGCACTTAGTTGGAGGTATAATTTCCAAGGTCTTAGCTAGTCATTAAGACTTTCTGTTTGCTTGTTTTAAATAAAGAGAAAAAAGTCAGTAATTTTATCATAAAGTAATTTATCAGGAACAAATGCACAAAACAATAAAATATATTTTTAAAATACTAAAGCTATTTTGTCTAAGTATGTCATTGTGTACTTTTTATATAGGAGTTTCAGTCTGCAGAAACATGATTATACCAAAGGAAAGTAAGAAGAAAATAATCCACTTATAGGAAAAAAAAAAAGCAAAACCAAATTTTAATGAAAAAGCAGATTTAAAATAATAACATGATATAATGACTTTCTTGGTAATTTTATTCAAGTATCCACTATCTAATTTGAACTTCATAGAAAGTGCAAAATTAGCACAGGTTGAGTAGCCCTTGTCTGAAATGCTTGAGACCAAAAATGTTTCAAATTTTGATTTTTTTTGGATTGTGGAACATTTGCACATATATAATGAGATTATCTTGGGGATGAAACTCAAGTCTAAACATGAATATATTTCATATACACTTTATAGCCTAAAGAAAATTGTATTCAACATTTTAAATAATTTTGTGCATGAAACAAATCTTAAGTACTTATGAGTAGAATTTCTAGTTCTGGTATCATGTTGGCACTCAATAATTTCAGATTTTGGAGCATTTCAGTTTGTGTTTTTGGATAAAGGATGCTCACTCTGTATTAATGAAGTAGGCAAAATTATAGAGATAGTCAAAGATCAGTGGTTGTCAGGAGCTAGGATGACAACCTAGGGATGCCTAGGGGTGAATAGGCAGAGGATTTTTAGGGCATTGAAACTACTCTGTATGATACTATAATGGTGAATAAGTGTCATTATGCATTTGTCTAAACCCATAGTCTATATAACACCAAGAGTGAACCCTAATGTAAACTATCAACTTTGGGTGACAATGACCTGTCAATGTAGGTTTATGCGACATAATTAATGAGCATGTACGGGAGCAGGGAATAAGGGAAATCTGTAACTTCTCAATTTTTCTGTGAAGCTAAAACTGCTCTAAAGAAAGGCTTAAAAATACAGATATGCCACATCTTCATTTTTGGCCAATGATCTTGCTTCTTATTTTACTAAGAAAATAGGAGTGAAGAAGATAATTTTACCCTGTTCCCTCTACCATGTTTACCCACTGTTGTTGTCTGAATGTTTGTGGCTTCCCAAAATTCATACATTGAAACTTAATCCCCATTATGATAGTATTAACAGATGCAGCCTGTAGGAGATGATTAGGAGCCCTTATGAATGGGATTAGTGTCCTTATAAAAGAGGCCTGAGAAAGTTTATTTGCCCCTCCTGCCCTTTGAAGACACATAAAAGGTGCCATATATGAGGAACAGGCCCTCACCAGACACCAAATTTTCCTGTAACTTGATCTTAGACTTCCCAGTCTCCAGAACTGTGAGCAATAAATTTGTGTTCATAAATTATGCAATCTAAAATATTTTGTTTTGACAGCCTTAACAGACTAAGACCTTCACCTACCTGCATCTGTGTTTATCTACTCTGTTTTCTCACCTCTTCCACGAATGAACTATTTAGTGCTCCTAGCTGAGGACAATCTTCTTGTACAATAAATCTTACGCATTCTTGCCTACTCAACACCATCACTCTAGTAATTATCCCTTCTATTGCTGTTATCAATTACCGTTTTTCTTTCTTCATGCGGTTATTTCTCTCATTAAAAAAAAAACAAAAACTCTTTCTTGATCTCCTTTGCCCTCTGGTTATCACCCCCTTCTTTTCTTCGATTTATATTAAAATTAATCAGAAGAGTTGTCTGTAAGTAACTAGTCTCCACTTCCTCTAGCACAAGTTTCTCTTGAATCCATTCCATTTTTTTGGCTACTCATTACTCCATCAGAAGTGTCCTTTTCTTTGTCAAAAATGAGTGCCATGTTTCTCAATTCAATGCTAAATTTTCAGTCCTCCTCTTATTTGATTAGTTGGCAACATTTGACACAGTTGAACCTTAAAAATTTCTACTTTTTGAATTTTTTTTTTGCTCTTGCCTAAGGATTGTTCTTTTCAGTTTCCTCTTCTGATTTTTCATAACTTCATAACATTGGTGTGTCTCAGAGCTTATACCTTTTACCCTTTGTATTTCAGTCCTTATACCTTTTCTTCTTTCTATCTGCATTCACTCTCTTGTTTTTATCCAGTATTGTGGTTTTACAGTTTTATTCTCTGATGGGGTCTTGCTGTGTTACCCAGGTTGGTCTTGAACTCTTGAGCTAAAGTGATTCTCCTGCCTCAGCTCTGGAATAGTTGGAATTACAGGCATGCACCATCACTAGTATCATGGTTTTAAGTGACATTTATAACCTATAACCTTCCAGCCTCAGCTTTGACCCTATATTCCAACGCTGAATATACAAGTACTTATTTGAAATTTGCATTTAGATGGGTAATAGTTATCACTCAAACTTAGCATGTGCAAAACCACTGAAACCAGTTCCCTCTAGTCTTTACCATCTCAGAGAATGGCAACACCATTCTTCTGGTTGTTTAACCCTAAAGCCTTCTACTCATTTGTGCACATCCGTCAACCAACCGATTAGCATATACTAACACTCGACCTTCAGAAGATAATCAGAATCTGATGACAATCACAATACTTTCATCACTACCACCTTAATCAAAGCAGATATCATTTCTCACTTGGAATATCGCAATAGTTTTCTTTTCAACCTTTTCTCTCCACTTCTATCTTATTCTTCTTAAGTCTGTTTTTAAGAAATTACCCAGAGTAATTGAATGAAAAGAAAGGGAAGTTCATGTAACAAGTCTCCTTAAAGCCCTTCAATAGCTTCCTGTATCACTTGGAATAAAAGCCAAATCCTTCTCATAGTCCTTGGCCTATACAGTGTCACTTCATTGTCTTTTTACTCTCAGGTATTGCTACTCTCCTGCTTATTCACTTTGCACCAGCCATCCTGTCCTCCAGCTTGTTTCTTGAACACAACAGACATGCCCTGCTTCAGGGTATTTTCATAGACCATTCTCTTCAGTGGTAGGAAGGTAAATTTAAATTTTGGAGTTCCTCCACATGTCTCCCTAATCCTTGCCTCTTCCTTTTTCCCTCACAGTTATGTCGAAGTGTTTTGAGGAGCATTAGCTTACATGGTATTGGGTTCAATGCACAGGATGTGCACCTTGCTTTGGTGTCATTATTACCTACTTTAGTATCTGCTTACAGTGCTATTCTTATCTAATCTTCCTTTATGAACCTTTACAGTTCACTCACTCCCCCATTTTCTTTATTAGTCCACAATGTTACTTCAGGCATGCCAGCTCTTCAGGTCATAACTGCGCTGTTCTTGATCTCCTGGTAAACCTTCCACTGCCCCAGTACCCCTCTAGGCTGCAGAAAACTCTTGTTAAGGTCATCTTAGGTCTTTCTGCCCAGATGTGTCATGTGAAGCATTCTACCCCTCCCTCCCCAGTCTAGGCATGGTGACACCTAGGGACCTTGTGAACTGCATCTCTTCCTTGGGAACAGGGAACTCAGCTCAGATTATTTTTGATTTAAGTCTTTCCCTTTCCAGGGATTCATTTTGGGTAGAAGAAACAGAAAAGTGTTATTTCAGAAAAGTGTTATTTCTCAAGAACCCACCAGTACTCATGTTCTCTTTCCCCTTCTTTGATTTTTCTCATCACCCACCCCTTTGTGGAAAATTTATGCGGTCTTGAATAGTGCTGGAGACTACAGAAAACTTCTTTTCCTTACTGCACATTTTTCCATAGCTTCTGTCTGTGCAAAATTTCGGGATTTGAAACATAAAACTATGAATAGATTTGCCTTTGTTGTCTTTGTTTTGGTGTACCATCCCTCCCTGGTGGCAGAAAGCAGGTAATACTCTAGCTACTCTTTGAAAGGGGAAGATAGTAATAAGATATAGAAAGTAAAGAAAAAAACTCTTCAATGTATATGCAAAATATTATCCTTCTACACAGAATTTATAATCTATTTGGAAGCAAATATAAGATACTCTAGCATAATATTTATCCCGAATATATATCCCGAAGAATACAGAGTATTTGTGTATTCTAGGTTCAATGCATCTTAATTTATGATGCAATGAGTTTGGTGTTGAGCTGTAGGTTTCTTGAGTTTCAGATTCAGGGGACTTCATTTCAGAGAATCATTAAATCACTTTGAATATTGTATGGATATTTAAATATATTATCTATATTACATATTTAAATATGCTGCACTATATTATAAATACACTGTAAATGTTATATGTATGTCATTTTATAGAGCTAGAGATAGAGTTAAATACCCCAAATATTCTACTATCTACTTTTGTTTTTATAAACTTAAATTAGAAATCTATAGCCATAAATTACTTTTAAAAAACTCTTCTTCTTTTTTCATATTAGAATGATAAGCAGAAAAAGATTATCAAGTACTTCATATCTAGTATCCTCTCTAGAAAGACAAAGTAACCCAGTGGGGCTTTGCTGATATTTGCTTATAGAGTTGTTATCTTCCCTCCTCCTTCCCTTCCTCAATCTTCTCTTTCTCCTCCTCTTTTTTGAAGACTAATTATGATGGTCTCCTCTGTAGTTATTTCCACCCTCATCTATATAAAGCATTCCCTTAAAATTCTGCTTGTGTTCCCTTATATCCTATAAAGCAATCAGCCCTCTAGTCCCAACTTCTGGGAATTTAAACCTTGTAGCTGCTATCACCTCCATCCTCAAATTCTGAATTATAAAAATTGTGTTTATCCTATAAAAAAATTGAACATTTATAACATTGAGGGGTTTCCTTTCAACTGAGGTACACTCAAAGTCTGAAATGCATGAGAGAATCTGGTATAGAGACATATTTCAGGTAAGGCAATGCCTAACTTAATCAGTTTAAAAACCTTGGAGGAGACTGGTGTCACTGTGGTAGCTGGGGGCTATCTGTGCACCATTTTGAAAGTTGGGATGAAGTAACTTATATCAGAACTTCCAAGTCAGAAGTGGTTTTCACTATGGAATTAGCTTCTCCAGCATCTAGATGACACATGTACCCCCAACAGCTGTAGTCAATCTCTTGGATTCTGATGTCACCTGGTGGATGACCTGCTACAGGTGGAGAGCACAGCATATTTGTACATTGGGCACTTTTTGTTACATTCTTTGATTTGACAATAGATACATTTTTTAAAATTTTAGAGTGTTTCCCTTGTTTTCTTCCTTTACTATTTTTGCCACTTGTAATAATGTGAAAAGAATCCAAAGGAAAAGCCTTCATTTTTTTTCACATAACCCTATTTGCCTTAAAAAATTTAAATATTCCCTTTTCTTCATTTATGTGCTCATTCTACAAATGCTTGTTAGGTATTTATTATGTGCCAGGTTCTGGTGAGGACATAATTTCTGCCCACTGTGTAGGTTATACTCTAAACACATCAACAGTCATGTATATAAATATTTAAGGGCTGGGCGCAGTGGCTCATGCCTGTAATCCTAGCACTTTGGAAGATCGAGGCGGGTGGATCGCTTGAGCCCAGGAGTTTGAGACCAGCCTGGACAACATGGTGAAACCCTGTCACCTTGTCCCTATAAAGAATAGAAAAAAAGTCATCCAGTGCGGTGGCACATGCCTTGTAGTTCCAGCTACTCAGGAGGCTGAGGTGGGAGGATTGCTTGAGCCTGGGAGTTCAAAGCGGCAGTGAGCTGTGAGCATGCCACTGCACTCCAGTCTGTGCGACAGAACAAAACTCTGTTTCAAAAAAAAAAATATGAAAATAAATATTTTAAAATTATTTTAGTGATTATCTTAGTCCATTCAGGCTGCTAAAACAAAATGTCATAAACTGGGTGGCTTACAAACAATTGACATTTATTTCTCATAATTCTGGAGTCTGGGAAGTCCAAGATCGAGGCCCTGGCAGATTTGGTGTCTGGTGAGAATCTGCTTTCTAGTTCATAGATGGTGTCTTTTTGCTGTGCTCTCACATGGCAGAAGAAGCAAACAAGCTTCCTTGGGCCTTTTTTATGAGGGTACTAATCCCATTCAGGAGGGCTCTGCCCTCATGTTTTAATTACCTCCCAATGGTTCTATCTTCTTGTAATATGACATTGAGGGTTGGGATTTCAACATGTGAATATTAGGAGGACATGAACATTCAGACCATAGCAGGGCCATGAAAGAAACACGTTCATAATTAAATAGAATACAACCATCAGTTTTACTCAGGGGTAGGCTTTAAAGAAGAGACCATTCTTAGACCTTCTAAACATAAGCACTTCTGTGGGTACATTTCTATTATTCAGCACATTTTTAATTTTACTCTGAAATTTATTATAATTTGAAGAAGAATTTCTATAGACAGGCTTCTGTCCATAATTAAATTAATGTAATGTTTCAGAAGAGTTACTTGAAAAGTTTTGATCTCATAGTTGTGTTCATAGTAGGTACCTATGTGGTATAAGCCACTACGGGTTCTTTGTTCCAAGTTAAATTCCTGAATTAGAACTAGGAATGAATGCACAGATTCATTCCTGATTATCATTGGTAAACCATTTCTGGCTATTTAAGATAAGTTTTCCAAAAGCACTTGTAATGTCTCTTGATTCTAGCCTGATGATTAAGAATGAGAAGCCGAATCTTGTCTAAAACTTGATTTAATTAAAGGCTTTCAGGAATATCTACTGGAGTTTTAGAAACATTGTTGATTTATGCAGAGTTATAGGGATAGAGAAGATAACTTTTCTTTGGTGAACTTAGCATAAGCCATCTATAGGCTCTCATATATTATGCACATGCCGTGGTCATGTTTTCAATTAAATGGAAAAGAGAGCCATTAGCTTGTATAACAAATATTTATTCATCCCCAACTGAATGCTGCAAGAGGAGTAAAGATAGAAAGTAGTATCAGAATGCATCATAGAATCTACACTACTCAGTCCATGTTGTTAAGCATTTAAGGTTTACACAGAGCAGCAGTGTGCTGCAGCAGTCACATTCCAAAGTGATTTTTCTGCAATCAGAGTTTCATTCATTACCCAATTTTCATGCAACTCCCCTGGCATTTGAAATATGTTTCAAGGTAGACTCCCCAAGGGCTTTTCCCCTCCCATAATAACTGATCTGCAGTGTCCAAAGACAGATCTAAATATCTTTGGTGCAAATTACTTGAGGCCTGCAGAGCATGATTCTCTGTCATCTTCATCACATTTCACACCTACAGAACTGATAACAGATTAATATCTAGGCTGAAAATATTTCATCAGCGTCTCTGGCTAAGGCACCTTGCATTATTTTATCTGGGGGCACCAATAAAAGGAGGAGGGGGCCCAGGAAGAAAAAATTTATTTGCACTCAGAGAGGAGGAATAAAAAAAGAATTTCCTCTAGTATTATGAGAAAGGCGACAAAGCTGGTCCTGGCAAAGTTCTCTGCTCCGATTATGTATACACTTTTATTCAATCATTGTATCGCTCCGTGTCTGACATTTGGTCAATAGTGCAATCTACCACCGATCAGAATAAAACAGCCACCCAGAGCACCTTGGAATTTCATTAGTTTCCTTTCAATGTAGTCCTTATAACTAGATGTTTATTTGGAAACACAAATTCAAAGTTCAATTCTGTGCCCTGTCAATATTAGTAAAAAGTCAAGGATCCTAGATGTTACTGTAAACCTGGTTTTTTTCTTATTTATTTATTTATAAAAAAGAGTTGAGGGAGGGACAGTAGAGCATAAAAACAGTTACTAGAATTAAAATTTAAAATAAAAAATGATTGAAAGCAAATTTTACACATATGGAAGGTCTATTTCTTCAATATTCTAGGTTATGATAAGTGCAAAAATGGAAAAGTACCCAGAAAATATTTTTACATGTGTATTCAGTATTTGTATATTATAAAGGATGTGAAAGTGAAGCTTAGTGGGAAAAGTGTTCTCGACACATAATATTGTTAATTACAAGGAGGGAGCACAATGTGGTGCAAGGAAATGGATTTGGTTTTGTCCAAACATAGACATTAGTAGTGGCCCAACCACATATTAACTGTTGGCTTTGACACAACTTTTGTCTAAGCCTCAATTTGCTTATCTGAAAATGGAGTTAGTGTCACCAAACTTGAGCTGGACAAGAGATGAAATATATAGTAGCATATATCTAAAGCAGGTCATATGATAAGTCCTTTATATTCATTTCCTCTCTCTTCCTTCCTTGTTTCCACAGTAATCAGAATAAAAATTATCTGAGTATCTTATTACTTTGAAAAGATTTTATTCTACTTGATACATTCTGTTCCTCAATTATAGATTTGTTTATTCGACATCTGTTTTATTTTCTTTCTTTCTTTCTTTCCTTTCTTTCTTTCTCTCTCTCTCTTTCTTTCTTTCCCTCTCTCTCTCTCTTTCTTTCCCTCCATCCCTCCCTCCCTCCTTCCTTCCTTATTATTTTTTTTTTTTTTCTGAGACAAAGTATTGCTCTGTCTCCCAGGCTGGAGTGCAGTGGGGTGATCTCGGCTCACTGCAACCTCCAGCTCCTGGGTTCAAGCGATTCTTCTGCCTCAACCTTCTAAGTAGCTGGGATTAAATTCATGCACCACCATGCCTGGGTAATATTTGTATTTTTGGTAAAGACAGGTTTTCACCATGTTGGGCAGGCTGGTCTCAAACTGCTGACCTCAAGTGATCTGCCCGCTTTGGCCTCATAAAGTGTTGGAATTACAGGCATGAACCACAGTACACAGCCAAGATCTATTTTGTATCAAATGAATTGATGTTTTAAGGCTATACAGGAACAAATGAATGAGTCAATTAAAGATCAATAAGAACTAATATTATCATAAGACTAAGTCAAATGATGCAAATATTCATAGTAACACCTTTTTAAGAAAAGAAATTTGGTCAGTTATTAGAAGATTATCTTTAACTGGGCTAATACTGATTTCATATTTTAACATAGTGTGCTGAAAGGATATGATCAAGGCCTTATTGCTATGTCAGATACAGATTTAAAATATTATCTGCTTTTGAGATAAAAAGAAATTCCAATAAACTCATAAAAGAGACCAAAACACTTGGTGCAATTGTGGGATTGACAACTTAAAGTTTTTGAATAAAATACATTTTATTTCATCATAACACATTTTTAACTTCTTTCCATTTATACCATTAACAGGCAGTACCAGTCGTGTTTTTTCGTTGTGTTTTTTTTTGTTTTGTTTTATTTTATTTAGAAGCTTTGGTTCTATTTTCTAAAAATTACTGTTTGTAATAATAAATGTAATATTCAACTTCCTATTCATACTTTAGTTTTGACCCATGGTTGCAATTGTCTTTATGTGCTTCGAACCAGCTAAATATTATTCTATATTTTATTTTCACCACAACAATGATTTGGGATATTGTATCTGAAGCAAAATTCACTTTCTGCAGATTATAAAAAGTGGAAAACCATTAGAACTCTGTAATGTCAATCACTGCAAAATAGGGACTTAAATTTTCTATGAAACTGTGCATTTTCCAGTGGCTTTTCAAATCAAATTACTGCTTGGTAATTAATATTTATTGGGTTCTTATGTGGTAGGCACTCTTCTAAGTTCTGTATGTATATTAGCTCATTTAATCTTTACAACAAACTTTATGAGATAGGTATTATTATTACTCCTATTTTAATGATGAGCAGACTAAGGTACAGAGACACTTACGGTCACAAAGATACTAAGGGGCAGAACCAAAGCATGAGTTAATGCTGTCTACCTCCAGAACCTGAGCTCTTACCCACCATTCGCGCAACAAATAGTTGGTATGTCATTTTTCTATGCAATGGAAAACTTGAAGATGGGAATATAAGTAGCTCTTTCAGCATGATCTACTAACAGAATTGGAATCTGAAGATAAATCATAAAACTTTTAATGTATTATTCTTCTGAAAAGACAACAGGATTATTAATATAATAGCCGACTTTCAAATTTTCATGAGGAACAAGTATTTACCAAAGCTTGAATGAAACATAAGGTATATGAATGGAAAATTTATGAAGATTGACCTTCTCTTTTACATTTGTAATCTTGAACCCAGAGTTCATTGGCTGTTATTAAATTGTTTTTAAGAAATGTGCAGTGGCATTGGTTCTCTTGCTTCTCTTGCATTTTTTCCCTTTGGGAACAATTTCTCCCCACTGCATGTGTTTCTTGTAGAGCTGTCAATCAAGAATTTGCATTCCCTGCCACAGCAGTAGGCACATAGTGCTTAGTGGTCAATTAGAATATCTCAAGTAGAATATCTCAACTCAAGGAGCAAGGTGATTGGTCCAGGGACACACCCACAATCCCAGCACAACCTGACAGAGGTCTTTAAGGGGAAGCGACATAGAAGCTGGGAAAGACACAGCTTCTCTCTCCCTGGAATTTAACTGTGGGAACCACATAATCCTGGAGCAGCTGGAGACAATCTGGCAGCAACAGAGAGAAAGCCTGACTGAGGAAAAAGCCACATGAAGTCAGGCAGTGGCTAGAAATGGAAAGGAAGAGATGAACCTCGGTGACACATTAGAACCTCTGGCCAACCATCTTGTTCAACATTGTTCAGTTATACTGGCTTTCTGTCTAATTCTGTATTCTAACAAACTTATTTCTGTCTCAGGGACTTTGCCTTTCTGGTTGCCTTCATCTATGCTATCTTTTCCCCAGATATTCACATGGCTTCATTCCCAACATCCTTTTTGTCACTTAGATCTCATGTGAGTTTTCATCTACACGGAGGGTAATTACCGGGTCATTAAATCTAAATGAGTTACCATATTTCCTATTTACTGTTTATGAGCTCACCCTGCTATATTTGATTCATAGAACTTTGTACTATCTGGCATTGTGTGGCACTGTCCACTAGAGTATAAACTCTGTGAGTGTAATAGAAAGGGATTTCTTGTGCATCTTTACGTACCTAGCATAATAAGCAACAGGCTGGCATATAAGAGCTACTCAGTAAATATTTGTGGAAAGATTAAATGTAAGGCAACAGACTTAAAAAATAGTTTGATTTGAGTTTCTATCACACATGACTGAAAATCTCTTGTTCCTTGTTACATGATACTATCAGACAGTCTATTCAGATGATTTTAAAAAGACATTTATAAAATCTGGATGAAAAAACTCAACAAATCCTCACAGAATTGTTTTCATTTTACGTGGTAATTTCATAGGCTACTGGACTAACTAGATAACCAAGAAGAAATGGATAAATTCTTAGAAACATATAACATACCAAAACAAAATCAAAGAAGAAATAAAAAGCCTGAACAGACCAATAACAAATAAGGATATTGAATCAGTTATTAAAAACTTCTCAACAAAGAAAAGCCCAGGGCCAGATGGCTTCACAGGTGATCTCTACCAAATATTTAAAGAAGAGTTGATACAAATTTTTCTCAAACTCTTACAAAAAAATAGAAAAAGAAATAACACTTCCAAATGCATTTTATGAGGTCACCATTACACTTATACCAAAGCCATACAAAGACATCACATCCAGACAAAATTACAAGCCAGTATTCTTAATGAACATAGATGCAAACATCTTCAGTAAAATGCTAGCAAGTTGAATTCAACAGCACATTAAAACGATTATACAACATGTCTCAGTGGGATTTATCCCTGAGATGCAAGGATGACTCAATATATGAAAACAAATAATTGTGATATACATTAATGCAATCAAAGATAAAAACCACATGTTCATTTCAATAAATACAAAAAAAGTATTTGACAAAATTGACCATCGAGCCATCCCATAAAGACTCTCAACAAAATAGGTATGAAATGAACTTATTATACTAAAGGTCACACGTAAAGATTACACTAATATTATAATAAATGGGAAATAATGAAAAGCTTTTTCTCTAAGATCCAGTGTAAACCAACAATGCCCACTATTGCCACTTCTAGTCTTAGCTAAAGCAATTGGACAAGAAAAATAAATAAAAGGCATCAGAATCAGAAAGAAGTAAAATTTTCTCTGCCTGCAAATGTCATGACCCAATATTCAGAAAATCTTAAAGACTCAACAACCCAAAACAAAAACAAAAAACTATTGGAACCAATAAACAGATTGAGTACATTTTCAGAATACAAAATTAACATACAAAAATTAGTGGCATTTCTATACACAAGTAACAAACTATCCAAAAAGAAAATTAAGAAAACAATTTAATTTATATTAGTATCAAAATGAATAAAGTATTTAGAAATAAACTTAAGAGGTGAAAAATTTCTACACTGAAAATTATAAATTATTGATGAAGGAAATTAAAGAAGACACAAATAAATGAAAAGACATCCCATATTCATGGGTTGCAAAATTAATATTGTTAAAATGGCCACAGTGCTCAAAGTAATTTATAGATTCAATGCAATCCCTATTAAAATTCAAATTACATTCTTTATAGAAATAGAAAAGACAATCCTAAAATTCACATGGACTCACAAAAGGCCCGAAGTAGCCAAAGCAATCTTGAACAAGAAGACAAAAGCTGGAGGCATCACACTTCCTAATTTTAAAAATATATTACAAAGCTACAGTAATCAAAACAGTATGCTACTAGCATAAAAACAGATATATAGACCAATGGGATGGATTAGAGAGCTCAGAAGTAAACCCATGTATATATGGTCAACCAACTGGGAAGGTGCCAAAAGCACATAATAGGAAAAAGATAGTTTCTTCAATAAATGGTGTTGGGAAAAACTGAATATGCAAATGCAGAAAAATGAAAAAATAAAATTACACCTTCATCTCACACTATATGCAAAAATCAACTCAAAATGGAACACAGACTTGTATTTAAAACCTGCAAATATAAAGCTACTAAAAGAAAACATGCATATGAGCTTCTTGACATTGGTCTGGGCAATAATTTTTTGAATATGACATCAAAAGCACAAGTAAAAAAAAGCAAAAATAAAGTGGAATTATATCAAACTAAAAAGCTTCTGCACTAGCAAAAGAAACAATCATCAGAGTGAAACGCAACCTATGAATTGAGATAAAGTATCTACAAATCATATATCTGATAAGAATTAATATCCAAAATGCATAAGGATGTCATACAACTCAATACGAAAATGACAAATAATCTGATTTTTTAATGGTCAAAGGATCTGAATAGACATATTTCCAAAAAGACATACAAATGCAAAAAAAACCAGGTTTATGCAAAGTGCCTAATATCACTAATCATCAGGGAAATGCAAATCAAAATCACAGTGAAATATTACCTCGCACCTGTCGAGATGGCTGTTATCAAAAAGACAAAAGATAACAAATGTTGGCAAGAATGTGGAGAAAAGGGAACCCCTGTAAACTGTTTGTGGGAATGATAGTTGGTACAGTGACTGTGGAAAACAGTGTGGAAGTTCTTCAAAAAATTGAAGATGGAACTACCTTATGATTCAGTAATCCCAACTCTGAGAATACATTTATCTCTCCAAAGGAAATGAAATCAGATTGTCAAAGAGATACCTATATTTCTATGTTCATTGCAGCGTTATACACAATAGCCAATATATGGACAAAATGTAAATGTTGACAAATGAATGGACAAAGAAAACATGATGTGTGTGTGTATGTGTGTGTGTTGTATGTGTGTGGGTGCATGTGTATACAGGCAGAGATAGGATATTTTTTAACCTTAAAAAAAATCCTGTCATTTGTACGAAAATGGATGAACCTAGAGCAGATTATGCTCAGTGAAATAAGCCAGATATAGAAAGGCAAATACTGCATTGTTACATTTATACATTAAACCTAAAATGGTCGCTGTCATAGAAGTAGGGAGTAGAATGGTGGTTGCCAGAGGCTGGCAAAAGGGGAAAATTGGTAGATGTTGGTTAAAGGGTACAAAGTTTCAGAATTGCAGACAAATAAGTTCTGTAGAGCTAATGTATAGCATGCTGACAACAGATAACAATTCTGTATTGCATGCTTGAAATCTGCCAAGTGGGTAGATCTGGTGTTCTCATTACACATGAAATAAATAGTAAAAGAAGAGGAAGAGGAAGAAGAGGAAGAAGAGGAAGAGGAAGAAGAAGAAGAAGAGGAAGAAGAAGGAAGAGGAGAGGAGGAGGAAGGGGGGAGGAGGGAGGAGGAGGAGAAGGAAGGAGAAGGAAACAGAAAGGAGGAAATGACTTGGGGCAGGTGATGGATGTGTTAATTAGCATGATTGTGGTGATTAGCTCACAATGTGTATGTATATTAAAACATCAAGTTGAATACCTTAAATATATACAACATTTATTTGTCAGTTATACCTCAGTAAAGTCAAAAAGTCAATAGGCTACAAAAATTCCAGAGTCATTATTTTTAAAATTAAATTTACAATGTTTTATCAATCAATACATGAATACATCTTAATTTTATGTCACTGTAACTAGTACTATTCTAGGCAGTAATAAAAATAGTATTCTAGTACTATTCTAGGAGTAACAAAAATATAATAGAAAACAAAGAAGATGAATGTAACACTTGGGAAATGAGCAGACTTAAAAAAAAAAAAGGAGCTTGCTATGATTTGAATATGCATCCTAAAGTTCATGTGTTAGAAAATTGATCCTCAGTGCAACAGTGTTGAGAGTGGGACCTACTGGGAGGTGTTTAGGTCATAATGGTTCTGGCCTCATGAATGGATTTCTGTCATTATTGTGGGATTAAGTTTATTATCTCAGGAGTGGGTTTTTATAAAAGCATATTTGCCCCCTCTTTTGCCCTCTCTCACTCTCTCTCACCAACATGATGTCTTTCATCATTTTATGACATACAAAGAAAGCCCTCACCACATGTGGCCCCTTGATCTTTGACATCCCAGGCTCCAAAATTGTGAGCCAAATACATTTATGTTCATTATAACCTACCTAATCTGTGGTTATAGCAATACAAAATGAACTAAGACAGAAAATTAGTATCAAGAAGCAGGGCTGTTGTTATAATAAATACTTGAAAATGTGGAAGTGGCTTTGGAACAGGGTGATAGGTAGATGTTGGAAGAGTTTGGAGGACAAGGCTAGAAAAAGTGTAGATATCTGTGGAGTATTAAGGGCAATTCTGGTGAGGACCCAGAAGACAAGAGCTTTAGGGAGAGTCTAAATTTTCTTGGGCTTTATTGAAGTGGTTGTGATTAGAATGCTAATAGAAAAATGGACAGTAAAGGTGATTCTGATGAGATCACCTTTCATCTGACAATATCAGATGAAACTGAGAAGCAAGGTCAGCTAAGCAGCAAAGCATTTATGGTGCTGCATGGCTTCTTTTGGATACTTACAGGAAAATGAGAAGAGAGAAATGATTTAAAAGTAAAATGTATAATTAAAAGGGAAGCAGAATGGAAATATGTGGAAAATTCTCAGCCTGGCCATGTAAAGAATAAAAAGCGCGTCTGGGAGATAATACAAAGTGTGTGGCCAAGAGATCATTTGCTAAAGAGATTAATATGGATAGAAAGAAGCCAGGTTCTATTCATGAAGACAATGGGAGAATGTCTCCAAAAGCATTTTAGAGATCTTTAAGGCAATCTAGGGCCTTGAGGGCAAGTTTTCAAGAGAGATGCTCTTAGGACCTCAGTATTCACTGCCCTGTGCCTTGTAACTCTGTTCTCTGATTCTGCAGCAGTGCCCTTTGGCCACCTCAGCTGTGGCTCAAGCAGGCCCAGCTATCGCTCAACTTGCTGATCTGGAAGATACATGCCATAAACCTTGGTAGCGTCCATGTAGTGCTAATTCTGCAGGGATGTAGAATGCAAGAGCTATGATGGCTTGGTGGCTTCCGACTAGATTTCAAAAGATGTTGTGAACAGCCTGGGGGCCCAGGCAGAGACTTGTCACAAGTATGGAACCACCACAAAGAGTCCCCACTAGAGGAATGCCCAGCAGAGCCATATAAGCAGGGCTACTACAGAGAGTCCCCACTAGAGCAATGCCTAGTGAGCCATAGAAGTGAAGCAGCCCCCCGTACCCCAAAACTGTAGGGCCACTAGCATGCAGCCTCAGCCTGGGAAAGCTGCAGGCATGAGGCTCCAAGTCATGAGAGCTGCTGGGTGGATTGAGACCAGCATAGCCACACAGGCAGGGCTGTCTGAAGTTTTGGGGCCTGACCCTCACCCCAGTGTGCCCAGGATGTGGGACATGAGTCAAAGGTGATTATTCTCCAACTTTAGAAATTAATTGCTTTCCCTTTTGGGTTTTGGACTTATGGGGACCAGTTAGCCCATCTTGCCCATTTCTTCTCTTTGGAACAGAAATGTCTTTTCTATGCATGTCTCACCATAGTTTTTTGGAAATATACAACCTGTTTAATTTCATGGACTCATAGCTGCAGGTAAATTTGCCTCAGGAGGAATTATGCCTTGAGTCTTACATCTGATTTAGATAAGAATCTAGACTTTGGACTTTACAGTTGATCCTGGAATGAGTTAAGAGTTTGGGGGCTATTTGAATGTACTGAATGCATTTTGACTGTGAGAAGTACATGAGTTTTGGAGGCCAGGGGTGCAATGCTGTGGTTTATATGTGTCCCCCTATGTTCATGTGTTTGAAATTTAATCCCCACTGCAATAGTATTAAGAGCCAGGGCCTAATGGGAGGTGTTTAGGTCATGAGAGCTCTGCCCTCATGAATGAATTAATGTTGTTATCATGAGTTTGGGTTTATTATCATGGGAGTGAGTTTGTTATAAAAGCTAGTCTGGCCTTCTCTTGCCCTCTCTTGGTTTCTCTTGCCCACGTGATGCCTTCTGCCATGTTATGGTGCAGCAAGAGGGCCCTCACCAGATGTGGTTCCTCAGTCTTGGACTTTCAAGCCTCCGGAATTGTGATCCAAATAAATTTCTGTTCATTGCAAATTACCTAGTTTGTGTTGTTCTGTTACAGAAACACAGAATGAAATAAAAAGAGGTTAATGTCAGTAGTAATAGTATAAATTGAAAATGTGCTGGCATAAAAGAAGGATGGAATCATATTGCCTGAAGTAATCAGAGAAGATATTCTGGAGAGTATAGGACTAAATCTGGATCTGGAACTGTGGAGAAATTTCTGATGATGAATAGGGGGAGGAAATAGCTCAAGTTAAGGAAAAAAGGTGGAGCTAAATGCAACTTTTGTGAGGGATGGTGAGGAGTGTACCACAGTCCACTGAAGAATTCATGTGGGGAGTTGAGAGGACTAAATTGATAAAGTCAGGTTATTAGAGGGCATAAATTAGAAACATTTAGCTTTTATATTATTTACACTAGAAATTCTTGCACAGAAAACTGATCCCATGATAAACACCTTAGGAAAATTAATCTGGCATTAGTATGCAGAAAAACTGTAAGAGGAGAGGGTTTAGAAAACTCTGTGGAAACATTGATCTCAGTTCATATGGGAAATATTGAATCTGTTGGAAAGGGTGGAGGTGGGGAAGATATGCAGAGGGAAGAAAAGATAGTTCATTCAAATTGAACTCTCAACATAAAATATGAGGAAAAAAGCAGAGAGTCAGGATTACTCCTGTGCTTCTATGTTTGGAAGAATGGGGAAAAAATGAGACCATTGATGGAAATACACAAGTTGGAAGTAGAGCTAGTTTAGGGATAATTATGAATTTGGTTTTCATAATCTAAAGTAATGGTAATATAAGTAAGTAGTATGTTTCTAATGGCAGTTCTCAATTTGGGGTTTAAGCAAGAGGTCAAGGTAAGAACCATAGATTTGGGATTCAGTAGCATTGAATCCATAGAGATCCAGGTCCAACTTATGCTTTAGGCATAGTAAGCATAGTGCCTAGGGCTCACAATACTTTTATTGGCCCATAAACACATGTTAATTTCTTTTTAATTAAAAGGAAAAATATGAACTTTAAGTCAAAAAAGTTTTGCTATATAATATTAATATATTCGTCTTCATACCAATGCAACTGTAAAACATAACTTAATATTTTGTTTCATGAAAGAAGGGGCCCAGGAAGACAAAAGTGCCTAGGGCCCATGAAAATCATTATGATGTCTTATAGATTGAGCTATGGTGATGAAAATGAATTATTAGGAAGTGAGCAAAAGGCAAAGAATGAGTCTTAGAGCAATGGTTCCTAAGATTTGTTCTTTCCTTGACATATCCATTTACATGAATAACATGCCTAAAAGCATGCATGGTGGCGTGAGGCATACATACTAATTCCTCACTAAATAGATACTGAGTAACTGGGCGTGTATTTCAGCCAGCAGGAGCATGATGACTGTTTTATCCACATCATGGTGACATGGATGGCAACCTCTAGCCAACTTTCTGTACATGGATCCTATCAATCCCCCAACTCCTTCCTTTAAGGGATCACTTAAAAAGAAAAAAAAGGAGATGTTAACTTAGCTTTCACAATCATTTTTCTTTGTTTAGATAGAGCATTTTCAATTTTTGAATCAGAAAAATAAAATCACAGAAAACTATTATTATAATGGTCTTAAATATGAGCATAGCGATAAAAGAATTCAGCATTCACTTGAGAATACTAATGCAAAATTAAATGGTATGTTGTTTAAGAATGGTAAGGAAACTTCTTCATACACCTGGTTAGCCACATGATTCTTCAGGTCTCCAAAGTGAGCTCTTAATGTAACATAAGGATGCAAAATATATTCTCAAAGCTCTGGGTCCCTACTCTATTAGTGATTTAAGAAAAAAAAGAATGCATTTTATATGTTATATTTTCCTAAGTATATTTTGTTTTTCTATTTTTCTATGCTGAACTCCTCTTATGTCAAATATCACAGAATTGCTTTCAATTTTTCTCCTGAGAAGACATGGTATTTAAAACTTATCTACAATTAGGTTAACCAGAAATTAATTCCTTGTTTTTGGTATATTTCTAAACTGTGCTCCTGTTATTCTTCAACAAACTTTGCTAAAGGAATGACTACATTTCTTTAACACTGCAAATAATAAAGTTAACTGTGTATTTGAGCAGGTTGACAGCTTCACTTCGCAAACTCACCGTAAATTCTGAAAACAAATAGTGGGCTGACAATGGTTGAGATGACAACAGAAATAATTTCAAGCAGTAATGAAAACAGATTTAAGCTAGTACACACGACGGTACAAGCCTTTTCTTTTTAAATGGTATACAAGGGAAAGCAATCAAAAGAGAAGGAGGCAACATGCCCATTAGGTATGGCACAAAGTCTTGGCCCATTGCAATAAGTTATTTACAAAATCAAGTTATAGTGCTTCCTTTGTCCTTACCAGCAGGTGCAGCTATTAAGCAGGAAACATTGACATATAATATGGCCTTGAGGGGAAAAATAGATGGTTTCTTTTCCTTTCCCTTTCCACTACAAATGCCTAACACCAGCATGATAATTTAATAATTCAATTTTCATTTATAGAAAAAAAATCCATTTATTTGGAGTATTTTTTTCTTTTTTTTGAGACGGAGTTTTGCTCTGGTTGCCCAGGCTGGAGTGCAATGGTGCAATCTCCCTCACTGCAACTTCCACCTCCCAGGTTCAAGAGATTCTCCTGCCTCTATCTCCCATGTAGCTGGGATTACAGGTGCCCGCCACCATGCCCAGCTAATTTTTGTATGTTTAGTAGAGACCGGGTTTCACCATGTTGGCCAGGCTGGTCTCGAACTCCTGACCTTGTGATCTGCCCGCCTCAGCCTCCCAAAGTGCTGGGATTACAGGCATGAGCCACCGCGCCCAGCCTGGAGTCTTAGAATCACTAAACTCTGAATACTTATGTGTGATCAAATCTTATGTTGCATATTTACTTAAGAAAATGCCTTTTTTGGTCCTCTATTTTCTTTATGCGATTAGTTTTCCTTCAAGTTTTTAGCAGAAGCCTACAACTGGAGTGTATGTTTAAGGGGAGTAGAATCAGCTATACATTTCTTCTTTAATAAAGTGAGCTATCCAGGATATGGTAAAAGCAGCCCTGTAGTACTGAAAACTGACCAGAGTTTACCTCTAGAAGTGGGATCATAATCGGAGTGGGTGCTGGGTGGTGGTCTTGTTGTGCCTACCTTAAGGCAGATAATGGAGTAGCAAATGTGGAAAGCACCCAGTTTGTCAGCAATGTCCTCAGAAAGTGTTCAGAATGCAAAAAAGAAAAGGCTGAAGAACCTAGAAAGCATGGGTTTAAGGAGCAGAAAAGCAAATGACATATAGTTGTGAATAAGACAGGATGAAAGTCAGCAATGAGCAACGTTTTACAAGCAGGGGATAAGAGAATCAAAGAACGACCAACAGTACCAAATGATAAAAACTGACAAACTTCCATTGAATTTGGCAATTAGAATAGTTTCAGGGAAACTGGTATCATATAAAACCAGAATGCAGTGGGTTGTATGACTATAAAAGGTAAAGCAAAATTAAATTTCCTTTGAGTATCTTGGGTGTAAATGGAAGAAGCAAGTTAGGGCAGCATTTGGGAGAATGAATGAATCTTAGAGGAGAAAAAGGAAATGGAGCACAATGACCTGAGAAAATTTAAAGAGCTAGATGAGAAGGGAAAAAGGAAAAAAGTAACACACTATGAAGCAAAGTCCATGGGTTCCTGGAGGTCTTGGAGGAGGTGGTAAAAGTTGACCTCTGAAGCTCAGGTGACAGTATTGCTTTTGATGGGGAGGTATTCTCTTTCTGGGACAGCAGGAGGGAGAGGGAGATAAGTGCAGACACAGTTAATTGGCTCTTTGTTTGTAAAGGATGGGCAGAGTTTCTATTTTATCTTCTTCATTATCTTTTTTCCATGAAACAGGCAAGAACACTTGCTGAGGGTGAGAGTAGCAGGAGTGTGGTAAATACCTTGAGTTGAGTAGGAAATCTTTGAAATAAATGCTGATAGCTTATAGGCAGCTGGAAACCATAATTATGTATTACTTGTCTACGCAAGGGCTTAAAGTGGATGGTAAAACTTATTCACAACTGACTTTGCAGAGACAGAATAATAGAAGAACAGGGAACTGATGAAATGATGACTCCTCCCAAGAAATTGGGTGAAATGGTTAAAGGGGTACAGTATATGAAGGGCAGCTCTTTAGATTCAGTGTTTCTTACTGATCTTTATGACTCCAAACTTTAGCAAAGAAACCAGCTTGTGATAGGCACAAAATAAATGATAGTTAAATGAAGGATGTCATGAAGTGGCTAATGGAAACAAAGAAGTGTCTGTCTTGATGACATTAAACATAGTAATAATAGTCCTTATACCAATAATAATGACAATAATAGCAAACATTTATTGAGTGCTTATATGTGCCAAGCACTGCTTTGAGCTCTTAATTTGCATTCTCACTTTTAATCCTCACATCAGTATATGAGGGACATAATATTGCCACTGCAATTTTACAAGGGAGGATCAGAGAGGTCAAGTAACTTGCCAAAGCCACATAGATAATGAATAGAGGAGTGAAGGTTTAAATCAAGTAGTCTAATTCCTAAGCTCATGGTCTGTAGAGGAGTGAGAGAACTAGAAGTATAGGAATATATGATTGAAGAGATGATATAGAGGTTTTAAGATTGATTTTGTAGCCGCATTCTCCATCATTTACTCCTCTCCTACTTACTGTTTACAACACCATGTCTAATGCACAACAGATATTTGATAAAAGGTTGAGTGATCGTGTAATAGAGGGTTTTGACAAGAGATGCAGTGGGGCTGCACATTTAAATCACTACATCATTTAAACTAGAGTAATAGCCTTTGAAATCTTTTTATTCTAGCATAAATATTTTTGGGTGACAAATATAAAACATAAATGAGATAATCAATAATTATCAGGCAATGATGGTAGCCTTGGTGTGTGATCTTTGTATCTTAATATTAAGATATTTTCCTTAAGGGTGGGGCTGGTCTAGGTTGTCCATCACCTTGTAAGGTTTTCTTGCACTTCTCGGACTCTCAGATTTCTTGTTGAGGTACCTGGAACTATGATGCCACCCTACCTTATTGGCTTATTATTAGGTAGAATTTTATTTGAGAATATAAAACAGGATTTCACAACTTTACTTGAAACCCATACTCTGCTTTAGTAAACACAAACATCACGAGTTCTACTTTAATGCTATTGGGGAACAAGTGAATCCTGTGAGGAAGAGCAAATCAGAAAAATGGGCAACATGTTACTTACAAATTACAGCCTGATTCCTACCCTCCTTAGCTTTAAGAGTCAGTCTTAAAACATTTGAAGTTTAAGGTAACTTATGAAATTGAAGAATAGAAAGAATCTATATCAAAGTTATGTTTAAAATGTTATGTTCACCTTGTTGCCTGTAAATATCCTTGGAAATTTCAGTCAGGATGCTATTACTTTAATCAACCTTTCTTAGGTCCTTGAGATCTTAAAACTAATACAACATTTTTCTTCAACACAAATTTTCTTCAGTTTTATTAACACATTAATTCAAACTGAAATCTGAAAATTTAAGTTTGAGTAGATTAGATTGGAAAAGATTTAATTATAATACCTTAACAGGCAAGGGGATCAAGCTTCCATCATAACTTTGTGTGCTAATGTAGTTTTTCCATAATATTTCCCTTATATTTACAATATTTAGAAAAAAAGCACTTGAACAAAAAAATTCAACAAATATGTTTGAATGAAAACTGTCGGTGAAAATAATAGATGTTTAGATATTTTTCTTTTAATATTAGCTTCCAGAGAGCAGAAAATAAGTTAGATATTTTAGATAAAAGATTTCCAATAGAATATGTAATGTTCTATGGGGATGTTTTTGAATGATGCATATAGAAAATTTATTGGAGAAAAGGAAACTGAAGCAAATAAAAGCAAATAAAAAAGACTAATGTTTTACTTTTCAGCACATTCAAACATAATTTCAGCAACATAATATATAAGTACTAAGAAATAGACTAAATATTTTATTTTAAACTATAAAATAATTATAACTCGATATTATAATATTGAATTTGATCATGTTCTCCAAAGAACAGAGGAAAAAAGAATTGCAGGTATTGAGACAGCCTTGAAAATAAGAACTCACATATATGTTTAGAGTCTAAAAAACATCAGATTACTCTCTTTACTATTTCATTTCTGTTTGGTGTTCTCGGGAACCAATTTCTGGCAATCTTCCAAATCATTTTTTTAAATTTAATTTTAAAAGGGTTTTTTTTATTATAAAAACAATTCAGGCTTATTTTAGAAAAACTGGAAAATATATTAAAGTAAGACAAAACAATTGTCCGAGCCCTGCAAAGATAGAAATACTGCTAGAATTTTGGTATATTTTCTTCACTATTCTTTCAAAGTTGAATTTAATTATGAAATTTTTGGGTTTGCCTTATTTTGTTTTTATTTTAGCAATTATATTTTTATTTTCTGAAAGTAGTGTTACACACATAGAGTTTGTAATGTAGAAGAGAGAAAAACATGAGGCTCCCATAGAGGTCTAAACTAGGAGAGGTATGAGACAGTAGACAAGGAATAATAAGGAATGGTGTATTCATTTGGATAGTCTAGGTTTATTTTGACTTATGCCAGTCTGGGCACAGTGGCTCACACCTGTAATCCCAGCAATTTGGGAGGCCAAGGCTGGTGGATCACTTGAGGTCAGGAGTTTGAGACCAGCCTGTCCAACATGGTGAAACCTCATCTCTATGAAAAATATAAAAATTAGCCAGGCATGGTGGTGGGCGCCTGTAATCCCAGCTACTCAGGAGGCTGAGGCAGAAGAATCAATTGAAGTCAAAAGATGGAGGTTGCAGTGGGCAAAGATAGCACCACTGCACTCCAGCCTAGGTAACAAAGTAAGACTCCATCTCAAAATAAATAAATAAATAATTATTAAAAAATATTTTTACTTATGCTGCATGAACATTGGTTTGCAGATGGGGCGAGTGGCTCTGCTCCAGGTGGTCACTCAGGGATCCAGGCTGATGGAGACTTAACCTCATGAAACAATGCCAGACACCATGGCAGGGCAAGAAAAGAGCTGGGGAATCATACATAAGTGTTGAACTGCTTGAACCAGGAAGTGACATGCATCAATGCTACTCTGTTTTCCTTGGCAGTCGTCACATGGTTCTCTCTAATGGCAAAGAAACTGAGAAATGTAGGGGAGCAAATAAAATATTTGGTGGATGCCACATTCTCTAACACAGAAACAAAATGAAGAGATTTATATTTTAATATATGTGTAAGAGCTTAAGTTCCACGTTACCCCTGATTTGATCACTACACAATCTATGCATATAACAAAATCGTACATGTTCCCCATAAATTTGTGCAAATAAAAAATGGAAAATATCCCACTTTAAAAAATTTTTTGAATTGCCCCGACATCTCATCTCCTTTCATAGGACTCTAATAACATTTACAATCTTAGTACAATTAAAAATAATTACATAAATAATTATATTGTCTTAAACTTTTCTTAGTTTCATTTGTTTTCCTACACAGATTTTCGTGCACAGAATAAGTGTTAGGCAACATTTATTCCATGAATATTGGTCTGTAACTTAAATATTGTAGACAAGAGAAACTGAAGATTACTAAAATATAAACTGTTACTTTGATATATTAATGACATACCTTGACAAAAATAGTATCTTATGTTTTTGTCTCTACTTCACTAGAACTACATCATTTACCTGCTCATCTTGAGTGGCTTCCCATTCCTTACATAATGAAATCCATGCTTCTTCACATGACATATTAAATTCTCCAATATCTGGCCCTTGCTTACATCTCCGTTTACCTCCTACCTGACATTTCATGTTCTCAAAGCATTTTTACTATGTCCCAATACACCACACTGCTTTTTCTTTCAGTGATTTTGCTTGAACAGTCATTGCATGGATCATCTTTCTGAACGTCAATCTCTTTTTCTAGAACACACCAACATTGCCTGATGAATTTCTAGTCGTTGCCTAAGACTCAGCTCAGATGTTATCTTTTCCTGGGATAACTTCCTGTCTTATTTGTTCAAATAGTACCCTGTGCAATAATACTCTGTCCTGCAACCATCAGCTTATAATGGTCTCTTATATGACTGCCCGCTTTACCAGACAGTGAGCTTTCCAAGGCCAGTGAGTAGGTCTAGTTTATCTTTGGACTCTGGTGCCAATCATAGTAATTAATTTATGTGTTTGAAGGTTAGATAATTGGATCCAACAGGTAGAGTAGTCTGAAAGCCTTTCCCTTTTCCTTTTACACAGTCCCTGAAATGCACCCTTCAAACCATTCTTCTTGTTTGTTTCATTTTATTAATTCAGTAGGGGCTCTTGTAAAGTTGAAGGTTACAGACAACATTCATTCAGAGTGCTTTTAAATAGGACGGAATTTTGCACCGTGTTTCAAGGATAGCTTTCTGCACCCTGGTGTAGAAGGGTCAGTTAACTTTACAGTGTGCCTCAGGGAGGCACATTATGTTCCTTCTCACCCTAGTAGGGCTTTCACAGTATTATGCCTTTCCAAGAGGCAGAAGTGCAGATTCTATGAAAAATGAATTATTAATGTCTGATTTTCACAGCAATAAAATATTTTTGCTCAAAGAGTAGCATTTCTTCCATGCTCTCAGACATTCTTTCTTAATATAAAATCCTGACCCTTTAGTAAGGTGTCTTTTTGAATCACAGATTTGCTGACTTTAATAAACACACTGCTGTTACTTTTAATCAGCATACAAGTTGAGTTTGGAAAGTTTGTGGTCTGATGACAATAAAAACTATAAGTGAATAGTTATAAATAAATATATAAATTAGACTCAACATTTCCTATGTAGAAAATGTAGTTTCTTGATGGGGATGGCATTGAATCTGTAAATGACCTTGGGCAGTATGGCCATTTTCACGATATTGATTCTTCCTACCCATGAGCATGGAATGTTCTTCCATTTGTTTGTATCCTCTTTTATTTCCTTGAGCAGTGGTTTGTAGTTCTCCTTCAAGAGGTCCTTCACATCCCTTGTAAGTTGGATTCCTAGGTATTTTATTCTCTTTGAAGCAATTGTGAATGGGAGTTCACTCATGATTTGGCTCTCTGTTTGTCTGTTGTTGGTGTATAAGAATGCTTGTGATTTTTGTACATTGATTTTGTATCCTGAGACTTTGCTGAAGTTGCTTATCAGCTTAAGGAGATTTTGGGCTGAGACGATGGGGTTTTCTAGATAAACAATCATGTCGTCTGCAAACAGGGACAATTTGACTTCCTCTTTTCCTAATTGAATACCCTTTATTTCCTTCTCCTGCCTGATTGCCCTGGCCAGAACTTCCAACACTCTGTTGAATAGGAGTGGTGAGAGAGGGCATCCCTGTCTTGTGCCAGTTTTCAAAGGGAATGCTTCCAGTTTTTGCCCATTCAGTATGATATTGGCTGTGGGTTTGTCATAGATAGCTCTTATTATTTTGAAATACGTCCCATCAATACCTAATTTATTGAGAGTTTTTAGCATGAAGGGTTGTTGAATTTTGTCAAAGGCTTTTTCTGCATCTATTGAGATAATCAGGTGGTTTTTGTCTTTGGCTCTGTTTATATGCTGGATTACATTTATTGATTTGCGTATATTGAACCAGCCTTGCATCCCAGGGATGAAGCCCACTTGATCATGGTGGATAAGCTTTTTGATGTGCTGCTGGATTCGGTTTGCCAGTATTTTATTGAGGATTTTTGCATCAGTGTTCATCAAGGATATTGGTCTAAAATTCTCTTTTTTGGTTGTGTCTCTGCCCGGCTTTGGTATCAGGATGATGCTGGCCTCATAAAATGAGTTAGGGAGGATTCCCTCTTTTTCTATTGATTGGAATAGTTTCAGAAGGAATGGTACCAGTTCCTCCTTGTACCTCTGGTAGAATTCGGCTGTGAATCCATCTGGTCCTGGACTCTTTTTGGTTGGTAAACTGTTGATTATTGCCACAATTTCAGCTCCTGTTATTGGTCTATTCAGAGATTCAACTTCTTCCTGGTTTAGTCTTGGGAGAGTGTATGTGTCGAGGAATGTATCCATTTCTTCCAGATTTTCTAGTTTATTTGCATAGAGGTGTTTATAGTATTCTCTGATGGTAGTTTGTATTTCTGTGGGATCGGTGGTGATATCCCCTTTATCATTTTTTATTGTGTCTATTTGATTCTTCTCTCTTTTTTCTTTATTAGTCTTGCTAGCGGTCTATCAATTTTGTTGATCCTTTCAAAAAACCAGCTCCTGGATTCATTGATTTTTTGAAGGGTTTTTTGTGTCTCTATTTCCTTCAATTCTGCTCTGATTTTAGTTATTTCTTGCCTTCTGTTAGCTTTTGAATGTGTTTGCTCTTGCTTTTCTAGTTCTTTTAATTGTGATGTTAGGGTGTCAATTTTGGATCTTTCCTGCTTTCTCTTGTGGGCATTTAGTGCTATAAATTTCCCTCTACACACTGCTTTGAATGCATCCCAGAGATTCTGGTATGTTGTGTCTTTGTTCTCATTGGTTTCAAAGAACATCTTTATTTCTGCCTTCATTTCGTTAGGTACCCAGTAGTCATTCAGGAGCAGGTTGTTCAGTTTCCATGTAGTTGAGTGGCTTTGAGTGAGATTCTTAATCCTGAGTTCTAGTTTGATTGCACTGTGGTCTGAGAGATAGTTTGTTATAATTTACCAATGACTTTCTTCACAGAATTGGAAAAAACTACTTTAAAGTTCATATGGAACCAAAAAAGAGCCCGCATCGCCAAGTCAATCCTAAGCCAAAAGAACAAAGCTGGAGGCATCATGCTACGTGACTTCAAACTATACTACAAGGCTACAGTAACCAAAACAGCATGGTACTGGTACCAAAACAGAGATATAGATCAATGGAACAGAACAGAGCCCTCAGAAATAACGCCGCATACCAACAACTATCTGATCTTTGACAAACCTGAGAAAAACAAGCAATGGGGAAAGGATTCCCTATTTAATAAATGGTGCTGGGAAAACTGGCTAGCCATATGTAGAAAGCTGAAACTGGATCCCTTCCTTACACCTTATACAAAAATCAATTCAAGATGGATTAAAGATTTAAACATTAGACCTAAAACCATAAAAACCCTAGAAGAAAACCTAGGCATTACCATTCAGGACATAGGCATGGGCAAGGACTTCATGTCCAAAACACCAAAAGCAATGGCAACAAAAGCCAAAATTGACAAATGGGATCTAATTAAACTAAAGAGCTTCTGCACAGCAAAAGAAACTACCATCAGAGTGAACAGGCAACCGACAACATGGGAGAAAATTTTCGCAACCTACTCATCTGACAAAGGGCTAATATCCAGAATCTACAATGAACTCAAACAAATTTACAAGAAAAAAACAAACAACCCCATCAAAAAGTGGGCAAAGGACATGAACAGACACTTCTCAAAAGAAGACATTTATGCAGCCAAAAAACACGTGAAAAAATGCTCATCATCACTGGCCATCAGAGAAATGCAAATCAAAACCACTATGAGATATCATCTCACACCAGTTAGAATGGCAATCATTAAAAAGTCAGGAAACAACAGGTGATGGAGAGGATGTGGAGAAATAGGAACACTTTTACACTGTTGGTGGGACTGTAAACTAGTTCAACCATTGTGGAAGTCAGTGTGGCGATTCCTCAGGGATCTAGAACTAGAAATCCCATTTGACCCAGCCATCCCATTACTGGGTATATACCCAAAGGACTATAAATCATGCTGCTATAAAGACACATGCACACGTATGTTTATTGCGGCATTATTCACAATAGCAAAGACTTGGAACCAACCCAAATGTCCAACAATGATAGACTGGATTAAGAAAATGTGGCACATATACACCATGGAATACTATGCAGCCATAAAAAATGATGAGTTCATGTGCTTTGTAGGGACATGGATGAAATTGGAAATCCTCATTCTCAGTAAACTATCGCAAGAACAAAAAACCAAACACCGCATATTCTCACTCATAGGTGGGAATTGAACAATGAGATCACATGGACACGGGAAGGGGAATATCACACTCTGGGGACTGTGGTGGGGTGGGGGGAGGGGGGAGGGATAGCACTGGGAGATATACCTAATGCTAGATGACGAGTTAGTGGGTGCAGCGCACCAGCATGGCACATGTATACATAGGTAACTAACCTGCACAATGTGCACATGTACCCTAAAACTTAAAGTATAATAAAAAAAAAAAAAAAGAAAATGTAGTTTCATGATAAGTTCAAATAGGGGCTTATTTTTTTTTTTCAGAAAAAGGTTCTCTGTATAAGTATAGATCTCTGTTTGACCAAGGGAATACTTACGTACGGTAGGAGACAGCACAAAGCTTTCTGTACTCTTAAATTCTACATTTCTGTCCTCTCAACCCTACTTGTGGTTTTACACTGTTAATTACACTATTTGCTCTGTTTTGTATTGCACTCAGATCATTTACCTCAGATCTAGTTAAAAACATCTCTTTACCAGTAATTCAGCATTTAAAAATTAAATTATTCAGAATTAAAAAAATTAAATCCGTTTTACATTGTTAACTAACATTTGTAAATGAATTTCAAGACTATTGACTATATAATCTTCTCAAAAAATATTCAATTTTTGTTTGCTTGCTATTCTAATTGCTCTTAAGTCAAATGATGGGGACTTTTTGTTCCCTGCCATTTATGCTAGTCACTTACATAAACTCAACTTAGGCTATTTAGAAGGTCCATACATCCATAGAGCAATTAAGCTTTGTCTAGCAGTAGGTTTCAATCTTTGTTCAGTAAATATAGTTGCTGTAAATGTAGGACAACTTGCCTTGTTTTTTGAATTGGAAAAAGCGCAACCATGAGTGCTTCTGCCTAATCTTTCTGTAATGGTTCAGCCTCATGGTTACTCATCAAACTGCATTTTTGAAGTTCATTTATTAAACCATAGAGGAAAAAAATTTCAAGCTTTATCAGTTCATGAAAAACCAAATACAGTGTCTCATTCTAACAAAGGCTGTTACAATTCTGAAGGTGATTTGAAATATGGCCTTTTAAAGAGTAACTTCCCCTAGAATGGATTTCCTGTGTTGGTTTCCAAAGGGAAACCATCTAAAATGACCCCTCCTAACGCTGAAAGAGTGTGTGAAGCCCACGTAACTATATCAATGCCTGGGTTTGCCCAGAACACTGCAATTAACCTCTGTTTCAGCAACTGTGACTGATACCATAAGAGGCATCACAAAAACCTTCTCTAGGGTCCAGGGCTTTGCCAGACATCTCATTGTTCCTTTTCAGCTTCATATTGGGGACATGGTCTCAGATAGGCTTCAGGATATCGCTAGTCCACTATCTTTCCTCAAAGTTTAACAAATTCTATTCCCCATTCGAATCTGCTCAGAACACACATAATGACTTCAGACAAGAAGGACTCTCCAAAAGTAGTTTATCAATAGAAATTAAAATCATTGTTTTCTCAATGAAGTATCAGGCACTGTAAGAATAAACATAAATTACAAGTATGATCTCTGGCTTAAAATGGCTGCTTTCTATCTAGATAGAGATATATAACATGAAAAACATAAATGTTACTTGAGAGTTGGAAAAACATGAGTCTTGTTTAGTAACATATTTTTTTCTTCATGTATTAACATGAACTAGTTTATTAAATTTAGCCATATCTTAGAGGGCATTTTCACATTCAAACCTGGTTTGCATGCCTTCTGTATGGCAGTCAGAGTACTGGATGATTTCACATACAGATTTCCAAAAGGTATGAAATTGGAATAATTATCTCCACTTTACAGATGAGAAAAGTAAAGCTCACAGTGTTTAAGTAATTTAGCCACTCTCATTCAGTTAGTTTGCTAATGAGCCTGGATTCAAGCTCAGGTCTACTCAGTGAGTCTGAAGAGATGGGCATGGAGCAGGTATGTGTCACTCTGGGAGGTGATGTGATAGCTGTGATGACAGGGAGGTGCTGAGATCCCAGATGGGGACTGGTGGGTATGATACCCACAGAAGGTGCCAAAAGGGAGAGGCTGGTGATGAAGGCAGCAAGCAGCAGGTCAGTCTGTCTCAATGGTATCCATTTACTGACTTTTGGAATCTTCCAAATCCCCCACTACACATATGGTTGAACTCTGTCACTGCAAGTACTGGTAACACTAGGCAGAAATATGTAACTGAATGAGCCCAGGATTTGCAGTCAGATAGATCTTTTAAATTCTTGTTTCTTCACTTATCAAATATGTGTCATTAAACAAGTTAATCATTTAACTGAATTCTAGTTTTCTATTTTATAGAAATATGACATTTACCTCACTGTGGATTACATTAAATAATAATAGAAAGCACTTAGCACAGCTTCTGTCAACTAGTAGGTGCTCAGTAAATTCTAGTTTACTTTCTTCTTTATTCACTTTCCTTTCTTTTTCCTGCCAACTAAAACATTCTGATGCTTGTTTTATTCAGACTCTTCCAGCTGATAGAATCAATTTGGTATATTTCTTCCCAATATGGAAACACATTCTCATATTCTTTATTTTATTTTATTTTGTTTTATTTTATTTTATTTTTGAGAAGGAGTCTCGCTCTATCGCCCAGGCTGGAGTGCAGTGGCGCGATCTCGGCTCACTGCAAGCTCCGCCTCCCGGGTTCACGCCATTCTCCTGCCTCAGCCTCCCGAGTAGCTGGGACTATAGTGCCCGCCACCATGCCCGGCTAATTTTTTGTATTTTTAGTAGAGACGGGGTTTCACTGAGTTAGCCAGGATGGTCTCGATCTCCTGACCTCGTGGTCCGCCCTCCTTGGCCTCCCAAAGTGCTGGGATTACAGGCGTGAGCCACCACATTCTCATATTCTGTGGTGAGCTCTTGGGATTTTGTGACACCTTACTCTTGCACACTACTAGACATATTAGTACTTGTGTCTCTTCCTAGTGTCCAGTAGCAAACAAATACGCCGAAAGACATAGATTTTATGTATTATCTTGGAGACAGCTGAAAAGAATTCCAGGAGCAAGTAAACAGAGGTCACCATGGGGAGACTGCTAGCAGATTGAAAATGCAAAGCGGAAGGTCGTTGCAGTCGTAGGGTAGCTGGAACTCCAGACTATGGCTTAGTGAAGGATTGAGATCTCCCTCTAATTCCCCCTGAAATCAGCCTCAGTGATGTTCTTCTAGCTAGTCTCTGTGGATCTAGTCTTATTTTCTCTTTAGTTTTTTCTTCACACAGCAACTACAGTGATGTTTATTTATTTATTTTAAAAGTATTTCATGGCTCGCCGTTGCTGTTAGGGAAAAATCTGAAAAACGTAGCTGGCATTAAAGTCCTTCAGGATTGGCCCCTTTGCTCCTCCAGCTGACTCTTGGCCATTCACATCATGTCTTGCAGTTTCAGGGACATATATACCACGCCCCTGACTCTCTACGGTACCTGGTGCATATGAGGTACTCATTAAATAGTTGTGGAATAAACTACTGTACTCAGACATTCTGCTCCCATTGATGTCTGACTTTTTTGCTAATTTAGAACTATTGCAAATAGTATTATAAATTTTTTTATCCCAGGAAATTAACCAGCAACCAATTCTACTAATATCAAGAATAATCTATAGCATAGATTGTCTAGTGAAGATTTGACTGATGTGACTATGTTTTTCATAATTGCTTTTTGATCACCTATTTTCTTTGGCTTTTGCCTCTCTTTGTCAAACATAGCTTTGTAGGCATCTATTCAAAATATCTGCTGATAAAAGGAAATTGTCAAGAAATCAATTATTTCTCATAGCATTTGAAACGATTTTACCAAGTAAAATGAGTCAATAATTGGACAAAGTGTAAGCAAGTGTAAGCAACCTAATTTTTTTTTTTTTTTTTTTGGAGACGGAGTCTCGCTCTGTCGCCCAGGCTGGAGTGCAGTGGCACGATCTCCGCTCACTGCAAGCTCTGCCTCCCGGGTTCACGACATTCTCCTGCCTCATCTTCCCGAATAGCTGGGACTACAGGTGCCTGCCACCACGCCCGGCTAATTTTTTGTGTTTTCAGTAGAGACGGGGTTTCACCATGTTGGCCAGGCTGGTTTCGAATGCCTGACCTCATGATCTGCCCGCCTCGGCCTCCCAAAGTGCTAGGATTAGAGGAGTGAGCTAACGCGCCCCTCAAGCAAGCGAATATTTAAAGAAGACTTAGGTGATTCCTTACTCTGTGAACACTTAGAAATTGTTCAGTAATTTGAAAGATTGTTGGAAACGGGGTGTTTATCCCTGTTCTGAATCATAAATTGGAGACATTTCATTGTTCCAGTAGCTGAAGATCTTCTCTTTTGTAGTACAATTATCTAACCGATTCTTGTAACTAAATAGGTAAAAGTTAAAGCACGCCTATCATTTCTTATTGAAATTAATAAGAATTAAGTTTTCCCCATTTGGTCATCTATTTTTGGATGTGGATTCTCAGAAACTGATCATACTGTATCTCAAAAGTCAATGACTACAACTCACAGACCTTCACTGGTTATGTGTTGGGTACTGGAGAAATGTGGGAATTAATTTATGCCCCGATAAACCTGAAAGCTTATTAGGTCAGTTAAAACTAATAGTAATAACTAAGCACTAATATAATAACGTCATTACAAGAGAAAACTGATAAGACAAAATTAGTCAATAATTGTACAATGAAGTGCCACCGTGATGAATGAAATTCTCTGTTCACTATTACTCCTGTTGTATCTATTGTGTTTATATCCACATTAGATATGATACGTATCATTCCTCTTTTATACCTGAGAAGGTGTGGGAGAGGAGTGGAGAGGGAGGGAAGGGAGGCAAAAATTACGTAGAATGCATTTATCAGTATCTACCTTATTTTCCTGTCTGATTTCTATTTAATTTTCCCAGAATGCACAATATCTTATAAAATAATTTAGCTTATGAAAATTAAAAGTACTATGATTGATACCCAGGTGTAAACAAAATTCTGTATTCAGAAGCAAAGCTTAGTTGTTAAACTCAAACCTGTATGAGGCAAACATCTATTATTTGAGTCACTATATGAACTTTATTATCTATATATCCAAGAGAATGGGTTAGGGAATAAAAATATCTAATCAGGTATAACTGACATCTAATCATGGAAAACTATTGGTGGTGATAATAATAGCAATATTAGATAATGTTTATCAAGCACCTACCAAGTGTCAAGCCCTTTACTAAATATTTTATATTCATTACCTCATTCAATCTTGACAATACTCCAAGAGGCATTCTCTTTTAGCATCCCATTTAAGCAATGAGGAAATGAAGTTTAAATAACCTCTCCTGGAGTGGCCAGCTAATAAGTGGTGGAGATTTGATTCTAAGCCATGAGTCTAAATTATTCCAAAGCTCGAGTCCTTCACCACCAGCCTTTTAAGATACCAAGATGAACAGAAATGTTGTTTCAGTTAAAAGATGGGTCACTTTACAAATATAAAGTTAGACAGAAAAATAGAAAATGCTAAAATGTGCTTGGTGAATCCTCCTCAGTGACAGTCAAAATGCAAAATTTCTGGAAACATTCTATAATTTCTAAGCTTCTAAATTTAAATGTTTCCCTGAGTTCCTCAGTTCCTCTGTTGTCCTTCCCTGACAATAACACTTTAGCAATTGTAGAAACAGAAGCACAGTGAAAACTGACCATTTGAGTGATTATAGAGTAATTGATATGATAATGTTATTTAAGTGTTCTGATCTTTATGCATGAAATCTTGCCAATGTTTTATCATTTGTGATATCATTTATTTAGAATGCAGGCTGAATGTTTTCTGGTGTCATCTCCATTTCTGGACAATGCAGACCTGAAAACCAATATCATATTATCAACATATCTTAAATGATAAAACAAAGCATATGTATGAAGGAGTTCATTTACTTTACCCTTTTTTATTTTCAGGAAGTCAAGCAACTTTTAAAAAGATACAATAAATGTGTTTTTGGCACATCGAATAATTTTATACACACATCTAAAATAAGCAGGTTCTAAGTACTGAGCTGCCCATAGTTAAAATAGTTATTAAAGTCCCAACAGCATTAAAATTTAAGCCTTCTTTATTACTTTTAAATCTCTTGTATTTCACTATGGATGGCAGCTGTTCAAAGATATGCACCTGTTAACCTTAAAATTGCTGAAACAATTTTTGTCCTTATAGATTTGTCACAAGGAGCTTGTAGGCTATATCTGCAATAGCTTATGTGAAAATGTTCCCTCTGCACTGCATCTAGGCTAAATATAATATATCCAGAAGATACACGTATTAAATATTAAAGGAATGTTTAATCAATATTAGTATGTTTAATATTTTTACTCATTGGTCCTTACTTTCCTTATTATTTGATGACAGAAATTCCTTTAAACTGGCAAGCCTTCTAACAGAAATTTCTTTCTTTCCTATAAAACCACTCTGGAAATAGATATGTTTGGGTGAACAAAAATGCTGATTGGAAGAGAAAGGGTTACTCTAACTCTCAGGACATTTTGATAAGATATTTTAATACCAATTTATTAAAGTACCAGCATACTAGTGATATTGCTGCAATTCATTGTACCTAGAAAACTCAGCATTTTATGGAGTTCTAAGGCATCCCAATAAAGACTCGCTCCACTCTAATAAAGCAATACTCCGGGCAAATTTACGGTTGAGTTCTATTCTAATAAATCTCCAATTGTAAACTAATGAAAAGACCCCACTATACCTCCCTCATCCACTCACACAAAAGGAAGCAATTTGAAAACGTTTGACAAAGTAACACTGCACATCATCAGCACTGAAGAACCTCATTTCCCGTCCATGGAGATATTGCATTATCATTCATATTAAAGAATAACCCAATGGCACTTATTTTCAGGAAACTAAATTACCACACAATCAATAATGCATTCTAGTTTAATCTGAAATTTCAGCATGTATGATATTCTGCTTTCAGTTAATATCTTGCTGTACAGCAAGCTTTGGTATTGCAATATTTCTATAAGAGAATTACCTGACTAAATAATCAAATGCTAAAGTAGCTAGCTAAGAGATATTAATCTATTCTGTAGATGGCTTAATGTAACCAGGACCTGGAAATAAAAGGCAGGTAAGCAAATATTTGAGGAGATAAAGGGAAAATTATCAAGCATTTTAACTATTTCAGAACAGAAAATGTCAATAATGGGATGTTTTATGCATTTGCAGTAGTTCTGCTTTATTGCCGATTTACATATAAATTGCCTTATTTTAGGCTCAGGAAGTTTTTTACATATCTGTTTATGATACACATCTCTGCTGAGATGTCAAAAAGGCTGTTGCATAGTTTTAAGTTCTTTAGACAGAACAAAATTTTAGCAACATCTTTATTAACCCTTGGTGAAAGTTGAAATACAGGTTAACTGTATTTATACCAAAATTTTAGCTAACAAAATTGACAATTTTAGCTTACAAAAACATTCCAAATAGGAAACTTTTATGAAAAGGTGAACACAACTAAATATTCATTAACTCTTCTTCTTTTGGAAAGAGGCTAAAGTTAGTGTTTTCATAAAAGACTAAGAAATGCAAATAGATCACATTTATGGGCCCCCAAATCCCCTTCTATAATCAATGTAAATGCAGTGTTTTCAGGTAGCAAATCTAGCAATTCCAGAAATATTCCTCTAAAATAAGTACTTTTGTTATCATACCCAGTAACATATTCAATCCAAATATTACATTACTTTAATATATAAAACTCATAAATGCCAACAGAATTTGCATTTGAATAGCATGTTAGGAATTTATAAATCCAACAGCATATCTAATTGGAAAATAGATAAGATTAAAAAATGTTGTAAAAAGGGAAAAACTTATTTTGTGTTCATTGTTGCCCTCTAGTCTAGGGAAAGCCTTTTGAAATTTTATTTCTGTGAAAAGTATATGGTCAATGAAGTCCTCAGTTCTGAAGCCTCGGACAGATACTCCTTCCCGTGTGGCTACATGACTTGATTGAGCAGCACTGAAGTTCTGCTGTGTAGCAAGAAACAGTAATGTTAGAAACAGGGTCAGCCCTTTCATAGGTGGAATAGATCAGGCATGATTCTCTGGAGACCTGGAAAGCCCTCTTCTAAAATGTTTCAGTGACTGATGCCTGATAAAAGATGCTCACATGATCGGAGAACAGGCTTGAAAAGTATTAGGAAGGCTGAGTACAAACTATGAGTTCCTTAATTTGATGAGGGACTATCTTGTTTAGTAGTTGAAAATAATGGCCTGGAAGAATGGACACAGCTGAACATACTCTACAGATGAACTTTTTGACAGATGTGCTGTAAACAAACCACAATATTAAGTTTAGAAATAAAAGCCTTCTTTCTTGCATTCTGCTATTCAACAACAGGGCCTCCATGTGTGAACCACTGGGACATTTTTCTTTTAATATAGCATCTATACCATACCAGATAACATAAATACTTAAGATGTAGTTAAAGAAATAAACTTAGCCTTTTAAGTGTTTAGAATTCCCATGAAACCCAAAGAATAAAATATGCCGAATAAAATTAATCTTAATGAGTCTCAGGTTGTTTGTTTGTTTGTCTTCCTTTAGGGCAGAAGAGAGCCGACTGGGTAAACAGTTCAATGAAACATGGTTACCTACTATGCCCTCTCTTACTATCTACCCTTTATTATTCCCTGGCACCGTTCTACTTTCCAGAGAGCAGGTAACTAGTGCAATCAAATCCCCTGATACACCTAAAAAATCTGTCTGCCCCAGGTTCCCTATAGTCTAGTCAGTGTTTTGTGTGGTATGCCTCGTTTCCAGTAACCCAGTTAAATTAAAGGTTTGTTGAGGGCTAGGCAATCTACATAATCACTTTGTATGTTTATGTTTTGGGGTTATTCTCTTCCTTATTTCTTAAGAATGACCTTGGAGTTTTTTAAAAACATGTCAATAAATTACTGCATTTTTTTTTCATTTTCTGTCTGTGTTCCCTTAAATAATAAAACTGCTCATTACTAGGTACTAGATTGAGTTGTTACTTGTAAATTAAATGCTCTATATGTTTAAATGTGGATTAAAAATGTCCACTTTACTTGACTTTGCATATAGAAGACCTAAGCATGAAAATAATTTTATGTTCTATATATATCAAAATCATATAAAATGCACAGGCATATTTTATATGTCATAACCACAGATGGGATACCTTTCTAAACATACTAACAAGTCTGTTTACTTATGAACTGAGGCATTAAATTATATTTTAAATTCTCTTTTTAACAAAAGCCTATTTCATGTCTGCTTGTACAGACATTTTACTGGATACTAGGAGGGATATGAATGAGTTCAAGTAAATGGACCCTGATCTCAAAGGTCTGAGACTTGCAGTGAAAATTGAAAAACAAACATGCTCAGAGAAACCAGAGAAAACATTTAAAATGGCAATAATTCACAACTGCATGCCACTGCTTGATTGCAAAACGGTAAAATATGAGAATTAATGGACCACTCAGAGTGGAGCTATATTTAAATGCTAAGATTTCTTCAGAGAGGTAAGATTGACACAAAGCATATAAAATTGATCAATGAAAAAGCAAACAGTGTTCATTGGTGACCTTGTCTTTATGGCCCTGATAAATTCACTCATTATCCATGTTATACATCCACTGTGGGAGCAAGGGGATGTACATATTAACCAAACTGAAACTATCACAGGGATATTTTCCAAGAACTGCGTTTGCAGTAATGATAACTGCCATATTTATTGAATTTTTTCTATGTGCTAGGCATTGTGTTAAATGCTTTACATACTTCATTATTCAATCACTAGATAAGTCTATAAAGTAGGTTCTATTATCTCTGGTATATAGATTAGGAAGGAAAGCTTTAGAGAGCTTGTACAAGATCAGACTGCTGTGGACTGGTACATTGCTGAGCTAGTATTAATTGAAATTCAGGCCTGTCTTGCTCCAAAGCCTCAATCTTTTCCTTAGGCCATGCTACCTGCAGTATCCCTGGAACATCACCTCAGGTACCAATGTCTAACTGAAATATATCCTCAACATGTGAGCAGAAGGTATTAATTTACTAATTTATTGATAGTTTGGAAAATTGAGTGTTTACTTTGTGTTAGGTGCTGTGAACAAAGCCGGAGAAGATAATAAATTTTCCAGGCCTCTAAATACCCACGTTCTAGTAAAGGCAGAGCTCAATAATTGCCATAAATATGTAAGATACAAATAATGCATTTCCAGGGATGAGAAGGACAAAAGTTTTGAGATGGTTTTATAAAAAAGGCAACATTTGAACTAATCTTCATGGATGACCTTCTAGTTGGCCAGTTGCGTAAGGTTGACCAGGCAGTAGGCCCCATGTACAGAGGTTTCAGAGAACTTCTGGTTGTGCAACTTGGTCACAATTAAAAGTTCTTAAGGAAGAGTGATTTAAAAAAATAAGGTAAGAAAATGAACAGGAGCTAAATAATAAAAGATGACCTCTGTAAACCAAAAATAAAATTGTAAGAGTCCCCTGCAACCAACTGACTGAATGGACCCCCTCTCTCAGCCAAGGGGATTTCAAATAAAACTAGTTCAGGCCACTGTGGGAAGGGAGTTCAGACATGCCTCATTATACTCTCCTCCCAAATTCAGGCACAAGTTACCAACATTAAGATTAAACCTGATATTTTAAGACTGACAAAACAGAATCTTTGTAGCAATAGGATACCAAATTCCAACCTGACTGTAGCATAGCATCACATGACAGATAGCAGGCCGCAAAAGAAATCAAAGTATTTAACCTCAAATTATACTTCTTTAACGTATTTTAGAATGGCTCAACATAGCTGTTTCTTGTGGGGAAAAATTGCATTCTATAGAGAATCTCCTTCTCTTACTGAGTATTTTCTGGAGAGTTTAGCAATTTTCAAAGGTCTGAATAGGAAATATTTGCCATCTATTGTCTCTAAGGATGGCCACCTATTAGATTGCATCAACATAAGAAGAATCTTAGGCCGGGCATGGTGGCTCATGCCTGTAATTCCAGTACTTTGGGAGGCCAAGATGGGTGGATCACCTGAGGTCAGGAGTTCGAGACCAGCCTGGCCAACATGGCAAAACTCCGTCTCTACTCAAAATACGAAAACAACAAAACAACAACAGCAACAAAAACATTAGCTGGGGGTGGTGGGGCACACCTGTAGTCCCAGCTACTCGGGAGGCTGAGGCGGGAGAATCGCTTGAATCTGGGAGGTGGAGGTTGCAGTGGGCTGAGATCAAGCCACTGTACTCCAGCTCAAGTGACAGAGCAAGACTCCATCTCAAAAAAAAAAAAAAAAAAAAAAAAAAGAAAGAAAGAAAGAAAAAAGAAAAAAGGAACCTGGTATCCCAAGCCCTTACCTTATCCCAGACACTCCTTTCTATTGATTCCAGGTTTTTAGTAGTAACTTAACTCTTTCAACCAATCACCAATCAGAAAATCTTTGAATCTACCTATGACCTGTAAACCTCCCACCACATCCCGCCTTTCTGGACCAAACCAATGTTTACCTCACATGTATTGATTGATGGCTTCTATCTCCCTAAAACATATAAAACGAAGTTGTAACCAAACCACTTTAAGCATACATACTTAGGACCTCTTGAGTCTGTGCTTTGGGCCATGGTCACTCACATTTGGTTCAGAATACGTATCTTTAAGTATTTTACAAAGTTTGCTTATTCTGTCGACACCTCATATGCCATGGTAAAGATGAAAGATTTGATGTATTTTTAAAGCAGCGGGGACTCATTAATAAATTTAGAGCACAGAGTTTCTTAATAGATTTGTTTTTGAGAGGGTAAGAATAAAGAGTTGGTGAAACAGAAAGCAAACAAAGAGGGCAAAAAGAGAGAGAATTGAAATATAAAGTAGTGCAGAGAGGAGTTGTTTAGGAGATATAATCAAGAGGATGTACTGGCTGATGGATAAGGAGCAATTCAGCATAATTTCAAACTTTCTGCTTTTTGGGATTGGCTGAATGGTAAAAGGAGATAGGAAATATACGAGGAAGAGTTATTAGGGGTCAGGGATTTCTATTTGGATATTTTAAATTTGAAAGGCCAATGACATATTCAGGTGTGTAAGAAGTAGTTGGATTCTGAATAAATGAGATATAAAACAGAGGAGTGGTATGAGGGAGCAAAACTGTTGTCTTCATTACTGTAGTGATTAGCTTGGATAATATGGCTTAATATGAGAGCCAAAAAACTCTGATAAAGAACTTCGAAAAAGCCCTCAATAGAGGTGGGCCCATGTGGAAAGTTTGCAGAGATACAAATTACAGGGCAGATAAACAGAGGCTGAAAATAGAAGAGGGAGTTATCAATTGGAGCAACCACCCAAAAGACCAGGAGGGTGATATCTAGAGCACAGATCACTGGGATTAGACACCTCCTATCTCTCAGACACTGAGCTATGTTCTGGGGATACACTGAAGAACAAGGAAGACACTGACTGCGCTTTCGTGGAGCAGTATAGTATGGGATGCCAAAAAATGGTTGAACAAATAAACTTATGCAAATGGTGCTCAATGCTAGAAGAAAGAAAAAAGTGCTGAAATGAAAAATAACTTGGTGAGGCACAGATGGGAAGCCTATGTAGATTGAGTGAACAGGGAGAATCTCTCTCTGAGAAGACGGCATTTAAGCTCAGCTAGGGAAGGGAAGAAAGAATGAGCAATGTATGTGAAGAGCTGGGAAAGGCATGCTAGGAAGAAACAACAGCATTTGCAAAGTGTCTCTGGAAGGAAAGAGCCTGGTAAGTTTGAGGAGATGGAAAAAGAGCATTGTAGTAATTCACTGTAAGTGAGGAGAGAGGTAGATACGGGCCTGATAACATGGGGTCTTACAAGCCATTATAAGAAAGTCTGATTTATTCAAAGTGCAATGGAAAGTCATTGAAAGGCAGCATCATCAAATCTGAGTTTCAATATCATTATTGTTGTCATGTGGAAAATGAACTGGAAGGAATCAGTGGAAATAATAAAATGAGGTAGAAGACCATTAGGGCATTCTGGATGAGAGATGATAGCACCCAGAATCAGTGTGGTTGTTGCAGACAAAAATGACTAGATTCGGTACATAGAATGGCTTATTAATGGGTTGATTGGGAGTGAAGGAGAGAGAGGAACTGAGGATGATTCCTGATTTGGTGACAACAACTGAGATAGGGATTATTGAGTGTGCGAGAGGACACATTAGAGCAGAAAGCAAAGGCAGAGTTTTAAGATGGTAAGTTTGGAGATACAATTTTGGAAGTGATCGATGTGGAGATGATAAAGCCATGTGACTAGATGAGTAACAGAAGGAACAGTGTTTTATCTAAAGAGAGAGAAAAGGAATAATTTTGATTATGTGTATAAATAAGTTTCCAGAAGAGGGAGACACTTCAGGAGGCCTCTGGTTAATAATTTATCTATCTATCTATCATCTATCTATCTATCTATCTATCTATCTATCTATCTATCTATCTACACACAAACATTTTTACCCTTGTGAAGTAGAAAGCAAGGCACCTTCTGATGAAGAGGTGAGATATGGGGCGGAAGGCTTGAGAAGAGTAGTAAAATTCACGAATGAAAGAAAGAGAGATGATCACAAAAGTATAAAAGTATTGACAAGCCAGTGCATTGGGAGGACATTGATTTATGGATTTATAACAGCATTAGTCCAATTTAATTAAATCCCTCCAGCATTACCCAAAGTGAATGATCAATCAGATTGATTGCTTTTGCAGTTTACAGAAAAAAAAAATGAAAAGGATGTTTGTGGGCAAGGTGGGGGAGGATGATAATTTTAAAAATTACTATAGTGAGGCCTTCTGAGCTGAGATAGGAAGAAAATAAAATTAGAAGGGAATAAAAGACTGAGAGATTCCAAGAGAGCAAGAATCTTAAAAGAAAGACTCTCTTGGATTAAAAATATCTAAATTTACACATTAAATGGAGGGGGAATATTGGATTGATGAGATAAAATTGACAGGATTTAGAGAGTGATTGAAAATGGCAAATAAAAAGTAGGGAAAAATTTGAAACGACTCTCAGAATTCCACCTTGGGTGATGGATGGAGAGTCCAATGCACCATCTAGGGACTTGGGAAAGTGAGTTTTTTTTCCTCTTTTTCCCTTTTCCTTCCAAGGAGATGACACCAGTGTTAGTCATGTAAGCTGGAGCTGCTTTTCAGACACCTGCATGGAGCTGCTAAGGCAGTTGAAACTGGTAGGAAATGCTTGAAATAATACGATTTAGGTTGAAGAATGATAATAAGTATGTAAGCAGTAGAAGATAGGAAATAGGTAAAATTGTCCTGGAGGTCAGAACTTCAAGATGCGCCATCATTGCAGGGAAAATTTTGTTGCCTTTGATCCCACATATTCATAGTTTCCTCCTCAAGTCCCTCTATTATCATAGAGCAACCATCTGTGTTGGTAAGATTCTCCAGCCACTGTCAGCTTTGTTACTGGCCTGGAGAAATTTGAAACTCCCAGAATGACCCAGAGACTTCCTCTCTTTGTGTTTTTACTCCATTGCTCCAGCAATGATGGACACCTTTGGTCTCCGAAGGGCTCACATCTGTCAATTGGGCAAGACTCATTTTAACTGCTGGCCAATTTGAATGTTCTCACAAACACCACGGCAAAACACTGGATCCAAAGACCATGCCGCTGATTTTCAAAAACTGTCATTAACTGTTCTGACTTATGGTTTCCATCAATATAACAAAGCATAATCAACCTTCATAATGTAGTTTGCTTTACTCTTTTCATTTGGTGGTTAAAGCAAATTTTGACATCCTTGATATCTCCAGAAACCATATATAAGCCCTATGGCTTTCTGTGGGAGGGAAAATTGTGCCCGGAGTCTAGACCAGGTACACATTCCTGGAGTAGAGCAGTAATTCAAAATCTCCTTACTTCATGATCTTGGGTTTCTGTTTCCTGGAGTATTATTTGAAAGTCACCTCTGTATTGCATTCAGCACAGTGAATAATGCACAGTAGGTACTCTGTACATATAATCTGTCCTCCTCTCTTTTTCCTTCTCCCACTCCCAGTTTTAAAACTGATGTCTATATAATGGATGCACACATAATGAAATTTGCTAACATCTCAGCTCTTTTTTTCATATTTAGTATGTTTCAGAAATATGTTATAGTTGGCATATGTTGGTAACTAATATCTATATTATAGTGAAGAACGATTACATGTACTCTTCATCCTTCTAAATCTGATTCTTAGGATAACTTTTCACTGGAAGCTACAAATTCTTTCACTTGACTGTCTATGGATTAATTCGTATTATGGAGATGGTTACAAATTTTGTATAAGGAGAGTGACCTATACTTTTGACTTCTGGTATGTTATTCTTTACATAACTCCTTACACATAGTAGGTGCTTAATAAACTGTGGATTGGTTTTCTTTCAAGTGATGGCAGATAAATATATCTTAAATGAATAATTTTAGGGATATTTTAAAAATGTGATGGTAGCTTAAATAAAAAAGTCCAATGTGGAAAGATAATAAAGTATTGATTAAAAGTATTAATGAAATAAATTTGCTAGATTAGAACTACTTGATAAATAATATTTCTTATTACTAATGTCTTTATTATGTATCTCAAAAATCCAAAAGCAGATTAGAAAGTTAACAACTAAATTCATTTTTCCCAAGCTTGTTAATACAAATGGATATATGTAATTTTACTTTTTTCTTAGTGAGTGAACTAGTATGTCTGCTTATTAGTTAGCAAAGCCTTACAGGTGTGCACATTTTGAGAAAAATACATGTAAACATTTTCATCTAACCATTTATTTTCATGAAACTGGGCTTTGGCCAACTATACGTGTTTTAAAATCACTTAAGAACCTTATTACTTTCATTGAAAGTCTTCAAATAAATTATAACATAGTCTACAAAGAAAATAGGCTCCTAGGGTAGATATATTGTTGCCTTTTATTTTTACAGCCCTTCCTTCCTTCCTTCTTTCCTTCCTTCCTTCCTTCCTTCCTTCCTTCCTTCCTTCCTTCCTTCCTTCCTCCCTTCCTTCCTTTCTTCCTTCTTTCCTTCCAGATATATCTGTTGTCTGTCTACTATGTGAAAAGTCCTTAAAGTCAGGGTTTAACATGAAGCTTCATAATACTTCCATTGGAGTCAGAAAGACTGGCAATTCAATATACGTGTAAAGAAATGAAAACACAAGATAATTTCAGATTGTGATAAGATCTATGAAGGAGGCAGATATGGGGCTGTGATAGAGATGTACATACTCACATACTCATAGCATTCAATGAATTTTCAAGAGATCATACTAAGGAATATGGAAAAAAGCCTGTAGTACAGAGCTTAATGGCAACACAATTTGATTCCAGCTCTCCTTTGCCTGACAAGCAGAACATAATCAAAATAAAGAAGAAACAAGTGATCTGGGGTGAAGTCACTTTAATTATACTTCTTATATTTAAAAATGGGAAATTAAACTATAAACAGATTATCATATTGATTATGTAAATATAATGATTATCTGAAAAATGTAAAAACTGGAGATGGGAATCTGGGTTGAAGGCAGAATTACTGTGTTTGTCTGTATGAATTTTTTTTATCCTCCATTCTCTTTTTGCTGCTCTCACTGAATGTTTATTATGCCAGGCACTGAGCCAGACTCTGAGGGTAGAAAAAGTGAATAAGACATTGTTCCTCTCGTCAAGGAGTTCACAGTCTAGAGGATTCATATGACACTTCACATTCCTAAGTTTAGCTCTCTTGGGAAGAAAAAAAAAAAGAAGCAAGTATAAAATTTCTTTGGGTGAAGCAACCTTGACCAAATGTAACTATGTAAAAAACCTACCTAAAATCCTTCTCCCTCAGGAACCTAAATGAATCTTTCCCTCACCTCATTCATGGCTCTGCTCAAGTGTTACATTCTCAGTAAAGTCTTTACCAGCCTTTGAATATAGCATCCTAACTTTCCCCAGGACTTCCCCATCTTTGTTTTTCTCCTTGGCACTCATCATCCTATAAATACCCTATGATTTAATTATTGATTTATTTTTAAAAATATCTGTCTTGTGCCTCTAAATGGTGAGTTCCACGAGATGAGAAGTTTTGCCTCATTTTGTTCATTCGCGCATACCCAGTGCCTAGTACGGTACCTGTCTCAAACCTGGTACTCAATTTATATTTATGAATGGAAGAATATTAAGATAATAGAAAAGTAAAATATATGTTGCTTTTGAAGGATTAAGTAGAAAAGAAACAGAAATAGTTATAATTAAGGCATTATTCTAAACCTTTCAAGGCTACCTCTGTACCTCCAGGTACTCATTGCTATTTATTGCTACCTAAACCTTGGTAAAGTGTCTTCTGCTCAAATAAAAATAAATTATTTACCATAAATTAGAAGGCAATGATTCAGCTACAGCTCAAACTCTACATGAACAGCTTTATCAAGTCATTTCTTTATGTTCTAGAGGATAGCTGACTAAGACAGCTACTCTCAAAAAATGATGTTTAAACAATTATGGTTCACCTGCTATACATTTATAATTCATCAATTAAAAAAGAAGTTTCTCTTTTACCTTAGCTTTGGGAAAAGTATTCTCAGAAAGAAAGCTAAGGTTGGATCCTGTTGGTGATTGTATTGTTTTAAAGATAACAACATTACCATATACATCTTGGCAGCATTTTTGAAGCTCAGCATTTTTGAAGCTCTAGTAGCCAGATTTTAAATTTTAAAAAATGTAGTTACCAAAATAAGGCTTTTCCAGTGTTTAAAAAGCTCAATGAGACTATATATTAAAGTGCAGTCCATTGATGACCATGTCTTATATTAAAAAAATATAATTGTGTTCTTGAACACTTTTAAAGGCCGAGGTAGCTTGTTTATTTACAATAATAATGGGGCCAGCTGTTATCTTAAGCAAAAGTTACAAGTAACATCGATAAGTGGAGTTTAAAATGGAGGAAATTTCCTCCCTCAGGGAAGAAATATTCTCACAGAACAATTTTTCAGGTATCAGAGAATATGAAGGTGGTTGATGCCAACCTACACTCATTGTTCTGAGCCCTTAAGGGTGGAAGGCCGACTAACTTGACTGGGCTCTTAAAACAAACAAACACAAAAGACATGGGACAATTGCATATTTAGGATACCAAATGTAGCTTGCAGGCCAAAAACACACACACGAAAGAAGGGAAGATGGTCTTATTCCTGAAGCTCACAACTAGAGATTTGGTGGGAAATATGTAATAGAAAGGTTGTTGTAGGCATTTTCTCCTTGTTGCTTGGTTAGCATAAAGCATTTAGTAAAATCATATTGGGTATATAAATACCCAATACATTTGAATGATAAATCCATTTTCCTTGGAATGAAAGCAGATAAAGGCATGGGTCCCGGAGCTAGACCCCTCAGGCACAACGTTAACTCTACCACTTCCTTCTTGTGTGATTTTGGGCAAATTAATTAACTTGTGTAAGTCTCAGATTCCTCCTCTTAATATAGGTTTATGATTATAACTCTTAGCTGTACTATCTTATAGGACTATTTTATTAAATTACATAATACATGCGTAAGTTCCTAAATAAATGCCTGGCATATGTTAAGATATCCATAAATGCTAGCTGTTCTTATTGCTATTATTAATATTATTCAGTCAAATCCATCCAAAAAATACAGAGACTTCTCCAAAATACCGAGGAATTTAAAAGGATAAAATATTTTAAATTTTCTTGTCTGTTAGTCTAAGACTTTTAAACAGAGCAATCTTCTTAGAGGGATTTATTACCATTGTTTTGAGATCTATTGGTGAATGCAATTTCAGACTTCCCTGATTTTAAAATTTGGGTTGTAATAAACTATTTGAATGTGGAGGACACAATGTAGTTAGTTACATAACCAGACACTTTTGGTTACATTCAAAAACAAAAAAAACAAAAAAAAGGAAAACAGAACAAACCAAAAAATATATATATATCTTTTTGAGATGGAGTCTCACTCTGTTGCCCAAGCTGGAGTGCAATGGTACGATCTCGGCACACTGCAACATCTGCCTCCCGGGTTCAAGCAATTCTCCTGCCTCAGTGTCCCCTAGTAGCTGGGATTACAGGCACGTGCCACCACACTCAGCTAATTTTTGTATTTTTACTAGAGATGGGTTTTGGCCTTGTTGGCCAGGCTGGTCTCGAACTCCTGACCTTAGGTGATCCACCCACCTCAGCCACCCAATGTGCTGGGATTAAAGGCGTGAGCCACCCAAAATATTTTAAGAAGTAGTTCAACTGCGTTGAAAATCTTAGCTGTGCTTTAACATTACGAAGATATTTATACCATAAAGTCCTTTTGCTTTTCATAAATTGTATGCTCCGGATTACACTTTAGATTCACACTTCTAACTTTCCATATAATCACAGAATAATTCCTGGGCAACAGTCTGCCCTGGGATTCTCACTCTACAGAGATGGGGCCAGGCAGCAGATCCCTATCCTCAATAAAGGAGCAACTTGATCCATGTTAAACTGCAATACAATGACTATTTAGAGCACTAAAAATATACTACTTGGTTTCTTTCTTTCCTTTTTCATTTGTAATAGTTAATTAAATAAGACTGAATGAGAATATAGCCTTTCTGTTTGTATTCTACTATAAGTTTTAGAATTAATTTTTCCTTTTTAATTTTCTCTCATTCATTGTTATTTTCAACAATAGAAAAATATTTCCTAGTAAAATTTCACTTATGGTTAAATTTTGGGATCTTCTGGGATGTATTAGACCTCCCCAACTTGTCTTCGTGAAGAAAAGAGAATATTTAAAGCTGGTAGTGAACCATTCTCAGTGCAAGGTTTCCCTCTTCATTATTTAAGCTTATATTAATTCAGTGATTTCTGGTAAAGATTTCTCTTGTGCAAGAGTGTCTAAATATTTCTACAGTGGTTCTAGCCATACATTGTATTGATATAGACAGGAGGCAGGAATGTGGGGTGCCTGGTGAGGGCTCCATCCTCAAGTCTGGACCCACAGCCCTAAATGAGAACAGTCATTCCTACTTTTATGCCCAAATACTGCCTTTTGGCTGACGATGCCCCCTATCCTGTGTCCATGTAAACTCCAAATGGCTGGCTCTATGAGCAGAAGAGTGGCAGAGCAGCACAGTGGCAGAATGGTGCAGCAGAGAAGGACAGAAGAGAAGGGGCACTTGAATGTCGAGAGGAATTTGGCTAGGGATGGTCAGAGAGGAGATTGGCCATAGGATGGCTGAACTCCAGGGGAAGATCATCCTTCTCCTCCATCCCGTTTCATGCTCCCCATCCATCCCACTGAAAGCCACCTCCATCATTCAATAAAATCCCTGCATTCACCATCCTTCAAGTTTGTGTGACCTTCCCGGATGCTGGAGAAGGACCCAGGTACAAAGAGAGCAGGTGTAAAAGGCTGTTACCCTGACACTCCACTGAGCTGGGTAACAGCCGTCCCTAGACAGCAAAGATAAAGGAGCATTGTAACACCCCTAGACACTGCCTTGGGTCCGGAGCCCAGAAGCTCTCACTCCAGCTCACCTGCATGCTTCTTGTAAGGGTTTGAGTGTGCAACAGCCCAGTGAACAAGTCACATCCCTGGCGCCAGTCCCGTGAGGGGTCAGGGAACTCTCCTGTTTCAGTATCCTCTTAAATTAATATAAAATCTGAGATTTTACTGATTTAATAACAGTTTAAAATTTCATATCTACATTACCATAAGAGATTACCATGTAGGTTACTGATATTAAAATTTAAAATAGAAAAAAAACAAAGATGTGAAAAACAACAACAACAAATTAAGCTGTGTCCTCTGGATTTCCAGAATTATTTATTTATTATTTATAAAGTGATGTGTTTAGATGCTTGGAAGGTGACCAGGATCAAGGTAAGCCTCTATTATGTCTTTGTGCCATATGAAAAAGTTTAATTTCATTACAGCATTTTTCTATTACACAAACATCTGTCAATAGGGAAGACTGATCTTCAGAAACACACACACACACACACACACACACAAATGTTAAATTGTAATAACTTATAAACTATGGTGCCTGGTGGACTCCCACTTGCAGATTTCCAAGATGCAAGTATCACACAGGTCAACTCACTGATGAGCTGGAGCACTGGAGGGTTGGGGATAACTTCCCTGGGGATATTAGTAAGAGTTTAGATGAAACATAAAGGATCACTGGCAGCTTCAGGTCTATGCCAAGGCTACTTGGCTTCTCGCACCGTAGTGTCATCCCATAAGGCCCTGCTCATTCCTTTACTACTCATACCTCGTGGTTATACTTTCCTTTTTTTCTTCTTTAATTGGAAAGATATACTGACCAGTACAATGGGTAATATAACAAGCATGTGTCTACCTCCAAAAGTGATTGATTTTTTTTCATATTTGCCTTTTTTGTACCTTGAACACTTCTCAGTAGTGTACTTCGCTGGCTTCAGCAGAGTGACAATACTCAGAAAAGGTAGCCCAGCATGTGTAATGGTAGATTGCATGCCATTTCTGTTATTGAACAGGTTCATAAAAATGGACTACATCAGATTAACAGAAATGCTTGTATGTTCAGGGCAGGCACTACTCATGATATTTTTCTATTTATGACTTTTTGTTCTGATCAGCAATGCATTGGTACTATAGTTTGTCTGTTTGTCCCTTCCAAACCTCATGTTGAAATGTGATGTTGGAAGTGAGAACTAATGGGAAGTGTTTGGATCATGGGGATGGATCCCTCATCAATGGCTTGGTGCCATCCCTGAAGCATTGATTGAGTTCTCAACTTATATAAACAGGTACATATATTTAGGAGATAAAGAACAAAGTTTATTAGGGAATTAAATTTGTCCAAGGAATTAGAGAATTAAAATTGTCCCTTTCAATTGGATATCTTCTAAAAGGCCAAGATGTACTGAAACATTGAATACAATCTCCTCTAATACCACAACTTTTCTCATCATGGCCCAGAATTTAGAAGATGCCTGCATCTTCTAACTTCAGCAACAGTAACTGCATGGGTAACTGTACAAAATGCATATACTTAGTCTATTGTTAGAGTAAGTATTAAATGTAAATCGTACTCTATTATTTCTGATGAGAGGTGGTTGTTAAAGAGAGTGTGGCACCTCCCCACTCTTCCTCTGGCTTCCTCTCCTGCTATGTGATCTCTGCACACACTGGTTTCCCTTCACATTCCATCAGCCTGAGGCCCTCACTAGGTGCAGATGCTGGTGCCATCCTTCTTGAACAGTCTGCAGAACTGTAAGCCAAATAAGCCTCTCTTCTGTATAAATTACCTAGATCAAGTATTCCTTTATAGGACTGAGACAACTGATCTCAGGAAATTAAGCTCTTAAACATAATGGAATGGTCAACGTAAGAATTTGCATGTATCTAAATCAGCTTAAGAAAATAAACCTGAAGATATACAGGTTTATTGAGAGGAGCAAATGTCCTTGAACTTGACATAATGAACTCTTCCTATTGAAAAGTGATACATAGGCCAGATTCTCCAATTTGGCACCACTCAGTATCCTACTTGCAAAAGAAGGAATCCTTTTACCCTGTGTGGAAAGAAGCACAACCACTCAGGTTGCAGACCAGTAGTAACTTTGTGATCCTCAATTTTCTTGTCTGTAAAATGAGAGAATTATGGTAAAGATAATACTTTGTAGACTTTGGAAAGGAGTCTGTAACACCATGTCATGGAAGTGTCTTTTTGCCCTGATTGAGCTAAGCAGAAGGAATGAGTAAACATTAATTTAAAATTTGAGTCAAGATGAATTTTCTTTATGAACTAGATGGAGCCCTGGACTTTTCTCTAAAAAATAGGACTTACTAATGACTTCACTATTTTGGAAATCCAGTCAAATTATATATTCGCTCAGAGCTTTAATGTCTTCATCTTTAAAGAGAACAACTATATCTCAAGACATTGTTGTTGGGGCTAAATGGAATCATGAAGGCACTTTTGAATAAAGGCACATTGTCAACTATTTTTATATGAAGATACAATTACTTAAAATAAAGATAAATCCTATATTACACCAAAAACTTACTCTCAATCTATTTTCATTAATATTATTTCATTTTGAAAGCAAACCTTTCTTAAAACAGGAGTTATGTTTGCTTAGTTATATGTAATAAAGAAAAGAAGAAAGAAAAAACCAAAGAAAAGAAAATAAAAGGAAAGAAAAGCTTTCCTAATTCCATCAAGTGTCTTAGATCTTTAGTGGGCAAAATTATACTCTCTAACATCAAAATATATAAACAGTTATATATATACTTAGGAGATACAGAACAAAGTTTATTAAAAAATTAAGTTTGTCCAAGGACTGATTCCTTTTCAATTGGGTATTTTCTAAAAGGCCAAAATGTATTAAAACACTGAATACCTTTGGGTATATACCCGGTAATGGGATGCCTAGGTCAAACGGTATTTCTATTTCTAGATCCTTGAGGAATTGCCACACTGTCTTCCACAATGGTTGAACTAGTTTACAGTCCCACCAACAGTGTAAAAGAGTTCCTATTTCTCCACATCCTCTCCAGCATCTGTTGTTTCCTGACTTTTTAATGATTGCCATTCTAATTGGTGTGAGATGGTATCTCATTGTGGTTTTGATTTGCATTTCTCTGATGGCTAGTGATGATGAGCATTTTTTAAATCATGCTGCTATAAAGACACATGCACACGTATGTTTACTGCGGCACTATTCACAATAGCAAAGACTTGGAACCAACCCAAATGTCCAACAATGATAGACTGGATTAAGAAAATGTGGCACACATACACCATGGAATACTATGCAGCCATAAAAAAGGGATGAGCTCATGTCCTTTGTAGGGACATGGATGAAGCTGGAAGCCATCATTCTCAGCAAACTATCGCAAGGACAAAAAACCAAACACCACATGTTCTCACTAATAGGTGGGAATTGAACAATGAGAACACTTGGACACAGGAAGGGGAATGTCACACACTGGGGCCTGTCGTGGGGTGGGGGGAAGGGGGAGGGATAGCATTAGGAGATATACATCATGTAAATGACGAGTTAATAGGTGCAGCCCACCAACATGGCATATATATACATATGTGACAAACCTGCACATTGTGCACATGTACCCTAGAACTTAAAGCATAACAATAAAAAAATTTAAAAACAAAAAACAAAAAGCATCAACAACAAAAAAACACTGAATACCATCTCCTCTAATGCCACAACTTTTCTCATCATGGCCCAGAATTTAGAAGATGCCAGCATCTTCTAACATCAGCAACAGCAACTGCATATGTAACTGTCCGAAATGCAAACATGTGTATGGAAAGTACAAGCAATAATTAAGAAGTGAAACGACACACCTCACATACACGAAGAAAGTGAATAATGGTATGAAGAGTTTTACTCTTTTTTACATGCTCCATAATATTGAATTACTTTTATTCTGCAGCTATGTCTTCCAAATATAAAAAAATTGAAAAGCATAATCATTTAGGTAAATGTGTTTATCTTTAGGTACAGGTGATAATTAAGCTTATAGGAAATTATGAACGCTGCATTTATCAAGAATAAATCTGGTTTGATTGTGCCATTAAGCTGGAGTTTCATCCAGCCTTAAGTTTGTATCTGCAGAAGAAACAAAATTGTGTGTTAATTTTTAAAGAAAAATTAAAGAAAGTGAAGTTTAAAATACATGTACTAATTGTAAATGCACATTTTCATTTCGTTGAAGTGCAATGAAGTGTTTTTGCTTCACTTTCACACACACATATTCACATATACACACAAATATAAATAAATTAGTATGTGATAACACGTATTATGAAAGGTCTTTCACACTGGAAAATATTGACCTCCACATGTGAGACATTTTTCTTAAGTGCTAACGATGTAAAGAAAATCTCTGACCTCAATGTGCAGGGAGGTACCACCTGTACAAAAAGAATTGTAATTTGATTAGGTAAATAGTGGAATGGAGGTGTGCATAGGGCCTAAGGGAATTCATGGTAGGTATCCCTAAACCATATTTTCTGATGTTGGAGCTGAGAGATGACACAGAGTAGAGCAGGAGTTGATTGGGCAAATATGCTAGTATTTGTGCCGATAGGCCAGAGATTTCCAGGCAGAGAGAACAGCAAGTGCAATCTTCATAGGTTCTGTGTACCCCTTTCTGATGCCTATTTACTTACTCAACTCCATAAGTGGGCATTCCTGCCTTTATGCCCCAGCTCTCTCAGCTTGTTCTCTTTGAACACAAGCTTCACTTCTGTATGTCCAATGCCTGGTACAGGCCTTGACATTTAATAAATAATGAGGAGGCAATCTAGTATAATGAAAAAAACACTTAATTTGGGGTAAATTCTGAGTTTGAATTCCATCTCTTGCACTTACTAGCAATACATAGAGTGAATTATATAATATTTTGAGACTTACTTTTATCATCTGTAAGATGAGAATAATAGGTACCTAACTTTGGAATATGTTATGAAGAGTAAATGAGATAATGAATATAAAGTACACATTAAAGTGCCAATTGTATACTAAGGATAGAATATGTGATAGCTATAGAGGAGATTTCTGGTTATCTATCAGTGAATTCTCTACTCATCTAATTTAGTAAAAGTAACCTTCTGAAGTTGTGATTACACTTCCTAGTCTATGTTGAGCCTAGGAGTAATAATATGAATAAGTTCTGGCTGATGGAAGACTAGTGAAAAATTCTGTTTCTTCCTTCTTGTTGAAAACAATGGCTGGAAAGTAAGGGTTAATTTTATACTATGTGATTGAAGCTACCATCAAGCTTTAAGAAAAAGAGAATGTGTATCCTTTATTCCAGGGGAACCCAGCCCACGGCCACGGACCTGTTAGGAACCGGACTGCAGAGCAGTAGGTGAGTGGCAGGTGAGTGAGCAAAACTTCATCGGTATTTACAGTCACTCCCCATCGCTCTCATTACTGCCCGAGCTCTGTCTCATGTCAGATCAGCGGTGACATTAGATTCTCATAGGAGCACGAATTCTATCATGAACTATGCATGCAAGGGATCTAAGTTGCATGCTCCTTAGAAGAATCTAATGCCTGATGATCTGTCACTGTCTCCCATCACCCCCAGATGGGAACATCTAGTTGCAGGAAATCAAGCTCACGGATCCCACTGATTCTACATTATGGTGAGTTGTATAATTATTTAATTATTTATTACAATGTAATAATAATAAAAATACAGTGCACAATAAATGTAGTGTGCTTGAATCATCCTGAAACCATCCTGCCCTCCCCAGTCCACGGAAAAATTGTCTTCCACAAAATCAGTCCCTGGTGCCTGAAAGGTTGAGGACCACTGCTGCTTTATTCCATAGTTAAACTGAAGCTCCCACTTCTGAACTTTTCCCGTGAAAGAATAAAACTGTTAATTTGACTTTCTCAATACTGGTAGAGTAGTAGTAGTAGCGGGTATCATTGATAATGGAATAGTGGTATTGGTAGTCATTGAAAGTTCAAATTCATAGAGTTTTGAGAGAGTGTAGTACATCTGGGTAACTGTACATGGGTTTGCAAGGGGTAGGGTGAGGTTAGGGGAGAGCGAGAGAGCCATAAGAACACTGGTAATTCATGTTAAGGACCATGGATTTAAACTATTGATTCATTTTAAGCATGAGTGTGAAATCAGATTTCATTTTAGATAGCTCATTCCACTCAGGGACAAAAAGGATTAATAAGCATTCCCTCTTAAGAAAGGGAGGCGGGATGCAAAGAGTCTAGTTAGAAGACCTACTCAGATATTCAAAAGAGAAAAGCTGATGGTCTAAACACAGGTAGAGGGCACAGCCATGGACATGTGTAGCTGGTCTAAGACACATTTAGAAGACAGGTTGTTTCAAAGACTGGTGACTCTTCATGTCAAGGATGAGTTAAGCAGAAGAGGAAAGAATAACTCAGATTGTGAGCTTGGAGTAATAGGCTGAGTGAATATTTGGGTTGCGAGATGATTTCTATTTTGGAAATGCCAAGTGAGGTGCCCAAGGAACACTCATTTTGAGATATCTTGTAGGCATTTATGCATTCAGCATCACTATCATCACCACCATCACCATTATTATCAACATCATCATTCTCTTCATTATCATCAAATCAAATTATTATAGGAATTTTGAACAAATCACTTGCATAGATGTAAAAAATTGAGATATTTTCTAGAAATGTGTGGTGTCATTATTTTTCTGAAACTACTTATAATATACTTGGTTAGGTTTGGAGGGATGACATGCTACAGCAACCGAGAACAGACTCTTTCAACTCTCTTTCATGAGTGTCAACATGCCTCTCATTAATTTATTTACATAGAGTTTTAGTTTGTTGGAAAAAAATTTCTGCCTTTTCTACTTATTATCCATGGAATTTTGGGCAAATAACTCTATTTCCTCATCTGTAAAAAGGGCAGCTACTGGTGTCTACCCTAAAAGATATCAGTAAAATTCATTAAACTGTTTCATAAAGTATAGACCACTTATATACATTTGTGATATAATCTTTACCGTGTCATTTGAAGCACATTTATAAGGTTTTAAAACCTCTATTTTTATATTTAAGGTTGCACAAGATGATATGCATGGTTCTATGGCTCTAAGATCTTCCATTGTAACTTGACATTTGAATATTCATTTTTTGATTGTCCACAGTTGTTTTTATTAAGTTTTTCTTAATTGCAGAGAATAATAACTCAAATAACCTTAAGCAAAAAGCAATTTGATAAGAGAACGTACATATTGGAATGGGAAGACAAAAGTCAACAGGAAAGAACACAACTATCCTTCTTGTAGGGTCTGCAATGTCATATTCACTCTCTGTCCCTTGGTCTCCCTCTGTCTTTCTCTCTTTTTCAGTGATTCTCATTTCAATTTAAACTTTATCTGAAGGCCAGCTTCTCTATTTAGTCATTGTTAATATTTCCTTATAATTTAGACTTGCAAACAGATTTTAACTTCCCATGACCTTACCCCACCTCTTACCATTCTTATTACTCTTACCATTCTTATTATATTACTTTGACCAAGTATAATACAAAATATGGCACCTGCCTTCAGCAGAGCCTTGACCCTAGGTCCTTCTTCCGCAGTGATGTGGGATGGTGAGCAATGATCGTCTCTATTAAGTATGGTTGGCATCGTCAAAATTATTTCAGGTAAAAAACACAAGCATGGGGAATTTAGCAAGATGGGTATGACTATCCCCTCATCTATTTTGTGCATTGAGTACAGATCCATACTTTTATTATGACAGCCTGAAATTATGTAAGCCAGGGAACAAAACCTCTCTAAAATGCGGGGGAAATATAGGTGGGAAATAGAGTTGAATGAAGGTTGGAATTTAAGCATAAGAGACAGACCGGGAAGAAAATGGTCCTAAAAGTAATATTACAAAAATGGTATTTCTTCATATAATGTGGTTTTTCTAATCACTGAGGGAGCAAAAAAATTAAAATACGAGTTTATGAAACGTAATGAAAACACAACAAATCTCAACACCATGATTGCCAATGACCTGAAGATCAAGAGCATTTTGTTGTCAGATCATTTAGGCTGTGGTTTTCCCAAAGACTACTCTCTAGAACTAGTGTCATACTTGGGTAATAGCACTTTGAAGACTCTGTAGTTAGTGTCTTAATAGATAAAAATTAGTTGTCAGACACATCTCCAGGTCATTTAATCTCTTTCATTTTATCCCTCTAAAATATTTCTGCTAAAGCACCCAAATAACACAACTAATCTTTAATAATCCACTTAGTATTTCCACAAAAGATTTGCATGTTTCACTGATATTTTGGTAGCTGCTTCTTGAGTTTATGAAGGATCAAACACATCAAGAAATTTACTATAATTTTATTTTGCATCAATTTTCTAAAATATTACCAATGGTTTATTAGCCACTAAAATATCAGAATTAACCTATTACTTAGCAATATAATTTTCTTAATTCTTAGTCACACTTCACCCTAATGCAGATCTCTCAAAAATCTAGTTTAATTCAATATGAAGGATAAAGAAAATCAGATCCAATGCACAAGTAATAAATATGTGGCTCTTGCCATGTTAATAAAATGCAAAATAAGAAAAACATCAAGAAAATGAATTACTAGTTTTGTTTTTATAAAACTTAAGCTTCCAGAGGACAAGAATGTTGTCTAACGTATGTCCAAGGTTGTGTACTGTTGGCACTTGGATATTAAAATTCAATATTTACAAGTGAAACATAATTTACTGAGCCATTCCAATGCACAAGCAAATGGGATGTATTGAATATCTTGGGATTGCTGAAATGCACTTTGATTTTATGCAACATCTTGTTAACTTTATCTGTTTTTCATAGCTCTTTTCCATTAGAGGGAGGGCAAGGGGAAAATTGGATCAAGGTCTTGCTTTTTAATACTAGGCATCAACACTATGAAAAAAAATCAAAGACACATTAATAAACTAAATATTACCTCCCACCGCTCTCTGGCTACCAGGCACACACAGTTCTTTCCACGGGACTCCTAAGAGGGCTTTCAATAAAGTAAAACTGTGATTTTGACATTTTTCTTGCTCGCTGCCAGGAAATTCTAAATTGAGTCCCAGTTGTTTTTCAGATTAATCCATTGGAGAAAAGAGAATCTGAACACAGTATTTTACAACTTTTTGAAAATGCATTTAGGCTAAATTTAGGTCTGGGTATATGTATATATCGCTAATTATAAAATGGTCCTCTTACATCAAGCACACCTTAGGAACATGGCTGTTAAAAAAGATGAGGTAAGGCATTTCTAACATGTAAGAGCAAATTTTCTGTGAATAGTAGGAACCAAATGTTTATTAAAATATTTTTAAGACATGCTATATTTTAAAAACTGGCCTGCTTTTAAGAATTGAACTATTTTCTCTCTTAAAATCATAAAAATAAAGAAAAATATCTACTGATAGCTTCGCTATTTGTGTTACATCTAGGAAGAAAATAGTACTTTTTATGAAACCTTACTCAATGAGACTTATGCTTTGAGTTCTTCACTCATATGTCAAACAGGTAAATGCACAAGGTGCATTTCAAAATCAAAAGATGCTAGTGATTTCCATATTTGCTTTCTGATCTTTTCTAACACACTCTAGGAATGGCTCCCCAGGAAGGGCACCTCGAAGCCTTCACCGGCGAAGAATACAGTGGGCTCGGTCCCTAGATATGCGCTGCATGGAGCACATGACACCTGGGCAATTCCTATTGATAGAAATGGAAAGGAATTGCACTTCTAGCCTTTTTAAGAGCTCATTTGGTGCTTCACATGAGACTTTATTAAAAATAGCACAGCTTTCAAAAACCTTTTAAGGCACTGGATGCTTTTTTAAAAATCTAGTAAATATGGATGGCTGATTAAAGAATGTATTTTATATACTGTATGGTAATGTTCCTTTTTTCTGTTCATTTTCCATCTTTCTTTTCATTTGCCTTTACTGAGTCTTCAAGTAACAAATGGATGTTTTAAGAGGACCTACCACTCTCCGTAGCACAAATTCCTTCGTACTAGTGGGAACTCCATCCTATCCTTTGCCTTACTCCAACCACGAGACATTGCAGTTTACATTTAATGAGCACTTAGCACAGACAAAATCAAATCGATTTTTCCAGACAACTTTTAAGGTAGATATTATTCCCAGTTTGCAGAGTAGAAACTGAGGCTCGGAAAAGATTAGTAATTTGTTCAATATCACATATCTAGCTGGTGACACAGCCAATGCAATTTGAAAACAGGTCTTTTGGTAGCGATGGTTATTGTGGTGGTGATGATAATAATGTTAGGTATCTTGCAAAGTCATTTTCATATATTTTGTTTAGTCTTTACTTGATTGTATGAGTTTTATACTCTCACTTCAAAGTTGGTGATTTTCCCCCTACGTGTAAGCAAAGTCTACCAATTAAGGGTTTTATTGAGAAACACTGGTAGTACCTAATAATGGGAGTAAATAATAATAACCCTTACTATAGACTTACTCTTTTATGTAAGGCTCTGAAAACAAAATTTTTTCTCCCTAAATGCTATTTTCTGAAGAGTCCATATTATTACCTGCTTCCCCTGTCATTTCCAAGTTTAAACATTTGTAAAAAGAAACTTCCTTAGAAAACTGTCAGCTTCAGAAAACTGTTTTATTTTTCTTTTACTTTTTTTTTTTTTTTTTTTTTGGTGTTCAAGTCAGGAAACTTGGGCAGAAAATAGAAGAGTCAGTAAAGTGATAAGTAGAATGACTTGGATAAAGTGGCATTGGATCATTGAAAATCCACGTCTACCAGGAAGTCTAAGGAGGGAGACCAGGCAGGCCTCTCGGGCAGAGCTGAGGTCCAGGTTTCCAGAAGTGCTGCTTGTGCAGAGGGGTGATCAGAGCACAGAAAAACCTGTTTCCCACTTTTACAGTCTATAACATGGGGGTAGGAAGTGTTTGATTAAAATCTTAGAATATCTAGGTAGGTGATAAAGTCTCTTTTAAAAAGCATTGAAATATATAACTTTGGTGAAATCCTTGTGGTAGAGGTGAAGTGACTATTTCCTTCTTAACTGAAGATGATCAAGGATGATTCCCAACTTCCCTTCTGCCATGGCTTTTTCATCTGTCTCCTCTCTTGTTCTGCCAATGGTGAAGGAGAGCCTCCATCATTCTCATAACTGTGTTATATGCAAATAGCAAATTATTGTTCCAGGTCTAAATCATTTTTTCAGACTTTCTTAGCAAATGTAATCTTCTTATCTTTTATTTTCATTTCATTCAATTCTCCTAAATACTCTCTAATTTTAAATGCTGTATACACATAAAATCCCAAATCATAAAAATTGTTTTACCTAAAGTCCACAGAAAAGTGATTATGTTTTAAAAAACATTTTATATAGTTCACCATTTTGTAACCTATTAAATGTAATTTGATTTAAAAGTTTATAGATTCATGTTAAGAAAGGAAGGAAACAACAATGTGAAGGAAAGTTTCTTAAAAAGAATGTTCCTAAAATTTTAGAGGTGCTAGAATAAAAACAATTTACATAGGAAGAATTCAAATGACATTATAAATTACGATGTATACTCAAACATTTTTATGCATGGAAAACAATGGTTTTATTTTAAATTGATAGAAATTAGTCATGACTACATGTTTGTAATTTGTCAAGTGATTCTTTACAGTTCAACAGAAAGCAGTTTAAAGGACTATTTGAAGAAAGTTTTTTTTTTTTTTTTGGATAGAATTTTTATTCTGTGATGACCTGGTCTCATGTGGTTCCAGAATTCATAGTTCTCATGTCTTTGGCTATGTATCCATGGGATAAAAGGATGACTTCTACATCTTACAATGTATACCTCATTAAATGCTTACAGTCTCACACAGGGACCAATTGTTTAAGGCAGCAGGGCAATATAACCTTTGGAAGATTGGGTCTTGTTACCTGTTTTATAAAGGGCTTTTGAAAATTATTTTGGCCAATTGTTCATCCTTATTAGGCCACTGACTAAAGGATAAGATCTTCCTGCTCTATAAATGTATCTTCACCAATGAAGGACTTATATATATCACTAATTGTTTCATTATAAGAATATAGTACAACACATTATGAAAACAGTTTAATAAATTATTTTTTTGCTTGGTAAAATTTAATTGAGCTAATTATTTTTATTTCTTGTTTTACTATTTCAATATCACCTTCTTAAAAGAGGAATCGCTAAGGTAAAAAAACCACACACATTAAAAAAAATGTCACCTAACTCTTGTCAGAAACCTTGTTAATATGTACCAATTGGACAGACCCAATTGGAGAGATATTTTTGAGTTTGTGAAAAATCTAAATCATGAAATATTTTCAAAGATAATCAAAGTGTCAAAAAGCCATGGTGCTCTCTAGGGAGGACAATGAATAGATACCTTTATATAATTTTATCAGGTACCTTAGGAATGATGTAAATAGAAGTAAATAATATATTTATATACATTTCTGCATTGAAAAACTAATAAAAATACTTTAAAAACATGCCATTTCTCAGTTTTTCTCTCTCTATTAATTCTCTAGTTGTTTCTTTATTATATTATGCACTTACGCCTCTGGCCAACATTACCAGCATCAAATTTACAGGAAAAAAAAAATAAAAGAAAAATATAAAATTTAGGAAAAAAGTTTTACATTTTCTTAGGAATTAGAAAAATAAGAAAAGAGGATTTAATTTTATTTTAGACTATCTCACCTTAGTTTACTCCCTAAAAAATTAGCATTTCATGCCAGCATAGATTTAAAACAATGAGCCAAAAGTCACTTATAAATAAGCAGTGAAGAAGAAGCTCCTTTAAGAATGTGACTTAGGCCAGGCACGGTGGCTCACACCTGTAATCCCAGCACTCTGGGAGGCCGAGGTGGGCAGATCACAGGGTCAGGAGATCGAGACTATCCTGGCTAACACGGTGAAACCCCATCTCTACTGAAAATACAAAAAATAAGCTGGGCGTGGTGGCAGGTGCCTGTAGTCCCAGCTGCTGGGGAGGCTGAGGCAGGAGAATGGCGTCAACTCGGGAGGCAGAGCTTGCACTGAGCCGAGATCATGCCACTGCACTCTAGCCTGGACGACAGAGTAAGACTCCGTCTCAAAAAAAAAAGAATGTGACTTAAAGTACGATAAAGAGAGCTGAGAAATGTCATAAGAACAGTCACTACTTTTACCTGAATGCCCATACTTTACTTACATCACCTCATTACATGCATTCAATTATCCAGAAAGATAGGCATCCGGATTCTCATTTTACAGTTAGGTAAACTGAGGCTTAGATAAATTAAAATGTTTACAGAAGATCACTCAAACATTAAGTGGCAGAAAGAGAATTTGAACAGATTTCAGGCAGGAAAAATGTGAAATTAGAATATAATTTGTAGGCCAAATAAAACTGGTGTTTCAAATAGGTAGAACTAAAAAATTATTTACAGGCGGTATAAATGAGAATTCCTATGAATTTCCAAAATGTCCATTTACAACTTTTCATTTGAAAAACTTTCTAACTATAACCGACTTAGAGATCCTTAGAGGCCCAATGACACTATTAATGAAATGTTAACTGCTAGTCCTCTAGTTCTAGCAGGCCAATTAGTTTCTGATCTATAACAATACTTCACCATTGAATCTGGGATCAAAATGTCAGATTCTGGCTATCTTCTGAGTGAAATCCTGGTAATGGCAATACTGTAAATTGTAACCACCACTTTGATTTGTACATCTCTTTAAAAATAATAATTTTAAAAACAGGCTATAAGAGAAATGCTACATTTTGAATATAGAGAAAAAAGAATTTGGCTCTTAATTCCTTGGGATTCATTTTCGTGGTCAAAGGGTTGAAAGCTTCATTTTAAACCATATACTCATTAAGAGCCTATTGTTTGACAAAGACCCAACTTAGCAAGTATGGTTGCTTGAAGTTAAAAGTGTTTTATGTTTATATTAAAATATTTGATGAGATAAAATAATACTTTGGTAAAGTTATATAATGTTTTGATGTACAGATATATTTCTTTATTACATTTCTGAGTATTAAAAAAACTTCCTGTGTTTCTTGGGATTTGACTTTAAATATACAAATGGGAAATTAAGGCAGTGAAAAAAGTTGTAGTAATTACTTTTATAGGAGGATATCTGATGAAAAAAAAAGGAATTCTCAAAATAATCAACAGTTCTCACAGTGGCTTGGTTCCCAGACAATGTGATCTCATTTGTAGAGATGAAGTTATCAAAATTTACATTCAGAATTCTATTTCTATGTACACACAACACTATAGTTAACATGAAGTTACAAGGTGAAATATTCCATCTCAACTGATAAGTATTTTCCTATACAGATGTCTATGAGTGTCTCTATTTCCACTGCTGGTTTTAGTTTTTATTAACCCTTTCACCATCTGTGATGGTAGCATACTAGCGTCATTGTGCTTCTCCTCTACACAACTCCTAGAGAGGTTTTCTTAAAAGAGTCAGGAACTTCCTAGCTCAACAAATTTAATGGGAAGACATGCAAATGAAAACCAAGCATATGAAAGGGTACTCAGCATCACTGATCATGAGAGAAATGCTAATCCAAACTACCAGGAGATATCATCTCACTCCAGTTACAACGGCTTATATCAGAAAAACAGGAAATAGCAAACGCTGGTGAGGATGAGGAAAAAAGGGAATCCTGGTACACTGTTGGTGGGAATGTAAGTTAGTACAACTACTATGGAGAACAGTTTGGAGGCTCTTCAAAAACTAAAAATTGAGCTACCATATGAGCCAGCAATCACATTGGTGGGTGTATAGCCAAAAGAAAGGAAATCAGTATATTGAAGAGATAACCTGCACTGTCATGTTTATTGCGGCACTGTTTATAATAGCTAAGATTTGGAAGCAACCGAAGTGTCCATTAATAGATGACTGGATAAAGAAAATGTGGTACATATACACAATGGAATACTATTCAGCCATAAAAAATAATGAGATCCAGTCATTTGCAACAACATGAATGGAACTGAAGATTATTATGTTAAGTGAAATAAGCCAGGCATGGAAAAACAAACATCACATATTCTTACTTATTTGCGGATCTAAAAACTCAAATCAATTGAACTTACGGACATAGAGAGTAGAAGGATGGTTACCAGAGGCTGGAAAGGGTAGTTGGGGGTTGGGGAGGAGGTAGGGATGGTTAATGAGTACTAAAAAAATAGAAACAATTAATAAGACCCACTATTTGATAGCACAATAAGGTGACTATAGTCAGTGATAACTTAATTAAATATTTTAAAATAACTTAAAGAATGTAATCGGATTATTTGTAACTCAAAGGATCAATGCTTGAGGGGATGGATACCCCATTGTCTATGGTGCACTAATTTCACATTGCATGCCTGTATCAAAACATCTCATGTACTGGGTAAATATATACACCTACTGTGTACCTACAATTTTTTTAAATTAAAACATTAAAAAAAAACTTTAATGGATTACTGATAATAAAAGGAAAAAAAATTACTCCTCCTTGGCATGACATTCATGTTTCTCTGTAATCTTATCTCAGCCTATATTTCTCTCCACACCACCTATGAGAAGAGTTCACCATTTCCCAAACTTGCCCTTTACTCTCCTATCTCAAAGTTGTCTTTACACATTTTCCTCTCTTATAATAACACCCCACTGTTATCACACTAATCTATAAAATCATTATTTACTGGATTACTTCAAAGTTTACTTTGGCAATGAAGCCTTCTCTAACCTTTTTGGTCTTCATACTAAGAATGTATCTATCTGCTCCTGTGTTCACAACATGTTATTTCTTCTCGACCCAACGATTTAGCTCTTTCTTTCTAAATTATATTTATTTATGTACCTCCTAATTCATCTACTAAATTTTAAGTTTCTTGAAGTTAAAAAAAAGTCTTATCAATCTTTATATCCTCTGAAAAATCTAGCAAATATGTTATATTTATATTTTTGTATGTATTTATGTTATATTTTATATTGTATATATAGTGTATATATCCTCTGAAATATCTAGCAAATATGTCATATTTTTGAGAATTATTTTCCATTCTGCATATTAATTAAATTAAATTTAAACTTAAGCAGTTAATTTGAATGAGATTTATTAAACCGATTATAATATTCATTGTATGAATATCATATTTTGAGAATATACCAGCCTATAAGGTATTAACATTTTTCCCAAGTATTGAATTTTTCTCAAATAAAACATCGTGACTTTTCCCATTGCACATTGTTGAACATAATTGCAGACAATGGCTGCTGATTGGTGGTGCAACATTCTATAGAAAGAGCTGTTTCTCACTACAATATTCACTTATACAATAATCAGTGCAGAATTTTGAGTTACATGAGAAAATAAATGCGATAATCAGAAACACTGTTTTAGAGTCTTTTTTCTCAAATAACTTCTGTATGAACTCACATGCCTCAAAATATTTAACAGAACCCCTACCACCTCCATCAAAAAGCATTATATAAAAATGAATTACAATAGAACTGAGTTCATGAGTTGTTTCCTTTTCCCCTTGTACACCTTCAGTCCTGTGGGGAGTGTTGTACTGTGAGAGGCTAAGAGTATTAAATATGAGAGACATTTGTATATCTTATAGCTGGACTACTACAAAAAGGTGAATAGCCAAGGCAAAAGAATTTCTAGCAGAGAAAAGGTGTAGCAACAAAATGAATCCTGTATGGGGAAGGGAAAGGGCAAGGAAGGGAAAGCAGACAAAGAAAGTAGGTATGAATTAAAAGGAGAATTCTCAGTGCCTATACAAAGTGGACTTGAAATTGACTCAAAGTGATCCAATATTAAATGACACTTATAACATCTTCTAGATTCTAAGTGGCTTGGAATAGGACTGCATTCTTTGTGGCCATACTTATAATTTATACTTAAAAATTCAGACTTAGTTACTGCTCCTGTGTTCCCAACGCATTATTTCTTCTTAACCTAATGATTTAGCTTTTTCTTCCTTAAATTATATTTATCTCCTATTTCATCTACTAGATTTTAAATTTCCCGAAGTTGTTATTAAATAACTTATTAAAGACATCTACCAAGCTCAAATGTCTTTCCAGTCCCTGTGGTCATTATGGAAGGTTTGTTGAAGAAACAAATTAAACTAAAGTTGAATGAATAAATTTCAGGTCTGACGCACACAGTCTAGGAAAACAATCAAATGTATCCCGTTTTTACAGAGGGTGAATTTAACAAGCTTTACACCAGTGCGTTTTACATTGATTTTGAAAAAATTTTAGAATTAACTTTGCAAAAATTATTAAAAGGGCATTAGAACAAGAAAGTGAGAATTACAAGGAAGCATAACATATTCAATAAGAGTAAGTCATGTTAGACTAACTTACCATTTTATGATGGTATTACTAGCCGGAGAGATAAGGGCAAAGCTTCAAACAGAGTAGTTTCCTTGGTTTAAAGATACCTTCAAGGACCCAGGCCACTTTGAACCTTTTATTCTGCCATTTTACAGCCTTTCTCTTTGGATTTTCCCTCATGGGAAGTAAGATCGTTGTTGCAGCAACAGGGAATTCCACACAAAAAGCCCTGGAGCCTCTTTAAGGAGCATTTCCTTTTTATCAGAAGTTTGTCTCCCAGAAACTATACAAGCAAACTCTGTTTTAGGTCCAGTAGAAATGGGTCGTATCCTCATGCTCTCTTCCCTCCAAAGTAGTACTGGGACTATAAGGATCTAGAATTTTTATCCTCTATAGAGGAAGATGGGTTCTGACAGCAAGGAGGAAGTATAAGGAAAAGCAATTACATGGACAGCCATATTAGCAGAATAATGCTAATTGCTGTAACAAACAAAAATGACATACACTGGTTCAAACATGATAGACATTTGTTTCTTGATTCAAAAGAGTTAGTGTTTATGAGTGCTCAGCTCTCTTAAGTAATTGTTTAGAAAGCCAGATTTCTTCCATCTTATGGCTCGTCTATCGTCAACAAACGACTTTTAAGTTCACTGTGTTGGCTTGCATCAAGCCAGCTGAAGGGAAAAGTGTCGGGGGAAAAGACACTTGCTTTTAAGGCCCATTGCCTGGAAGTCACACACACCACATCCAAACTCATTTCATGGGTGAGAGCTAGTCAATTGGCCTCTCAGCTCCCTACCAAAATGGGAAACGGTTGCCCCAGCTAAAGTGAACTTCTCAGCAGCAACCAAATTGTGAATGAGAACTGAATATATGAGTAAGTTAATCAAATAGTTTGATGGTGGACTGATTGTATTTCAAGATTTTTGGTTATGAATACATTATCACTCCAGATGGATATCTCTAACAGAATATCTCAGTGTATATCAGCATTTTTTTTAACGAATGACTTGTTTGAGGACATAGATGGCATGCTAAATCAAATTTTGAGATATCTTGAAGTTAAGAGGAAAAGCCAACATATCAGCTCAAAGTTCCAGGATCCCAAAAATATTTCAAAAAATAAGAATAAAGGTGAAATTGGGGATAAAATTGCTGGAAATAAATACCAACTTCTGTAGTTAGGTCAACACATTCAGCAGCAAGCACTATTTAATTTGGCAAATATTTATTTAGTTATTATACTCAGGGCATTGTGCCAGGCCAAGTACAGAATATAGAAAATAAGGGTTAAAGCAGAATATATGAAAAAGAAAGGACAGCCTCAGTTGATTGAAAAACAATATAAATTTTTAATGTAGCATTCCCCCCTTTCTATTTCCCTGTATGAGAACGTACATATGTGTGTACACGTACATGTTTGTATGTTTATATACACATGTTAGGTTAAATTAGAAGATTTATAACATACAGAACATTCTCTACTCTTTGTTTTTCAGATTTTTGTTTTAGGCTCTTGGTACAATAATTTAAAGGGGACAATTAACAAACTTGATTGTTTCTGGGAGAGTATGACCAAGTCGGTAAGTGAATTTGAAATAAATCATATGTATTTGCTCATTTATTCACTGATTTATGACTGAGTTTCCATTTATTTCTCTTCAAGGAAGTAGGTTATGCGTATAAATAATCATAGGATAAGGTAGAACATGGAGAAATGCTTTAAAAAATTAGAATAGTGAGAGAGATTTCTTTTAGCAAAAGAGATAAGGGCTGGGAGCTACCTCCCAGAAAGACAGATAGACCAGGATACAGTCAAGAGGGAAGAAAAGTGGGGCTGTATTCCAAGAAGGAGGACAAAACTTTAAAACAGAGATATCACTAGAATTGTAAACTGTTTATCTGCAGCTTGAATGGCGTGAAGGAAATAATAGGGGGAAAGGCCATTAAGTTACTTTGAGATAAAATTGCGAGACCATGGATTCTGCGTTAAAATTCTTGAATTTTGTTTAGGAGTAAAGCAACTGCAAATATTTATAAAATTCTTCCTATTCATATAATAGAGGTTATAGAGGTCATAAAGGTTTGGCCTATATTTGTTCATAGGAAGAATGGTAAAATAACAGCAATAACACAACAACAGCAAAACAAAACCTGTAGGTGTTTAAACTACAGAAGAGAAAATTTATGGTCTGCAGGATTATCATAGTGAGGGGGAATTAACCTTATCCATACTTTCTACTCATCTTTTATCCAAAGCTCCTACACCATCCCACAACCCTTAACTAGGATCAAGAGTTAGAAACTGCAGAAAGGCTTTTTAGAAGTGGGGTAAGGGTGGAAGTGTTTCATTATCAATAAAAATACCTTCAATATATAATAAATCCAATTTTAAAGGGTTTAAACCTAAGTTCATGACCACTTGCCAGGGCAAGGTAGAAGGATGAGAATATCTTATGGAAAGTAAGGAATGAGCTTTCTAAGGTCTCTGTTCTGACAGAAGTATTAACACTATGATTTCATAAAATATTGTGTTTCCTTGCTTTTTCTCCTTCTTATGAAAATACATATCACATTCACAAAGTTTTAATTCACTTCAAATTTAGGATCTATTTTATACAAAATGATCAACTGAATATTAGGTATTACTAACTGAGAGAAGAGTCTTACATAGTTTATAGAAACAGGAAAGGAAATCTTCATACAGTGCTCCATGTGGTCCCTTCCCATTATCAGTTTTTAAAAGTCAAAGATTACAAAATATAACAGAAGTATAATATTCAAACCTAAGCTACACAGGACACGTGCAGAGTGGAAAACTAGCAAACAATCACCTTTTCACAAGTCCTTTTATTGCACAATTATTATTTTAATTTCTGTTAGAGAAAGGGTATCATTCATTGTTGCTCTGAAATTCAATGAGAGCTTCAAACAACTCCTAGATAGCTATCATAAACTGGGCACTAGTTTATCATACCCAGTCTGACAGATTCATTGTGTTATTGAAGGATGTCCATAACTGGCACACACCTTACCTATCAAATGTTATTCCTCCAAACTCCTCAACAGAAATTCTCCTCTCATGTCAAGGCTGCCCACTATTTACACTAATTTCATTGATGCCTCTCAACATTTTCTTGGAATGTCCTTCCTCTTATTTCCTAACTAAAAGTCAACTCATTCTGTATTTTTTCCTCACATCTTCCCAACTAGTCTAGCCGATGCCAGCTTCATCCTTCATTGAACATGACATAGTAATTATTATCTGAACTTCATATCTTGATAATCATATCATATCTAAACTTGTGCTACTCCCTATTTGTTCCATATTGGTTTTATTTTTCCTTTTCAGTCAGAATATATGCTCTATAAGGGCAGATGACACATTACACATTAATTTTGCATTTCCTGGAATATGTAGATTGGTACTAGGAGTCAAGCGAATGTCTTAGGAATACTTACATAGTAGAGTTCAGTCTAACTCAGCTTAATAAGGATTTATATTTTCTTTGACTTTGAAAAAAAATACTGTCATCACACAAAAAGAATTTTGATTTTATATATTCTTACAAAATTATTAAAACTAAAAAACACAGCTTAAGGATTTTGCTATAACTGTCTTCTTTATCTTATTTTTTTTTTTGCGCCTTTATCTGGCATTACTTTCTGTTATCTTACTGCATTCTTGCTTTTATGGTGGATTTGTTATAGAAGATTAGGATACTGTCAAGAGGGAAGAGGGATGGGGTTGTATACCAAGAAGGAGTAAGAGATATATTACAAACAATCTGTAAACAGTGTCACTTAAAAAAAAGAAAAAAACGATTAGAGACACTAGTAACACGCTCACTTACCTATAACTATGAAAACTATCAAAGGAATCTGTTTTGTGTGTGTGTATGTGTGGAGGGGTCTGTCTACAAATTGAACACATAACTTTTTGATCAAGTTACAGCAAAGAAAATTTTAAAAATCATGTGACACGAATCAATAATTTGGCTCTGATTTTTGAAATTAAGCTTCTGTGAACTTAAAATTTCTGTCATTATACGATTGTTATTGTAAACTCAACAGCAGACTGTGAGCTCATGGAGACTAGAATAACAAGATATCTAATGTATGACAGATACTTAAAAGATATATTTGTTAAGTGAGTAAAGTTTATTATTGTCACCATTGTTTTACTTATTGATTTTTTAGGTTACATTTTCTTTTCTTCAGTTGGTTATTTGTCTTTCTATTAAAGATTTTCTATTTGCTTTCTTATCAGAAAAAGTTAAATCATTTTTTAAAAATCTTGTGACTACTTTAAAAAATAAGATTCTTAGGTCTTTCTTTTAAATTTCTTCTATTTATAATGTCTACCTGGACTGGGAATTCCTTGAGGAAAATGATATATGCCCCATTAATTCTTGCATTTCCAGCTCCTACCCCAGTATCAGGCATAATCAGCAGCTACCCCATAGCATGGAATGAAATAAATATTAAACACACATGTCTTCATTTTCCCAATATTATCCCCTTGTGTAAACCAATATTATCATTGAGAAGTGATATTGACCAGTGTTACTGGTTTTACAAGGAGTCTAATATAGCTGAGAGTCTAACCCAAAATGTTACAATGCTTACAGGAAGGACTTTGGACTTAGAAAGGATTTTGGATTAAAATTATTGCTGACAATACAAGCTATTTGACATTGGACAAGTTACCTAAGATTTTTAAGTTTTAGTTTCTTCAACTGTAAGATAAGGATAATAAAGGCACTGAAGTCATAGGATAGTGACAAACCTCAAATAAGTTAATGCATGTAAAGCTTGCCACAGACTAATGGCTCAATAAATATTAGTTATTGTTATAACTCTTTCCTTCCTGTAAAACAGAAACAATGTGCAGAAAAGATTTCACATATGAACTAATTTATACACCAGTCATCTTCTTTACACTTTCTCTACCTCATTGATATAATTTCAGCAAAGGATCTTTAGTAACATAATAAATAACTTTATCTCAGCTTCTTTAGATTTGATACTATTAATCTCTGCCTTGAAACATGCTAATAGCAATAAGATCAAACAAGTTATTGAGCTGCTAATATGAGTTAGCCATTATGTTAAACACTTTGTATGCATAATCTCAACAAATCCTTATAACATTTTATGAGGTAAGCTCTATTATTATTTCAATTATACAGGTGATAATGTTTATAATTTCTCATAATATCTTGTGGTTTTCTCTTAGCCTATATCACATTTACATATTAATTTATATCATTTTTATGGTTATCTGTTTAACCTTTGTCTTACCATTAATCTGTAAATTCCAAAAGGGTAGAAACCACACTCTTTTAGGAAAAATCACTGTATTCCTAGAGACTTGTGTAATTCTCAGTACTTATTAAGAATTCAATACATTTGAGGCTGAGGCAGAAGGATTGCTCGAGGCCAGGAGTTCAAGATCGGTCTGGGCAACGTAGCAAGAATCCTTCTACTCCCCAGCCTCTGGCCCCATTTTTAAAAGGAAACAAAGTTAATTAATTAGCCAGGTGTGGTAGCACACCTGAAGTCACACCTACTAAGAGGTTGAGCAGGAGGATTGCTTGAGCCCAGGAGTTTGAGACCAGCCTGGGTGATATAACAAGACCCTGTCTTAAAAAAAATAAAGTTTAATAAATTTATGTTGAGCTAATGTATGAAATAAGAATATAGCCAAGATAACAGTACTAAAGGGATGGCTCGGAGGTTCAAACCCAGGGCTGTCTGACTCCAGAGCCTGTACTCTTTACTATTAAACTGATTCTCCAGCTTAACACTGGTGGCTTCAGATGGATTTGTGCTTTATCTACCTCTCTGGTGAAGGTACTTTACCTGGAAGATGTGCTTACCTCCGTACCTGGCCATTACTTCTCAATATCTTCTGTAGGGCTTTCTGACACCCTTCTTTCATTGGTGTTTCCCAGGGTCAGGTCTTAGTTTCTGCTCTCTCACTCACCAGGACACCTCTTTGAGATCCCCGGCTTCATTACTATCCACATCCTGATGTGGTATCCCCTGTCTATATCTCCAGACTTGGCTTCTCTCTGGGACTCCAGATTTCTATATCTATTTGGTATCTTTATTTAATTCTTCATTTCGTACTAGCCTATGTATAGTTGCATTATCTTCCCCTGACAATTAGGCTCCATTCCTTGCTCCGTACCTTCATGAATAGTCCCACACAATCCAAAAGCTTCTTCCCTTTCTTCTTACTAAGACTGTGTCTTCTTCTACCTTCTAAGTGCCACTACCTCAGTTCAGCCACCTGCCATTTATCTCACAGTTTACTACTGTATTGCCCTTCCTTCTGTAGACTTCTAAATTTTCTCCCACTACTCATTTTTTCCTCCTGGTTTCACAGCTAATCAATGGGTGACTATATGTCCTAGGCTGTCTTGCAGAGTGTGGCTGGCCATAAGCCTATATTCAATCCAATACTCTGTGAGCAGAAATGTGCATAAATTCTACGTCATCTCTTAAGGGAGAAATCTACTTTCTCTAGGCCCTCTGTTTCCCCCTATTGCTCAGAAATAGTAAAAAATGCATCAACAGCCACTTAGATCCTGGAAGACTTTGGAAGTCTTGTGGAGTATGGTTGTCTCCTGCCCTACACAACTACTTTGCTCATAAATTGTTAGGTAAAAGGGAAATACTCTTCTAATTTCCTGTAAAACATTATATTTTAGGGTCTTTTTATAGAAGCTTAGAGTGTATCCTAAAAACTTCATAAAATTAGTTTCTCTAACTCCAGTTTTACTCCACTCTATGCCCATAATTTTAAATGAGTATACTCATTCTAAAATGCAAATATTGATAGGTCAATTCCTTATTTAAAATTTAGAACTGGCATTTGCTTTGCTGTATTTCCAAATTTTCAAAAATAAACATATATTGGTTTTATAATGATGAGGAAATAAATAAATCCATTAGTGACTCCCTCAAGACTTTAAAATAAAGTTCAAGCTGCTTAGTGGGACTAAAATCCCTTCATGTTTTGCATTCTGTCCATTTCTGGAGTCTTAACTTTTGCCACACCCTCACAGGCCTCCTGTCACTGGAGTCCCTGGTTGGTGGCAGGCCCTTGTATACATCTGCATCTTTACAACTTCTGCTCTCTCTCTGGATACATTTTCCATGTTTTCTGCTAGACTAATGGCTACTCATCCTTCAAAGCTTAGGTCTAGACTCAGGTCAGTATTGGATTCTCCGTAATCTCTTTTCTAATGCCTAAGGATCAGTTAAATGTCCCTCATCTGTGTCTTGACAGAATCCTATCAGTATCTTTACTGGGCACTTCCCACATTAAACTCCATCAATTTCTCAACCAGACTTTGTCTATTCTGCAATAAAAAATGTGCTCTCAGCCCAGTGCAGTGGCTCACGCCTGTAATCCCTGCACTTTGGGAGGCCAAGGTGGGAAAATCACAAGGTCAAGAGATCGAGATCATCCTGGCCTACATGGTGAAACCTCATCTCTACTAAATTACAAAAATTAGCTGGGCGTGGTGTCGCACACCTGTAATCCCAGCTACTTGGGAGGCTAAGGCAGGAGAATCATTTCAACCTGGGAGGCAGAGGTTGCAGTGAGCCGAGATCATGGCACTGCACTCCAGCCTGGCAATAGAGCAAGACTCTGTCTCGAAAAAAAAAAAAAAAAAAAAAAGTGCTCTTATTTAACCAGGTTCTGTGCTTTTTATCCTCATATCTATGAATAGTTGGTGGTCAAGTTTTCTTTAATTCAGTGAAGAGAATACACATTTTTTTACCATAATGTTAAAAGTGAGCTTAGTTCCTTCCTATCAGAATTTCCACATTTTAGTCCATATCGACTCCTTATAAAGTCATAAAATAGTAAGTATATTTAAATTGAAATGGGATATATGATTATCATAATTAGAAGCTGATTAGAAATGTATATTTTCTATTGATGTCAGCTTTCCCCAGAGACCTTAAAACTTGCACATCGTGAGACTTTAAGAAGTTTCTGAGGAATATTATTTTTGATTATTGAAGAGATAATACTTTTACAAAAAATGAAGATTATAGAAAAGTTCACAGTGTTTCATATAACAAATAATCAGTGAATGCTGAATTAATAAATAAATGAGTGGTTTGTTTTTGGTAAGTGTAGCTTATCAAACATTAAAAGACTAAATATCATTTACAAATATGCTCAAAAGCCAGTGTTTTGGTCCTTGAACACAAATAAAATTTGCCATTTGCCATATTGTTAAAAAATCTGTTAGTTCTTAGATTTCTTTGGTTAGGAAAGCATTAAAAACTCCTACAAATTGGAAAAAGATTGACTTTCTTTTTTAAACTTTCAGATCAAAATTTTATAAGGTTTTTACAAATTATTCATTCTAAAATTTTAGAACATTAATTCTAAAGGAATTAACCTTCCATTCAGAAATAGCGTGTTGGTAGACTTACATGTAAATTTGTTAGTAAAACTGAAACTGTCCCATTTATGAGCTGGTATTTTACATTTATTTTTAAAAGTTTATATTTTCCTAGACCCTTTATTTCTTGCCCTAGGCCAGGTTTGCACATAAGGAAGAGTTCATTAAAAGTAAGTTATTTTTGTATGTTTTACATATATTCATTTGTTAAGCTATTAATACAACCACACTGATACGTTTTCTGCTGCAAATATATTAAGTGTTTACTGATCAAAGAGCAATTGTATAACCAGAGCCAGTTTCATGGGTGTACAGTCTGCACAAACGATTGGGTGTTTAGAAAGTCTTTCACTTGCTTATGCTTTGCTATTAGTAGGGGCTCTGGATTTTCATTTTGTACTGGCTTCCACAAATTCTGTAGCCAGCCCTATGTATAATTTAAAAAATTATCCTAATTACATTGTCAGGGAGTGCATTGTTAAAATGCCAATTTCTAAACAGCTACCCATAAACCACAAACCCAGAGTTCTAGCTGTCTGCCAGGCTCTGTTCACCCAGCTTAGCTGTCAGGAGTAGCACACGGGTTAAAAGAGAAAGATTCTCCTAAGTGTCAATCCCTCCTGCTGGCTCAAGAGAACAAAGCTGGCAGGCAAAGTGAATCAGATAGCGCACTGTGCACGCCCCAGCTTCAGAATACAGTAAAGCCCATCGGTCTAATTTCAGCTTTTCCAGCCCTGGTAGCATCCCTTTAAGTTTACTAAGTCGGATATACCTGTAAGCAAGCAGTCTAATGTTTTTGTGATCTTGCTGCTGCGAAAGTATTTAATAATAAGCCTCAGAAGTTGGGAGGTAAGAAGGAAACCTATGATGTCTAATGCCAAGGTGGTGTTCAATGTGTTGAAAGTTGATTAAATTTCCTTTTAACACCCCTTGAAACTGACATTTTGCTACCGTTTAAATTTTTTTCCCTCCAAACTATTTTTTATACCCATGATTTACAGTGATATACAGCAAAGCAGTGGCTATGAATTGGCTCAAAATGATTCTAGGCGTAATGAGCAGGGATTGAAAAAGTCTGCTCATGTTCATTTAAGGGAAGGAAAGCTAACTTTATCCTGCAACTGCATGCCAAGGCAGGGTCAAAGATTTCAGACTGCTCGAATAGTACCATCCACATTTTATCGGTTTGAAGTGATAACCGGGTTCCAGAATCCCATAGATTGATAAAAAGAAAATATATTTAAATAGATTAGTGCATTCTCAGCTATCAGTTGCAAAATTACTTGCTATATTCACATGCTTCCATTTTTAAAGTTACATCTGTTTCAATAGAACTAGTCTAAATTTGAAAATTAAGAAATACAGCATATTTCTATATTTTATATCTCAAGTATCTGATTTTTTAAAGAAAGTTGTTTTCATATGCATATCTATTATAGGAAAATGTGGAAGCTGGACCTGAAACCTTATAAATGATAGTGGTGGAGTCTTTGTTGACATGTGTAATTAGAGCCTTACAATTATAATGTAAATGCTCAAATAATACAAAGCAGAATGCCGTGTGAATAGAGTAATGCAGTATCTTCTATGTAACTGACCATCAACTGTGACCATTACAAAGGTATTTATTTAATTCCAACTGTGTACATTTTTTCCCACATAATTGTTTTATTTTTACATCAATAGTTAAAAAATAAAAATCCAGCAAGATTTTCTCTCACAGTAAGAAGACTCTAAAATATTAACTACCTATTTCTTTTGCTTTTGAGCCAAGCCCAGCAGTTCAATCTTATATAACGTTCAACCCTATTCTACCCAATATATCTCCTTTTTGGAACAGATTATTTTTAAATGGCATTCTGTGTGGGAAGTATAGAAAACTAAAAGAGGAGAGTATCCATATAAACACTAGAATTTCTTAAAAAATTAGGATAAGTACTAATAAATAAGACTTATTAGTATGTAATAAGAGAAAGCAGGAATGAAAATTATTTTATACAGGATAATATCCCTCCAAAATATAGAAGTAGAGTATTGTACAATAATTCCCTATATTAAAACACAGGATGGAATAATGTTAAAAAATCACACAAAGCCTATCGTCCACATTAAATTTCCACTTCTTGTCAAGACTCTAGTGCTTAAACAGATCTTAAGAACCTTAGTCTTTGACAGGTGATGGACTAGAATAAGGAATAGTAATATAAGAAGATATAGTTGTGGTAGACCTTCATGGACAGTAACAGAATAACAGTGGAAAACCTCTGACCACATAAAAATAAGTAAATAAATCCAATATATAATCTTCACAACATTTCTTATCATTGTGTGATAAATGAATATAAATATGAATATAAGCTATAACATGCTTACAACCTTTAATTCCATACTGCAATTTATGTATCTCTGATATTTAATGATTTTCCATTTAATACTACTTAAAAGAGCCTCAAATATTCTTTTTTTCATCTTTATATGTGGCAGCTACAAAAAAGAATAATACAAATGGTGACTGGTGACTCATATTATGAGCATCATTGCCATAGGTGACAAGATTTCCAAATATGGTGAATGACTCTTGATAAAATTCTAAACTAAACAAATATGTAAAATCTTTCATAGATTTTTATTGTAATACATTTCTGGAAAATTTAGCCTATGGGGAAACTGTGCGCATGTGAAATGGCAACAAATTCTAGACTCAGATAATTATAAATAGTTTACTTTCCCTATATGGATTTTTCATGGACTCTTCCAAATTTGTGAAGAATGTGAGACAATACACTTCATGTGTGGGACTATTCTACTCATTCAAGGCAAGTAACATGCTGTTCCCCTTCACCAATCTTTGTTGAAAAACCAGGCTTGCAAATTTCCATAATACCTTCTAGGGGGAGGTACCACCTCTATCATGAAAACTAGGCTCCATCTATGTGTTTTAGTAATTTTTTTTTCTGAGATGGGGTCTCACTGTGTTGCCCAGGCTGGAATTTGGCAGCATCATCATGGCTCCCTGCAGCCTTGACCTCCTGGGCTCAGTTGATCCTCCAACCTCAGCCTCCTGGGTACTGAGTCGCCTGGACTACAAGCACATGACACCATGCCTGGCTAATCAATTTTTTATAGAGATGGAGTATTGCTAGGTCGCCCAGGCTGGTCTCAAATTGCTGGGCTCAAACAATCCTCCCACCTCTGACTCCCAAAATGCTGGGATTACATGTATAAGCCACTGTGCCGGCCTTGTAATTTTGTGATAAATAATGTAGCCATATTTTCTAGTTGAGGTATTTATATTTAGACTCAAATATGATACCATTTCTATATGAATTAATAGGGCATTTGTTCACTTATAAGAATCCAACTTTACTGCTAATGACTATAAGAAATTTCAAGGTAGAAATGTTAATAGTAACTTATTAATTCATATAACCTGATAGCACTTTAACTGGATAAGCAGTCAGAGAGAGCTGATTCAAGCCTCACTGATGATTTTTACCAGTTCTGTGATCTAGTGCCACATGTTTAACCTTTCTAATCTTTCATCACTTTATTTGGAAAGTGAAAATAATGTTGTATTTTACATTTGTTGTGTTTTATAGAGGCAATGCAATTTTATTTTCCGCTAAGACACGGTCTCACTTTGTCACCCAGGCTAGAGTATAGTGGCACAATCATGGCTCACTGCAGCCTTGACCTCTCAGACTCAAGTAATCCTTCCACTACAGCCTCCTGGGTAGCTGGGACTATAGGCACACACCATCATGCCTGGCTAATTTTTTGTATATTCTATAGAGACGGGGTTTCGCCATGTTACCCAGGCTGATCTTGAACTTCTGGGCTCAAGTGATCCTCCCACCTCGCCCTCTCAAAGTGCTGGGATTACAGCAATTTTTAAAAACCCTGCTTAGCAATTAACCAATACATGTTAGCTATTATTGTTCTTGGTCTTACAAAAAACAGCTTTGGATTTGGTCTGTATATTTCTTGACTTTTGCTTTATATACTAAAAAACAAATATGAGGAGATATTAAACTGTGTTAAAAGCCATGGGATCTATCAAAGTTGGTGACGCAAAAATCAAAGGTAAAATGTGCTTTATAATGAATGTGATAAGAAAATGTGTGAGACATAAAGAAGCTATTTTTCTATACAGAAATAATTTTTTAAAATTGTTACAAATTCCACCTAGCAGAGTATTTCCTTTGCCTTTTAGTGTCATGAAAGCGTTTGATTTACTCAACATAGGCTGAGAGGTGCCACAGTTAAATTCTTTCTGCTTTTGTCTCGACACCAAGTAGCAATTGAGCTCAGAGCCACTGGTCGCATGTTTTTCAAGACTGGGTAAGTTGCCTCAGCTTCCTCAAATCTGAGGTAGCATTTTAAAAACACTTTTGTTAGATTAAACACATTTTTTTTCTACTTTAAACATCTCAAGCACCTAAATCAAACTTAACCCAAATTATAAGTAAAGATGTAACACACATATAATGTATGAATCTATGGTTGTCTTCCCTCTATCTCACAGTATCTGAGGACTTCTTTTACAATAGTCATTTGGAGGGTGAAGTAAGAAAACAAAATACATGTTCCCAATGAGAGCTGTGACTTAAGCATAGGCCTTCTTTCTCCCCATGGCCCTGTGTGCCCTTAATTCACAGCAAAGTAGTTGAGCTACGGATTGTTCGATATTTAAATCTTATGGATTGGTAATACGGTTAGTAATGTATTCTTTTTAACAAAATCTATCACAATAACATTTGTGTATTGTGTCAAGGCTTTTTACCTACAATCTCTAAAACTATAGTACGTATTTTAAAAACCTCGTTTTTTAATGTGCCAATACTCCTCATCACCCCACCACTGTATATGATTAGTGATTAGCTGGGGAACACTGTAACCTAAATTAACTAATTTCGCCTAATGTTAATTTAATAAAACTGTTTTTACCTAGACAAATTTCTTGGCAGGTTTGGGATTTTACTATAAGTGGGCGATACAGTTTAGATGTTTGAGCTGTCCAAATCTCGTGTTGAAATGTGATCCCCAATGTGAAAGGTGGGGCCTAGTGGGAGGTGTTTGAGTCACAGGAGTGGATCCCTTAGGAATGGCTTGGTGCCCTCTCCAAGGTAATGAGTTTATGCAAGATCTGGTTGTATAAAAGAGTCCGGACAACCCCCCACCCCCAGCTGGCACCCTCGACCCCCTTTTTTTCTTGCTCCCTCTCTTGCCACATGACATACCTGCTCCCTCTTTGCCTTCCACCATGATTGGAAGCTTTCAAGCCCTGACCTGAAGCAGATTTTGGCAGTATGCTTCTTGTACAGTCTGCAGAACTGTGAGCCAAACTAAACCTCTTTTCTTTATAAATTAGCCAGCCCCAGGTACTTTATAGCAATGCAAATTAGGCTAACACAGAAAATGGGATTATTGAAAGAATCCTGCAGATGGATTTATTAGCCTCTCTTTCTGACCAAGTGAAGTACCTGTTAGATCAGATTGCAGCTTTGTTCCATCCCCAGTATCACAGTGCCCATGTCAAGGATGTATGCCAGTCTTCAACTTTCTTTTTTTTCAGCCTCTGCTCTTTATTCCCCCTACCCCAGACCCCCCAGCCCGATTCTGTCCTCCTCCCCCTTAGCTCATTTCACCACCTGGAAACAAACATTACCTTATTTATCTGTTTACTGTCTGCCTTCAAAAGAACACAACTTCCTTTGGGGCAAGAGTTTTGTTTTTTGATCACTATTCTAACCTGTGCCTGGGAAATAGAACATAATAAACCTTTGTTGAAGGAATAAACAAAGCAAAGGTTTTTCCTGGGCTGTATTTGTATAATCAACGCATGAGACTCTTTTGCTTCTGTTGCCTCAAGTAGTCCAGTCTAAAATTATACTTAAATATAGAGGAGTAGATAAAATTAGAGATTAACTAGGGAGCAGAATCATTATGTTATTTAACCCTATGTGGAAACCCGGGAAACGAGAAATCTTAGGAGACTGAATGGAGACAGTCCTTAGAAGCTTTCAATGTACCCTTTCTGCATCCCAGATAACAAAGCCCTGAAACCTTAGAAAATCAACACATCCACATTTGTATTTTCATCAAATAGCTTTCTTAAATAGTAACGTCAATCCTATGTATGACCAAAGATATCTCCCTTATATGCCACCTACATCTCTCCTAGGTGAGTAAGCATAGTTAAGACTCAGTCTACCTGTCATCTCCTAGAGTCGCTAAGGGATAGATAGTTTTTTTTTTTTTTCTCACTTATTAGTTTGGCTATCAACTATATTCACAAGTCATGAAAGACTATCAGAGAAAGCCAATTCACGAATACTAACTCCTACTTGGTATAATTGGGAAGTTAGTAAATAACCAGAGAGCAGAAGTCACATATCTCAGGATATGGTACCTTACCAATTGCAATATTTATTGTCAAAATCAAGTGATGCACATTGTAACGTCACCATATTTCCCCAGGAGGTCTGGGGATTAATAATTGCATAAGCATCTATATAATTTACATATATTTGCATACCATGCTCAAACTCCTCTGACATTCACATAGGTAGAATAAAATAACTACTGAAATATTACAGTGGTTGCAGTCAGGCCAAATATTGAGAAATTCTAGAAAATGTTAAGGGCTGTAATGGTCAGTGCAACAATGGACCAACTTTCTTGATTTTGTTCCTCATGTTAGGGACGGTTCCAGAGTGAGTCGGAGAGCACAAATAGAAAGAAAGAGGATCAACATGAAGACTGCTCTTGAAAACAGTTATGTCTAATGCTAATATATCGAGTATTTAATTGGTTTAAGGCACCATACTATCTCCCTAAGGAATTGCTTTTGAGATCTTAGATGGTATTGAAGTAGAATTGTCTCCACATGGAGCAGTTGTACCAGAATTTCTACAGGAATGAGCTGCTTTTTATTTTTTTCCATTGCCTTCCTTCTCTTCTAAATAATACCAACATATATACTGAATTTGGAAAAGCATGCTGCAGTTTCAAGTCCTTATTTTATTAAAGTTTAGGAAAATTTACTAGTTTATGATTCTGAGGTTCATAATTTTCCTTTAAATAAGCTGTAGGTTAATGTGTAAAAAGCCCTGCAGATTTTTTTCCTTTGTTTAAATAATATCCTGTAATCCAAGCCGATATACTTTACAATAGCATGTTAAAAGCAAATAGGAAAGCAGTTCAGCTCAAAATTAAGGTTTCTCCATCAGCATTTCTACTCACTCTGGCTATTTTCTGATACAAAGCTTTGGTCTCTCCTTTCATGATGTTATTCTGCAGTAGTAAAGCAAGTAACCACAGCTTCATAATGCTAAGCACTCCAGTGGGAAACACAAACAGAGTGCATAAACCAAAGTATTCATTTCATGAGGTTTTATTAAAAGGCTTCACCTCTAAATTGAGCTGTCATACACTGTTGGGAAACTTTTTACCACAGTTTATTTTAACTATGTAAAACATTAAAGGAATGGAATTCCTTCAGCTTTTCATATAATGGGCATGACCTCTCTTACACACCACAAGCAATCTATACTGCATTTAATCAAATTGGCTGGAGAGTAAAATCAGGCCATATGTTTTCCCACTTCCCCAATTTTCAGAAATGACCCCAACCTCGTTAACATGCTGTAGATTTTCATGTATATCCAGCAAGCTCTTTGGCGTTCTTACTGAGAAACGATACTGCATGATTAAAAGATATCCTTCAGATGAGAAGGACATTGGGTAATTTATAAATCATTCATTTGTGACACAGCTTCATACAGTATTTCAAGGAATTGCATTAACTGCTTTCGCAGTCTCCTCAAATGTTGCTTTCAGTTGACAGTGTCATAGGTCATTACCGATTTTTTCCTTATGTAAGCAATACCAACTTTCTATTAAAAATACTAATTTCCACTCTACTACGGTATCTTTTGAAGTGGCATGTATAATAAAAAAATCAAGTTGCTTTGAAATATTAAAGGAATATATTTAACTGAAGGGTTTTCAGACAGGTTGTTTTTCTGTATTCCTGATGACAGAAAGATTTTAGCCTACAAAGTCAATAGTAAATTTTATTAAAGTCATTATTTTCCTGTTACAGGCCTCGTGCTTTAAATAAACTACAGCTGACAATGCTGTCTTACACACTGTCATACTGTAAAATGTCCCCTCTTTATTACCGCAGGGACAACTCATTTAGAACTTTGAAAGTGTTTTCACATTAGAGTTGCTCATTTGCAGAGCTGGCCTATGGCTGTGTTTAAAGAATGTGGTTGATACTTCTACTTTCCTCTAAATATTCTAGGGAAACATATAAACTTGCCAACGCAACATTTTTTAGATAAAGATTAATGTTCCTTCTCCATAGATAAAATATATCTCAATCTTTCCATATTAGTGTGCTTTGACTACTTATGACATTATTTTTCCCACTAGTCCATTGAGTACAAGGAAGAGCAAAACACTTGATAGGTATATGACTGTTCTGTTTCAGGAATTTTAATTTCCCCCCAAATTGTATTCTTTAATAACCCACCTTCTCTGCGTCATCATCTTGATCAACATAATCTTGATTATAGGAAGGTATAATGGCCAGAGATTGAATAATCATCCAGAAAACATTTTCAGCAAAATCAACAGGAATATGTTTATTATTTTGGAGCCACAGCATGCCATCCCAAGCTGTGCTCATTTAACACCCTGCATAATACACATCTTGTCACATCATCCTTTAGCATATATTATATGAATGAATTTTTCTTTTCTTCTCCACATGCATTCAAACTCATACCTACTCACATACACTACTGTGAAGAGAAAAGAAACAATCTGAGAAAGAAAAAATAAACAACTTGCCTTACATTTGAAGTCATTTGCATTCAATGCCACTAAATCCACATGTATTTCTCAACCTCTTTTCCTATTTTAAGGTATTTCTTGAAAGTACATCTATAATGTTGAGGGTTATGAAAACCAGATAAAAGTTTACCCTAAATTCTTCAAATTCACATGGTCAGAATTACTGGACTCTTGTTTCTTCCTTTTGGAGAATAAAGCAGAGCAGGAGAGGCCAGGTGCATAGTTAACTCTCGGGATAGATACGGTTGGTCCTTTCTTCGACCCTCCAAATCTGGCATCATTTTATTTTAGCTCATGCTGCATTCAGACCCAAAGGAAAAATGAGAACATGTTTATAAACCCTTGTCCTAGACCAATAAAGACTTGATCAATGGCAGGTCTTTGATTTCAAACCCAGCTCTCTCCTGTTCGATCTTCAGACAGTAATCTTTGCTGCTGTTCTATGCCTACATTCAGCTCTTATTGGTGTCTATTTCTGTGGCCTTTTAGACTAATTTAAATTGAATGGAGGCCATAACGTGCTCTCCCTTGGAAAGATGAAATAATTCATTTCAATAATATACTGTAAATAAATAGCTTACATGTAATCCTTATGAAAGGAGAAATACATAACTAACAAATATTTGCATTTTTTTCTGGTTTATTTCTTCTCTGTAGTACTACTACTAAGCTATGTTTGGCTATTTTGTATTTAAATTACCCAAGCTTCTCATCATGTGCACACAGACATTCTACATACACACATGCACATACAACACAACCCATGACCTCTTCAATAATTTCAACAACCCCGAATTTTCCCCACACAGCTTCTATAAAGCTTAGAAGCCCAGCTAAATCACAATCACTGGAGTTCCTTATACCACATGGTGTGAACCTAGATGGTATCAAAATGCCTGATTTGTGATGTGTGTGTTACTGTTCACTTAAAAGTGCTTTTACTACCTTTTCTTATCAACGGAAAACTTTCAAGATATTTAAAGGCAGAGCCTTTAAACCTTCTGGCTGCAATAAAGCAAAAATGGCAGGTGGCTATATGAAAGTGGTAGAATATATTTAAAGAAAATCACTCATAGGGAAAAAGTGCAACATTGCTTAGAGTCCATTTATACACTTTCTATTGGGAAGAATGTGTTTTGGAGTGATGTGGGATTCTTTCCATTTGCTCAGTGAGAACATTAGCTGCTTTATAGAGCAATGTTGTTATTTTTAAGAAAGATGGGGAAATGAAACATTAGAAAACCTTCCTAGCAATCAGAAGAGCTGAGTTCAGCAATGATAAATAAAGAGGCCAGCAGGCTAAACTTAAAACCACAAATTCCTTAAATAGAAAAGATTAAAATTCTTTACCATTAGGCAACCTTTTTGAGCAACAGAGGAGAAGGGACTTAATGCCTTTGAAGCAAGGCCCCTGACTAATTAGAGAAAAGGAGAGAAAGAGATTGTGCTTGCTATTCTGAACAGGTTATTGAATGTGACCAATGCATACTTGTTAAAGAGCTGCAAGATGATACTTTGGCATTCGGGAAAAAAAGGTGAATATTTTCAACGTAGGTCACTGAGACAAGTCTCTAAAATCAGTTTCAGTCAAATTTACAAGAAAAAAGCAAAAAAAAAAAACATTAAAAATTGGGCAGAGGACATGAGCAGACACTTCTTGAAACAAGGAATATAAGCGGCCAACAAATATATGAAAAAAAAGAACCTCAACACCACTGATCATCAGAGAAATGCAAATCAAGACCATGATGAGATGCCAGTCAGAATGGCTATTATTAAAAAGTCAAAAAACAACAGATGCTCATGAGGTTGTGGAGATAAAGAAATGCTTTTATACTGTTGGTGGGAGTGTAAATTAGTTCAATGATTGTGGAAGACAGTGTGGCGATTCCTCAGAGACCTAGAGGCAGAAATACCATTTGACCCAGCAATCTCATTGCTAGGTACATACCCAAAGGAATATAAATCACTTGGTGAGGTGTGGTGGCTCACGCCTGTAATACCAGCATTTGGGGAGACCAAGGTGGGTGGACCACTTGAGGCCAGGAGTTTGAGACCAGGCTGGCCAACACAGCGAAACCCTGTCTCTAATAAAACTACAAAAAAAAAATACAAAAAATACAAAAAATTACAAGTGGTGGTGCACACCTGTAATCCCAGCTACTCAGGAGGTGGAGGCATGGAGAATTGCTTGAACCCTGAAGGCAGAGGTTGTAGTGAGCCAAGATTGTGCCACTGAACTCTAGCCTGGGTGGCAGAGTGAGACTCTGTCTCAAAAAAAAAAAAAAAAAAAAAACAGCCCACAAAAACAAAAGGAGTATAAATCATTCTATTATAAAAATACATGCATGTATATGTTCATTGCAGTACTATTTCCATAGCAAAGACATGGAATCAACCTAAATGCCCATCGATGGTAGACTGGATAAAGAAAATGTGGTACATATACACCATAGAATACTATACAGCCATAAAAGGGAAGAAGATCATGTCCTTTGCAGGGACATGGATGGAGTTGGAAGCCGTTATCCTCAGCAAACTAACGCAGGAACAGGAAACCGAAAAACATATGTTCTTACTTATAAGTGGGAGCTGAATAATGAGAACACATAGACACATTGTGGAGAACAACACACAGTGGGGCCTGTCATGGTGGGTAGGAGGAGAAAGAACATCAGGAAGAATAGCTAATGGGTGCTGGGCTTAACACCTAGCTGATGAGTTGATCTATGCAGCAAACCACCATGACACATGTTTACCTACGTAACAAACCTGCACATCCTGCACATATACTCCTGAACTTAAAATAAAAGTTAAAGGAAAAACCCCGCAAACTTATACAGATCAAAATAAAATAAATAAAATCTGTTTCACTGAGAAGTTAGGTTCGGAACCAAGCTAAACAAGTACTACAATTTGTCTCCTTTTAACTCATACTTGCCATTTTGCTTCTTTGATGAAGAGTAGCCAAAGGTCCCTGCTTTCCATCACTCTGGCATTCACTGCCTCTACTAGCCGCTGTGAACCTTTAAATGTCCACATGTCAAAAAGGGGAAGCTTTTACAATTATATCCATCAAAGGTAAAAATTCTCAAAACTTATCACTTCCTACAACAAAAATTACTTATGTTTAAGACGGTAGTCGTAATTACCATGTAAATATGATAGGCAAACTGATAAATAATTTTTTAAAAAGGATTTATTTTCACCATGGAAGCTAAGCTGCATCTATGAGAGAACAGCAAATACTTGGGCTGGAAAATGGTTGATCCACTGTCACCATGTCACAAAGCCTTAGAACTTTTAGGAGGGATGGGAAGCCCTTCCATTTTCCCTATGAAGAATTGAGATCCTGACTTGGAAGAATGGCTTGCCTCAGTGCTTGGTACCCATTAGCAGGACAGTGGATGAGGAAAGTTTCTTTTTTTTTGTTTTAAAATTTTTTTTATTATACTTTAAGTTCTGAGATGCATGTGCAGTACGTGCAGGTTTGTTACATATGTATACACGTGCTATAGTGGTTTGCTGCAACCATGAACCCGTCACCTACATTAGGTATTTCTCCTAATGCTATCCCTCCCCTAGGCCCCCACCCAATGACAGGCCCCAGTGTGTGATGTTTCCCTCCCTGTGTCCATGTGTTCTCATTGTTCAACTCCCACTTATGAGTGAGAACATGCAGTGCTTGCTTTTCTGTTCCTGTGTTAGTTTGCTGAGAATGATGGTTTCCAGCTTCATCCATGTCCCTGCAAAGGACATGAATTCATCCTTTTTTATGGCTGCATAGTATTCCATGGTATATATGTGCCACATTTTCTTTATCCAGTCTATCATTGACGGGCATTTGTGTTGGTTCCAAGTCTTTGCTATTGTGAATGGTGCTGCAATAAACATACATGTGCATGTGTCTTTATAGTAGAATAATTTATCATCCTTTGGTTATATACCCAGTAATGGGAGTGCTGGGTCAAATGGTATTTCTGATTCTAGATCCTTTAGTAATTGCCACACTGTCTTCCACAATGGTTTAACTAATTTACACTCCCATCAACAGTGTAAAAGCATTTCCATTTCTCCACATCCTCTCCAGCATCTGTTGTTTCCTGACTTTTTAATGATCGCCATTCAAACTGGTGCGAGATGATATCTCATTGTGGTTTTATTTGCATTTCTCTAATGACGAATGATGATGAGCTTTTACTTTCACATATTTGTTGGCCTCATAAATGTCTTCTTTTGAGAAATGTCTGTTCATATCCTTTGCCTACTTTTTGATGGGACTGTTTGTTTTTTTCTTGCAAATTTGTTTAAGTTCCTTGTAGATTCCAGATATTAGCCCTTTGTCAGATGAATAGATCATGAAAATTTTCTCCCGTTCTGTAGGTTGCCTGTCCATTCTGATGATAGTTTCTTTTGGTGGGCAGAAGCTCTTTAGTTTAATTAGTTCCCATTTGTCAATTTTGGCTTTTGTTGCCATTGCTTTTGGTGTTTTTGTCATGAAGTCTTTGCCCATGCCTATGTCCTAAATAATATTGCCTAGGTTTTCTTCTAGGGTTTTTATGGTTTTAGGTCTTACGTTTAAGTCTTTAATCCATCTTCAGTTAATTTTTGTATAAAGCATAAGGAAGGGGTCCAGTTTCAGTTTTCTGCATATAGCTAGCCAGTTTTCCCAACACCATTTATTAAATAGGGAATCCTTTCCCCATTGCTTGTTTTTGTCAAATTTGTCAAAGATCAGACAGTTGTAGATGTGTGGTGTTGTTTCTGAGGCCTGTGTTCTGTTCCATTGGTCTATATATCTATTTTGGTATCAGTACCATGCTGTTTTGGTTACTGTAGTCTTGTAGTATAGTTTGAAGTCAGGTAGCATGATGCCTCCAGATTTGTTCTTTTTGCTTAGGATTATCTTGGCTATATGGGCTCTTTTCTGGTTCCATATGAAAGTTAAAGTAGTTTTTTTCTAATTCTGTGAAGAAAGTCAATAGTAGCTTGAAGTGGATAGCATTGAATCTATAAATTACTTTGGGCAATATAGCCATTTTTATGATATTGATTCTTCCTCTCCATGAGCATGGAATGTTTATCCACTTGTTTATGTCCTCTCTGATTTCGCTGAGCAGTGGTTTGTAGTTCTTCTTGAAGAGCTCTTTCACATCCCTTGTAAGTTGTATTCCTAGGTATTTTATTCTCTTTGCAGCACTTGTGAATGGGAGTTTACGCATGATTTGGCTCTCTGTTTGCCTATTATTGGTGTATAGGAATGCTTGTGATTTTTGCACATTGATTTTGTATCCCCAGACTTTGCTGAATTTGCTTATCAGCTTAAGGAGATTTTGGGCTGAGACAATGGGGTTTTCTAAATATAAAATCATGTCATCTGCAAACAGAGACAATTTGATTTCCCCTATTCCTATTTGAATACTCTTTATTTCTTTCTCTTGCCTGATTGCCCTGGTCAGAACTTCCAATACTATGTTGAATAGAAGTAGTGAGAGAGGGAATCCTTGTCTTGTGCTGGTTTTCAAAGGGAATGCTTCCAGCTTTTGCCCATTCAGTATGATATTGGCTGTGGGATTGTCATAAATAGCTCTTATTATTTTGAGATACATTCCATCAATACCCAGTTTATTGAGAGTTTTTAGCATGAATAGGTGTTGAATTTTATTGAAGGCTTTTTCTGCATCTATTGGGATAATCATGTGGTGTTTGTCATTTGTTCTGTTTATGTGATGGATTATCTTTATTGATTTGCATATGTTGAACCAGCCTTGCATTCCAGGGAGGAAGCCAACTTGATCGTGGTGGATAAGCTTTTTGATGTGTTGCTGGATTCAGTTTGCCAGTATTTTATTGAGGATTTTCGCACTGATGGTCATCAGGGATATTGGTCTGAAATTTTCTTTTTTTGTTGTGTCTCTGCCAGGTTTTGGTATCAGGATGATGCTGGCCTCATAAAATGAACTAGGGAAGAGTCCCTTTTTTTCTATTGTTTGGAGGAGTTTCAGAAAGAATGGTACCAGCTCCTCTTTGTACCTCTGGTGGAATTCGGCTGTGAATCCGTCTTGTCCTGGGCTTTTTTTTGGTTGGTAGGCTACTAATTACTGCCTCAATTTCAGAACTTGTTATTGGTCTATTCAGGGATTCGACTTCTTCCTGGTTTAGTCTTGGGAGGGTGTATGTGTCCAGGAATATATCAATTTCTTCTAGATTTTCTAGTTTATTTACATAGAGGTGTTTCTAGTAATCTCTGATGATAGTTTGTATTTCTGTGGGATCAATGGTGATCTGCCCTTTATCATTTTTTATTGTGTCTATTTGATTCTTCTATTTTTTCTTCTTTATTAGTCTGGCTAGCAGTCTATTTTGTTAATCTTTTCAAAAAACCAGCTCCTGGATTCACTGATTTTCTTGAAGGATTCTTCATGTCTCTCCTTCACTTCTGCTCTGATATTAGTTATTTCTTGTCTTCTGCTAGCTTTTGAATTGGTTTGCTCTAGCTTCTCTAGTTCTTTTAATTGTGATGTTAGGGTGTTGATTTTAGACCTTTCCCACTTTCTCCTGTGGGCACTTAGTGCTATAAATTTCTCCCTAAACACCACTTTAGCTGTGTCCCAGAGATTCTGGTACATTGTGTCATTGGTTTTAAAGAACTTATTTATTTCTGCCTTAATTTTGTTATTTACCTAGTAGTCATTCAGGAGCAGGCTGTTCAGTTTCCATGTAGTTGTGTGGTTTTGAGTGAGTTTTTTTAATCCTGAGTTCTAATTTGATTGCATTGTGGTTTGAGAGACTGTTTTTTATGATTTCCATTCTTTTGCATTTGCTGAGGAGTGTTTTACTTCCAATTATGTGGTCAGTTTTAGAATAAGTGCAATGCAGTGCTGAGAAGAATGTATATTCTGTTGATTTCAGGTGGAGAGTTCTGTAGATGTCTATTAGGTCCACTTGGTCCAGAGCTGACTTCAAGTTCTGAATATCCTTCCTAATTTTCTGTCTTGTTGATCTGTCTAATATTGACAGTGGGATGTTATAGTCTCCCACTAATATTGTGTGGGAGTCTAAGTTTCCTTTTAGATCTCTAAGAACTTGCTTTATGAATCTGAGTTCTCCTGTATTGGGTGCATATATATTTAGGATAGTTAGCTCTTCTTGTTGCATTGATCCCTTTGCCATTATGTAACACACTTCATCTTTTTTGATCTTTGTTAGTTTTAAAGTCTGTTTTATCAGAGACTAGGATTGTGATCCCTGATTATTATTATTATTATTATTATTATTATTATTATTGCTTTCCATTTGTTTGGTAAATATTCTTCCATCCCTTTATTTTGAGCCTATGTGTGTCTTTGCACGTTAGATGTGTATCCTGAATACAGCACACTGATAGATCTGGACTCTTTATCCAATTTGCCAGTCTGTGTCTTTTAACTGGGCATTTAGACCATTTACATTTAAGGTTAATATTGTTATGTGTGAATTTGATCCTGTCATTATGATGCTAGCTGGTTATTTTGCCCATTAGTTGATGCAGTTTCTTCATAGTGTTGATGGTATTTACAATTTGGTATGTTTTTCAGTGGCTGGTACCAGTTTTTCCTTTCCATATTTGGTGCTTCTTTCAGGAGCTCCTGTAAGGCAGGCCTGGTGGTGAGAAAATATCTCAGCATTTGCTTGTCCGTAAAGAATTTTATTTCTCCTTTGCTTATGAAGCTTAGTTTGGCTGGATATGAAATTCTGGGTTGAAATTTTTTTCTTTAAGCATGTTGAATATTGCCCCCCACCCCTTACTCTCTTCTGGCTTACAGGGTTTCTGCAGAGAGATCTGCTGTTAGTCTGATGGCTACCTTTTGTGGGTAACCCGACCTTTCTCTCTGGCTGCCCTTAACAATGTTTTTCCTTCATTTCAACCTTGGTGAATCTGATGATTATGTGTCTTGGGGTTGCTCTTCTCAAGAAGTATATTTGTTGTTTAATTCCCACCTATGAGTGAGAACATGCAGTGTTTGGTTTTTTGTCCTTGCGATAGTTTGCTGAGAATGATGGTTTCCAGCTTCATCTATGTCCCTACAAAGGACATGCACCCTAAAACTTAAAGTATATAAAAAAAAAAAAAAGACAGAGAAAACGAAACAAAACAAAAAAAGAAGTATATTTGTGGTGTTCTCTTTATTTCCTGAATGTGAATGTTGGCCTGTCTTGCTAGGTTGGGGAAGTTCTCCTGGATAATATCCTGAAGAGTGTTTTCCAACTTGGTTCCATTCTCCCCATCACTTTCAGGTACAACAATCAAATGTAGGTTTGGTCTTTTCATATAGTCCCATATTTCTTGGAGGCTTTGTTCATTCCTTTTCATTCTTTTATATATTTCAAAAATAAATGCAAAATAAATATATTTTCAGACATCAAAAGGCAGAATTAATTTATCAGTAGCAGATCTACAATGTGATAAATGTCAAAGAATTTCTATCAGGAAGAAGAAAAATAATATGTAATGGAAATACACAAATGAAAAATAAAAATGGTGACTACATAAATAAATATAAAAAACTTTACTTTTTAAAATTTAAATCTCTTAAAAAGATAATTCATTAAAAATGCCCACTAAATATACTTCTAAATAATCCTTGAAGAGAAATCAAGTGGGAACTAGAGAGTATTTTATATGAAATGAAAATATAAACAGCATCAAAATTTGTATTATTCTTCTAAAGCAATATTAGAGGGAAATTTACAGCTAGAAATGTCTACATTAAAGAAGTCTCAACTCAGTAGTCTCTCCTCTGCCTTAAGAAGCCAGAGAAAAGTAAAGCAAATGAAACACAAAGTAAACAAAGAAAAAATAAAGATCAAAGTGAAAGACAATAAAATAAAAAACAGAGAAGCTATAGTGAAAAAAATCAAACCAAAAGCCAGTTCTTTGAGAAGATACATAAAATTGATAACCTGTAGCCAGATTAATCATAAGAAGAGAAGACACAAATTACTATTATCAGGGATTAGAGAAGTGACATTGCTAATAACAGGATTATACAGAAATTAAAAGAATAATAAGAGAATATTTTAAGCAAGTTTATGTTTTTTTTTTTTTTTTTTTTTTTTTTTTTTTTGCGAGACAGGATCTTGCTCTGTCACCCAGGCTGCAATGCGGTGGTGCAGTCTTGGCTTACTACAGCCTCCACCTCCTGGGTTCGATTCTCCCGCCTTAGCTTTCCAAGTAGCTGGGACTACAGGCACACGCCACAGTTGGCTAATTTTTGTATTTTCAGTACATACAGGGTTCCACTATGTTGGCCAGACTGGTCTTGACCTCCTGGCCTCAAGTGATTAACCTGCCTTGGCCTCCCAAAATGCTAGGATTACAGGTGTGAGCCACTACATCCAGCCTTATGCTAATAAATTCACAACATAGATAAAATGAACAATTATTTGAATGAAACTGTCAAATCTCACTTAAGAAAAAATAAATAAGCATACATCCATTAAAGTTCAAAATTATATTAACAAATTTTGCCACAAAAAATTCCAGACCCAGATGATTCACTAGTGAATTTTACCCCAAACTTCAGGAAGAAATAATGCTAATTTCACATAATTTCCAAAAAAATTAAAGAGGAAATATGCTGAACTCATTCTATGAGGTCACGATTATCCTGACAAAGACATTTCAAAAACAAAAGGACAGAATAATATTATTGATGAGTACAGGTGTGAATATTCTAAACAAATTTTTAGCAAACCAAATTCAACATTATATAAGAATATAGATACCTCATGACCAAATGGGTTTTATTCTAGGAATGATTTAACATGTGACAACAATCTCTATAAATCAATGTAATTCATCAAAGTTGTAGACTAAGAAAAAAAAAAAAGAACATAGATGACCGTCTGAATAGATGTGGGAAAAGCATTTTGTAAACTCGAACATTTGCTTCTGTTCAAAACTCCCAGCAAATTATGAAGACGAGGAACTTCCTGAACCTGTTAAAGGCCATTTACAAAAACCTTACAGCTAACATCATACTTAATAGTGAAATATTAAATGCATTTTCCCTAAGATGAACAATAAGACCCAGATAGTCACTCTGACCACTTCTATTCAATTTTGCAAGGAAAGTTCTGGCCTATATTTTAAGTCATCACACAAAAAATAAAAGGAATCCAGATTAGAAAGGAAGAGATAACAGCATCTTTATTCATAGACAATATGACTGTCTATTTAGAAATCTGAAGAAATCAACCAGAATGCTAATAGAACTATTAAGTTAGTTTAGCAAGATTGCCAGACACAGCACAAGATCAACTTACAAGAAAAAGCAGTGTTTCTATATACTAGCAACAACTAAAATCATAAAATGACATTTTTAAATTACCGCTTATAATAGCATTACAAAAATGAAATAGGAGTAAATCTAAAAAATATGTGTGAGACCTGAACACTGAAAACTATAAAATGTGGCTGAGAAAATTAAAGAAGACCTAAATAATTGTACATATATCCCATATTTATGGGTCAGGAGACAAAATATAGTTAAGATTCCAATTTGCTCCAGATTGATCTATTGATTGCACATAATCTCAATCAAAATCTGACCAATTGTTTTTGTAGAAGTTGACAAGCTGATTTTAAAATTTAAATGGAAACGCAAAAGATCTAGAATAGCCAAAATAATTTTGAAAAAGGAAATCACAGTTGGAAGGCTGACATTATCTGATTTTCAAGCTTATAAAGCTACCATAATCAAGACAGTGTTATAGTAATGCTGCAATAAACAGGGATCACTGAAAACAGCATAGCAAATTCATTAATAAAGCACACATAAGAAGAGGTCATTTTTGACAAAGATGCAAAAGCAATCAGAAAGAGAGTAGAGTCTTTTCAACAAATGGTGCTAAAAGGATTGGAATATTGATATGCAAAATTATGAACCTGAACCATACTTAATACAATATACAAAAATTAGCTCATAATGCATTACAGGTATGAATTTAAAATCTAAAGTTTCTAGAAGACAGGAGAAAAATTTTTGCCTTTGAATTAAGCAAATATTTGTTTCTTTTTCTTTTCTTTCTTTCTTTTTTTTTAATAGGGAGTCTCGCTCGCTCTGTCGCCCAAGCTAGAGTGCAGAGGTGCCACCTCGACTCACTGAAACCTCTGCCTCCCAGGTTCAAGCGATTCTCCTGTCTCAGCCTACCGAGTAGCTGGGACTACAGGCTTGTGCTACCACGCCTGGCTAATTTTTGTATTTTTAGTAGAGACGGGGTTTCACCATGTTAGCCAGGATGGTCTCAATCTCATGACTCTGTGTTCCACCCACCTCGGCCTCCGAAAGTGTTGGGAGTAGAGGCGTGAGCCACCATGCCCGGCCTAAGCAAATATTTCTTAAACATGACAACGGAAGCACAATTGATTAAACAATGATTAATTAAACTATATCACAAACAAAATGTTTTGTTTTTTGAAAGACACGATTAAAAGAATGAAAATATAAGCCAGAGTCTGGAAGGAAATATTTGAAAAACATTTATCTGATGTAAAACTTGTATCTGGAATAGAGAGCAAATGCTGACAACTCAGAAAGAATACAAACAACTCCAAAATTTATGAAAGTTGGAATGGGCATTTTACCAAATAGGATATATAGATGACAAATAAGCATATGCAAAGATTCTCAACATCATTACTTTTCAGGAAAATGTAAATTTAAATCATAATGAGATATCACTAGACACATTAAAATGGCTAACATTAAAAAGACTGAGGGTTGGTTAGGCTATGTTGCAACTGAAATTCTCTTACATTGCTGGCGGGAATATAAATGACACAATCACTTTGTAAATCAGTTTGATATTTTATTAGAAAGTTAAACATCACCCATATGATCCAGTCATTCCACTCATAGATATCTGCCCATGAGAAATGAAAACCTATGTCCAAATACTTGTACATGAATGTTCACAGTAGCTTTATTTATAACAATGCCAAACTGGGAACAACCAAATTATCCATCAATAGGTGAAGGGATAAATGACTTGCGATGTATTCATAAAATGAAATTCTATTTAACGCTAAAAAGCAATAAATTCGTGCAACAACAAGAACAAATTTCAAAATAATTATGCTGAGTGAAGAAAAGCCAAACATAAAACAGTATCTCCCATAGAATTTCATTTATAAAAAATTCTGCAAGATCAAAACTGATCTATCATGACAGAAAACTCATCCGTTTGCCTGCAGATGAGAAAGCTTAGGAGGGAGGGAATATTATGAGGAATGATAGATATACTCAGTTCCTTTACTGTGATGATGGTTTCTCATGTATATACATCTGTTAAAAATGTATAGAATTGAACACTAAATAGGTAAAGTTTACTATATGCCAATTTTATCTCATTATTATTGAGATTAGTTTGATCTATTGTTCTTTTTCATGTTCTTTATACACCTGGAAAGTCAAAATTTTGTATGTTTATTTCCTGAGTTCTTCCTTAAGGGACTTTGCTTTTCCAAAGTTATCAGAATCTGAGGAGAGCTTATTGCTGGAATCACCAGCAATTCTTACTGTTTTCTATTTCTTAATTTTTATATATTATTGTGCTGGGTATTGGGCTAAGCATTTTATTTGGACATTTGTATTTAATTTACCTTTTCCTTTCTTTTCTTTCCTGGCTTGTAACTTTCTACTTGTTATTTTTCCCAATTCCCTAAATAGTAGATAGGCAATGATATCATTAAAATTTAGGGTATTTTGCTCTCCTTGTTTTTCCTGGGCCTAGGTGTCAGGTCACTTAAGGTTTGGACTGTCCAAAAATTATTTTACTCAGAATCCAATGAGAAAATATTAATATGTGGAAAAGAAAGAAAAAGATAGAATTTCAAAATACAACTTTATTATATTGCCTAAAGAGTAGTTTAGCATATAAAGATTTCTGGACACATAAATCTGTATTTCTTTACTGTTCTCATTGTTCACTTCTAGTAAGCCTTCTAAAGTGAAGGATTATTGCTAGTCTTAGTATTAGCTCTTCCTTTCAGTGAATTTTCCCACCATTTCCTGATGCTGTGTATTAGTATATGCTCTGACTTTTATTACTCTCCATGTGGCTTCCAGTCACTTGATGTTCTCACCTTAAGAACTGTTCCCTTCCTTCCTTCCTTCCTTCCTTCCTTCCTTCCTTCCTTCTTTCGTTCTTTCCTTCCTTCCTTCCTCGCCTCATCCCTCCCTCCTTCCCTCCTTTCTCCTCTCTCTCCCTCCCTCCTCTCTTCCTACCTACCTACATAAACATCTTCTATTTATATTTTGAATGTCAACTGTAATTATTTGCTTTTTGGTATTGTATAACCTGATGGACATAATCTAAGTCCATTGTATTTATGGATTCTTCTCACTCAGGTTATAATTCTTATTTCCCCTGGGGTTCTTTGAAGATATAGTCAGGTGTCTCCCAATTTGAATGGAGCATAAGAATCATAAGGATGGTTAACAATAAAAAACAGAATGTAATTTTTATTTAGAGGAATGCTAGTACTCTTGTATATAATTATCATCAGTCATCTCATTAGGAAAAATATATTAGGAGATGTTATGCTTTTACTGATGGGTTAAATCCACCAAACAAGGCAAAAAGGTTTATAAACTTTATTTCCTTAGTGTTTAATGTGATATATAATACCCTAGTGAATACTAAAACCTCCAGTGAATTCTCCACTTTACTTGCATCCTGCAAGTGTTGATGAAAGTCATCAATTTAATAAGAAGTTGTCCAGTGCAACTTAGTTCACATTTAGTTTGATATAATAATATAGGAAGTTTCATCTACAGAGCTCTTAGCATTTTAGAAGTAAGCATATAATTGGTGATTATTTCAAATCTCAAGTGATACATTTGAGTAAAAGCAGTAGTAATGAGTTCATCTGAAAATGTTCACCAAGTGAGGAACATATAAATGCACCACACATCCCCATAGTAATTTTTTCCTATTCATCATCTGGATTTTTCCATCATGGTCTAAGCATCATTCCAGAGTTACACTGTGCAATGTAGTAATTTTGATTTTGCAGTTGATTGAATCTAGCAAGTAACAATAATCTTCAAATGTCATTCATGGAAAGTTTCTTTTAATCTGCTTTTGTAGTTGAATGTTGTTATTCTAATATAAACACACATTTTACTGGTTCTTTTGAATTTGGGATTTATGTCAAATGCAAGTGAAAAAAATCTCAATATAAAGAAAAATCATATAACAATGACCTCTAACAACACTAAATACAAATCAAAATGACTTGGGGGAATGAAAAAGTTGCCCTGAAAAAGCCAACATGAATAATGATGATTATTAAAATATTCATCATACAGAAAAGAGAACCCAGAAATAACGCCACACACCTACAGCCACCTAATTATCAACAAAGTCTGCAACTGAAAGCAATGGGGGAAAGGAATCCTTATACTCCCTATTCAATAAATGGTGCTAGGATAGCTGGTTAGCCATGTGCAGAAGAATGAAACTAGACCCCTACCTTTCACCACACACAAAAATGAACTCAAGATGGACTAAAGGTTTAAATGTAAGATCTCAAACTACAAGAATTCTGGAAGAAAACCTAGGAAACACCATTCTGGGCATGGGCCATAGGAAATAATTTATGACTAAGTCCTCAGAAGCAATTGCAACAAAACCAAAAATTGACACATGAGACCTAATTAAGCAAAAGAGCTTCAGCACAGCAAAAGAAACTATCAACAGAGTTAACAGACATCCTACAGAATGGGAGAAAATATTTGCAAACTGCATTTGACAATGGTCCAATATGCAGAATCTATAAGACATTTGACAATTGAACAAGCAAACTACAAATAACCCCATTTAAAAATGGGCAAAAGACATGAACAGACACTTTTCAAAAGAAGACATACAAGCAGCCAACAAACGTATGAGAAAATGCAGAAAACACAAAGCATGACTAATCATCAGAGAAATGCAAATCAAAACAATGAGATACCATTTCACAACAGTCAGAATGGCTACTATTAAAAAGTAAAAAACAAAAAACAGAAGCAGATGTTGGTGAGGCTACGTAGAAAAGGAAATGCTTATACGCTGTTAGTGGGAATAAAAATTAGTTCAGACACTGTGGAAAGCAGTTTGGAGTTTTCTCGACTGAAAACAGAACTATCATTTGACTCAGCAATCCCATTACTGTGTATATACGCAAAGGAAAACAAATGTTTCCACCAAGAAAGATGCATACACTTGCATGTTCGTCACAGCACTATTCACAATGACAGACATGAAATCAACATATATGCTCATCAACAGTGGATTAAAGAAAATATCATATATATACACCATGGAATACTGCACATCCATAAAAAAAAACAAAATCATGTTATTTGCAGCAACATGGATGCAGCTGGAGGCCACTATACTGTGTGAATTAATGCAGAAATGAAAAACAAACGACTCCATGTTTTTCACTTATAAGTGGGAGCCAAATATCAGGTAATCATGGACATAAAGATGGAAACAATAGACACTGGGGTCTACTAGACGGGAGAGGTAGGGAGAGGGACAAGGGTTGAAAATTAAGTGTTTGGTACTATGCCCAGTACCTGAGTGATAGGATCATTAGTTCTCCAAATTACAGCATCACACAACATACACAGGTAACACACCTGCACATGTAGCCCCTGATTCTAAAATAAGAGTTAAAAAATACAGAAATTGCAACAATAAAAATAAAATAAGATATTCATTGTGACAAATATGATACAAAATCACCAAGCCCAAGCATAGGTCTTGAGTAAGTAGTCCTTTATCCTCACCAAAATGTAGGTGGTGATTACAACCTTCAATACATTCACATTTAGATATGCTCTACATCAAGTTGGAATGCATCCCTGACAATCAAGATATTAAAATAAACTATGAGGTTAACTAATTTTTATGATAGCCTGATATTAAAGCTTCCTCAGCTATCTTTGCATATATTTAAAACTTAGGTAAGGCTAGGCACGGTGGCTCACACCTGTAATCCCAGCACTTTGGGAGGCTGAGTCGGGCAGAGCACAAAGTCAGGAGATTGAGACCACCCTGGCTAACACGGTGAAACCCCGTCTCTACTACAAATACAAAAATTAGCCAGGCATCACTAATCCCAGCTACTCGAGAGGCTGAGGCAGGAGAATCGCTTGAACTCAGGAGGCAGAGGTTGCAGTGAGCTGAGATTGTGCCACTGTACTCCAGCCTGGGCAACAGAGCAAAACTCCATCTCGAAAACAAAACAAAACAAAAAACCTAGGTAATTTCATTACTTATTTGGTAAGCTTGTAGATCTTCCCTAGTCTTCCCCCATTCCCGATTTTTGCCTGCATGTATCTGCACACTAATATTTTATGAATGAGTACTTTCATGTAGTGCTTATAGACCAGACAAGGCTCAATGTAAGCTTCTGTCACTGCAAAATCATCAGTAGTAGGGTAATAAGTAAAGATGGGATACATTGTTTTTTTTTTTTTTTTACAATATTGGATTCTATTTAATGTAGTTTTGTGGGTTTTCTTGTCTGATAATTGTGAAATTGTTTTTTTTTTTTTTTTACAATATTGGATTCTATTTAATGTACTTTTGTGGGTTTTCTTGTCTGATAATTGTGAAATTGTTTTAAATTCTACTGTGGCAGACTGTTTTGATTAGCTGGGCTGGCTTCATTTTCAATCTCCTTTGTCAAAAGAGAGGCAGGGATGTTCATATTTGTTTTCTCAGCCTACATGAAAAGAAGTAACCATGTCACATATTTTCAGACAATGAGACAAAACAGATTGGTTTTTAAAAATATTTTCTAATGAAAGGGATAAATCTTGCTTCTATACTATCCTCCTTCTCCCTGCCTTGTACTTGGGCATGTTAATTTGACCTGCAGCAACTATATTGTTGGTATGAGGCTAGGCAAAAAGATATATAAGAAAGATCGATGTGCTAAGGATGGCAGATCAGAAAGACATGAAGATCCTGGGCCATTGACGCCATCAAGAAGCAGTTGCACCCCAAATTGCTCTTCCAAGCTTCTTGCAATGTGAGATAACTAAATAGCTTTATTACCTAATCTTTTCTTGGATGGTTTTACCAATACATGCAGGCAAAAATATCCCCAATTAAACACAATCATTTTAATTTTTGTAAGCAGATAAACTTACCTACTTATGAAATTTCAAGTTACAAAATTTCTTTCACTTGAATAAAGCTATGATTTAAAGAAAGTAAGGTAGCTATTGATTAAGAGATGGAGTGAATGGTCATACATGGCTATCTTATGAATAAAATAGACAGGGTCATAGAGTGATTTATTAGTTAGGAATATGCTCATTTCATTTGCACCTAGTTTTGAAGTGTATTATATTTGATAAGTGAAAAATCAGTGAGTTATTTAATTTATTAGTTGAAAGAGCACATTATTAAAAGGAGAAACATTAAAATAATTGAAAATAAAATTGATGAGAAGACAAATGTTTTGCAAGGCTATGGAATACATAATTTAATAGCAGATATGACTCTGAAGGACAAGTGGTAAATCATGAAAGAAACTAGAAAAAAAGATTAATTAATGAAAAAATTTATTTCGGATGTCGACCAAAGTTTTAGCGTCAATGTTTGCTACCTGTTCAATTCAATTCAATTCAATTCAGAAATAAGTTTCAGCATTGGTTTGAGAATGTGGTAAAAATATTGCTGCTGCAAATTTGTTACAAACCAGATTCACAATTCAAGGCCCAATTGAATGTTGACTATGTCAAAACATGGCAGATGTGGTAGCTGCAGAATAGTTTATTTCACTCTTTTGGAAATTATCAAGAATGAGAGATTATGAGTTCTGCCAGAGATTTCTACTTACTAGTCTCAATATCTCCCTTCTTTAGCAAAAGAACTCCAGTTTTTAGCTTGGCAAATGGCAGTCCAGAATGAAGCCTACATGTCCCAACCTCCATGACGTTTGTGATCTTATGACTAAGTTCTAGCAAAGGAGGTTATCGAAGTGCCCTTTCAATGATAAAAGACATCGACTGCACACTATTTACCCATCTTTCATCCTACTCATAGAAATCATATGTGATGCTGAAACATTAGTAAGCATCTTGCATCATTAGGATAAAATCACACCCTAGGAATGACCCTGTGAGCTTGCAAATTTAAGTACTACTAATATAATTCTGACTTGCTTTCTCTCTGTTAACTTAAAATGAGGAGAGTGTGAAAGTCTGGTTACTTTTTTAATGTACATACAGAAAGAAAAAAGTTCATTGTGGCCTTATCTTAAGACATTGATTTGTCTGGTCCAATCTCAGTTGTGGTGGATCTAGCCTCAGAAATTACCTAAGTACTGCTATTGCAATGTTTGGTAGAATCCTTTCTAATTGAAGATTGACTAATGTTGCACATTAACATCTGTCCTCTAAAGAGTAAGTAGCTTACAAATATCTGCCATGAGTGAAAGCAAGATAACAGGTAAGGTGAATATGAGAATAGCTTTGTACATATTGAAGAAAGTGTAAGAGTAGTAACAGTATCTAAATTGTGCAGACTACCCATAAGCATGTTTCCAACTGTTACAAATACACCTATTATGCCTGTTCAATGACTCCTGGTTCTCTGCACAGAGAACTGGAGGGGGCTGCTGGGGAAGGGGAAAAACAACCACCTCCATGTGGATCTCTGTTGTAAAATTCTAATTAATAAACTTTATTTTTACCTTGGCTTAAATCAGAAAAAAAGGATTCCTCTTAGTTATTTTGGAACAATTAGAATTCTCTTGCTCAGCAACCCCTCCCAAATCACATGATTACTTTGCTAGAAAGTTTAGTATACAAGACTTAGTATTGTATATAATTCTTCTATCCTTAAGAATTTGAATTCCTATATCTATGAACTGTGACTAATTTCTGTGGATAATAATTGGAAAATGAGGAGAGATTGGAATAAAGATAAAATGAAAAAAACAAATATTTAGAAGTGGAGCCTTGGGATAAAGGTGGCCATAGGAGATGATACACATACATTCCCATATAATTTAGGTAGGAGAAGCTGAGAGGTTGGCCTACAGTAGCTTATCTAGGGCAATCATTTTGTGTTCTAGGGGAAGGAAACAGAAAACTGAGGCATCTGAAACAGCAAAGTCTGCCGCTTTGCCTCTGGGACAACAATAAGACACAGAGAGTATGACCTTCAATTTCTAAAATCAGGTAGCCATTAAATATTTGATGAAGAAAAAATGGGGAAAAACATCTGCTGTTATAAATATTATCCGTAACAAACCACACGAATTTCTGAATATATTGTTGAAACACAGACAGTGAGATCCTGAAACAAATTTGGCCATCTAGGAAAGGTAAATTGAAATTGATTATACAATATTCATTAACATTAATTGAAGATACATAAGTTGGTATTTGGCAACTAGTAGGCTCTTTACTCAGTGTGCTTTCTTTACTGTGCTATATTAGTGAATTTTATGTTTTAAACATTTATAGATTTTCACAGAGATACTTGAGATCCTTAATCTCCCAACTCCATTTCTCCCATAGGATACTAAGTTCCTCATTCACAAATTCTCATACTAAAGACTGTCACAAACCCAGTTCTTCTGGAGAAAGAACTAATAATACCGACTTTGAAATGCTACATATTCTTAAATGAAATACACTCATGTTAAAAAATTAAGCACTGACATATATTCTAATACAAACATCATTTTTGCATTATTTCTTGCTCTGGGTTATCCAAAGTTTTTAAAAATTAGTTCTGAAAAAGAAAAAGTGGAGTACACTGTAGCCGACCTATATATACTTCCCAGTGAAGATTTGGAAGTATGTTCTCTTTAATAATAAAAACTGTTCCACTTAAGTCTTCTAAGATCATACTACTTAAACTAGAATCTGCTTAATCAGTAGATAAAGTCTTAAGTGGCATTTTTTTTTTTAAAGCCAGATTTTGTTTTGGTCGAGAGGAGGGGTGAAAGAAGACAGAGCTTAATTAACCAGACTGACAGGCTCCATAGATCTCTCAAGTGTTTAAATTAAGGATTGCAAGTTCTTGAAACTTGACAAGCCAGGCAGGATTGTCACTGCTGCTGTCTGAAGCAGAGGTAAGTACAGATTAGGCTTGTCCTATCTTTATCATAAGCATTTTGCCAGGATCCAAGAACTTAACACTATGAACAGACTTAAGGTTTTCTTTATTATTGGAAAGTTAAAGCAATAATTAAAATTTCACATTTTCCAAGTAAGATTACTCTTTTAGCAATAAATATTTGTTATTAGGCAGAACAGCATAATATGTATGAAATGTACATACACACAGATATATCCCTTTATTAAAGGAAATATTCATTTGTTCTGCATACTAGATTGCAGGTTTAGTGCATTCATATCAGATAGAGATCAACATGCATTGAATCATTGGATGTAGTGCTTAGGGGCTAGTGAATGTTATTAGCTCCCACCCACCTGGCCAGAGCTTTCCTGTGGAATGAGATGTGTCTTTTCAGTTATTTATTTGCTCTGTGTGCATATATTCACAAGTAGAAATATATACATATGCTTGGAGCATGTTCCACCACATTTGACATCTGGCAAGTCTCTATTATGAGACTTTTAAGGCTTCCAATGAGTAATAAAATGGAATTACAAGAAGAGGGTGAAGATGGCGAGTAAATAATGCAAATCATGGCCCACGAGCCTCTTTCTTTGAATTTAGGCAAGTGTCAAGTATGTATCTGCTGTAAAACATCTAATTCTAATATTGAACCAACTCCTGTTTATGTGCTAATTTCTGAATGATCAAAGGTATTTGATTATTAGAAATACACCTTTCAGATAATTGTGCATTAATACCTCTTTGCAGAGAAAGCTTTTTACCATGCTTACATTAAACAACGGCCTAAGCACATTAAATTTTTGAGGTGTTTGCAGAATGGGCATATACTTTATTCTTAAAAAGAAAAAAAAATTTACTTTCAAGAGGAAAAATGTTTTGGCACTCTCTGTCACCTGGCTGAAGAATAAAAAAAAAAAAAAAGGGAAGAAGAAAAAAGTTGCTGTGTGCAGTTAATATCGAACAGCAGCCATCTCCAGATGATCCCTGCTGCATCCAATTTCTGCCAAAATGCTTTCTGTTAAACCTCCATCAAACAGACACACGGCGCACAAAAGAAAACCTCATCACCAAGGGAAACTAATCCACCGGTGCGCAATGTAAGCCTGTCAACTTTTTATTATAAGAAGTCATCACTCATTTCAGTGAAGATTAAAAGTATGACTAAATTGAGAAAATCCTCTTAGCCATTTGGAATTTTAATAGAGGAGAAAAGGGGGTGAGTAAAATTTAGACTCTGTGCGTGTGTGTGTGTGTATTTATATATATATCTGTATCTGTGAGGTTGTGTGCATAAATATAAATATACACACAGTATACACATGCATATGCGTATAGACACATACACATCAACATTTGTATATACACATTATTTGGATGAATGTAGGTAATTATGCATATAACTTCAGCCCCTAAAAAAGGAAAAGCTACCAAAAATTCATACATAAACATGTAGCCTTGTAGTAGGTTTTCTCAGTTACCACAGACAAACAGTTTCTGATTCAGAGAAGCTTAAGAGATAAGAATGGAAAATGAGTCCTCACAGCTTTAATTACATCGCCACTGGCAACAAGGTGTTACAGTGGCAGAATGACAATTGCTTTTACTCAGAGTATAGATTCAGGGTCAATACGCTATTTCATCCTAGTACACCAGAGCAGATGAGCACCATGTTGTTGCTATATTGGCCTTGCCATACTTCTTGATCCCTGCAGGTAAACTTAGTCTGATGTGCAATTAGAATTACAGGAGATGGTACGCATCTGCAGTGAACTAGAGCTGGGTTTTCCAGATTATATTGAATGCGGTGTGTTTCACTTAAGCTGTCATTGAAGATGTGGGTAATCTTTTACATTTAAAGACATAATCATCTTCCCATTTCAAAGATTTCACCTGTGTGAAAGCACAATTATTCCTCCAGTCAGTTTGCAGTTTGAAAATGATCAGCTGTTATTCCTGAAGTCCTAAGTTAGCTTTTTAAAATTCAGAGAACTTTACATTTGTATAACTCCTCCCATGCCTTGGTCTATTTTCACAGCACAGGAATAAGGTTGCACAAGTTAGATATTTGGTTTCTAGTTTCTAGCAGTAATCCTCAACATAAGTCCACATGATCCTTGGAGAACAAACAAGTAAGTCCCGTCACTTGCCAAGAAGATAAACTACAACTGTATCTTACCTTTATGCAGTTACACGGGCACCAACTGGCAGTGAAGTGAGTTGAAATTCTTCCTGCAAATCACTAAAGACCATGTACGACCAGGAAATCTGCCTCTTAAAGGATAGCAGAGCAGTGATGCTGACACCTTTGGGAGAAGATGGGGAACCTGTCAGCAGTTTCAGCGTCTTCTGGCCCTTTGATTAAACTCTTCCCACCCCCACTCCCAAACTAACTAAAGCTTTTTGCTATTCAAGTAGTGGTAGACAACCAGTGAACTGTTTCTGCTTGGAGAGCCTACTTTACTTTCCATAACCTTCCTTTCTATCCAATGAAAAGCAACTGTGGCCTTTTACTAAGTAAATGAGCAAATATTTTCCCAGTGTTCACCAGGTTAGATCCCCATTTAATTAAACTGGCTCATTATGTCCCTATCTGATTAGCAGAGTAGAATCAATTATTCAATGCACAAACATGGCTGCAGGAGCTAGAGGTGTATACAGAGCTGTTCATTTAATTCCAAGGACACTAATTAGGTACAAAGCAAGCAATAACTTTAACAATTGCAGGCACAAGCATACATGCAGTACAGGACAAGGGGAAGAAAAAAACAGGCCTTCATTTTCTTAATAAGCTGGATTCTCTTCCCCCTAACAGGGTCAAGAAAAAACAGAAAGCGAGAGAGGATGAAATGTAGATCAAGAAAGCTAAGCATCCAGGAAATAACCCTTGGGATTTGCATATGTAATGGTGTGCTGCTACTTTTGTACTTTATAATCAAACAGTAGGCAATTATCCAAATTATTGACAGCAGATTTCTCATTTCAACTGCAAATTAAGGCCATTAATAAAGCTTTCTAATGCAAAAGTGACTAATTAACTAATGGAATGGAACTCTGAAGCTGTGATATCAAAACCAGTCCACCACATATTGTGGAAACACAGGGGAACTAATTAGTTTAATTATCAAAACAGCTAATTAAAATTACACAGTTCCCTAATTAGTTCTTTGCGTTTTTTCTCTGGTTTAATTGACAGGATGGAGTTAAATAGGTAACTGGTCTCAAAGAGGGAAAGGGAAAAAACCAGGAATAGCTTCTGCTGAATATTTTAGCTGATGTTATCTCATTCATGTGGCAGACCAGTAACAGGAAAATAAATGACTCTCATCCTTTTGGTAAGCAACTCCAAATTTTCCAGACATAAATCTGCCCTCGGAGTAAGCTATCTGAAGAGATTTTCATGAAGTTAAAGGGCTGGGACGTCTTGATGCCTCCAAAAGGTCAGGGCGAACACATATTTTGGAGGAGGACAGCATGTGGTTTTTCTTCAGGAAGTTAATTTTTCACTTAGTTTAATTTACACTGTACTGTATGTGTGGTTCCGTAATCACTGCCAAGGGACATGTAAAAATGGCTTAGATAGCAGAGCCGCTTCTGAGCCTGACGGTGCTGAAACGTAGCGTGCGCTGGTGGCACTGAATCGAGATGCAAATCAGGTGCCATTCTACAAGATCTGAAGACTTTCTTAAGCTAAATTTTTGATGCTGAGAAATGAGACTAAGAATAGTAATAAAATAATAATAATAGAAAGTCTTTTCATGGACTGTCAAGGACCTTTCCTCCACAATGCTGAAGAAATGTAGTCAAATCAGGCTTTCTCTATCATTTCAGCACTTTCGGTGCTGGTCAGCACCCACAAACCCAAAACCAGGTTAATTTTAAGCTGCTGTGGCCCTGGGACTTTCCAAATCACAGAACTTTTTTGACCAGAAGAGAGCTAAAGATACCAGAGAACTCATTCTTCCATGTATACATGAATTGTATAAAAACCTGCCCTGCTTTCTGATGGCTTCAGAAGACATAATATCAGCTACTGGCCATATATGGCAAATATTTCAAAACATAGTATCTATCTTTTAGCTTTGAACAAGAAGAAGAGATGAGAATATGAACAGTTTATTGTTCAATGACTTTTCTGAAGCTTTCATTCTTATATATATGGCTCATATTTTACAATCCTACAAATAAATCTTCCTGTTTTGTGCCCTGTGATGGCATTGCACCTAATATCAAAATTTTTTCTATGGAAGTTTGGTTTGGAAAAGTGAAGCATGATTGAGTAGGTCTTCTCACATCTGGTTCTTCTGCCTTCACTTTGATTTTTTCCTTTTTTAATTTTTTTTAAATTCATTAATTGGTTGTAAAAGCTGATAACAAACTAAATGTGGACAGGTTAGCACAATTCTATACTCAATGATGATAAGTTATATATTTTTAACCTATTATGCTATACTTGCTATATGTAAAAGAGTAGGATTAACATATATATGTGATAAAGCAGAAAATAATCCCTCATTAATCCACCACAAAGCTTAGGAGCTAAACATGGCTGATAGCATTGAAGTTATCTGTACATCACTCATCCCATTGCCCTGCTTTCTACCCCAGCTCAACTAGTTAGACACTACCCTGGATTTTATATTTATCATTCTTTATCACACATGTGTGTACCACTGAAAGAGATTACTTAGTTTTGTTAACTAAATTAACATATTATAATGAATACTGGCTATAGATAGCCTTTAGAAGATTGCTTTATTTCACCTAACATAACTTTTCCAAGACTCATCTACGTTGCTGCAGATAGCATTAATGCATATACTCTCACACTGAACAACGTTCCTGTGCATGGATAAACTTCATGTATCTACTCCTTTGTTGATCACTTGGAAAGCAATTTGCATTGTCCTAAAACTGAGAATGCACACGTCTTATAACCCAGCAATTTCATTAGAAATATATAGAAATGTCTTTATAGTAGAATGTTTATAAGTGCATTATCCCTTAATTATGGTTTGTAATTAATCTTTAATAATTACATATTATTGTTACAACCAACATGATCAATAGTGTAAATAAGAGGGTTTAGAAAGGTTGTAGAGATGCCCTGCAGATTGAAAAGGATCATTAGTTCGATGTTATCTAAATTATTTAGCATTCAAAATTCAATAAATATTTTTTGAGTACTCTTCAGGTATCAAAGACTGTTCTGTTTGTAGGGAATATAGCAGTGAATAAAACAGAAGTGGCTGCTATTATGAGGCCTTCATTCTATTATAGGACATAGACATTAAATATACAAATAAGCAGCATTCTATGAGGTAGTAGTACCTACATTACCTCACTATAGATCTATAGATAAATACAAAGCAAAATAAAAGAATGGAGAATAAAGGCATTTCTAGTTAGGATGGCATAGACAGGAAAGATCTGTCTGTGGAGATGGCATTTAAATAGAAATATCAGTGAAGGCAGGGAAGAGCTCATGTGTTTATCTCAAAGAAGAGTTCTAATCAAAGACGATAAGGTTCAAGTATATTTTTACTGATTTAGAAAAGAAATAAGGATATTATTGTAGATAAAATGGAATTAGTAAGAGAAAGAAGGATCAGATATAATTTTGGAAAGTTAGGCCAAGCCCAGATTGCAAAGGGTTTTTCTAGGCCTTTCTGGACTTTGCCATTTATTCTGGGTGTGAATGAAAGGTTACCACTTGAGGTTGTATATATTTTGTGTTTCAAAAACATATTGATTTATATGTGGAAGAAAATCTGTAGTGGGACAAGAGTGGAAGCAGCTTGGATAGGCATGACTGTCATTAGATGAGACAAGAAGGGGCTTGGGATATGTGGTTGCAGTGGAGCTGGTAAGAAATAATCAGATAAGGGATACATTTTGAAAGCAGAGCCAAAAGGTTTGTTCGTAGATTGCTTGTAAATACATTAGAGGGAGAAGTCAGGAATAACTCCACATTTTTTAGCCTGAGCAAGTAGTTAAAGATGATATTACAAATACAGATGGAGAACAATGAAGTAGGGGCAAGTTAAGGAAGAAAAATCAAGTGTTTGTTTTGGACATACATTTTAGATATAGGTATCTATTAGACAGATGTGCAATTGGAGTGAGCTGTCAAGTAAATATTAGATAAGTTAGTCTGGAGTTGAGAGTAGAGCTCAGAGATGGAGATTTAAATTTATATTGGAAGTCAACAGTTGAGTTGATACTTAAGGGAATGGGATTAGATGAAATCACCTAAATGGTTAGTATAGGCAAAGAAGAAAAAGAGACACAAAGAGTGAGCCTCACTGTAACTGATTGGTTGCATTAAAGATCTCAGATCATCATCCCTTCTCCTATACACAATCTTCACCATGTATTTTGTGGGACCCTTCCATCCTAACTCTGAGCTTAGAGTTGCAACTTGCTTTGACATTGCCAAGTTATGCAAGCAGAGGGTTGTACATTTCTGCTCATGCTCCTTATACTCTGCCCTTACCATGAGAAGATATGCCTGGGCTAGCCCCTCTGATCCCAGAAGGGGGAAGGTAGATACAAGGTCAACCCACAGGTGCATGAGTGAGCCCAGCTGAGTGCAGTCTTAGAGATCAACTAAACCCTACAGGTAAGTGAGATATAACTGTTTATTGATTATTGAGTCTGAGTTTTAGAATGGTATTCAATGAGCATTATTGTAGCAACATATAACTGATACATGAGGAGTACTGTAGTATTTAGAGATCTGGACAAGAAGGAAGATTCACAAAGGATACTGAAGAAACCACATTGAGGAAAGCCAAGACAAATAGGGTTCAGAAACCCAGGAGGTGAAAATGTTTCAAGAAGAAGGAAGTGATCCACTGTGACAAATTCTACTGAGTTCATGTAAGATGAATGCTGAGGATGGATTATTTGGCAAATGGATTTTGTTATTGCCTTCATTAAAAGTGTTGAAAGAACCTAATTCAAGTAAACTGTAGAGAAAAGGGTAGGTGAGTAAGTTAAGATAATTAAGAATAGTGATTTTTGCTCTAATGGGCAGTGGAGAAATGGGCTCATGCTTGGAAGGGGATGTGAATCCACAAAAAGAGTTTTGTTTTAGATGGTTCTATTTTGTTTTAGATGGTTCTATTATTGACTGTTTATATGTAGATAGAAATCATTTAATTCAAGGAGGGAATAAAAGAGATGACACAGAAGAAAACAGAGACAATTATTATAGAATAACTGAAATTTTGAGTAGGTAAACTGGAATAAGATCCAATAAACAGGAGATGGGCTTAATGAGCAATTCAGCCATAGCTACAGGTCTGAAGGCAAAGTACAGAGGGGGTTAAATGAAGGTACGTTGGTAGACTCGCTAGTAAAACAATAAAGTTTCCTTCCTTCATAGTGCTTATTTTTTTAATTAAAGAATTAAGGAGTAAAATCATCAGCTAAGAGTGAGGAAGAGGTATGCGGTAGACAGAATTCTAAGATGATACCCAGTGACGCTTACCCTTGCATAATACTCTCCTCTTTGAGCATGGGTGGAACCAGTAATATGAGGAGATACCACTCCTGTCACTCTGTTGTTACAGGGCAAAAAGGAGATTGTCTGGAGTGGACCTTGACCTAATGTAGTTAGCTCTTTACAAGCAGAATTTTTTTTCCTCCCCATTTTGTCACAGAAGAGAAAATTAGAGTGATGTATTTTAGCTGATCTCTAAGAAAATAAACATTCATGTCATGAGCTGCCTATGGTGGCCACATGGTAAGGCACTGTGTATGGCCTCTAGGAGCTGAAAGTGGTCCCTGGCCAAGAGACAGCGCTGAAATGTGGACCTCCATCCTACATCTGCAAGGAAATGAATTCTGCCAACACCAGTGACCTTGAAAGATGCCCTCAGTTTCAGATGAGAACCGCAGCCCTGGCCAACACCCTCATATCAGTTCAGTAAGATCCTGACCAGAGAATTCAGCCAGGCCATACCTGAATTTTTGACTACAAAAACTGTGAGATAATAAACATGTGTTGTTTTAAGCCTCTAGGGTTGTGGTAATTTGTTACATAACCATAGAAAAACTAATACAGGGTGTTAGAGGTGTAAATACAAAGAAAAACGCATCTCAGAGAAAGGAGAAAAAGCTGACTGAAGAATATGGAGAATACTGGGCAGGATAGGGAACCCATTCAAAGTTTGCAGTTGAAAATTTAAAGTGAGATTCGTTAGAATTGGGAGCTTAGATAAAGACACAGAATAGGTTAGGAGTTAGATTTAACTCAGCGGATTAGCCAGTTGAACACATGTAAAGAGAAGGAGGCAAGGGAGAGAAAGTTATATGCAAAGTAATGATGATTATGTTAAACCAAGTTATTTAAACAGATAGCAGGGAAGTGAGGAGCAGACAGGGTAATATGCAGTGAAAACTTGTGTTCCACCAGCTGAACATCTCAGTGAGGCTTCCTCACTTCTTAGGAAGGTTCCTAAGAAGTGGTTACTCATGAGAGTAAGCTGAAAAGATAGGAGGTTGCAATTAGAAATTACTTGGCCCTTAGATCTTATTTTGATAAGATCCTTTGTCCATCATGCATCACTTACATGAGTTTTGGTCTAAGTATTCACTACTTGGACTTCAGGGCTCTTGAACCTCCCCTATCTGAGTGGTGCTGCACCATTTAGCAGTCCCTTCTCCCAGCTTAAGGGTACAGTCCTCTTGAATACAGAAGCCTTCTTTCAGGAAAAATTTGGCTATTAGTCACACATACCTTACTGTGAGTGTTAGCAATTCAAATATTATCCACGGTTTTGAAATAAAACTTTTGTCTTTGATAAAGGAAATGTTGATCTCAGAAATTCAGAAGAAAAAGGTATTTTTGTTTTCTAAAAACCAGAGGACTTTTGAGACGCCTCTAATACAGGAGCGGGCAAACTAGGGCCTCTGGGCCAAATCTGTCCCACCACCTGTTTTCGTAAATAAAATTTTATTGGAACACAGCCACACCAATTTGTTTACATATTGTCCAAAGCTGCTTTTGCACTACAGTGGCAGAGTTGAGTAGTTACAATAAAGGCTATGTGACATGCAAAGACTAAGGTATTTACAAACGAGTTTTTTTTCCAGAAAACGTTGCTGACCCCTGCTCTAATATCACCTCACATATCCCGGTTGAGTTTTATCCTTCTTTCTCAGCATCTGTGTTACAAATTCTTAGAAGTAGAAAAATAGAAAGTTGGGAAGATAACAACAAAAAAACGCAATGTACTATAGTACTATAGAAGTACTATGGGTTTTTGCCTGTAACTTTGGAAAAGGTGAGAGAAACTAAAGCAGTTCATGTGGGTGTCTGAACAATGATACTCTTTCCTCTATGCAGTGTTTCATGAGAAGGGAAGGAATTGAGGTTTGTGCAAGAAAGGGTAATGTAATCAGAACACTCTCGTATGTTGTGGCACGCCTTTATAATCTGGGATACTGCTCAGGTTTCTTAACCCTTTGTGTCAGTTTTTTTTTTTTTTTTAAAGACATTCATTTCTTCCTGGTGACCCAGACAGTGGTAGTATAGTTCATTTGTATTTCTACCATATAAACCTGATTATTTCCTGTATCTGTTGAACGATGGGTTGTGGATTGAGAGGTAAGGTGAACCAATATTTTGCTTCCTGTGATAAGAATATAAACACTACAGAGACACTCTCCTTAACCTTGTCTGAGGACAGCCAAAACTATACAAAACAACTTCAAAGCCACATCACAAAAGAATTCCAAAGGACTTCATCTTTCTTAAAGCAAAGCGAAGTATAGAGGTATATACACAATTATCGTTAATGCGACTTTTCTCCCTTTTTCTGAATCAGTTTTACTAGCATTTTTAAAAATACATATTTTACTAACATTCAAAGAAACATCTTTAGTTTTAATAATTATTTTGTTGGTTTTTATTTGGCATTTTTTACTTTTTGAATTTTTTTATCTGAAATGTTATGCTCTCTTTCTTCAACGTTGAGCTTACTCTGCTCTCTCTTTGAATTCATTGTGAGTATCCTGTTGAGTTTACATAGCAGATGGCCAATTTTTATGAATGTCCTAAGTAGACTTGAAAAAAATTGTATAGTCTCTATTCATTGATTACGGTGTAAGAAAAATTAACAATTTTGATTACATATTTATCAGTTGTGGTTTGAAAGTTAATCATTATGTTTCAATTATTTTAATGCTTCTCCTTACATTTTAACATGTATATTTAAGTCCAAAATCATTCATTCCCATTCTATTCTCCCCACAAACAATGTCAAATCCTTAAATATTTAACTCCAATACCCCTCTTTCATCTTTAGTGTTTTTATGTAGCATTTCAATTTCTTCCTGTTTTCTGAACTTCACAGAACTAACTTTTGTTTCATAGTCAAAGATAGAAGCTTCTCTTTTCTTCTGTAGTCTTTTATTCTGTTGGGAATAATTGAAAGTTTTCTGAGCCTCTCTTTTCTCTTTTATTCTCATATTTAATCAATCACTCTTGATTCAATTTCTTTATATCTCTTGAATATATTTTCTTTTTCTCCACTGTCATTTTACTCTCTTTCACAGAAGTAAAGGCTGCCATTATTTCTAGCCCAGAGCACAGTGGGGGCGCTTAATTGCCACCAGTATGCACATTTCTAACCCATTGTACCCACACAGCAGCCAGAATGGTACTTCATAACACAAACATGACCTCTTGCCTAAAATCATTCAGAGGTGCCCATTGCTTTTAGAAAAATCTAAATTCCTTAACATGTCTTAACATGCTGTTATCTCCATTTCTACAGCCTTGTTTCCACCCACTTCTCATGTTCATTCTGTTTCCAGTTGCTCTGAGTATCTTTCAACTTCTTGAACACAGCAGGCTGTTTCATCTCTGGGCTGCTACGTGAGTATTCCCTTCTAACTGGAGCTCTCTTGTCTGCTTTGGCTTGGCTAATTTTTATTCATCTTTCAGACCTCAGCTTTGAAGTCATTTGCTTTAGGAAGACTATTCTGAAGTAACTTCTAATCTAGGTACAGTGTTCCTAGTTGTTTGGTATTATACTACCTCTTCGTAGCTCTTGGCTGACTTGACTATAATTGCTTTTAAAAATATTCTTTCTTTCCTAGTAGACACTAAGACCTGTGATGGTAAGAATCCAGTCTGCTGGGCTTGGCATAGAAAATCACTTAATAAATATTTGGTTAATAAATGTTGAATGGATTTTCCAAAGCAGAAATTGTTAAATATAGATTTCTATCCTGGTAATATGCTTATGTGGGAAAAACTTATATTAAGAAATACACTGAAAACTACTCTAGAGGAGAAATTGGTAAGAAGTGTGTTTAATTTGTATCCTACCAATGGGGAGATATGGAAACTTCACAAATAAAGCAATAAGATGAGCAGGTGACCTTGCACCTAGATAATTACACTAAATAGAGAGCACAGCATATTCTCTATAATGATACAAATGGCAAGAGAATATTAAGAGCTATAGCAAAAGAGGGAAAATTGTAGCTGAATATTCTCTCTAGAACTCAGGGAATGTATGATCTTGAAATAAATCACTTAATCTCTTGATGTCTCATTTTAACTATTGAGTATATAATGAATGATTATTCTTAACTACTGCATGGGGTATTGTGAGACTTAATTTGCTAATGTTTATAAAGTGCTTCAGATTGTCTGATTAAAAGTATGAAGTATCATCATTATTATACTATAAAAGAGTATGTAAAATTTTATTTTAATTTCATAAATATGAAATTATACCTTGCTACTTTCACTTAAAATATTCTGAAATTCATACACACAGATTGGTACATGTTTGAATCTAGGTCTCCAGGCATTCACGTTAGCTGCTCTTATTTCTGTCTATAGACCTTGTCCGCATTTCTATTGTCCAGAAAGTTTACAAGACTTTGGCTGAAATAGACTTGAAAGGGTATACTCCTTTTTTGTTAAATTACAGTCCCCATAAGTTGAGAGTGCTGTATTATGATTGCTTTCTCTTTCATTTCAACCTTTCCTTCTTTGGCTAATTATTTTCTCATTTCTAAATGTGTTTAATTTTCTATAGAAGACAATATTCTTCCCACCCTGCAAATATCTTCTCAGTACGATTTTGCACCTGGTTACAGAAAGTTCACAGGTTGAATTACTTTTCCTTGAGGCAGTTTCCTGGAGCTCCATGTCCTGGTTTCTCTGACCAGGTTTCTGCCCAGCCTGCTGCAGACCCTGGAAGTGTGTGCCACTCCTGAGGTGATTCCTTGATTTTCTAAATTCATTACCTTCCTGTTTCTGGGTTTGCTACCTGTTCCTCCAGAATATTACTTAGAAATAGGTACACAAGGTGAAATTTTGGTAATACTGCCTGTGTAAAAATGTCATTATTTTATCTAAACAGTTGATTGACAGTTTGAATACACAATTCCAGCATGAAACCATATTCAATCCAAAGGTTATGCTATTTCTCCATTTTGTTCTAGTTTCAAATATTGCCACTTTTATTTCTGATCTTTCACATTTTTTCCTTCTGGAAGATTTAGGATCTTTTTATTCTCAATGTGTGAGCCTGAATGATAATGCATATGGGTGATATTTTTTCATTTATTGTGTTTGGCACTTGATCTGGCTACTTGTGTCCTTTGGTTATTTGAATCTTACGTATGGATCTTTGAATTCTTGGTCTGCATTTTCTTTCTGAAATTTTCATTACTGGATACTTGGAACCTCTGGACTTATTCTCTAATTTCCTTATCTCACCCCTCATGTATTCCATCACTTCATCTTTTCTATTTATTATGAGAAGTTTAATCATGGTTTTCAACTCTCACTTTTTAAAAAGAATTTTTTTTAGTTACTTTATCTTGAATATACAAGAAATATACATATTTATCTCTGGTTGTTTCTCTATTATGATATTCTGTTTTTATTTCATGTTTGAAATAACTTTTTTTAAAATTGTAAATAGATATGTGTGTATGCATTGTATATATGTACACAAATCTATACATATATTATGGGTATAGATACATATGAATGATATATACTTTATATGCTATATATCAATGGTCCTCAAATATTTTGGTCTTAAGAACCCAAATACCAAAAATTCTTAAGGATTTCAAAGAGCTTTTATTTATGTAGGTTATATATATTTATATTTAATATATTAGAAATTAAAGCTGAGCAGTATGTAAAATAGTTATTCATTTAAACATAACAAACCCATTACATGCTAACATAAATATTACTTCTATAATCTAACTATATTTTCTAATACAAAAAGAATATCATGAGAAGAGTAGCTTTTTGAATATATATATTTTTGCAAATCTCTTGAATATCTGGCTTAACAGAAAAGGGCTGGATTCTCATAGCTACTTCTGTATTCAATTTGTTGTGTTATCACATATTGTGTTGCCTCTGAAAAACTCCTCTGTACACCCAGGAGAGTATGAGAGTGAATAAGAAAAGAATATCTTAGTATTATTATGAAAATAGTTTTGACCTTGCAGGCTCCCTGAAAAGGCCTCAGGGACTCCCTAGGATCTCCAGACCACACAGTTTAGGATCTGAACCTGTTTGTACGATCACATGTGCGTGGACACATGCCCTTCTAAAAAAGTTATCTAGTCTTCATTTTCTTTTGTTTTATTTTTCTCTCCACTATTTTTTTAAAGGCTTTTGTTGGTTTTGTTTCGGTCTCTCTTTTTCATTAGAGACTTCTCAAATTTGATAGCAGTTGCCTGACAGCCCACATTTTAGAATAAAATAGTAATTGAACACTGTGTTTAGAGAAAGAATTTTCAAGGAGTGAGTTCATTCTGGGGCAGTGGTTCTCAATCCCATTTAAACATAATGCTCAATTTTTTTTTAAAAAAAGGCCAATATTTTATAAATCTGTATTTATTACCCTGAGATGTTAATCATAGCATACTCTTAACATACCAACACATATAATTTCACCAACAACAATATCATGCCACAGTTGTAATGTAAAAAGGAAATAAGCAAAAAGTGACTTATAATAAAATAATATGATTTCAATTTGTAAATCATCAGGCATAACTACTTTATGCTTTACTGTGGCTATAATGAAATAGATGCTTGCATATGCATGCAGAATCTCTGTGCGGGTGGCAGCTATAAATATAGGCTGATATAGGTGTGCTGATGGTTAATAATGACATCTTAAATATCTTGATTAGCATTGCTGTTTTTTAAAAATAAATCTTACTGTGTATATTTATGGTGTTCAATATGATGTTATGGGATACATACAGATGGCAAAATGATTCCTATAGTGAAACAATTTAACATATCAATTATCTCGCATAGTTAGCCATTTCTTTTTTTTTTTTCTGGCAAAAGCAGCTAAAATCTACTCATTTAGTATGAATCCCATATACACTACAATTTTATTACCTACATTCTATCATGTTGTACATTGGATCTCTAGACTTGTTCATCCTGCATATTTGCTACTTACTTTACATCCTTTGACCTACATCTTCCTATTTCCTGCCCGCCGTCTTTGACCCTACTAACCACTGTTTTATTCTCTATCTCTGTATACTTGACCTTTTTTTATTTGTTTGTTTCGGTTCCACACATAAATGAGATCATGCAGTATTTTTCTTTCCAGGTCTGGTTTATTTTATTTAGCATAAATTGTCAATCTTGTTGTGATAAATGGCAGGATCACCTCTTTTTTAAAGGCTGAATAATATTTCACTATATGAATAAACACCACAGTTTCTTTATTCATTTGCCTATTGATATTCATTATGTTAAATAAAAACAACCTAGGTTGTTTTCATAGCTTGGCTATTGTGAATAATAATGCAATAAACATGGAAGCGCAAATATCTTTACAAAGTGGTGATTTCATTTCATTTGGGTATATACCCAGGAGAGGCAATGTAGCATTGTTCATGTGATGTGATTTTATGAAATGGCGAAAAACTCTTGGTTAAACTCGAAACCAAACAATATACAATCTTGCTTCAATTTAAAAATTGCAATCTTAAAAAATGTAGTCTATGTTAAGGATATGTCAAAATATATATTTTATATGTCAAAATCTGTATGTTTATATGTAAAATGCAGTTCGCTCTTAGATTCATATAACTTATTTTTTCTTTTTTCTATATTATTGTCTACTTTGCTATCAGAAAGTCTTTAGGGATGGAATAACTCTTCATTGTGGAAAAACTCTTCATTGTGAGGGAGTTTTGTACATGAGAGAATGTCTGGCATCAGAGACTCTTACCTATTTAATGCAGCAGTGCTCCCCCAAACATCATGGCACCCTACCATTTCCAACCACTCCCTCAAGAACCCCTGCTCTGGGGTAAGCAGGTCAAGAGTCTGAATGTTGTTTGGAGAACTTCAAAGATTGATTCGCCCATCTGGTTTTTTTTTTGTTTCTTTGTTTTCTTTATCAGCCCCCCTCACTCTGACTACTTTTTCTCTTGGCCCTGAAACTCTCTGGTTCCATGTCTGGGGAGAATGGGGGATAACGGTGGGCTGACTGTCTGGGTGGAGATTAATGCTTGGGAGACTGGATACGTGCAAAGTGATTAGGACCTACCCAAGAGTCCAACTGCTTCTTATATAAACTCTCAGCCAGTTCTCAGGCTACAAACCATTATAGCCCTTGGGTTTCGTTATACTTGATATTTTTCAACATCCTACAGGGAGAATGGGCTTGTTTCTCTCCACTCTCTTCTCTGTATACACATAGGTTTCAGCATTCTCTTATCTACTTAGCCAGTTAGCACCCTTATATTTACTTTTATGTTCCAAAAATTTGTTGACCACTCTCATTTGCTATTGTCTTTTCCCTGAGCACCTCCTTAATATTTTTAAGATTTTTATTAGTTTAGACTTTTGGAAGGTAATAAATTTTAAGAAACAGTGTCCAATCAACCATATTGAATTGGAAGTCCCAAGTATTAATTTTGTAATGAGAAAAATCAATATTGTTAAGTCTTAGCTGAGACAAAGCATTTATGAAAAAGGAAGCCTAAGAGAGTTATTCTTTCTCAGTATTTTCTATACTTTAGCATCACAAAGCTGTATGTCTGAACCACATCATCACAGTGTGTATCTAAAAGTGATAAAAGACAACAACAGCCCTCTGTGGAATGAATGTCTCTGCATGTCCTAAAAACTGCCCTCATGGCACTAATTCCTTATCTTGATTACTGTTTACTTAATTTTTTTTTTAACTCAGGGTCAAGAAAACTTTGTACTGGTAGTAAGAAACTTACAATTTTTCTTGTTTTACTTTTTTTTTGGTCTGGAGAAAGAATGTTTAAAGGTTAGTTTTAAATTCAGTTTCTTTATCTTTAATAAATGTGAATATTTCAAAATCGGGGTATGCCCTTTACTTTTACCCTTTATGTTTTGTAGACTTTCATCTTTATAAAAACATTTTGGTTGGTGGTAATTCAAATAAAACAATACAAATAATATATAAGTAGAATTCTGAAATAGAATTCAATGTTAAAAGACAAGTAAACAGAATGTATTTAAAGTTAAAAATATTCTTATTACAATTGCTAATTGTACATAAATGAGATACAATTAATTCTATGGATAATAGGGACATATTGCTATTTGTTGAGTGCTCTTTGTACTTTCATCTCCCTTAGCTTCTTTAATCATTTCCTGCTTTGGTTAGAAGTAAAACAGCTACAATTAATTCTGGCCTCAGCAACTTCCTTCTCTTCTTTGGGTGCAGTCTTTGCTATACTCTGTCTCTGAATTTTGCACCCTACTTCCAGCTATCTAGATGCTTTGTGAGGTTAGTGGGAGGTATGTATGTTTTAACATTCTGCATGACTCTAATAGAAAATAGAGAAAGAAGGTGTTTTTACACATACAGTACACCATACTGGCTGAAAAATCTAGTAAAATGTAAAAAGAAAAAAATATAGTGACACAAAAACTTTGTCGATCCCAAAACAAGTAGAATCATGGAATACCATAAATGCTCTTCCACTTAATGGATGATTTTTGGCAAGAAAGATACTCACTCTTTAATTCTTTTCTAGTTAATTTAGAAAGAAACACATGTGAAATTAGACATGTCTCACACTCATAGATCTTTATCTAAAATCAAGAAAAGGTGGTTCCTTTATTAGATACTTCATTACAGCAATAATGTACTTTGCTGTTTTACATACTTTTTTTTATCTACATAGTACCAATGCAATCTAGAATAACCTTTTGAATATTAGTCAATACATAATTTGGCCTATGTTATATGTCAAAAAATAAGGAATGTAATGCTTTTTTATCAACTTGTTTATCATTAGAAACAAAAGAAAACAAAAGTGCTTGAATTGAATGAATACATTTGAATTAAGCAAATTTTTACTTTTGCAAGTAGAAATCCTATCTCTATAGTGTTGTTCTTAACCTTCTGCTTCAGTCATTGAAGTTATAATAACCACATAATGCTACCTTTTAATCTTGTACCCTGCCTAAGACTTTAGGAAAAACTTTTATTTCTGGAAAAGGAAATTATGAGAATGAAAGTAATATTAAATCAGTTTTTCTTATGTTAACACTTTCCCAACTAATAAGGATCCTCTCTTGTTACACTGTGAAAGTCACTCCTGGGTATCAAAACACTTTATCAATAGCTATTTTACCCTTGAGAGATCTCTCCAGTAAATCTGAAATCACCTCAATTATTCCAACATGAGAAGTGTAAAGCGATGAATGGATTTAAAAGTGAGGGAAGAGATGAAAAGCCAAATAGAAAATGGTAAGACCATCTACAGATTAGGAACAGAAGCCACCACTAAGCATTAAAGGGAAGACATGGTGTTAGAGCCTCGGGACAAGGTTCACCTGCAACGGCTTCAACAGTGGGCTTGTCTGGCAGGAGCACGAGCCACTGAGAAGATGCAGGTGCTGCTAGAGACACTTCTGGCAGAGAGAAAGGAGGAAAACCCTGACTCCTCCTTTCCTTCTACTCACCGTTATTCAGCCAAGGATGCTCATTGACTGACTTTAACTAGAAGCCAGCTCATTTGGAATCGTGGGAATAAAACCCATAGATGTCAGCCTTCCCATGATACAGAGTCCAGTGAGGGGAGAGTGAGAAAGATCTTCCTAGGTGTATGTCCAGGATCAGTACTAGGCATTTCTTCTACTACTCGGGATGGATTCTCAGTTTTCTACCCACACTTGCATTTCATACAAACTTCATAATTTAGCGTAAATGGGTCAATTAAAAAATGACTTAGTGCTCTGTCATAAAGAGAAAACTGCTGTCAATTTCTCCCAGGGAAATCTAAACTACATCCTCTCTTTGACCCTCTAATAACATTCTTGTTGGACAGCCCAAATCACTTGGCATCTCATGATTACTCTTTAAAAAGGTCCACTAGAGGCCAGAAGTTGCTTCTAAGAAGAACAGCATTAACAACAAAAGGAGGCTGTGACTTTACTCCAGAATCTTAGGAGTGTGCATTGTGATTCTCCTTTCGAGGCTTACCAGAGGATCCACATAACATCTTTATCGAATGCCAAACCTTGAGCATTACTGGTATCTGCTAGATCATAAGGTTTACATGGGAAGTCAGCTTGTATGCTTAAATCTGTTACAGAGACTTCTCCTGCTCTGGGATCAATTTAAAATTAGCAAAAGTAGAAATATTATAGCTTATTTAATAAATGGATTAAGGAAACAGACAAAAATGTGATGTGTTTTGCCAAGAACCAGCAACACATCATACTTTATTCCCCTATGATCAAGTATATTTTATGCCCTGGTTCTTTCAGAAATTTTATTTACCAACTCTAGATACTGCATTGTGATAGATTGCTTTAGTATTCCCAATTCATCTCCCCTCTCTATAGGCTTGTCGTTTGCCAACTAGGTTTTGCAAATAAGATTGTACTTTTTTTTTTAATTGAGACAGATTCTTGCTCTATCATGCAGTGTGGGGTGCAGTGGCACGATCTCAGCTCACTGCAGCCTCTGCCTCCTGGGTTCAAGCGATTCTTGTGCCTCAGCCTCCCAAGTAGCTGGAATTACAGACGCGCACCACACCTGTCTAATTTTTGTATTTTTAGTAGAGACGGGGTTTCGCCATGTTGGCCAGGCTGATCTCGAACTCCTGACCTCAAGTGATCTGCCTGCCTCGGCCCCCCAAAGTGCTGAGATTACAGACGTGAGCCACCACACCGGCCAAGAGTGTACTCCTAAAGGAAGATCCTACTACCTTTACTCTTTCAGGTGCTCCCCCAAAAAGTTCACTTTGCAAATCTTAACACAGAGTTTGTTTCTCTGGGGAGTCAATATAAGACAGTTGGCATGAAGAATTGTTTAGGGAAGAAAACCATAAAACAAGATGTTGGAGGTGGAGCACTGGGGAGAGAACACATGCTGTAGCAGTGCAGTTGCTGAAAAACACCGATGAGAGAGCAGTGAAAGACGACTCACTGGTGAGTGAAATGTCTCCGGATTTTGAGACAGTGAAGGGAGCGGTAATTACAAGAACAATGGAATCGGAGGCCCTTTCTGAGGGCCAGTGAGGTCACTCAAAAAAGACAGCAAAGGCTCGGTGGCTCACTCTTGTAATCCTGGCACTTTGGGAGGCCGAGGCGGGCAGATCACAAGGTCAGGAGATCGAGACCACGGTGAAACCCCGTCTCTACTAAAAATACAAAAAATTAGCCGGGCGTGGTGGTGGGCGCCTATAGTCCCAGCTACTCGGGAGGCTGGGGCAGGAGAATGGCGTGAACCCGGGAGGCGGAGCTTGCAGTGAGCCGAGATGGCGCCACTGCACTCCAGCCTGGGCGGCAGAGTGAGACTCCGTCTGAAAACCAAACCAAACCAAACCAAACCAAACCAAACAAAACAAAAAGACAGCAAAGGTTGCGGGTGACCATTTAGCAATTGAAGGAAAGGTATGGAAGTCAGAAGGCCTCCTTAATGGCATATAAAGGGATTCATCTGAAACCGGAGTGGAGCAAGGTGAGGAAAAAGCCTGGGAATTAACCGTGACAGTGGCATAGCTCCAAAGAAGGTTGAATTCTCAGCTCTAGAAAGTCTGCTAACTATGGTGGGGGAAGAGTGGGGTCTTGAGAATTCAACCTTCTTTAAGAATTGGCCCTGAGAATTGTGATTACAATATCTTAGCCAATGCAATCATAAACCTTGATTTTCAAGATCTCCCCAAACCATTTGTGTTTTAAAAGTCGCTCACTAGTTCATATTAAAGGTCAACTTTCCCTTCGATTTACCTTGCTTGAGGTAGTTGCAGGGGACTCCGCTTTGCAAGAAAATCAGTGCTTCCCATCTCAGGATCTACCTGCATTCACCTCCCTCCTTGGTTACCAGACCACTAAGTAGAGTTAAAGTACTATATAATTCAGCTGAGAAAGTACTGGGCCTATTAAGGATAGAAAGTAACTCCAAAGGAGTTGTAGAACCTAATCAACATGTATTAGCGGAAGCTGGGAGAGTGCACATGGGCTGGATCCTGATGATGCAAAATTGAGGGAGCATGCGCAGAAACAGTTAAACTGTATAGCATTGACTGGGTCAGGTTGCTAGTCAGGGAGGAAACTGTTAGTGGACCCTGGAAAAAATGAGGAAACTGGGTATAAGAGGTTAGGGCAATATCAACCCTTGAAATCTGGTTGCAAAACATTTGTCAAAGCTATGGTCTAAGTCTAGAACGTAGAAAATATACCTGATCTGAAGTAATGCAGGGGGACAATTTATCAAAGCTAAATGTTGAAAGCATGACTCTGGTCATACTGCAATTGATTAGTTACGATAAGAAATTGATGATTCTGCAAGAGAAGGAGTTCGTTTTTAAGTATAATATACAAGTCCTACAGAAAGACCAGAAATAGGAGGTTGAAAAATGAAATTGTTAACATCAATTTAAAAGTAAGAGCACTAAAATGCAGCCTTTAGGAAAAAGCCAATCTAGTGAAGCATGGCTTCAAGACAAAGGCCAAATCATGGGTGTGGCAATGAATTGGGAGAAAAAGGAAACTAAAAGTATACTTCAGGTCAAAGAGCTGGTGTGATTAGAATGAGTGAAAACCAGAAGGACACAAGAGTTGGTTCACTCCTCATTGCCCTCATTATCAAATCCAACCTTCTTAATATCAGTTACAATGCCCTTCATCAACTTGTTTAGCTTAGTTCTCTAGCTTCATCTCAGCATTTTTTTTCTTCAGACTTTATGCTCCAGATATACTGAACTACCTGAAATTTCCTGTGTCATTCTTTTTCCTTCATATGAGCATCTACACTGACTTTGGACCATTATTTATCTGTCATCCCTTTGCCCCCCCAACTTTCTTTAACACCATTTTTTTCAACTTTTTGATTCATGGTTTACGTGGGCAAGTTTGTTACCTGGGTATACTGTATGATGCTGAGATCTGAGGTGATGATCCCACCACTTAAGTGGTGAGCATAGTACCCAATAGTTAGTTTTTTAACTCTTGGCTTCCTCCCTACCTCCCCCACCTAGTAGCCCCCAGTTTCTATTGATGGCATTTATATGTCCATGAGTGCCCAGTGGTCTGCTCCCACTTACAAGTGAGAACATGAGGTATTTGGTTTTCTCTTTCTACGTTAATTCACTTAGGATAATGGCTTCCAGGTGCATCCATGTTGTTGCCATGGATATGATTTTGTCTTTTTTATGGTTGCATAGTATTCCATGGTTTATGTACACCACACTTTATTTATCCAATCCACTGTTGCTGGGCACCTAGGTTGATTCCATGTCTCTGTGATTGTGAAAAGTGCCACAATGAACACGTGAGTGAATGCGTGTTTCTTTTTGTTTCGCACCATTTGTTATTGTCCTACACATATCTGCTTAAATCAGAGTGATGGCAGGTGGATTTCACAATCTATGACAAGTCTAATAAACTGGCCATGGCTTCCCAAAGAACTAAGCAAAGGAGGGTAAGAACAAGTCTAGGGTCTATTGGACTATCAAAGTCCAACAGTTTGGGAGAATGGTGGTATATATACCGTGCATTGTCCAACTATTCTTGTCTACACACTACTCCTCATAATTTTCCCTGATGCTATCTTAAAAATTGTACTTTTCTTATGCGTTTGTGTACCATACTTTGCTTAGTTCTATCACACTATTTGTGTTGCGTTATATTTTCTGTTACCTTGTACATTTTTCCACTAGTCAGCATTTTACTTATAAAAAGATAGCATCTTGTGTATTGGTAAATCTCTAGTGTGACACAGTTCTTTGCACATAGGAGTCAGTACCTGAAATTCTTGTTAACTTAAAAATAAGTTATTGAATTTGAAGGACTTAAGAAATGATGCAGCTTGGTTGCTGGATGTGTTGTCTATATATAATAAATATCATCTAGGTCGGGGTCCCCAACCCCAAGCCATGGACCTGTACTGGTCTGTAGCCTGTTAGAAACTGGCTGCACAGCAGGAGGTGAGTGACAGGTGAGCAAGTTTCATGGCCTGAGCCCCGCCTCCTGACAGATCAGCTGCAGCATTAGATTCTCATAGAAGCGGGAACCCTATTGTAAACTGTTCATGCCAGAGATCTAGGTTGCATGCTCCTTATGAGAATCTAACTAGTACCTGATGATCTGAGATGGAACAGTTTCATCCGGAAACCATGCCCCTGCCAACCCCCTCCATGGAAAAATTGTCTTCGTGAAACCAGTCCCTGGTGCAAAAAAGGTTGGGGACCACTGACCTAGGTAATCAGAAAATTAGTTTATAGTCAACTTGTAGAGATCTAACATATGTAGAGTGTAAGCACACAGGAATCGATCATTGGGTCTTTTCATGCCTTTAAATGTATATGCCTAGTGCCTTAAGAGGAGCAAGCTTAAGTAGCTTAGAGTTGTATTTTGAGTACCATTTTCTCCAATTTATATGTAGGTAAGACCCTTAGAAGGTCAGTTCTGGTGCGGATCATATGCCATTCCGAGAGGGCTAAACAAAATGCAGCTTCCTAACTGCATATGCTCCCTCCTTTCTTCCTCTCAGCACTTATACCATAGCCCTAAATTCAAATATTTTGAACAAGTAACTAGCAATGATGTAGAAGTCATGTTGCTATTTCCATTTTTTCTTTTCTGATAAGCTGCAAAAAACCCATTCGCTTTATTAAATTAATTTAATTTAATTTATTATTATGAATAATTTAAACAAATTAAAAATTAAATTCACAGTAAGGACTGGATTAGCTAAAAAAATTAACTAGCTGACTTATTAATTGCCATGTTGATTTCTTTTTTTTCTGTTTCTGTAATTTAAATTAAAGCCTCTTGAATCATTCTAATAGTTCTGTCGTGTTCTATATACCAAAAATGTGTTCATGTAGACATCTTTGTTTTCACTCATTCATTAACTTAATGATAATTTTTGAATGCCTATCACAATCCAACCACACTTCTAAGTGCTGGGATGCAGAGATAAAACAAAGTCTCTGCTTTCATGGAGTTACATTCTAGAGGTAAGAAATATAAAATAAATCAATAAATCTATATTACAAGTGGTGAAATGATATGAAAAATTCTGTGATCCACAGAGTGATTGCAGAAGATCTCTCAGAAGAGGTGATTTGAACATAGACATCACAAACATGAAGAAGTGAGAACCATGAAGGTAATTTAGCAAAGTAAGTTAGATTTTAACGTTTAGTATTTTAACCTGAGTAATTTGATTAACTTGGGTTCATCCTATGAGGCCAAATAATAAAATGATGTTAGCATTGTTATTACACGGTGTCTGGCGTTATAACATACACCAGGAAAACCATGAGTTTGTGTAGACATTCATGTTTCTTATTAGGATGTTGATGACAAAGAAAGCCATACTTCAGTTATTAAATATTTAGTAGATATTTTTAAAATTCAACGCATATTTGTTGAATTCTTGTGTGTGGAGAAGTATAAACATTGAATTAAACATTGAAGTAAAACTAGGGACTTTGCGACTGTCCACTCTGAAGTGGCAGAGTAAGTATACAAACTGAGTCTGAAACCAGAATAGAAAACTTATACTTTGGGAGATAATTTTTGAAAAGCTTTGTATGTGATATAATAAAGAATATGAAAGGAGAAAAACCTGGACAAAGTTTTAGAAAGAAGGAGAAAAATCAAGCAGTAAGAGATGAGAAAGCATGAGGATTGCTTACAGATCCTAAAATGCCTTTGCTTGGTTTGAGTCAAGCAAGGAAGAGGTAGATGACATTGAGAAGCTTTGTAAAAATATTTTTTAAACTCAATTTAATAAGCATTAGGGCAAGTCAGTGCAAGATTTTGACGTAGAGTTTTGACAAAACAGGAACTTTCTTTTGTGAAACTGTATTGTGACTAGGATAGATTAGTAAAAAAAAAAAAAAAAAAAAAAAAAGCAAGGTGATCAACAATAAATGCCATATTAGAGTACAGCAGTATTTTTTTCTGACACAAAATTAGGGAATTTTATTTTGGGCTTTGAGGAAAAGTGGATTAGGAATGGATGACAACTCTTAAATGTAAAAACAGGTTGCCGCCCTCTCTGTGTTCATTTTGTAATTTATGATCATATTGAAATAGCTTTTATTTTTAGTTTCATCCAAGTCTAAGAGTTAGATGGTTCCATTAGTGTAACTGCTAGGTGAAATCATTCTAAAATGTCTTTATCCAAGCCTCAAACTGTTCAATATTCCGGGTTTTTAAGATCAAGTCTATGGTAACTACATTTTTATCCTCCATGATTTTCAAAATACTGCTCTATGATTGCCTTCCCCATTCTCTTCCTTTTATATTCCTTTTGCAGGCTAAGAGAATCTTGTTTGTTTTCTTTATGCCTTTTACTTTTTGATTCATTTTGTGCTTTCCAAATTTGGTTAATCAGAGCTTCATAATCCTTCACTCATTGTATTTGTCATCTTACAATTTCAACACCGTGAAAAATCCGATGCCATCTGGAAATGTGTAGATATTAATATAAGATAATGTTCTTCAATTTTAATACCAGTTTTTGAGGTTACAACATCAATCCATCAATTTTTTGATCAACCATATTTATTGAGAACCTATTATATTATCAACCACGTTAGGGTACAAAGGTAAATAAAATGCCTATGGCAGAGAGTTATTGTGTAGAGGAGATAGACAAACATAAATTATTAAAACATGCTATTGATATAAATGTTATGATTAAGAATGAACAAAATGCTGATGGCATATAGGCATGGAAATGCCAAATTCTCCCAGGAGATGCTAGCAAAGACTTTGCAAAGGAGATGGCCTGATCTTAAAATATGAGGGTAAATTCATGAAGCAGAAGGGTAGGATAGGATACATGCTGGAGAAACAATGTGTAACTGTATAAAGGTATTGGGACGTAAAAAGTAAAGGAGAATTTTGGAAATGGTAAAAATTTCAGTGTGAATGCAACATGGAAATCCTGGAAAGGATTGTCCTGAGGAGAAGCTGAAGAAGAAGATATGGCTTGGCTGAGGAGATCTTACAGTTTGCCTTGGATTTAATCCTTACTAATGCAGAATTAATAGAAATTTCAATGTAGAGTGACGTGATTATATTTTTTTAAAGGGAGATAACTTTGGAATCCATTTGGAAACTTAATTAAGTTTAAGAGATTAGTGGAAGTATATCAATTAGGAAGCTATTGGAATAGACAAGGTAAAAGATCATGAGGATCTTAAGGGAGATGGTAAAAGTGTGGGAGGGGTGAGGAAAAGAAAAAATTTAGATAGGGTTTCATTACCACTTGAATACAGGGAGAACAAGAGAGCAAAATTTCTAGGCTGCTTCTGGAATTTTAATGTTGAAGGAGATGGTTTAGATGTTACTGCTTTAACCAATATAAAAGAGTTAGCGTAAGTGTGATATGAGTAGAAAAAGTGAACTTTCACTAGACACATTGTGTTTGAAAAGTTTGTATGAAGGAGATACATATAGGTAGTCAGAAATAAATCTCTAAGTTGGAGCTTGATAGAGATTTTAGAGCAATCAGCATCAGCATCATGATCAAAGTAGGAAAACTTGGTTGAGAGCACTGATGGAAAGCAGTATGTATATATTGTTAGCTTATATTATTTCCTATTTCATAATTAGTGCCAAACCTATGATTAAAATTCTTCCCTAATACCTAGTTGACTTTATAAAAAATTTTAACAATTAGTTATAATTTTAGTCAATAATTTTTAAGTGTAAATAAATAAATTCACTAGGTATTTTCATTTACAGACATGTTTCTTCAATGATTTCTAAGGATTGGATGTAACTTCCTCTTTCGGAACCATTATAGCTTCTCTGAATGAAGTTACCTGCTTATGTATTCAATTACAATACCCTTTCCACTTTCAACACATTTTCTAATATAAATATGAAACCTCCAGTTTGTAATTTGCAGTGTTCTCTGAAAATCTTTTTATTCATGGCTCACAGGAAATGTATGTCTTTCAAAGTGTATTTTTTTTGGTATCAGTTTTTTACATTACACTAATCCACACTTATAGTTTAACCTGGTTCCCCTTAGAGCAATGACACACATAATATAGTTGGCTTGAATTAAATGTTCTAACCCTGATACTGAACAAACTTTAACTAACAGGCTTATATGGGGATTATAAATATCACTTTACCTTTATTTGTGTCTTTCTCCAAACAACTGATTGTCAGTATAGTCAGTAATGCACTGATTAAGTACCATAGACTTGGGATCAAATTCTGACTCGACTACTTACTACTTAGGTAATCTGGAAATGTTACTTATTCAGCCTCTCTCTGAGCATCAATTTGTTACATGCAAATATGGATATTATGTGAGACACCCACATAAAACCATATTTTATTTAGAAGTTACTTTATTTGGTTATTTAGGAGTATATGGATTTATTTCAAAGCCTTTTCTATATTTTTTCTTATGGGTTTCTACCTAAACTCCACTGTGGGCTTGCATAATGGTCCACCATATTGTCAGCTCTAGTAAATATCTCATATGTACCCGAAACGAATATGTATTCTGTCATTTGGGGGTTCAAGGTTTTTTCATTTGTCTCTTAGGTTTAATGTAATTACGTTTTTTAGCCTTCTTTATTTTTAAAATTGAGATGAAAATCTTATAGCATAAAATTAACCATTTAAAACTGTACAATGTAGTGGTATAATATTTAGTGTATTCACAATGTTGTACAGCCACCACCTCTTTCAGTTTTAAAAATCTTTTATCACTCCAAAAAACACCCAGAACCCATTAAGTAATTATTTCCTATTCTACCTCCTTTCATTCCTGGTAATGATTAATCTGCTTCCTGTCATTATGAATTTGCCCACTCTGAATATTTCATAGGAATGGAATCCTACAAAATAGGACCTTTTTGTCTGATTTCTTTCAATTCAAAGAATGTTTTTAAGTTTCATGCAAAGAGTAGCATGTATCAGCACTTCATTCATTTTTTATGACTTAATAATATTTCATTATATGTATATACCCCAGTTTTTCCTTTCATTCATTAATAGGCACTTGGTTATTATGAATATGCTGCCCAAAACATATGTATATAGTGTTGAACAAATAACGAATGTCAATAAAGTGATAAAAATTATAAAAGGGAACCAAGTAGATATTCAGGAGATAAAAAGTACAAGGGCTAAAAAATTCACTAGAATGGTTTAATGGCATATTTGAACAGGCAGAAAAAAGAATCAGTTAATGTGAAGATAAGGCAAGTGAATTTATCCAGTTTTAAGAGTAGAAAGAAGAAATAAAAGAAAGAAAAATAAAGTCTAACTGAACTGTGGAACATCATTGAGCGTACCAACATATGTGTCATGGGAGTTCCAGGAGAAGAAGATAGAAAGGATTAGAAAAAAGTGTTTGAAGAAATTATGGCTAAAATTTTCCCAGTTTGATGACAGATCTATCTATCCATCAATCCATCCAGGAATCTCAATAAACTTCAAGCAGGATAAATCCAAAGAGATTAACACTGAGAGAAATTATAGTTAAATTGTTAAAGGCGCAAGACAAGGAGAAAATTTTGAAAGCAGCAAGAAAAAAGTAACTCATTTTTTTCCTTCCTTCCTTCCTTCCTTCCTTCCTTCCTTCCTTCCTTCCTTCCTTTCTCTCTCTCTCTCTCCTTCCTTCCTTCCTTCTTCCTTCCTTCTTTCCCTCCTTTTTTTTCTCTTTTTCTTTCTTGCTCTGTTGCTCTGTAGCTCCAGCTGGAATACAGTGACATGATCTCAGCTCACTGCAATTTCTATCTCCCAAGTTCAAGCAATTCTCCTGCCTCAGCCTCTTGAGTAGCTGGGACCACAGGTGTGTGCCACCATACCTGGCTAATTTTTGTATTTTTAGTAGAGACAGGGCTTCACCATGTTGGCCAGGCTGGTCTCAAACTCTGGACCTCAAGTGATCTGCTCACCTTGGCCTTCCAAAATGCTGGGATTACAGGCATGAGCTACTGCACCCGGCCTCAGAAGTAACTTGTTTTATACAAGGGAGAATCAATACGATTTTCATCTGATTTTTTTTGTTTGTTTTTTATCTGAAGTCATGGAAGCCAGAAGGCAGTGGGAAGACATGTTTAAAATACTAAAAGGAAAAAAATGTGTTAACCAAGAATTCTGTATCTCCAAAACTATCTTTCAAGAACGAAAGATAAATTAAGACATAACCAGATACGCAAAATCTAAAGGAGTTTGTTACAAGTAGACTTGCTCTACAAAAATTGCTAAAGATCATCCCTCAGGGTGAAATGAAGTGACAATCATTGCTTGAAGCCATGTGACAAAACAAAGAACACTGGTAAAAGTAACTACATTGGTAAACATGAAAACCAGCATTATTGTACTTTATTGTATTTTGGTTTATAACTTCTTTTTTCAATGTAATTTAAAATTTAGATGCACAGAAAAACAATTATAAATTTATATTAATGGGCACACAATGTGTACAAATGTAATTTGTGAATATAGCAATATTAAGGGAGAGGTACCACGATGTATAAGAGCAGAGGGCTTACGTACTATTTAAACTAAACTTGCATTATTCAAAATAGATTTGTTGTAAGTTGTTATAAGATGTAATTGTAATACTCAAGGAAACCAGTAAAGTAATAACCATAAAATATGCAGAAAAAAGGAGAACAAAATGTATACTACAAAAATAAACCAGATACAAAAAGAAGACAGTAATGGAAGAATTGAGAAAAAATATAAGATATTCAGAAAACAATAGCTAAATGGCAGAAGTAAGTCCTTCTTTAGTAATTAAAGTGTAAATCAACTAACTCTTCAATTAAAAGGTAGAATGTATTACAGAAAACAAGACCCATCTATATGCTGTCTATATATACATGCTGTATACGTAGATAGAAAGACACAAAAAAAGATGCACGTAAAAGGATAGACAAAGATATTTCATGCAAATAGCAACCAAAAGGAGTATGGGTGGCTATATAATTAATGAACAAAATAGAATTTGAGTCAAAAATTTACAAGAGTTAGGGAAGGATATTATATATTGGTAAAGGTTCAGTCATCCATGAGATATAACATTACAAACGCATACTCATCTAACAACAGACCCTCAAAATATATAAAAAAAAAAAATTGACAGAATTGGAAGAGGACAAAAAGAAATGGAAAGAAAACCAGTGTTCATAGATTAGAAGAATCATTATTGTTAAAATGTCCACACTACCCAAAGTAATCTACAGATTCAATGCATTTTCTATGAAAATTCCAAGGGCAATTTTTGCAGAAATAGCAAAAAAAAAAAAAAAAAAAAAAAAAAAAAAAATCCTAAAATTTGTATGGAACTCCGAAAAACCCCAAATAGCCAAAGTAATCTTAAACAAGAAGAGCAAAGCTGGAGGCATCACACTTCCTATTTTCAAACGACATTATAAAACTATACTAATCAAAACAGTATGATAATGGCATAAAAACAGAAACAGACCAATGGAACATAAAACCACACATGTGACCAATTAATTTTCAAAAGCAGCACCAAGAAACACAATGGGCCAAGGATAGTCTTTTCAACAAATGGTGTTGGGAAAATTGGATATCAAAATGAAAAAAAAACCTCAATCCTTATCTTTTACATATACAAAAATCAATGCAACATGAATTAAAGACTTAAACATAAGACCTACAACCATACAATTTCTAGAAGAAAACAAAGTGGCAAATTTCCATGGTGTTGGTCCTGGCAATGAGTTTTTGGATATGACACCAAAAACACAAGCAATAAAAGCAAAAATAAATAAGTGGGACTACATCAAACTAAACATCTTCTTCACAGCCAACGAAGCAATAATCAAAATAAAAAGACAAAGCATGCAATTGGAGAAAATATTTGCAAACCATGTAGCTGATAAGGGAATAATATCCAAAATGTATAAGGAAACCATACCACTCAATAGTAAAAATAATAGTAATAATAATGTTAACCTTATTAATCAATGGGCCAACGACCAAAATAGATATTTTCCCAGAGACTTACCAATGTCAAACAGATATATTAAAGGCACTCAACATCAGCAATCATCAGAATAACACAAATAAAAGCCACAGTGTGATAGCCACTTATAATTGTTGGGAGGGCTATTATCAAAATGTCAAAAGATAGCAAGTGTTGGCCAGGATGTGAAGAAAGGGGAATCCTTATACATTGTTGAAGGAAATGTAAATTGGTATAGTCATTATGAAAAACAGTGAGGTTTCTCAATGAATTAAAAATAGAATTATCATATGATTCAGCAATCCCACTTCTGAATATATATCTAAAAGAAATAAAGGTATTATATCAAAGAGATATCTGCACTCTCATGTTCATTGTATCACTATTCACAATAGCCAGGATTTGGAAACAATTTAACTGTCTACCAACAGATGAATAGATAAAGAAAATATACATACATATTATATATGTAATGGACTACTATTTATTTTTTAAAAAGAAAAATTCCATCATTTGTGGCACTATGAAAGAACTTGGAAGACATCAAGCTAATTTAAATAAGCTAGAAACAGAAAGACAAATGCTGCATGATGTCGCTTATATGTGGAACCTAGAAAAGGTGAACTCATGGGAACAGAGAGAAGAAAGGTGGTTGACAGGGCAGGGAAAATGGGGAGATGTTTGTCAAAGGCAATGACAATAGGAATAAGTTCTGGAGACAGAACTTGTACCTCAATAAAGCTGAAAAAATGACAGGATTGAAAAGAGAAACATACAGTTCTATAATAATAGTTGGACACTTCAATAATTCATTTTAAATGACAAATAGAAAAACTAGACAGAATTGTAACAAAAAATAGAAGACTTGAAAAACAGTATAAGGCAATTAGATCTAATAGACATATAAAGAACAGTCCACCCAACAACAGCGGAATATACATTCTTTTCAAGTGGATATGGAACTTTCTCTAATATCAGCCATATCTTAGTCCACAAAATATCTCCTAATCTTTTTAAAAAGTCTGAATTTAAACAAAATATAATTTACAACCACAATGGAAGAAACATATCAATAAAGAATGAGAACTGGAAAATTCACAAATATGTGGAAATTAAACAGTACACTCTTCAACTACCAGTGAATGCAAGAATAAATCACAAGGGAAATTAGAGAATTGCTTGTGACAAATGAAAATAAAAACGCAAGATAACAAAACTTATTGAATGCAGTGAAATCAGATCTCAGAGAAAAATGTATAAACAACCTCATTAACAAAACCTCAAATCAACAACCTCACTCTATAATTTAAGGAAGCAGAAAAAACAGAGAAAATGAAATCCAAAGCTAACAGAAGGAAAAAAATGATAAAGACTAGAGCATAAATCAGTAAAATAGAAGGTTGAAAAACAATAGAGGAAATATATATAGCTAACAATTATTTAAAAAGATCAAACCTTTCACTATATTGACTTAGCAAAAGATAGAAGACTCTCATTATAAAATCATAAATGAAAGTGGACACATTACTACCAACTTTACAGAAATGAAAAAGGTTTATAGGAGAATACTGTGAACAACTGTATACCAACAAATTAGGTACCCTGGATGAAATGGACAAATTTCTAGAAAGACACAAACTACCAAAATGACTCCAGAAGAAATAGAAGATCTAAGAAGACCTATAACAAACAAGGAGATTGAATCAGTAATTAAAAACAATTCAACAAAGAAAGATTTATGACCAAATAGCCACATTAACTGGTGAGTCTACCGAGCATTTAAAGAATAATTATTAGTATTTTTTCTCAAACCCTTCCAACAAAACATATGAAGAAGGAATACTTGTTAATTCATTCTTTGATAACAGCATTACCCTGATACCAAAGCCAAAGACAGTTAAAAAAAAAAAGAAAGCTATGACCCAATATCCCTTATAATTATATACGCAAAAAATCTCAGCAAGTACTAGCAAAATACTAGCAGCAATACTGTATAATCAAAGGATTGTATACTGTCAGCAAGTAAGATTTATCCTAAAAATGTGAGGGTGTTTCAACATATTAAAAAATCAATCAATGTAATATACCACAATAGTAAAATGGAGAACCATATGAGATCCTAGGAAGTAGTCCTCACATATATGGTCAATGACTTTTCAACAAAAGGGCCAAGACCATTTAATGGAGGAAAGAACAATGTCTTCAATAAATAATGCCAGGAGAGCTGGGTATGCACATGCACAGAGTGAAGTTAGACCCCTACCTTGCATTATGTAAAAATATTAACTCAAAATTAATAAAATACTTAAAGACTAGAACTATGTATCTCTTAGAAGAAAATACACAGACAAATCTTTATGACCTTTGATTTTTAAATGATTTTTGAGATATGACACAAAAGCACAGATAGCAAAAGAAAAAATATGTAAATAAGATTTAATCAAAATCAAAAACTTTTATGCATCAAAAGACACCATCAAGAGAATGAAAAGACAATGTGAGAAAATATTTGCAAAACATATATCTGGATAAAGGCTTAATATCTAGAATATATGGTGAACTCCTGCAACTCCTGCAACTTCTGCAACTTTTTGTATAACGACAAAAGCCTAAAATTCCAAGTAAAAATAGGCAAAAGACTTGAACAGATATTTCTCTAAAAAAGATATACAAATGGCCAATAAGGACAAGAAAAGATGCTAAACTCAATTATTCATTAATAAAATGCAAATCAAAATCAAAATGAGATACCACTTTGCATCTAGTACTGTGGCTATCATAACAACCGTGAAACAGAAAATGTGTTGGTATGGGTGTGGAGAAATTGGAACGCTCATGAATTGGCTGCTGGGAATATAAAATGATGCAGTTGCTGTGGGAAACATTTGGTGGTTCCTCACAAAATTAGACATAATTCTAACCTTCCGCTGGAATTTCCAGAAATTCCACTCCTAAATATTATGCCCCCTCCCAAAAAAAAAGTTGACAGTAGGGTCTGGAACAGATATTTTTACACCAAAGTTCATTGCAGCATTACTCACCATAGTTAAAAGACAGAAACAATCTGTGTCCATTAGCAAGTGAATGGATAAACAAAATATGGTGCATGTATATAATAGAATATTATCGAGCCATTAAAGGGAATAAAGTTCTGATACATGTTACAACCTGGATAAAACTTGAAAACATGTTGCTAAGTAAGCCAGACACAAAAGGACAAATACTGTATGATTCCATGCATTAGTCTGTTCTCACACTGCTAATAAAGACATGACCCCAACTATGTAACTTATAAAGGAAAGAGGTTTAATAGATTCACAGTTCCACATGGCTGGGGAGACCTCACCATCATGGCAGAGGGCTGATGAGGAGCAAAGTCAAGTCTTACGTAGCCGCAGGCAAGAGAGCTTGTGCGGGAGAACTCATATTTATAAAACCATCAGATCTCATGAGACTTATTCACTACCAGGACAACAGTATGGGGGAAACTGCCCCATGATTCAATTATCTCCACCTGTCCCTGCTCTTGACACATGGGGTTTATTAAAATTCAAAGTGAGATTTGGGTGGGGACACAGCCAAAAAAAAAATCATTCCACTTATATGAAATATCTAGAACAGGCAAATTTCTGAAGACAGAACATAGATTAGTGTTTACCAGAGACTGGGGAGAGGAAGGAATGGTGAGTTATTGCTTCATGGGTACTTCGTTTCTGTTTGTGATGACAAGAAACTTCTGGAAATAGAGATGATGGTTGTACAACACTATGAATGTACTTAATGCTACTGAATTGTGTAAAGTTGTTGAAATTTTAATACCATAAAAAATTTAAAATATGAGATATTCTTATATTTTCTAATAATTATTCTTATATCCATGGTTATTTAAAAGTTCTTTGCTTAATTGCCTAATAGTAAGGTTTTTCTGCACATAATTTTATTACTGATTTTTAATTTATTTCTGTATTGGTCAGAGTACAAACTCTGTATGGTTTAAATCCTTTTATATTTATTGAGAATTATTTTATGGTCCAGTATTTGCTCCATCTTGATTAATGTTCCATGGCCACTTGAAAAGTAGATTTGATTATTGCCACCTTTAGTCTTTTGATGTCTCTTTCACACATTTTGAAGTTTCATTATGCGCACCCCTTTAAGACTGTTAATTTTCTGAACTGACCCTACTTTTCTGTTTGTTTGTTTGTTTTTTGAGATGGAGTTTCCCTCAGTCGTCCAGGCTGAACTGCAGTGGCGCGATCTCGGCTCACTGCAAGCTCCGCCTCCCGGGTTCACGCCATTCTCCTGCCTCAGCCTCTCGAGTAGCTGGGACTACAGGCGCCCGCCACCACGCCCGGCTAATTTTTTTGTATTTTTAGTAGAAACGGGGTTTCACCACGTTAGCCAGGATGGTCTCGATCTCCTGACCTCGTGATTCGCCTGCCTCGGCCTCCCAAAGTGTTGGGATTACAGGCGTGAGCCACCGCGCCCGGCCTGAACTGACCCTATTTTGATTATGACTTGACACCGTTATCTTTAGTAGTAGTACTCGTAGTTTAAAGACCACTTTATCTAATATTAATATGCACACACAGACTGTTTTAGGATTAGTATTAGTATGGCACATTTATATCCACACTTTTGCTTAAATGTTGTGTCTATCTCCAAAGTGTGTTTCTTGTGAACAGCATAGTGTTGGGTCTTGTTGGTTTGTTTATTTATTTATTTAATCTCATCTGAAAATCTGTACTTCTTAAAAAAATTTATTTTATCTTATTTTACTTTAAGTTCCGGGATACATGTGCAGAACACGTAGGTTTGTTACATACGTATACATATGCCTTGGTTGTTTGCTGTACCCATCATCTAGGTTTTAAACCTCACCTGCATTAGGTATTTGTCCTAATGCTCTCCCTCTCCTTGCTCCCCACCTCCCGACAGGCCCCAGTGTGTGTTGTACCCCTCCCTGTGTCCATGTGTTTTCATTGTTCAGCTCCCACTTATGAGTAAGAACATATGGTGTTTGGTTTTCTGTTCCTGTGTTAGTTTGCTGAGGATGATGGCTTCCAGCTTCATCGATGTCCCTGCAAAGGACATGATCTCATTCTTTTTCATGGCTGCATAGTATTCCTGGTGTATATATAACATATTTTCTTTATCCAGTCTACCATTGGTGGGCATTTGAGTTGGTTCCATGTCTCTGCTATTGTAAATAGTGCTGCAATAAACATACATGTGCATGTGTCATTATAGTAGAATGATTTATATTCCTTTGGGTATATACCCAGTAATGAGATTGCTGGGTCAAATGGTATTTCTGGTTCTAGATCCTTGAGGAATCACCACACTATCTTCCACAATGGTTGAACTAATTTACATTTCCACCAACAGGGTAAAAGTGTTCCTATTTCTCCACAGCCTTGCCAGCACCTATTGTTTCTTGACTTTTTAATAATTGCCATTCTGACTGGTGTGAGATTGTATCTCATTGTGGTTTTGATTTGCATTTCTCTAATGGTCAGTGATGATGAGCTTTCTTTCATATATTTGTTGGCCACATAAATGTCTTCTTTTGAGAAGTGTCCGTTCATATCTTTTGCCCACTTTTTGATGGGGTTGTCTGTTTTTTCTTGTAAATTTGTTTAAGTTTCTTGTAGATTCTTAATATTAGACCTTTGTCAGATGTGTAGATTACAAAAATTTTCTCCCATTCTGTAGGTTGTCTGTTCACTTTGATGTTACTTTCTTTTGCTGTGCAGAAACTCTTCAGTTTAATTAGATCTCATTTGTCAATTTTGGCTTTTGTTGTCATTGCTTTTGGAGTTTTTGTCATGAAGTCTTTGCCCACGCATATGTCCTGGATGGTATTGCCTAGGTTTTCTTCTAGGGTTTGTATGGTTTCCAGTTCTTCTATATTTTTTATGTATTAGAAACAAGATCTTGCTCTGTCACACAGTCTGGGGTGCAGTGGCATGATCATATCTACTGGTCTTAAGGGATCCTCTCACATTGGCCTCCTGAGTAGCTGGGACTGCAGGCACATGCCACTGTGCCCAGCTAATTTTTAATTTTTAAAAAAATATTTGCAGAGATGTGATCTCACTACCCATCTCTTGCCAAGGCTGGTCTTAAACTCCTGGTGGCAAGTCATCCTCCACCCTCATGCTCCCAGAGTGCTGGGATTACAGGTGTGAGCCACCAAGCCCAGGCCCTTTTATACTTAATGTAACTTTTTATACTTTTATACTTAATGTGGTTGTTGAGATGATTAGGTTTCAGTGTACCCTATTGCTATTTGTTTTATGTTTGTTTCTGTTTCTTTTTTTCTCTAGTTTTTCTTTAGTGTGATTGTTTTTTAATATTGTGTTTTATCTCTTCTACTGGCTTTTTAACTATACCTCTTTGTTTTAATTTTTAAATTGTTAGTTGCAAGATTACAATATGTATCTTTATCACAGTATACCTTGAGTTAATATTTTAACATTTTTGTTCAGGTAAGAACCTAAAAATGGCATAATCCCAATAATTCTCCTCTGTCTATTATGCTAGTTTTGTCACATATATTTTTTCCAGCACGTTTGTTGTAAGTAATCAGGAATTAGTGTTGAATTTTGTGAAAATTCTTTTACAAGTCTTTCAAGATGATTCTAGGGATTTTCTACTTTATTTTATTTATATGATGTACTATGTTCATTGGGTTTCAGATAATAAACCAAATTTGCATTACTAGGATTAAATCTAGAGAGTTATGATGTATTACAATTATAGATATTGTTGGATTTAATTTGCTTCCATTTTGTTAAACATTTGCATTTATAGTTATGAGAGAGATTGTTTGGCACTTTTTTCTTCTGATGTCTCCATCTTGCTTTTATACCAAGCTAATACTGGCCCTCTAAAATGCTTTGGCATATGTTCTATTCTCTATTTGCTGAAAATGTTTGTGTATGACTCACATACTTTATTCTTTAAATGTTTGATGGAATTCACAGGTTAAGCCATCTGGTACTATGCTCTTCTTCATGGGAATATATTTAATTACTAATTCCATTGTTTTTACTTTATATAGATCTACTAAGATTTCCTATTTGTAAGTCAATTTTGCTACTTAATAACTTCCTAGGAATTTGATTATTTCATTTCTGTTTTTAAACTTGTTAATGTAAGTTGTTCATTACATTACCTTGAATTCTTTTTATATTTCTGTTCAATCTGTTGTGAGGTTCTATCTTTCATTCCTGAGAGTAAAAATCTGTGTCTTCTCTTTTTCATCTTGATGATTCTAGTAAAATATTTGCAAATTTTATTGATTATTTCAAATATACAACTATGAGTTCTATTGTTTTCTCTATTCGTTTTGTTTCCTGTTTCATTAATTATTGTTCTGATTGTTATTATTTCTTCTCTTCTATTTCCTTGCTTCCTTTTTTTAGTTTCTTAAGTTCAAAGGTAAATAATTGATTTGAGACTTTCTTTTCTAGTAAAACATTTGAATCTATAAGTTTCTCTCCAAACATTATTTTAGCTTCTTTTCATATATTTTGATTTATTCTGTTATTATTTTCCATGTACTTAAGTTATTTTCTAATTTCCCTTGTGATTTGTTGTTGGAAAAATGGATGATTCAGAGCTATTTTGTTTAATATTTGTTCTGTTTAATTTTTCAACACATATATAGACATATCTATTATTTTAGACTGGGTTTTCTGATACAAATATTAGATGTTTTGTTTTGAAGATGAAACAAAGGGCAGCATGGGTAAGAAAAAAGAGAACTAAGGGTGGCTAGAAAGGGGAGACAATAGTTATTACTTTATAAGAAGCCACGAAACTATAGTGAATTAGTTAGAAGGAATATCTGCTTGAAATGAAACACTTCCAGGTGAGCCAAAAATAGATACCCAGCCTCAGAGTAGATTATGGAGAGAGGAATTTATTTCTTCAGCTTCCTTCTGTCTTCTTTTCCCCCGACAAAGCATTCCCCAGAGGGCATTAACTCCCTCATACCTCCAGACTGTATCATTTTGCCCCTTTAATGGTGAGATGGAATGCCAGAGCCCCATGTCAGCTGTGGGTTCCTAGTGGAGGAAAGAGCTGGAGTCTCTGGGCAATCACTGCTGGACCTGGCTATGTATCAGAGGCTATATTCCTAAGACAGCTTACTGGTTGTCACAGCAGCAGAGCTATTTGGGCCTGAACAAGGTACCACAGGTTATGACTGGTGGCTATGGCAGAGTAGGTGGCCAAGGATACATGAGACAGGTAGCATCAAAGAAAATAGAGCTGTTGAGTGAGATCTGTGTTAGATCTACATATATACCGATTGATATATAATTATCTATTTAGAAAATTATTGAGAAAGATCCACAGAAGAAGATTAAACTTTGGGAATATTACAGCAAGAGCAGGAGAAAGGGCTTTTACTGCTTTACATGATTTTTAGTAATGATATTATGGGAAATTAAAAAAATTAGTGTATATTTTGGAAAAATTAAAAATAATCGTCACATTAAATAAATTATTGTATATCCCTATGATGAACTCTAGATACATCTTGAAAAAGTTTAATTATATAAAAAAGCATTGTGCCCATGATATATTGAGTTAAAAAAATATTAAATAGTATACAGGCATACCTCATTTTAATGTGCTTTGTAGATGCTGAGTGTTTTACAAATCGAAGTTTTCTAGAAACTCTGCATTGAACAAGTCTCTTGGAACCAACTTTTCAACAGCATGTATGCACCTGATGGCTTTGTGTCACATTTTGGTAATTCTCACAATATTTCAAATTTTTCATTATTATATTTGTTACAGTGATCTGTAATTAGTGATTTTTGATGTCATTACTGTAATTGTTTGGGGGTACCATGATCTGTGCCCATGTAAGACAGCCCATGTAAGGCTTAGTTGCTAAGTGTTGTGTGTCTTCTGCCTGCTACACTGACTAGCCATTCTTCTCGTTCATCTGTCTCCCTCCCTCAGCCTCCCTATTTCCAGACACACAACAATTTTAACCTTAGGCCAATTAATACCACTAAAATGGCCTCTAAGTATTCAAATAAAAGAAAGAGTTGCATTTCTTTCATTTTAAGTCAAAAGCTGGAAATGATTAAGCTTAGTGAGGCAGGCATGTCAAAAACTGAGACAGGCTTAAAGGTAGGCTTCTTGCACCAAACAGTTAGCTAAGCTATGAATGCAAAAGAAAAGTTCCTGAAAAAAATTGAAAGTGCTACCCCAGTGAATGAACAAATGATAAGAAAGTAAAACAGTCTTATTGCTGTTATGGAGAAAGTTTTAGTTGTCTGGATAGATCAAACAAGCCATAATACTTCCTTAAGCCAAAGCCTAATCCAGAGCAAGGCCCTAACTCTCTTCAATTCTGTAAAGGCTAAGAGAGGTAAGGAAGCTACAGAAGAAAGTTTGAAGTTAGCAGAGGTTGGTTCATGAGGTTTAAGGAAAAAGTCACCTCCATAACAAAGAAGTGCAAGGTGATGCGGAAAGAGCCGATGTAGAAGTTGCAGCAAATTATCTTGATCTAGCTAAGATCACTGAGGAAGGCGACTACACCAAATGACAGATTTTCAATGTAGCCCAAACAGCCTTGTATTGGAATAAGATCACTCCTATGACTTTCATAGCTGAGAGGAGAAGTCAATAACTGGTTTCATAGTTTCAAAGCACAGACTGACTCTCTTATTAGGCAGTATTGCAGTTGAAGACTTTAAGTTGAAGCCAGTACTCATTTACCATTCAGGAAAACCTATGACCCTCAAGGAATGATGTTAAATCTACTCTGCCTATGCTCTATAAACAGGACAATGAAGCCTGATGATAGCATATCCATTTACAGCATGGTTTACTGAATATTTTGAGCCCACTGTTGAGATCTACCACTCAGAAAAGAAAGATTCATTTCAAAATATTACTGTTCATTGATAATGTACCTAGTTACCCAAGAGCTGTGATGGAGATGTTCAAGGAGATTAGTATTGTTTCACGCCTGCTAACACAATATCCATTCTACAGCCCATGGATCAACAAGTAAATTTGACTTTCAGGTTGTATTATTTAATAAATAAATTTCAAGTATTTGATAGCATAACACGGTGACTACACTCAATAATAACTGAATTGTACATTTTAAAATAACAGAGTATAATTGGATTGTTTGTAATACGAAGGATAAATGCTTGAGGAAATGAATACTCCATTCTTCATGATGTGATTATTACGCATTGCATGCCTGTATCAAAACATCTCATGAACTCCATAAATATATACACCAACTATATACCCACAAAAATTAAAAAGAAAGAAAGAAAGAAAGAAGAAAGAAAGAAAGAAAGAAAGAAAGAAAGAAAGAAAGAAAGAAGAGTAGGTTATAAGTCTATAGCTGCCATAGTTAGTGATTCCTCAGATAGATCTGGCAAAGCAAATTGAAAAATTTCTAGAAAGAATTTACTGTTCTAGATGTGTTTAAGAACATTTGTAATTTGCTAGGCATCATGGCTCATGCCTGTAATCCCCTCACTTAGGGTGTCTGAGACAGAAGGATCACTTGAGCCCAGGAGTTTGAGATTAGCCCTGGCAACATAGTGAGACCCCATCTCTACAAATAACATTTGTGATACATGGAAGGAGGTCAAAATATCAACATTAATAGGATTTTGGATGAAATTGTTTCCAACCCTCAAGGATGATTTTGAGGGATTCAAGACTGTTTTACTCTTTATTTACTTATATATTTATTTAATTTTCAACTTTTAAGTTCAGGGGTACATGTACAGGATGTGCAGGTTTGTTACATAGTTAAATGTGTGCCATGGTGGTTTGCTGCATGGATCATCCCATCACCTAGGTATTAACATCAGCATCCCTTAGCTATTCTTCCTGATGTTCTCCCTCCTCCCACCTCCCCACCCCCTGACAGGCCCCAGTGTGTATTATTCCCCATCATGTGTCCATGTGTTTTCAACACTTAGCTCCCCCTTACAAGTGAGAATACGCAGTATTTAGTTTTTTGTTTCTGTGTTAGTTTGCTGAGGATAATGACTTCCAGCTTGATCCATGTCCCTACAAAGGACACAATCTCATTCCTTTTTATGGCTGCATAGTATTCCATGGTATATATGTATCACATTTTCTTTATTTAGTCTATCATTGATGGGCATTTAGCTTGATTCCATGTCTTTGCTATTGTGAATAGTGCTGCTATGAAAATAGGCATGCATGCATTTTATAACAGAATGAAATACAAATCCAAATCACAATGAGATACCATCTTACACCAGTCAGAATGGCTATTATTCAAAACTCATAAAACTACAGATGCTGGTGAGGTTGTGGAGGAAAAGGAACACTTTTACACTGTTGCTGGGAGTGTAAATTAGTTCAGCCACATAAAGACAATGTGGTGATTCCTCAAAAACCTAGAGGCAGAATTACCATTCAACCCAGCAATCCCATTACTGGGTATATACCCAAAGGGACTGAAGACTTTATTTGAAGAAAGAACTGCTGATGTGGTAGAAATGGCAAGAGAACTAGAATTAGCAGTGGAGCCTTAAGTTGTGACTGAATTGCTGCAATATCATAATAAAATTTTAATGGATAGGAGTTATTTTGTATGGATGAGCAAAGAAAATGTTTTTTTTTTTTGAGATGGAAGCTACTCTTGGTGAAGATGCTATTAACATTGTTGAGATGACAACAAAGGATTTAGAATATTACATAAATTTAGTTAATGAAGCAGTGGCAGGGTGTGATAGGATTAACCCCAACTTTGAATGAAATTCTACTGTGGGGTAAAATGCTATCAAACAGCACTGCATGCTACAGAGAAATCTTTCATTATGAGATGTCAGTCAATGCAGCAAACCTCATTGTTGTCTTATTTTAAGAAATTGCCACAGCCACTCCAACCTTTAGCAACCACCACCCCGATTAGTAAGCAGCCATTAAAATTGAGGCAAGATCCTCCGCCAACAAAAAGGTTATGACTTGCTGAACGTTCAGATGATTGTTAGCATTTTTAGCAATAAAGTATGTTTAACGAAGTTATGTACATTGAATTTTAGACATAATACTATTGCACACTTAATATATTATAGTATAGTGTAAACATAATTTTTATATGTGTAGGAAACCAAAAAGCCTGTGTGACTCAATTTATTGCAATATTCACTTTACTGTCGTGGTTTGGGACTGAACCCACAATATTTCTGAAGTATGCCTGTATAAAGAAAATAATTGAGAACGTATTAGATGTTTAAAGTTTTTAAATAGAAATTTTCATAAATATCCTCTGTTAGTGTTTGACCATGTGAATAAATTGATTAGAATGTACAAAGAGAAAAAAATAGTATAAAAGGAATAAGGGAAAATACCTAATATACGTGACACCAAATGTATAGCTATCATAAGTGAAATAGATTACAGAGAAATAATGTATATGAAAAAGACTTGCGGAAGAGCAGTGGTTTTGGACACTGACAAATACAAATTTTGAGTCATGCCATTGCTCTTCTGGAGTTAATCCTGCTTAGGATCTCGTTTTCTTGCCTGTTAATAATAATAATAATAATAAAACTCGGTATATCACAGGACACCTATTATGGTGAATAAGAAGAATATATTTTAAGTGCTTTGGATAAATTGAAGGGATAAGGATGTAAAAATAAAGGAGAGAGAAAATTTAAACAACTTTGTTTGATGGTGGAAAATGAAGGAAATTTGTTTACACTACTCTTGTCTTCTCCCATTTTAATGTCTTTATTGTTTTGGTAATTGGTTAGTTACTAGCACTCTCCAGAAACTCAAAGAAGAGTTCCAGGATTCAAAGCTAAGCCTCGATATTTACAAAGGTAATGAGTCTGTCAGCCATGGGAAGTCAAGTGCTCTTACTGTTTGGTATTGCTCACCTCAATCCTAACCTAAAGGGACACCTTTCTTGGGGGATAACAGTTCATTTGTCTTCATGCTAACTCTATCAAGGAATTTTCCTGTGCAGAAAACAGCTAGTTTCACTAAGCTCTGTATGTGTGGTGTTTTTTATGTAGTGCACTGACAGCCAGTAACCGAACCTAATCCGTCAAACTCATTTCACCTAAGACCTCAAGTATAACTCCAATTCTGATCCTTAAGGTAAAGGTGTCACTGAAGTACTTAGTTCCTGAACTTTTGTTTTTGAACACATAGTACTCTGGGGGTTGGTGTAGGAGACGTGTTATTTCTCTTGTACTGAGAAATAAGTCATTATTTTTGGATGTTGCATTTAAAAATATTACGTTTGCCCTGTAATTTGCTTATAATAGCTGCAATCTTTTTCAAGCAGCCATTGATGGAGTTGTTCTTTTGTACCAGTAGGTTTGCAGTTTAGTAAACTGTGTGGTTTTAATTTTTTTAATTAATGCAAATGAATCTTTTGGAAATACTACATTATTCCTGGTAAGATAAAAATCAGGTATTTTAATTTTGTCTACATTTCAGAAATTAATAAAGAATTTGGATTATAGCATTGATCTTTAAAAAAAAATTCAACACTTTTAATTGTGCCATGTATTTTTAAAGCATTTTCTTGTGGAATAGATGTATTTTAATGTATCTCAAAATTATTTCTGCCAGCTATTTAATATTTCTCATGATTGAGAGGGCACTAAAACAGGCATTTCAGAGCTATTTCTGCTCCACAAAATGTCTGCCCTTTGTTTACTCATGTGTTTGTTGGACAATTTCGTGTTTTCTGGAGAACAGGGACCACTTACAGGTAAAAAAAGACATTTAGTGATATTTGCTCTGTAGATACGTACTGTGAAACGGCTAAAAAAAATGGGTAAGAAACCATCAAAACCAAAGATTATGTCTACCAGTAAGTTAGCAGAGCTTACTCTGTTGTTAACGATCCTACTTCAGTAAGATCCTACTTCAGAGTTTTACTTAAGTAAAACTCCTGTGGTATAACTGACTACTATTTCATGTGGAGGAGTTAATAATAACTTAGAAAATAAATTTAAGACGTTTGGCCAGTGTGTATTTTTTTTTTCAGTTTCAGTTTAATTTTTTTCTTTTATTATTATACTTTAAGTTTTAGGGTACATGTGCACATTGTGCAGGTTAGTTACATATGTATACATGTGCCATGCTGGCGCACTGCACCCACTAACTCATCATCTAGTATTAGGTATATCTCCCAATGCTATCCCTCCCCCCTCCCCCCACCCCACAGCAGTCCCCAGAGTGTGATGTTCCCCTTCCTGTGTCCATGTGATCTCATTGTTCAATTCTCACCTATACATTTTATTACCATAGAATGTTTACTTCTATTAGTTTTACCTTTAATATTCAGAACTACGTGATGGATCAACTTTGACCTTCAAAAATTAGTCTAATATCGCTTTGGAAAAATGAGAGAAGCAAACATTCCTGGATTCAAATAACTTTTGGAATTTTATTTAAAAAAAGACATGATTGTTAACTAGCATAAGTCATGTTTATAAAATGCTGTCTATTTAAATTTCTTGGATCTTTAAGGGAAACAAGTTATTTTATTTAACATTTATGCAAGAAGAGAGTATTCTTATTTCCTGATAATGCTTAAATCTCTAAAAAACTGAATTTTAAATGGGTGTCAAAACTTTGGCATAACGTTTATAAGAGAAGTAATTTATAAGACAGTAATATTTGAACATAGTCATAAATTTTTTAAGCAAGTTGCATTATGATTATTACCCCATCATTACATTTCAATTAGAATCTATTTAAATATCATTGATATAATTTGGAAATAAGTATTTGCAGCCAGTCAGATTTGAATTACGAACATGTAAATACATTCTGGTATTTCTAAATTTAAGTCTCTCTTTTAAAGTAGGCTTAAAGATAATAAAAGCATATATAACTTTTTTTTTCCAATTTGTGAGTCAAGTTGGAAAATGGCAGGGGTTTATTTTAAGTAAATATTCACTGTCTAATGAAACACATGAGATTAAAGCATCAAAAATCTGTGGACACAATTATTTACTTTTGGGGCTCAAAAGATCATAACATTGCAATTCAGCCTTAGCAAGGATGATGGAAAAAGTTCTTACTATGTTAAATGCCTTGGAAACTTTCCCCAAATCATAAACTCAGTACAGTATTTTTATCTTAAATACATAACATTTAAATACCATATCTACAATTATCGTTCTCTCCCATTGCCCCTGAGCAACTCCATCTTATTGCACTGATCTCTGCATTACAAGAGAATAAAAGCACCTGCCTCTCTAAATAAATACACTCAGGCTTTGGTTCCTTGGTGGCTCATCAAGGGAGTTCAAAGATAAACAATTCAATCAATTGCTTGTTTTTTTCTTTATTATAAGAAAATATCGGTTTAAATGATTTTTTACAGATGAACAGAATATTATTTTGATTGAACACACAAGTTATTTTGGCATCATGTTAAACCTAGCCTCAGGGTTGCTTACTTAAAAATAAATCTGCACTTTTCAACTCTTCCTCAGGATACTAGTCTTCTAATCGGCAGATTTCAGATTGTTTTCCCTATTTTTCTTTTTCATTATAATTTTGCCTGGGTAGTTATAGTCTCAACTTTCACTTCTAATCAGCCTTATTCACAAACTGACTAAATAATCTACTAAGATGTTGTGAAGACATGAGGAAAAGATACCATTGGCTCAAAGTATCTTGTTTACCCCTAGCTATAGACCTCTTGTTTCTCATTCACAAATTCCTCTTTGTGGGTCAAAGCCTCTGAGAACTATTTGTTATCAGGTACATACATGTGGGAATTTAGTTTACTTCAATAAACATGTGTTGAGAGCTGTGGGGAAGGAAAGAATGACACAGATTCTGCCCTTAAAGAGCTCACAATGTAATGAGGAAGGCAAATCTTTAAATGGAAATTTAAATATTTGCATATGTACTAAGGGAACACAGAGGAAACTCACTGTATTAGTCCGTTTTCACACTGCTTTAAATAAATACCAATGCCTGGGTAATTTATAAAGGAAAAAGATTTCATTGACTTACAGTTCTGCATTGCTGGGGAGGCCTCAGGAAACTTATAATCATGGCGGAAGACCAAGCAGAAAGAAAGCTTCTTCACATGGTGGCAAGAGAGAGAAGAGTGAATGAGCAAAGGGGTAAGAGCCCTTATAAAACCGTTAGATCTTGTGAGAACTCACTCACTATCATGAGAACAGCATGGGGAAAACCGCCCCCATGATCCAATCACCTTCCACCAGGTCCTGCCCTTAACAAGTGGGGATTTGAGATGAGATTTGGGTGGGAACCAAAACCATATCAACCACTTACTGTAATCTGGGGCTGGGGACAGCCCTGGGGAAGACAGTAGATGATATGACCATTATCTGGGCTCTTAAAGGGTGAGCACATGCTAGCCTGGTATCAGAGTATGTGTGTGTGTGTGTGTGTGTGTGTGTGTGTGTGTGTGTTGTCTGTATGTGTGTGTGTATGTGTGTTTATGTGTGTGTCTGTGCACATGCATGTGTGTGTTGGGGGCATGGAGAATGGGCCAATGGATGGTAGGGAGATGAAAGACATTTCAGCCAAGTCCATGTAACTTATATTAACATGTTTAAAAAGGCATGGAAATAATATTGTGTACAAGGGATTGAATTCAAAAGTCACTCGGGGATAAGAAGAAAGTAGTGAGAAAAGAAACTAGATAAGTAGATGTGGTCAGGGCATAACAGGCTTTATATTCCATCCTAAGGATCATGGCCTTTATTCTGTAGGTGGTAGAGTAACATTAAAGCAGAATAATGACAAGGTTAGGTCTACAGTTCAGAGTAGTCATTTTAGCAAAAGCTCAGAGGAATGGACTTCAAAGAGGGCAAGTCTGCAATGTGGCAGGTAACGGGTAGGAGGCTATGGCAACAGTGCAGCCTTGATTAAGGGCAGCGGTAAAATGTAAGGAGAGAAGATGACATATTTGAGAGCAAAAAAAGCTATCCATGCCTTTTATTCCCACCATTAACCTTTTATATTAGAGGAGCACAGGACATGGAGAAGGAGACCCATGTGCATGTGATGGAGTAGTGCTGAAGATTAAATGAGTTAATACACATGATCAGTACTATAAAAGTGTTTGCTATTATTATTATTGGGGGCAAGGGAGAGTAAAACTCAGAATGATTTACTGACCTTAACATACAGGCATCAGTGGAAAGCTGCACTTATGGTCTAGATCCTGGGGACATGGATCTTTTAGAGAGTCATGAACAGAGAAGATAAGGCATGCAAAAGGGAGAGTCTCAGTAGCTGCTGACAAATGGAAACTATGAGAGAGTCTCAGTAGCTGTAGACAAATGGAAACTACCTTTCAAGCTGTATCAATGCATCAAGGGGACACAACGGAAGTAGGGAGTGCTCTGAGTCACTTCATGCAGAAAAAAGGGAGATGTTTGGATTAACCACAGCTTCTGCTGTCCCTTAAATAGCAGTAGGATGCATTCAGAATCCCCTGAAAATAAGTGTCATTGCATTCTCTTTTATGCTACCATCCTAGAAAGTACACTAGGAAGATGCAAAAGCATTTGGATAGAAATCCACAGAAGTGACACATGTACATTCCATCAGCATTTTTGCTTTGCTCAAGGATTTTTGTTGGACCTAAAAAAACTCTGATCTGTTTGGAAAGAGGATTTGCATTTGCAAATAGATTTACAGGCAGATCCAACAAGCAGCACTTTGCCATTTGCAAATCCACTTGAAACATCTGGGTTCCTGTCTAGCCCTAAAATTCTTATATAAATGGACAACCCTAAGATCATAGTTTGGACACGATTTTTTAAAAATCAAGATAAATGCTAAGTAATTTGCATAATTTGTTGGTTTCGAAAGCACAACCTATTTTGTTAACAAAATAAAAGAACAAAGAGAAACTAACCTTTTTCTGTTAAAGGAGAATTAAATAAGTGAAATCAATAAACAACAATAAAAGCACTTTGACTTTGTTAACTGGAGAAAGGCTGTGTGACATTTCTGTGAAACAAGCTTGTTAATAAGGGTTTTAATTTAGACTGAAATTCTACCTATTCTCCTAATGGTAAAATACATTTTTTAAAAAAATTGTATCAATGACTTATTTATTGTGGATCTGAAAATATATCCTAATTGTGACTTTTTTTATATAAAAAGGAAACTAGTGAGGCTCTTCTCTAGTATAAAAAAGTATTATAATATAGACAATATAAGATTTAGTCAGGCTAAATTTATACTGTACCAGTAGACTATAAGAATTCCATTAATGCTCCATTGATATCATCAATGAAGAAAAAGGCAAAATGGATGCATTGCTTCTGCTCCACTGGGTCTGTAATGAAGCAGCATTATAGCAGCTGCTGTCTTTTTAAACAGCTTTGCTTTTTTTCCCAAGGCATCACTTGGTATATTGCAAGATTCTCCAGAAAAATATCTTTTGACCTTGTGGCCCTTTCTTTTTATTATTTTTTTTCCAAGAACCATGGCCTTCCATTTGCCACTGTGGTGCTATGCTGTAATTTAAAACGTACAATGGAAATTTCAAATAAAAAGGAAGAGTTTGAGATAGGTACTTCCAAAGGCATCTGTGGCAGTGAATCCTAATATTTCAGGAATCTCGGCCATTAGAAACTCTCACAGCCTTTAGTGATATGATGGAGAACCTGCTAAAGGAATGGAAATCTCAATCATTCTTTCCTTTACTTGATTAAGAAAATATATACAAAGCTCTCTACAAAGGTACAATTAATATTTTGTCAAACTATAAAACCATAGTGCTGAGCTAGAATCCCATCCAATTAACCTGTTTGTTTCAGCTGTTGGCATGACATGACACTGGTTGTCACTGCCAAATCATTCATGCAGCAATTCACTTTCATTGCTAAGGTGGCCTAAATGAACAGCCAGGTCTATTGAAGTTAGTTCATTCTCTCTCTGTGTGTGTGTGTGTGTGTGTATGTGTTTCTGTGTGTGTGTGTGTGTGTGCATATGTCTGTGTGATTTGACAGCTTCTATAAACCCACCTGAAAGAATAGAATAGAAGATATTTCAAGGCTAAAACTTTTAAATGATGAAACTTAAACTTTTGAAATTATGTTGCCCTGGGCATCCGTATTAATAAGAGGGGCAATATATGCAAAGAAGCACAAGAAAAATATAAAGAATGCAGTAAATTCACTGAAAATAAGAAATTATTGAATAATGATAATACTTGAGCTACCTTTCTAAATTCTACAAGGTGAAGTTCTGGGTTTCCTACAATCTAAAAATATCTGACACTCTGTAGATATTCAAAACACATTATCATTGTTTTCCAACCAGAATTGCCCTGAATTCCAAAATTTCCCATTAATTGCTTATGGAATATTACTCTTAGATGATCTAGCTCAGAATTAAGACATCCAATAATAGGCTGGGCATGGTGGCCCATACCTGTAATCCCAGCACTTTGGGAGGCTGAGGTAGGTGACTTGCTTGAGCTCAGGACTTTGAAACCAGCCTGGGCAACATGACGAGATCCTGTCTCTACAAATTAGCTGGACATGGTGGTGTGCACTTGTAGTCCAGCTGCTGGGGATGCTGGGGTTGCAGTGAGCCAAGATCACACCACTGCACTCCAGTTTGGGCAAACAGTGACCCTGTCTCAAAAAAAAAAAAATCTCCAATAATAATTCTTACTCTTGCATTTACTTATGCACTAAAACTCCTGCCTCTCTTCATCTGAACTCTGCCAACAGATATATATTTTTTTCAGTGAATGGTACCACCATTTATCTACTGCTGACAATAGCCACTTGGATGCCATCCTGGATTTATTCTCCATACTCTACTGCAAATCAAGTCATTTTGACCTAGTAATTTTCCATCTGATATAGCTCTCAATTCCATTCATTATTCCTCACCATCCTGGCACCCCTTAAGTTTAGACTTTCAGTGTTTTTCCCTTTGGTTACTGATTATTTCATTTGATTATATTTCAAAAGTTTACCTTTTTTGGTCTTCTTCATTTCTTTCTAATTTATTCTGTACACAATTATCAATGATCTTTCCAAAATTTCACACTAGTATGTCACTCATCTATTTTAAAGGTATCAATGGTTTACCAGCTCATTAAATATAAAATCTGAACTCTTTAGCTTACGCAAGGCCCTTCCTGATCTGCCTTCTTATGCCTTTGCAGTATTACCTTTCCCTGTATCCTTATTGGATCCTTACCAAACTACTTGCAGTTCCTCAAACGTTCCATACTTTTTCTTGCCTCTTTCCATTTATATGTACTATTTCCTCTACATAGAATGTTATCTTCCTTTTCCCCATGATCAATTTCAACATTTCACTTAACACAGTGAGATGAACACTCCATAGAGGAGTGTTCCCAGATCTCCATGCTATGAATTTTGGTTTCTCTATAACAGCTAGTGTATACCTTCAGCACAGCACTCATAATATTATAATATGATGCCCATTGTACTCATTTCTTCCAGCATGATGTGAGCTTTTTGATAGTGAGGATTGTGTCTTAAATCTTTGTCTTCAACAGCAATTTTATGCTTGACTTGAATTCATTCATTCAGCAAATACTGATTAAGTAGTTATTATTTGTAAGGAATTCTTCCAGTCATTGGAATGAGCAAATCAAAGCTCCTACTTTGTAGGCTGAATTTTGTCTTCCAAAGCTCAAGTAAGCTTACCTGGTTGGCAATACCCCATACATATTGTCAAAAATCATTTCTGGGAGAAGACAGTGTTGTTCAAGATACACTGGGAGAGGACGCTGGAAAATCTGCATGTGGAGCTCTCGAATATGCCTTATGTACCTCTTCCCTTGATTAATTTTAATCTGTACTCTTTCACTGCAATAAACTGTAACCATGAGTATAATAATTTCCATCAGTTCTGCTAGTCATTTTAGCAAATCATTGGTTTTTGGGAAACCCCGACCTTGCAGGTCTTGTCAGAGAGAGTGGGCATGGGAACTCTCTAACTTTTCAGGGGCTAAGAAACGTGGGGCAAGTAAATATTGGTGAACATTACTGTGTGTGCCACTGTCCTCCACAATCTATTTTCCAACTACCAGCTAGAGAAATTCTCTAAAAAGTACGTCATTTTACCTTTCTGCTCAAACCTCTCCAATGATTTTTCAGTTTATAGGATAAAAACCAGATTTGTTAACGTGGATTACAAAGGACATATATAATACAGTCTTTTGCAAACTGCCTGATCTCAGAGCCAACTATTTTTCCTGGCAAGATAACAGCTACAGCCCAACTGGCTTTCCTTGACTATTTTAAGCATGTATCTGTCTTAGGAATTTTGAACTTGTTATTCCCTTTGCCCTTAATATTCTTTTCACTCTTTTCCCCATGTGTCATTTACCGAATACTCTCTTCAGTACCTCCTTCTCTAATGTGCTCCTTAAATTCCCATAGTGATTTTCATAGGGCCATCCCCCACATAGGCATCCCTTTTCTAATGCAGTTTTCCATTGCCCATCTGCCTGACCATATGGCCAAACCACTGGCTACCACTCATGGGTCAGTAAAGGCCCAAACATAGTGGACTTTTATCACCATTCAATTCTTTCATCACAGCAAGGAAAACGGTATGCAAATAAACTCATTGAACTGGTTTGTTCTTACCTTCTTCAATCAGTCATTTCATATGCTGGTCTTAGTGCAGCAGTCTTCCAAATAGGATGCTGTGTTTCCACCTTGAAAATGCCATCTATAAACGAAGCATCTTTTTGTTGGTCAACAGAGAGCTGTTCATAGGGCACTGTCCATGTGACCATAGGATGTGTCAGTTACTCATGTGGTTCCAAGTCAGACCTATGGGAAAAAAGGCTCAATAATTACCATCCTGCATTCCCTCAGTAACATGTTTCTGCACAAACCATACTTATTTTATTATGAAACTCTTCTGGACACTACCCTCTTTATAAAAACGTTTCTTCATCATCTCCCAAGACATTGTGGGTGTTTCAGATTTCAAGATTATCTTATGTCCTTCAGTCATAGGAACAGTTTCAATTAATACCCAACAGAGACCCAGGAATTTGTTCCACAAGCACCTGTATTGCATAAATATTCAATTATAAGAAAGAGGAAAATGGTTTTTGGGAAGAAAAAAAAATAAAAGACTGCACCCAGGCAGAGGAGTCTAAGAAGGCTTTCTTAGGAAATTTAAATCTATGCTAATGTCAGATTATTTTAGCCAAATGAAGAAGAGTGTTTCAGCCAGAAAAAAATATGATGTGCAGAGGCCCTGAGTTGAGAAAAAGCCTGGCACATTTAAAGACCTAAATAAGAGCTCTAGGAGAGTGAATGTGGGCCAGAGGTTTTAAGACCTTAATTCTTATTGCTATATTTTTTAATATCAGCAACTTTATGTGTATGATAATCAATTCAAAAATATATATATTGTGACAGAGAGAGAAAAATTAGACAGTAGATACCTGTGAATAGGATGAAATGTTATTTCCTAGATGTTACTTATCTTCTCCATAGCAGACATATTTCTATGTAACCCCTATCAGAGAGGTACAGAGATGAGGGAATTTTGCAAGACCAAGGTTATTTCAGTTTCTCCTGGTTGGCATGACTCAAGAAACTTTGTGGAATCTGAGAGATGCTTTCTTTTTCAAATTTGAAGCTGAGGAGCATCTTCCAAAGGTGTTTCTTGTAGGGCAAAGAAGAACTTAAGACTGCATTGTGATACAAAGTCCATCAAATGGGTTTGTTGCTTCTACTTTTAGTTTGAAATACCATGAGAATGAAGATACAAGGGAAAAAATAAGCCATAAAGGAAAAGATATTAGGTAACCTTCAACTTTGCAAATCTTGTCTTCTCTTTAGCTCCAGCTATTACAATTATCATCAATCAAAATGAGTTGTCAGTGAAAAAGAAGATTATCACCATTTAAACCAATCTGATAAACATATTATATAATAGATACTAGGTTAAGTACCATACCTGAAACAAAGAGTTCCTAAAATTATAGCCTTGAAAATGTATACTCCTGGGCATGGTTACCTCGGCAGTCCATGGGTGTTTTTCACTTATAATCTAAGAAGCCTGATTTCCCTAATCCAATTATTTAATTAATTATACATTCTTAAATTGGTTCAACCATTGTGGAAAACAATGTGGCGATTCCTCAAAGACCTAAGAACAGAACTACCATTTAATCCAGCGATCCCATTACTGGGTATACCCAAAGGAATATACCCATAGAATTAACCTAAATGCCCATCAGTGGTAGACTGGATAAAGATAATGTAGTACATATACACCATGGAAGACAGCCATAAAAAGAACAAGATCACGTCCTTGGTAGAAACATGGATAGAGCTGGAAGCCATTATCCTTAGCAGACTAATACAGAAACAGAAAACCAAATACCACATGTTCTCACTTATAAGTGGGAGAAAATGTTGAGAATACGTGGACACATAGAGGAGAACAACAGATATTGAGGCCTACTGGGTGGAGGGTGGGAGGAGGGAGGGTATCAGGAAAAATAACTAAGAGGTACTAGGTTTAATACCTGGGTGCTAAAATAATCTGTACAACAAATGCCCATGACACAAGTTTACCTATGTAACAAACCTGCGCATATGTCCCTGAACTTAAAATAAAAGTAAAATATTAATTACACATTCTTATTTCCATTCTAACTAGTTAATACACGTGTGACATGTATATTATATTCTTACATCATTTCCCTTAAAAGTAGAAATAGTGCTAAAATAAAAAGAAAAAAGATGGTATTATCCACCTAAAAATAAAAAAATATACAGCAGTGTGAGGTTCGGAAAGGGAGAGAATACAAAATTGCTGTTTTTAGATGTATTATAGTAAATTGGCAAGTTATTAATACATTACTAGCCTAAATTCATTCATTAAACAAATGTTTATTTAATAGCTATTATTTGCCAGATACCAGTCTAGGCATTTGGGCTAGTGTAGAGACCAATAAACAAAGATTACTTTCTTTGTCGGGGATGCATTCTTCTGGCAAAGTCAATATATAACAGCTATATTACAAAGGTTTAAATGCTATGAGGACAAAAGGTAGAACAGAATACAGGGATAGGCAATATCAGAGAAGGAATGCATCAGGTAGAATTTTAAATACTTAGTAAGAATACACTACATTGAGAGTATAAAAACTTGAAGAAGAAAGAAATTAGTCATGTTTACATCTTAGGGGAAGGATATTGTAAACAGAATAAATACCTCAAAGGCATTGAGAATGTACCTGGTGTGTTGAGAAAACAGGAGAGAGGAGAGTGTGACCAGGGTCGGAATAGCAGGAGATGAAAACAGGGCGTAGAGAATAGAGAACCAGATCATTCAAGGCCTTGGGTGCCTTTGTAAGGACCTCGGGTTTTACTGAGAGTAGTATGAAGGGCTATTGGAAAGTTTGAAGCAGAAGAATAACATGATATGGCTTATATCTTAAAGAATCACTGTGGTCCTATGTTGAAAAATAGATTGTGGGTAGTAGGACATAAGGCGAAGCAAGGAGACCAGGTAGGAGATACAATGGTTGGTTTTATATGTAAACTTGTCTAAGCTATAGTGCCAATTTATTTATTCAATCACTAATCTAGATGTTGCCGAGAAGACATATTGTAGATGTGGTTAATACCTATAATCAGTTTACTTTAATTAATGGAGATTATCCTCAGTAATGTGGGTGGGCCTCACCTAATATGTATGTATATATATGTTTATAAATATATGATGATGTATGCACACACATGTGTATATACATGTTTATAATGTGTATATATGCACATACCCATATACACACAGCCATATACACATAGCCTATTCTGTTTCTCTGGACAATCTTGACTGATAAAGGAGGCTATTGCAACAATGTTGCAAAATAGAATGGTGGCTGGGAGCAGGATGGTAATAGTGCAGGTAGTGAGAATCATTTGATTCTGGATTTATTTACTTCAGAATTTCCAGACAGGTTGGGATGAAATGTAAGAGAAAGAGAAAAATCAAGGAGGGTTCTAAGGTTTTCTGCCTGTGCCTGAGTCAACTTTATTCCTGAATCCAGGGACATCAGGAAATGATCAATTTAGGTGTGACTATCATGACTAGCATTTATTTAACTTGAAAAATACCTATTTGGGTATCATGAAGGAAGATATTCTTGTACTCAATAATAGAATGATGTAAACTTCGGCAAATTAATTAACTATAAGGCTAACTTTTCTCACCTGATGAAAAGTAGGCAAAAAAAATGCCAGGCTCACTCAGATTGATGAAACTTAAAACTGATGATACTTGCAAGTTATTTTGCACAGAGCCTGATAATAAGTTCTTAATAAACCATTTAAAAAGTATTTGTATTATTCCATTACTGAATATCAAATTGTACCAAGTACACACAATACTGGGTAATTAAGAGTTAACACAAGAAATGTCCATCTAGTCACTGGATGAGGGCTGCTCCCAGGGTGTTAATCTTTGGCATATAAACTTTGGTAAGGCAGCTCCCTCTAGTTAGAGAGCAAGTCTGAAAGTGGGAGGCGCTGGTTAATAGGATGTGTCAACTTGTCTGGGCTAAGAGATTCCCAGGTAGCTTTGAATACATTATTTCTGACTGTGTCTATGAGGGTGTTTCTGGAAGAGATTAGGATTCAAATTGATAGACTGAATAAAGAAGATCTACCCTCACCAATGTAAGTGACATTATCCAACCATGGGGGTCCAAGTAGAACAAAAAGGCAGGGCCAGGTGTGGTGGCTCATGCCTGTAATCGCAGCACCTTGGAAGGCCTCAGTGAGAGGATCACTTAAGATCAGGAATTCAAGACCAACCTGGGCAACACAGCGAGACTCTGTCTCTGAACAAAAAACCAAAAAATTAGCCAGGGACAATGGTGTGCACCTGAAGTCCAACTACTTAGGAGGCTGAGGCAGGAGGATTGCTTGAGCTCAGAAGGCTGCTATGAGCTATGATCATGCCACTGCCCTCCAGTCTGGCTGACAGAGCAAGACCCTGTCTCTTAAAAAATAATAATAAAAATAAAGAACAAAAAGGCAGAGGAAAGGGTAATTTCCTTTTCCTGTTTGAGCGAGGACATTCATCTTTGGCACCTGGACATCAGGGCTCCTGACTTTCTGACATTTAGACTGGGCCCAGGACTTACACCATGGGCACCCCACTCTTAGTTCTCAAGCTTTTGGACTAGGACTGAATTACACTATAGGCTTTCCTCACTCTTCAGCTTGCAGATGGCAGATCATGGGACTTCTCAGCCTCCATAATGAATCATTTGAGCCAATTACTATTATCTATCTATCTATTTTTCTATCTGGCATCTATCTTTCCATCCATCCTTCCATACTATCAGTTCTGTTTCTCTGAAGAATCCTGACTCACACAGGAATATATCCATGGGTTTCAGAAGTCAACACTTCCAAAATCTGAGTGGATAATTTTCTTGGATAAAGGACTTTTTGTGGGTGGCACACCACAATATCCATTATACTGTGAACCACTACACTCACTTCTATCAGGTCAGGCCCTCTTTTAAATTGGTTGCTGAAGGTGAACATTGAGAGCCTCTTATTGCTGCATTTATGCCCTGGGTAAGCAGGGAAGCAGGAAAACATTTCCATCATCTTTTTAAAGTTAATCTTGTGTTGGATGTATGATTAGAGGTTAATTAGGCCACTCTTCTATGAACATGAGGAAGAAGTGGCTTATCAATGTTCACAATTGGTTTTATTAAATATAAAATTTGTATTGTGTCCCATTTTCTTGGACAGATGAAGCCTTCTCAGGTGTGACTTGTGTTATTGATACATACAAAATCAATTATACACATATAGCCACTGTTCTTAAAAAGCATCCAGAATTTAGGAAAAGGCAGAATTGGTATAAATCATTAAGGCCCAAATGAAGTCCTTATTTGGATGATTAAATATCTTATTCTAAAATCCAGTTACTAAAAAGGAAGTTAACGTTTTCAAATATAGATGCTTTCCTTTATTTTTGAAGTTAAGATCTATTAAATAACACTGTGAAAGAGAGTCGTAGTTGTATTAGCAGAAATCAGAAGACAGTAAGAAATGTCCAAGGAAACTTTCTATGTATAACATTTACCAAGACATGGAACTGATATCTACAGAAAATACTCTAAGTATCATCTTCGGAAGTAATCCAACTGAAGTCTGGGACCAACTTACTATGACACAGCAATTCCACCTTTTTTTCCTGGAGGTTGAAAGTTAGACAGTCTGGGTGCTTTCCAGATTGTTATTTGAAAGGCACTCAGCTACTACACAGAATTGTTAGCTTTCCCCCAACCCCCTGCCACCGCTGTGTGAAAGCAAAGGGAGGGGGCTGAAGGTACAACCTAAGGGTGTCAACTCTTACTTATTGAACAAGAACCTGCATACACAGTGCCAGTGATGTGATTAATCATTCCCTGGTCCAAAAAGAAGGTCGTTCATGTTGAAATTTTGATTTATGTGTGCTCTTGCATTATCTCCTAAACCCTAGCCACTTGCCAGCATGCAGAGTGTAATGAGTTTGGCATTTGTGTAGGACTTTAAAAACATTAAATAATGAATCCCTCTAGAACATCTCCTTGTATTACTATGTCCTACTCAATTTTTAAGTAGCGAAAATAGAGATAGTGTATAATTTCACTAAATCCTCATATCAAGTTAGTAAAGTAGAGGAGTAGGAATAATTAAATGTGTTCAAACATTATAATGTGGAATCATTAAACATGCCTCATAGAGTCCAAGTAGACTCCATAGGTCTAGAAAAGTGATGATTTCGAACTTATCAAGGAAATTAGGAGGTTAGGCTGATCAAAGCGTTTTTTTCTTTATATTTACTAGTGTTAATATCATCTAGTAATTCTTCTGGCTTAGTCATCTTCCTCCAGCTAGTATCATACTCACTCAAAAATTCATTACTTTTTAATGAATCATAATTTACATGTAAATTTTGACTCCATTCTTTAAAATGCTAAGGTACTAAATTTTAGAATATGTTTTTTGTTGTTTTTAAAAATGCATATTTTCTATAGAGTTAAAATTCTTGATTCTACTAGTGTGTGTAAATGCCTTGTAGCTGTTGTATTTGGCTTTGATCACCAAATACTAGTGAACATATCTGTGCATCCAAAACTTTGAAAAGTTACCTTGTAAAACAAAATGTTTTAGTAATAATCTATGTGAAGATGGCAGCTGCTGAGATAATAAAATAGATTTTCTCGAAAAAAGAAGCAAGCTCTTTCAAGCTAAGAAAGTGCCTTATACTGCAGAGAAAATAAATTTACATAGTTTTAGTCATAGCAGTTAAATACATGGGATTTTACATGGAGGAATATATGTGTGTGTGTGTGTGTGTGTGTGTGTGTGTGTGTGTGTGTGTGTGTGTGTATTCCTATAATCCAGGTGTTTATATTCCTTATCCAGAATATAAATGCCTGGATTATAGGCTGATCTGGGCTAGCCTGGGCTTTGGTTTTGGCTACTTCTCAGGTGTGGTGGTGAGCAGAAACAAGGTGCAGTACCTTTACAAAGTAGACAGTCTAATATAAGAATTTCTCATGTTAAGGAGGGATTTCAGAGGAGGTCTTTGCAAACCAAAGCAAAACCAAATATAAATGAAACAAAACACTATAACCCCTTTTGAAGATGACTGCAAGAAAGCATAAGGGTACCTTGGCACTAAACAGCCAGTGAGAAAAAAAAAAAAACTAATGTCCTGAAGAAGTTGTGATTATGGGCTGGCCCTCACAAGGGTTTGCAGCCTTGTTCCCAACAGCGAGAGTTCACGCCTTTCCTTTGTTTGTGGGGCTCCCAGATTGGTGGTACCCCCTAGTGCCCAGCAGAAGCAAATGCAAATCCTTGAGAGTTAAGCTCAGTCTGTATTCTACTTTTGAATCTTCGAAAAACTTCATGAGGGCAGTAACAAGGCAAAGTAAAAACTAATTAAGTATCAAGAATATGGCCGGGCACGGTGGCTCACTCCTGTAATCCCAGCACTTCGGGAGGCCAAGGCGGGCAGATCATCTGAGGTCAGGAGTTCGAGACCAGCCTGGCCAACATGGTGAAACCCCATTTCTACTAAAAATACAAAAATTAGCCGGGCGTGGTGGCGGGCATCTGTAATCTCAGCTACTATGGAGGCTGAGGCAGGAGAATCACTTGAACTGGGGGCGGAGGTTGCTTTAGCGCGGGCGACAGAACGAGACTCTGTCTCAAAAAAGAAAAAAAAATCAAGAATAAAAGGCATCTGAATGAGAAACAACAGAAACAAACTTGAAAAGATATTCCAGATATTGGAAGTATCAATATAAATAAACATTTCAAAAATTATATTTACAAGGTTTAAATGGCAGGGCGCAGTGGCTCACGCCTGTAATCCCAGCACTCTGGGAGGCCGAGGTGGGTGGATCACCTGACATCAGGAGTTCGAGATGAGCGTGGTCAAGGTGATGAAACCCCATCTCTACTAAAAAAAATACAAAAATTAGCTGGGTTTGGTGGCACACACCTGTAATCCCAGCTACCTGGGAGGCTGAGGCAGGAGAATGGCTTGAACCTGGTAGGCAGAAGTTGCAGTGAGCTGAGATTGCACCACTGCACTCCAGCCTGGGTGACAGAGCAAGACTCTGTCTCAAAAAAAAAAAAAAAAGGTTTAAAGAATAAAAAGATAAAAAGATAAGCTTTAAAATATCACCAGGGTACATGAAAAGAAACAAAAATTACATAACAGAGTTGAAAAATATTCAAATATAATTTCCTGAGATAAAAATATAAAATAATTAAAATTTTACATTTAATACACATATTTGCACCAGATGAAGCACAGCTGAAGAGATAATTAGTGACCTGGAAGATGGGAAATAGTATACACAGTATAGAGGCAATACAGAGAAACAAACAAAATGGAATTCATCTTGAAAAAAATAGGAGACTTGGTAGATAGAATGAGAAACTTTAATATGCCTCCAACAAAGCTCTAGAAGGAGCTAAGAGACATAATGGGGTAGAAGCAACATTGGTAGAGATAAAAGCTTAGAATGTCTGGAATTAATGAAAGATGCTAATGTATCCATCCAGATTCATGAAGTCAACAAATCTGCTCTGCAGCAGAATAAAGAGATTCATACTAGACACAGTGTAGTGGAATAGAAAATCCCAAAGTTAAAAAAATTGAAATTAAAAACACCTAGAGGAAGAGAAATGATACCTTCAAAAGATTGGAGACTAACTTCTCAATGGATAATGGAAGCCAGAAGACAGGAGAATAGTATTGTAAACATGCTACCAAAAAAAATATGAAATGATAACATCAATTAATCTGAAAGAAGAAAAGGAAGGCAATAGAAGGAAATAGATTAAGTGAAGCATATAAATTGATACAACAGAACAAGTAGTTACATTACATTTAAAGAAACCAGTGTCTACTTTAAAAATAAAGATTACATAACTTGATTTTAAAAGATTGCATGATATTAACAAGAGTCACATCTAAAACACAGAAAGAAAGAAAAAGAATAAAGGACATAGGCCATGCAAATACTAATTAAATACAATTAAAATGGTTGTGTTATATCGGAAATAAAGACTTTAATGTAAAAATTTTTGATTGACCAAGAAAATATTATCAATAGTAACTGTGAAAATATGTGAACTAAACATAATGGAAATATAAGGATAAACATAATGGGATATTTTAAAATACTTTTCCCAATAAATAGTAAGAAAGATAATCACAAAATCATTAAAGATATAGATTTGAATAAAAAAACCATATTGACTACACATTGCTATCACTGTATCCATCTATCTATATAAATAAAATACATATATGTAATATACACACAAATATGTGTATGTGTGTATATATGTATACACCCCCCAAACATACACAGATACACATACATCTATATGTATGTATGTGTGTATATATATGTCACACACAGACATATATATATATATGTATATAATATATATATATGTAAATGCTCTCTCTGGCAACTGGATAATACACAATTGTTTTAAGCACACATGAAACAGTTGTCAAAAGTGTTCTTTTTCTGGGTCATAAAATGAATATTATCTAATAGTTAAGAGTAAAAATAATGACAATTAAGCTAGAATTAAATAAAAATAGCTAGACATATGTCTACTTATTTGAATATCAAGACTAAGTAATATTAGTGTAAAAGAAGAAAGTAGAAAAAGCTGAATGATAATGAAAATGTTAGCACATAACAAAACACATGGAAGGCAGCTAAAGCCACACAGGAACACAGTTTATATACATATATATAAAGTTTTAAATATATTTATGTATAACATTTTAGACAGAGACAGAAAGTGTTGGAAATTAATGAACTAGCAATCCTGATGCATTAGAAACAGAACAGGCAAAATCAAAAATAGAGTCAGAAATTATTATTATATATCAGAAAAATATATAATAAAGAGAATCATAAAAATAAAAAATTGATTTTAAAAAGACTGCTTAAATTGATTATTCCTCAGATTAGACTAGTTATGACAAAAGAAAGAAGTCCCAAGCAAACTATATCTAGAACTAAATGGAGACATATCTCCAGATTCTAAAGATATGAAAGAGATATTAATAGGATAATATGAAGAACCTTTTAGTAATAAATTTACACATTTAGATAACATAGATAAATTTCTAGAAACATCTAATCATCCAAAAGTGACTCCAGAAGGAAGAGAATACATAAATAGTATATACATAGACATTAAGAAATTAAATCATTAATCAAAAGCCTTCCCACAAAGAAACTCCAGTCCCAGATGGCTTCATTAATAGGTTCTGCCAAATATTCAAGGAAGAAATAATTCTATCTTCTCAAACTTTCTGAAACTAGAAATAAAGAAAATACTTCCCAACTCATTTTGTGAGGTTAGTATAACCTTGAAAAAACTGAAAAGAGTATGTATTTCAAAAAACCCTAAATACATACCACTTTGACTCATGGATATAAGTGTAAAACTCCTAAGCCAAATATTTGCAAATGAAATCTAGAAAAATCTGAAGAAAAAATAATAGGTCATCTCTCGTAAAAACCCAAGAACATACTGCAATTCAGTTTTGCACTAATTGCTTAGAATCAGCACAGACCCCGCAGGTTTAAAAGGCAGAGTTCCCAACAAGACTGCTCTTACTGCCGACACCAGCAACACTTTGAGGCTCCCACGTTTCCAAACTCACACTTCTGACCAGCTGGCTATAAATTCAGGGGTTCTCCCAGGCCTTTCAGTTTTGATCACTTGCTGGAACATCTCAAAGAACTCAAGAAAGTACTATACTTAAAATCACAGTTTTTTTTTTTTGTAAGGTATACAGATTAGGAGAATCAGCCAGATATAAAGACCCATAGAGACCAAAGAGAGGTTGGTGCACTGCTAAGCCAATCAATATAATTTACTACAATAACAGACTAAAATAGACAAATCTTATAATTCTCTCAACAGGTGAAGAAAAAAATGCATCTTCCAGTTGTGATAAATTCAACTTCTATTCATGATAAAAGTCTTAGTAACTCACAACTGAATGAAAGCCATTCTAAATACTTCCCTGTCCCATGCTCAGTTTGTATATACAAATGGTCATTAAGAGCTCTTATTTCTAAGTGCATTTTCTATTGGTTTTCTCTGTACCTGATACTGTCCTGTTTCTGGCCTCTGTTCTCTCTCATTATTTTGATTGATCTATTTTCTTTTAATGTTGCTCATTTTCAATTCATCCCCCAAAGTTTCTAGTATGTAAATCTGTTTAAGCCCTTGCTCATTATTTTTAAATGAGTTTCCATGGTTTACAGCATATAATTTGATACTTTGGAGCTCCCTATACCACTGAACAAATAATCTTCCACATATTAATGGTAAGTTAGAAGTATCAAACTTCCAATTTCAAAAACTGTCATGCTTAAGCATATTTGGGGGATTTATATTAGCAAATATATATTAACTCTAAGAAAAATAATAGTTTACATTTGTATAGTACATAATAGTCTGTTAAGTGCTCATATTTGTATTATGACATTTTACAAGAGCAAGTATTATTATCCCTTCCTTCTTGATGAAATAAAGAGATATAAGAAGTAAGTAATTTGTCCAACTAAATGGCAAAACTGGGAGTAGAACTCAGCTCTTTGATTATAAGTTTAATACTTTTTCTTTCTAAATACAAATAATATTTTCTGCAGGAATTTGCCTCAGAAAGTCGTTCCTCAGTATCTCTTAACTACTGATATTTGGCCACTCTCTGCCATGTTTCTGTTGGTTGGTTTGTTTCACATTTGCCCTTTTCCTGGCCCTTCTGTCCTGTTTTGCCTGGCTATTGGACACATTCTCTTGCTTATCTTTCTTGTCTATGCATGTGCCGGAAGAATAGTGGAATGGCAGGAGATAACAGTTGACTCTGCTCTTTACCCTTCTCTTCATCTGGCCCCATAACACAATATATTTTATTAGTATTCACCCTAATTATGTCTGTACAGGCATAATTATGCCAGGTACAATTATGCCTGTGGTTAATAACTAGATTAGATCATTGTTAATAATTCATATAGTCTGGTTCTCTTTCTTTGTTTTTTAAAGAAGAAAATATTCTTACCAATGCATAAACTTAGTTAAGTTTAAAATAATTGGATGAAGTAATATCTCTGAAAAGCATTTATTACCTTCTATGGAATTCATTCTACCTTAGGTACAGTTTGCTGTTCTTTAAATCTAAGAATAGTTTATAACATACTCATAGTAAATATACCCAAGAAAATTAAGTTCATATTTAAAGTCATTGTATGCTGAAATCACTTTTCTAAACCAGCCAGTTTCAGAACTCTGAGAAAAAAACACAAAACAAAAGAAAAAATGAACAACAAACAAAACTGGCTTTCTTCTGCTCTTATACAACAATCAACACAGAAGATTTCTGTGACCAAATGTGGAAGGGTTTCTTCCCACTCATCAAGCAAGCAATCAATTCTGTAGTGGACACCGGTTGGTCTCCTCCAACCTAGTTTGATTCCAAAACTACCCACATTAAGACAGCGTATGAAGATAGATCGTGCACAGGTTGAGGTCTCAGTCTCACAGGACTGCCTCCGCTTCTGATGCCAATCGCAAGCTCCAGATTGTTTTACGTGTGCTTCTGACTGACCAGCGGTAAATTGGAGATCCCACAATTTCCTCCTGGGGTTTGATTATTTTGCTAAAGCAGCTCAGAAAACTCCTGGAAATGCATTTACCAGTTTATTATAAAGGGTATTATAAAGGATAGAGATGAAGAGTCACATGGGATGAGGTATGGGGGAAGGGGTGTGGAGTTTCCATGCCCTCTCTTGGTGTGCCACCCTCCAGGAACCTCCACTTGGTGAGCTATCGGGAAGCTCCCTGAACCTGTCCTTTTGGATTTTTATGGAAGCTTTATTACTTAGGTATGATTGATTAAACCATTGGCCATTGGTGATCAACTTAATCTTTAGCTCCTCTTCTCTATGATGTTGGAGTGTGGGGCTGAAAGTCCCACCCTTCTAATCCTGCCTTGGTCTTGGTAACCAGCTCGATCAGATCCAGAAGCAACCTAGGGGGCTGCCAGCCACCAGTCGACTCATTAGCATGCAAAAGACATTTATCACTTTGGAGATTCCAAGAATATAAGTAGTTGTATGTTAGCGGACAGCGACAAAACCATATATATCTTTCACAATATTAAATTGGCATACTAGCGCTCGACTGAAACTTTTTAATAATCAATTTGGCAGACTTTTCTGTATCCCTATTGAAAATTTCAAATATGTAATTAATTAATATTGGAGCTTTGAATGATTGCCTATTGCCCAATGTGTACATTTCAAAAGCCTAAGCCCTTTTAGCTACATAGATGATCGTTAGTGTTTTCAATGGTTTGGTGCTGAGTATTTATACTGGACATTGTGGTATGTTTCAAATGATAGAAAATAAGAACCGACATGAAAAGTGCAAACTTCTTGTAATTTACTTTGTTTATATAGAAGTAATACATTAAATCATCTATGAAGTACATCAAGTAAACCTGGATAGAATGGATTTTTAAATTGAAAATATGAGAATTAATATACTGAAAACCCCCATGGGAAGTAACTATATGTCACTGGTGCCAAATTGGAAATCTCCAGGTTATAAGATCATAACCCCTAGAGGAATATTTATCTGTATGTTTACTTAATATCTAACAGCATGTGAAATTTATTTATTAATATGCCTGCAGGTTTCTCTCTAATCCCACTTCTCAAAGATACACACACATAGATATAAAGCCACGAGGGGGTGAATTGCCCTGGAACTGTTTCCATCTAAGTTGAAAAATATGGTTATAATGGGAAAAGCAAAAGTTGCTCTCCTTCTGACCTTGAACATTTTTATAGACCCAAAGTAAAATATGTGGACAAATTCAAAGGCTATCTCCTCTATGATATCTTCCTTGCAATATACTTGGCCCCATCTATTGCCCCATCTAATCAGCACTGATCACACTGTCTTTGGTTATAATTTGACTATAGGCCTTATTTTATCATCCCTTCAATTACAGTTTATTTATATTCCTGTTTCTTTTGAATGCTCTCAAGTGATAGAGATCTTGTGATAATTTGTTTTAATACATGGCACATAGCAAAGCGACTTTGCACATTGTCATTTACTAAATATTTGTTAAATGTGTTTGGTTTTAATTGAATTGCATTTACATATCCAAAAACTTAAACATGTAAACCATTATTCAGGGTAATGATATTAAAAGAAAAGAGCAAACATTTTTTAACTGGCAAAGAAATACATTTTAGAAAGTTTAGAATGTAATTTTCCACAGTATTTTATTTTTGAAGTGAAGTTATGATTGTATATTTGAAGTGAAGTTATGATTGTATTAAAAGCAAGGTTATCTGACATAATTTTTACCTATACAAAGTTTAGAATTGAAACAACTGTCTGAATAATTTAAAACAAAACACATTTGCTTCAATTTTCTATCGATTTAGGGTATAACTATTGATTTGGCTTGAAATATCCAATGATTGCCTCAGTGCTATATTTCCTTTAGCATCTGTGGACTTAGCTACAATGAAACAAATCTTTTTGAAATTGTAACAGCTAGGCTGCATGCAATAGTAATATCAGACATCTGTATAGTGCCTTCTACTTACATAAAAGTGCTTTTACATAAATTATTTTATTTAGTTCTCAGGTAGGGGAAATGGAGGCAGAGAAACTGTGAGAAAAGTAGGAGAAATACTTTATAGAGATAAAAGACAGGATTATATTTGATATATATATATATGGATTTTTTTTGCAAATACCTAAATAGCTTGCACAAAAGCCTCTTGTGTATATAAGTTTGTTCTAAAATGAAGGTAAAATTTGTAATCATGGCAAACCTATTTGTATACACATGGAACTTGTTCACTTAATGTTGCCAAGTAGTTGAAAATATGAATCAGACATTTAAAATGGTGGCTTACAGGATTAAAAGATTTAATTGCAGTAAAGATTGTGAATATATAAAATTTGAATTTAGCCAAATGGAGATGATTTTAAATCTTTCAGAGAGATCAGTTTCAGTTTCAGTCATAGGAGTAGACAAGAATGAAGGCATCAAGTAAAGAGACCAGTGTGGTGTATAAATATGCCCAAGTCTTGTAAAAATACCATGGGAATATATAAAATAAAGTTACCCATTCTAACAAAGGGATTAAGGGAAGTTTGCACAAAAGAGGTGCGTCTTAAGAGTTCAATAGAGAAATGAGTAAGACCATAAATAAAAGCACTCAAATGTAAAATTGCACATTACGGTTGACAGTCTGCTACATGGTAAGTTGCATGGAAGAAAATAATAGAAAATCCAACTTAAAAAGTGGAATTGGGTTTGATTATGAATAGCTTGGAATTTCACACTAAAGATTTTGGCTGTCTTTGAAGGCAACAAAGAGTTTTTAATTAATTTTTTAAGAAAAATAAATGAAAAACTATTTATTTTAGTTAGGAAACTTTACTTTGATTGGAGATGAGAAAAGTGTTTAGAATGGAATCTTAGGGCAGTGCTTTCCAAATACCTAACAATAAGTCATGAAATGTTAACTTTTGCAGGGTACACTGTGCCAAGCTGACAACACTGTTTATGGCTGTGGGTCACCAGCTCCCTGAGACCTGCTCCTCTGCACCTCCCTAAAGGCTAAGAGACTCAATATCTCTCTCACTCGAACCCATCAGCTCCACAGCAAAGTTCCTGGTATCTCTTTTGGGAAATATCCTGCCATTGGGAAAGAAAGGAGAACAGGAATTGATGAAGAAAAGGGAGAAAAGGGGACAAAAAGAAGACAAAAGAAGAATAGAAGCAGAAGAGTACGGTATTCTAAGTGAAGGAAGAACCTTTTTAAAGAGGGAGTGAACCAAAAAGACTTGACAGCTATTGAGAATTCCAATTGTGTGGGAGCTAAGGAGAGGGCACTGGTTAGGGCAATGTCCTCCCTGGTTTTGCGTTAGAGGCAGTTTGAGTAGTAGAGGGGCATAGAAGGCAGATTAGGCAGTGACAGGGAAGTATGGAAGCGGTGTGTGTGGTTTGCTGCACTTAGACAAACCTTGTGGGGGAAGGTAGAAAAGCAATGGGCTGGAATGGGTGGCAATGACACTTTGGGGATTTGAAGACCTGCCTGAGTTTGTATGCAGATTGAGGGGAAGATATAAGAGGAAAGAATGGAACTGAAAACATAAAAGACAAAAGGAAATAATTGACAAAGCAAAATTCAGGCAACCAGGAAAGAACGGGATCAAATGTATGTAGACAGATTAAACTTGGTTAAGAATATACTTTTCTTTGAATAGACAGAAAGGAGGAACATATTGATAAATGGTAGAGGGAGATTTTGAAGGGTGCTGAAGACCTGAGAGAGTATTCTCACTCAATAGCTTTTGTTTTCTCTGTAAAATATGATGTGAGAAGGATGGTGATCATTCAGCAATTCCTACTGGGGAAAAGGACAGACAACAACGTGGAGTGAGAGTGGGGTCAGATGACTGTATCAATCATGTGCTCAACACTGTGCTAGGTGCTGTAGGGGATATAAAATATGTATCATGTGATTCCTGCCCTCAAAGGGAAACACACACACACACACACACACACACACACACACAGACACACACACACTCTCTCTCTCAAACCTATAAGGGTAAGGGAATCTTTTTGAGTTAAACTATGATTTGCTGAAAAGCATAATAAAAGTCCTAGGTAAGAATTGGAGAGGGGGCAGTAAAGACATTGAGAAAAGCTTTATGCATTATTTGGATAAACAGAGGAACAGATTGTAGGAAGCAACAGAACCCAGCATGAGCATGGCATGCACACCAGCTAGTTGGGAGATCATGAGATAGTAGAGGAAATGAGTGATGGGAAGAGGAAGGCAACATGACTGAATAGATAGGAAAGAACCAGAGTATAGAGCACTGGTAGAAAGGATGGAGGTGCATGAAGATTAATTAGGTATTTACCTGCAGGATGAAGGAGAGTGTGGAGATAATAGAAATAGAAAAATAATAAGGCAGGAAACGGTTGCAGCAAACCAGATGTGAGGTTATGCAAGAGTAATGCCAGTGCCAGAGTAAAGAGAAAGGGATGAATCTGAGAGATATTCTGAAGGAAGATTTGCTAAAATAATGTGACAGATTGGATATTGATTGGGAGGAAAGAAAAGAGTAACATGTGCCTTTAGGTTTTTACTTCTGGGAGATAGAAAAATGATGCTGACGTTGAAATAAAACATCTGTGAAAGCAAGGCAGATTGGGGCTTTTTGAAGTTTGGTGGGACAGCAGTGAATATTATTGGTAGGTTTTTGGCATTTCAAGTCTATAGGGAGAAAGGATAGAGGTTTATAATTTGGATTATCACCAAAAGGTCATAAATGAAGCTTTGGGGAAAAAAAAAAAGCTCTTTGAGAAAATGTGTGGAAGTACAGAGGATCAGAGTGAGGGTTTAAGTCTTAAGGGGCATTTCCAGTTAGAAATCAGGAGGAGCCATCGAGACTGCCTAAAAGGTAGAATAACTGGCCAGAGCATTTGGGGAACTAATGAATTGACATGCTCTGAAACAAAAAAGAGAAGAAAACTGCAAGGAGCATAAGATTTAATTGCAGTAAAAGTTTTGAATAAATAAAATATATAAAAGTCCATTGAATTTGACCAAAAGGAGATGATTTTAAACCTTTCAGAGATCAATTTCAGTGAAGTGGTAGTAGATGAGAATGAAGGCACCAGGTAGAGAGATAGTTGGTGTATAAATATGCCCAACTCTCTCTGAAGGAGAGTATATTAGAATTTCTAAGATAGCCCTGAGAAAGTACTTTAGTGATCACCGCTGAAATTGATGGAGTGCTGCAGTAGACCCCGATGTCCCCAAACCCCTCAGTCATCCAGAGTAGCTCCATTTTATATTATATGTATATGTATGTGAGCAGATGCGCCTGTGTGTATGTGTGTGTTCACACATATATAGATTTAAGAATTTCATATATTTTATCGGAAGAGGTGCTTTATGCTAAAATAAAACAAACACTTAATAATCTGCTCTAGAATTTTGGAAATCAATTAAAAAATACTAGATGAGTGCTGCCAAGGATTATGGGGTAATTTTAAAACAGGATATTAATAACTCCCAATATGTTAGAAAAAATAGGCTGTGGATTCATAGATCTCTCATTTTTAACTTTGGTTCTATTGACTAGCTATGCATGTGAGTTACTTAACCTCTCTTAACCTCAGTTTTCTCCGGTCTGAAATGTACCAAGTGGTATTTGCTGCATAGTGTGATTGTTAGGATTCACCAGGAGTAGACAAGGGTACTGGTTTCTTTTGTCTCAAATTTCCCTTTCAGTGAATGTGGTCTTTACAAACCAAACACTCAACCACACAGAAGATGAAATTGGATGTTCTATAATTAAGCTTTGTCTTCAGCTCCCATCTCTACTGATGGCAGAAAATTTACTCATTTCCAGATGAACCCAACAGTTTAGTTTTCTTAGACATTTTACGATTAAACCCAGGTAAACTCGTGATTTACGTCTTCACACATTTTCCTCAGTGTAACTTCAAAGATCCCACAGATGTCTCTTGGCTTCTGGGTCAGGCGTTTAGTCCATGGTCAGTTTGTTCATCATTGGCATCCATTGGGATTTGTTCTCTTGTCTGTCCCCGGAGTGCTTGCCGTCCGCCATGCGCGCACTGGCTGATGTGTAAACATGTTCTGTGGGGTAATCCAGGCTGAATCTTCCATGGGGTGGTGGCATCTTCTTACCCTGACCAAGCCTTTCCTATCTCTTCACAAAATCTTTCTACCAGCTGAAATATATTTGCCTTCTCACGGACGTGTGAAAATGTGACTGTCTCTTGGCAACAGGCTGAGATTTGCATCTGTTTGGGAGACCACCCTGAGCTCCTTTGGACTTCATGTAGACTCATTGCTAATCTACCTCTCAGGTACCCTATTAGATACTTTTTCCCCAAACATATTGTCCTTCCAGACTACATTTTGGGAAGGTAAAACTCTGCTCTTGAATTTACAAATCTAGCTGAAATTTCTCTGCTTTTCCCCTCTGGGAAACAATAGGAAAAAGAGAGCAGCTTACAGAGAATTTGGAGTTTTTTCAGACTTACATCAATGCTCAGAATCTATTGCTCTTGCTTCTCCTCACCTTGCCCTAAATGCACCTTTTTTCTTCAGGCTTTTGTATGTTTTTCTGGTGTGGGAAAACACACTGGTTGCCCCTGGTCATGGATATTTACAAAACTTTTCTGCTTCAGCCGGATCTACAGTAGGGAAAATGTCTTTGGATGTTTTGCTACCTTAGCAATCTACTTGTAACCTGGCCTTTGATTGTGCTGGACAAGTTGGTTGAACGAGGGCCTGTCAAGCTGTTCAGGAGAGGCTGGGGCCCAGTTTTATGCCAACTGATGGCTCTGTAGTCTTCCCTGAGTATTGTGCTTTCCTTTTGTTTTGTTTGTTTTTACATTAAGCTACTTACACAGGCGTGGCTCACGAAGGAAATGAATTAACTTGGATCTTGGAGGTTTGAAAGCTAATTACAGGGAAGTTTGAGGATACTGCAGCAGCCTTAGCCACTCTGCCCACCTGGTCCTGTCATGCTAGTATAATTTGGTTCTTCTGTCAACTTTTTAAGCACAGATTGCTAACTAGGTAGATTAATAATCATTCAAAATGGAATATCCCTATTGGGCTGCTTTCAATTCAGTCACAGTTTTCTGGTATAATCATCTAACACCAGAATAGCTGAGAAAACTACCTGTAGCAGCTTCCCTCAGAAAGGGGAACAGAAACTGGTTATTATTTTGAAAGCTTCTGGACTACCCCCAGAAACTGTGATGGTGGAAAAATACAAGCTTTTTTGATCTGTGGAAACTTCTCCTCATCCTGGCATTCTCTCTCTGTCTCTAATACACACACACACACACATGCACACACACACACAGACACACTCCTTCCCATGTGTTTAAGCAATATAGAGTCATCACCCCTCTTGGTGCTATAGCACTGGGAGAAAGTCACCCTTGAGTTTGGCCTTAATTCTAGTTATCTAAACAGTTTGCTCTGCAGGACTTTCTGTCTCTTTCAGGACCGACTCTGGGCCTAACTCAGTAGTATTTATATTTGCCTATAACTATGTAATTCATCCAGGGTTCATACTAAGCAACATAAAATAAGTTTATGATCCCTTATTTCTTAGAAGTCTCTTTTCATGAAAAAGGCACCTGCCTCCACCATCCAAATGGATAGTTGTTTTTTTGTTTCTGTTTTTCCATAACTAGTAGGGATACTGCTCTATAAAGATTTTGAGAACTCACTTTCCTTACTGTTCCAGGCTTTTGGGAAAATATATGGAATATTGACATGAACTTCCTAGATTTTTCTCTGCTAGAGAACTAGTGCATTCAAACTCATATGTTTTGATGTCTTTGGTTTAAAAAAGGTTTGTTTGTTAGATCTTTTTAAAAAGAAAAAAACAAAACAAAACAGACCACAGGTTTATTTATGTTAAAACTCCAAGGGCAAGGCAAAGGGAGAAAGAAAAGTCACTGGGAATAAGCCTAGTCCTGAAAAAATAATGAAGATACACATTCTAGTCCTCAGAGAAGTAAGCTTGTTTTTATTTTTATTTTTTGAGATGGAGTCTCACTCTATCACCCAGGCTAGAGTGTAGTGGCATGATCTCGGCTCACTGCAACCTCTGCCTCCCAGATTCAAGGAATTCTCCTGCCTCAGCCTCCTGAGCAGCTGGATCTACAGGCACCACCACCATGCCCGGCTAATTTTTTTTATTTTTAGTAGAGACGGGGTTTCACCATCTTGGCCAGGTTGGTCTCAAACTCCTGACCTTGTGATCCACCCGCCTCGGCCTCCCAAAGTGCTGGGATTACAGGCGTGAGCCACAGCGCCCAGCCGTAAGCTTATTTTTAAAAGAAAGAATGTTTTTGTCTCTTCTATGAGTGGAAGAATGAAAGCTCAGAGAAACTGGTTATAAAGACTGAGGTAAAGCCAGAGTGTTGAGGGCTCATCCCTTGGAGAGCTTTACTCTCTTCTTCAGAAGACGCATGAGAAAGCAAGAGGAGCATGGGCTTCAGTGTTAAACTGTAACATTTTATATTTTGCATGACACAAGTGAAAACTGGAACCATCATAATTTCCTGCCCCAGTGGTAAACAACCCCGGAAAAAAGAAAATTTAACCCAGTTGTGTGCTCTAGAAAATACTTGCTACTGGAAGATAAGTCTGTGACCCAGTGAAAATTGTATAATAATTTGCTCATCAAGACTCAATTTAGGTGAGAACCTCTCTTTGCTGTGCCCACAAATCCAAATCTATCATGTCATAAATTCCACCCATTCCCAACCAGTTCTCCACCTATCCATACTTGCCTTAAAGTTATCCAATGTAGATCTTAAAAAACCTATAACCATCCCTGTCCCTTAATTCCCCAAATGAAGATGCAACTGAAATTTCATAAAGTTAGCCCTTTGTGCAGTAGATCTAGGAAACTTAGCTATGCTTTATCAACAGGTACATCTGGTGGTTTTTAGGCCATCGCTGTTTAACCCAAACTGGATTTCAATTGCTCCTTTACATAGATAATTCATTTAGCTGATTTTTGCAGATAAAATGTTCATAAACCCGTTTTTCCCCAATAATACATTTATATATTGATTTCATGGTAACACAAATAAAACTCACATGAAGCAGCAATGCATTAATAATGTTCAAATATTCTGAATTTCTTATAAGTCCTATTATAAGGTGTTTATTATAATCTACTTCTAAGCTTTACATATGAAACAATCTAGATGCTTGCAAGGTATCCTTAATGGGGTGTTCTCTAGTCTACACCTACTTCCTCTATAACCTTGGATAATTTGCTTACCTTCTCAGAGCTTCAATTTTCTCATTAGTGAAATGGGAGTAATTACTACATCAGAAAGGTATTGAGAGGATTAAAGGAGCTCATGTAGGTAAAGATCTTAGAATAATCCCTAGCATATGGTACCAATATAATCAGTGTTGGTTTCCTTCTTTCTTTGGTATATTTCCTTCTTTAAAATAGGAGATGGGTCATGTGTGAAGAATAAGCAGATCTGGTTCTCATTTTTCTATGTTGCTGGGCAGAGAATAGAGGGAATCCCTGCCCCTGCCCAGCAAACATCCAGTGTCCTTAAGTTTATTTTCACTGTGGGAGAGGAAGGTAGAAATTCAGTAGTGAATGATGGGATAGCAATAAAATATTCCATTGCCCCTTAACTACTGGGAAATGGCGCCTCTTCGTATTTTAGTTAGGAGACACAAAATTAAATTCCTTTTTTTGTAGTTGATATTTTCTATTACATGTAGTATTCTTTATAAACACTAAGAATTTGGACTACAAATGGCTATAAATATCTTTAAATATTCAAATTATGAATTTAACCTATTTCTTAATGTAAATTTTAATTATTCTTATGTCTGGCTTAACATGGGCTAATAACCATTGGGAAAATGAGATGCTGCAATATTTTTGCATTCGAGTTTTAGAATGTTTTCTTTACTAGAATTTCCCTTTCTTTCCCTCTGTTATTTTTTAATCCATCTGCCTCTTTCCCCCAAACACATATCTGTCCCTGAACACACACACACACACACACACACACACACACACACACACACACCTGTCTTTCTTTTATTCCATTCTTTCATGTCACTGATTTTACAGAATCTATGCTTAGGCAGTCTGGAAAGCCACAATCTAAAGACAGATTCCATCAAGCTCCTATCTGTTAGAACCTGCAGTGCTTGCATTTGGATTCGATATCTAACAATAATGTGGTATTTTATAAACATTAGTGAGGATGATTTTGCACTGGTCAGCAAAGGTAAAAAAATAGGTGCTTTGGGAAAACAAATAAAAAAGGAATTGGATCTGTCTCAATAAATTGCACAAATTGTAAATATCCCAAAGATGCAGCCACTAACTCTGGCATAGGAAAATAAAGCTGACAATTACACTTTGGAATGAATAGGTGAGTAATACGATGGCTAAAAATTTTCTTTACAATCATTTTTTATTAAGTGCAGCACTGCATTTATTTATTAAACAAAGTTTCTGTTTCATCTGCCTGTTCAATTCCTCAGATACTATTTTAATAAGGTCAATTAAGATTTACATTCAAGTCATGATTTTTTCCCCATTCTGGTTTGAGTCTATAGATATACTTGTTCCATCAATTTAAACATAATTATAGAATAATCTTTCACAAATATTACAGTTAATAGCATTGGGGCATTTATAAACTCTAGTCCTTAATTTATGCACATTAAAATTTCATTTGAAATGAAAGAATGTTGAATAGTCAAGTATATTTTTAAATCATCCTATAGTGTTTCTAACACAGTTTGCACCGAAGCCCTAGAATTGGCCATGGTTGGTTGGGATTGCATGACCTGGACAAAGAAGTCGCTTGAAATGAATTATTACTGCCTTTAGCAAAGTAAAACTTAGTTTGATTATGCACTACACATTCCTCTTTGGTTTTAGAGATCAGAACCTGACATTTTACTCAGGCTAGGATCTGAACAGAGTTTTGTCTAATGGGAAAACTGACAGTCCTTTTAAGTTTTACAGGTACATGTTGTAATGCAGAAACTCTATGTACAGAAATATACCATTACAAAATTGATAATTCAGGGCATTGTTCTGACATGAATTAAATGAATTATCACATCAGAGAATTTCTGTTTTCCTCATTGAATAGAGAGACCTAAAAATCTTCTGCTTACATCAGCATATAGGGCAAATATAATTGTCTATTAGTTTATTTACAGTTGTATAAGTTCCAACAAATGGGGATGGAGCAAAATAAATTTATTGCTGTATTTTGAGAGACTATCTCTTATTTTTGAATATTTTCCAATGTGTATTCTCCATCAAACTCTTTTATTTCTTTGTGTCAGAGCTTTCCACAAATTATAGTGAAATGCAGTCTCATAAACCAAAAAGAAGAAAGGTTATTCTGTTGTAGGATGTTAGGACGGAGAGAATGTAGAACTTACAATTTGGAACAGTGTGGTTTGTTTGATTAAAATGTCTTTCGTTTGCTTTATGCCTTTAAAATAATGTTTAAAATATTCGAAAAAACTTAGAAAACTTTGCACAATATTGACTTTTAACATTAATTCGGTTACATTTTCAGTATACTATTTTTAACATTGTGGCATTTATAGAAGTAATTTGACTACATGTGTGGCACTAGATGTTTTCAAGGCTCACATATCTAGTTTCATGATTAAAATTGAAGGATAATTAAATTCAATAAACATTGTGTTAATATCTTTTTAGAAATGCATTTATTTTGGCAAAATAAAATTCAACTGTCTATCTATCTATCTATCTATCTATCTATCTATCTATCTATCTATCACCTATCTGTCTGCCTTTCTCTAAAAACATCCTAGAGTAGCTCTGCAACTTGGTAAAAATATTTTAACTTCATATGCTACGAATTTGATTTTCCTTGTATTAACTACACATGTAATTAGATTTTTTTCTTTCCAAATCATCTTTCCAAATTCTATTATCATTTTCTTTGGGACACTGATTTTGTACTGTTAAGTGAAAGAACCAAATTACAACTCTTAACTTTATGTACTTTATGTGCTTAATTGTAATATCATTTATTGATAAGTGAGCATATATCCTATGTAGTCCAGGACAGCCTTGGTTTATATTTTTTGTTCAGCCTTAATTATCAATTATTTACCTACTCCCCTATAAAAACATCCTAGTTTCAATGACAGGATCACCTATGTGGGGCCTGTCAGGAACTCATCAAAGGGGGTAAGATTTATATATTATGACAGAAATCCTCCTTCTTTCTCCTTTTGCAATTTTTCTCAAGTTTCTTCTTCATAACTACCCTTCCTGCCTACTTCCAGCTGTGAATAAACATAGACATAGATAAACATTGTTGATGCATGACCTTTGCCCAGATGTGATGGTAGGTAGATGACATTGCATTGAGCAAATGAAGAAACTGCAGCCTGGATCAGCACTCACTTAAGAGGAAAGATCATTTCTCCTTTCTTGCTATTTAGCCAAGCATTTACTGTGGGGATTTTCAAAGACCTAGTATTAGGGTTTCTGTCAGAAAGTTGATGGTCATACACACATATCTGGAAAGCAAATAGTTTGAAGTCAAAGGGCATAACTCATTGCATTTATTCCATACATGTTGTTAATTTAAGGTGTGTTTTCCATTTCAAAAGGTCAGGGAATATCAATTTGATAGCTCATTCTTGTTATACCTAATATTTTCTTTACTCTACATGCAAACACATCCAACAGCCCAAAAGGGGCAAAGGAAAATCATGTAAATTGCCTGATCTTTGTTCAGTGCAAAAGCTGTTTAGCAGCTCTGCTCATCCAACTTCATAGGGAAATTAAACATCACAGAAAACTTTGCCCTGCTGAATGGTCTTTCTGGCCTTACTATTGGATAACAGGAGAGATAAAAATGAGCTACGAGGGCTGAGAGTGGAGATCGTATATGCTCTGGCAATACAAACCCCTTATCTTGGGGTTACCTCCAGAGATGTTCTGGTGCTGGCTCAGCCTGGCTTGGGAGAGCACATAGTGAACATCTTTTTCCAACATTTTTTCTTGAGGAGTCAGTTAACCATTTGCCAGCACAACAGTAGTTACCTCTCTGAATAATCTAAATGTACTAATTATTTTAATTCATCACATGGTATGTGTGACTGATAATTTGTATTTAATAGTGGGAGAAGATACCTATATATTGTCCAACTTTGGTTGTGTATATTTTCCTTTGCACAAATTGGATCAGTCCATTTCTATTTTTTATCGTCTTACTTTCCTGACTTATTGATAAATCTTGGGAGATCTTCCCAAGTTAACACATTCAAATCTACTTCATTTTGTGTTAACAGCTACATTACAACCCACTGTACCAAAGTTTATTTACTCAGATCCCTTTAGATGAAAAAAGTTTCCAGTTTTTAGCTATAATAAAGAATGCTGCACTGACCATTTTTTTTACATTGCACCTTTGTATAAACCACTTTTATATACAGATACAGGAAAATTGCTGAGTCAACCTGTAGGTGCATTTTAAGTTTGGATAGATATGCTTAATTTGCACTCATACTTTAAGGGTACAATTTGGCATCATTTGCAGTATCATTTACAATTGCAATTTTCTTTTCTTCCTTTTTCATGGCAGGCTTAATCAGATTTGAAAATGCACTGTTAGGCATGTCCTTTTTCATCCTCCTTTCAAGGAGATATTTCTAACAGAAAGATAACAAAGGTTTTAAAAAGTCAGTGTTCCCTTAAATTTCAGCAAATAATTAAGAAGTGCCTGCCTATGTTCTAGAGACTCAATAGTTTAATAAGGCAGACCAGTTTCATGACTTCATGTAGCCTATGCTCTAATAGGAGAGCTGAGGCAAATGCTGTCAAGTATACCTGATAAACACTCACTCCAAGTATTTGTTAGGTAATTCCTTCCATAAGACCCTCGTCTACTTTTCTCAGTTTGTTATTCTAAACCAGTGGCATTCAGATATGATCTCACCCTTCACCAACTCGGGAATTCCTTTTTCTTCTTTTATGTATTGCGTCTCATTTCCTATTTTTTTTTTGTTTCTTTCCTCATTTTGTACATAGAGCATCCTCTAATAGCTTCTTGAGAAAAGTGCGTTGAAAATATGTTTTTTGACATGGCTATATTAAAATGTCATTATTCTTCCTTCATACTTTCTATATTTCAGCTTGATTATGAATCCTGATTGGAAATACATTTCTCTTAAAATTTTAAAGGATTTTTTCTATTATTTTCTAGTTTTCATTGTTGCTATTGAGCAATCTGTTAGTATATGGGCTGCATTTTCTCTCTTAAATGTTAAAGTTTTTTTTATCATAAGCATTCTGTAATTTCAAAATGAGATGTCTTAGAGTGGATTTTTTTTCATTCATTTTTGCAGAGCATTTGGTAAATCGTTTCAATCTGGAAACTCATATGTTTTAGTTCTAGGAGCTGGAGTACCAAGAGTGGGTCAATGGGGCCGTCTTCCTCAGTGCAGGCAATAAGGAATGGTCTGAAGAGAATTTTTAAATCATATTAAAACTTACTAAAAGATACTCTTATTTTGACTAGTGTGCCAGCAATTGTCCACCTAAATCTACTATTATTTAAAGTTCTCAACAACTGCTAGGATTACTGTTGACTTTTAATAATATATATGTGAACTTCAAACTAGCACATGCTATGTTACTGATCCCATATTAAATATTGTATTATGCATAAAAATTAATGTGGAGAACTCTGAATTATAGAGTTAGCTCCCTCCCTCCTGACACAGTACACTCATTTGAGATAAGTTCATAATACTTCAGAATCATTTGAGCTGTCTTTGGGTGTAGCTTCTGTTTTCAGTCCCTATTGTACTACATATTCCTGGATTTAAATATAAGATTCAAAATAAATAATGATTGCATAGTGATTACAAAAATGAAGAAATTTAATTTTAATTACCTCAGTTCTATCATTGTATGTGACCACTGGAGTATAGCATTTTGTTCTTGTTTTATGGAAGATAGCTATCTATATATATGTTTTCCATAAAATATAATAAATATATATGCACTATCCCTGGAGCAGTATACATATATTGTATATAAATATATAAAAATAACATATATATATCTTCCATAAAACATAATATATGTATACTACTCTAGTGATAGTGCATGTGCGTGTGTGTGTGTGTGTGTGTGTGTATATCTTGGTTGTAATTCAATCATGGCTCTGCCATTCTTTCAACATGTTCAAAATGTTGTTGACATCATCCTTCTGCTGAAACTTCCTTCCCCTTTCTCTGAACTTGTTTGTCTATGTATTTTTTATTCTATTACTGTCAAGATATATATGTATATATATCTTCCATAAAACATTATATATACATATATGCATACATGCTACTCTAGGAATAATCACAGTTTATTTTTCTTTTAAGTTTTCTTCTATTCCCTGTATAGTATCTGTTTCATTAGTAATCCTTTCAGTTTGTATATTGTTTCCCTTCTTCCTGTTTTATGTTTCTTAAATTATGTAGTGATTTTTGGTTTTTCATTCATGTTTAAGATTGGAGTGGTAAAAAGCTAATTTTAAGGTCAGCATAAATGAAGGAAACTTATTTCTTGGGGGGTCTGACAGAAAGATAATTGAATAAGAACCTAGCTGTTTTGTTTGCGACTTCAAATTGTCATCTCTGTTGCCATTTCTCCTCATCTGATCAATTTCCCCAACAGGGAATCTTAATTCTTAGCTAGTAGGAGTAGAGAAACAGAGAGGTGAAATGTCAGTCAGCTTTCTGAAAGCTGCCAGTATGAAAAGCGTTGGGAAATTTTTTGCCCCATGTCCCTAGAATCAAGACACTCTCTCATGCTAGATCTCCAGAAAAGTCTGACTTCTGTCAGGCTGTGCATTTTGAGAAAGAGTAGATCTGAAGTCTGTTTATACACATTTTCAATAATCTAACAGGTTGTAGCTCCATCTTCAACAGTAAGTTCTGAGTTCTGTGATGTAAATTGCCTTGGTTCTCATTGGTGTTCCCTCCTGTAGACGTTCAGGTCTCAGCATCCTTGGTTTTCATTCAGTCATGGCTCCTACATTCTGTCAACATCTTCAAAATTTTGTGGACATAATCCTTCTGCTGAAACTTCCTTCCTCTTTCACAGAAGTTGTTTGTCTATATATATATTTTTATTCTATTACTGTCAATTTATGGGTTATGATGAAAGAAAAGATAAAGACCTCATTAAATCTGCAACATTTTACCAAAGAGCTTTCTGATAACAGACCCTGGGAGACAGAGCTCAGCTTTTGATGGACATGGCCAGCCTTTGGAAATGGGAGGGTAGGGGATGCTGTGGGAAACGTGGCTTAAAGACCAGGTACACATATTTCTTTCTGCACCCAACAGGGAAGTTCTTTCTGAACCTCTTGAAATTACCTGCAATTAAAAACTTTCTCCATTTAACCGAAAAAAAAAATATTCTCATGTCTTTAAATTTTCAAATTTAATTTTTTTTTGTTATGAGAATTATACATGCTCACTTTAAGAAATTTGACAGTTGGAGAAAAATATAACCAAATATAGATTCTTGCACTCTTTGTTCTAAGGGTTTTTAGTTGCTGTGTTTGCATGGTATACACTTTTTCATATAATTTTCTCAGGCTCACTTTGTTTTAGTATCCTTTTTATATTGTAAAATAAATGCTAATACAAAAGAATGGATACATACAATTTAAAGACATAAATAAACATTCATGGACCCACTCTATAGCTTTTATAGCTTATGAATTAGAACATATTTGTTTTACTTTATTGGCCAGATTATAATCCCCTTGAAGCTGTATAATATTGGATATTTAAGTTTTGGCAGGTATTTTATTTACACTTACATGTACTATTTAATGTAATCTTCACAACAACTATATGAGGTAGGTACTAATATTAGCCCTATTTTGCAGGCTAGGAAACTGATGCTTAGGAAGGTTAAGAATTTTGGCTAGTCAGTAAGTGGAAGTACATGATTTATTTTTTACGTCAGGGTACAATCAGAAGGCAAAACCATAGACTAGTTATTTGAACTTAGAGAAGTTAACATAAAGAGGTGTTACCTGGATAAGCTGTTTCCTAAGTAACTAACAGGGTAAAAAGAGTGTTCTAAGGTATCAGGCAAATAACACATGGAGGAAACAGGCACCACCCTTAGAACTGAGGAAACAAAGGGAAGATGTTGGAATTATTACAACCTAAAAACTTACGGAAAGGGCTCTGTGGTTCTGAAACCCAGACCTCTGAGCAGAAGGCAATGCTCAGCTGGTTTCAATGTTTTTCATCATAAAGAATGAGTTTTGTTGGGCTGGGACCCAGAACTCTGAGGAGCAGATACCATCCAGGTGCTGTTTTCTCTGGAAGTACTTGTTGATGAGGCTGGTTCTGCAAGTGTTAAAAAAAACTCAGGGCCACAATGACCTGAGAAAAATTCTTCAGAACATCTGATCTCCGTATAAAGCGCTCAAATAATTTTCTGGGATGACAAAAATAAGTGATAGCTGCTATTTCAAATTATCCCCTAAATTAACACATTATTAGCTAAATGTATTTTGCACTTATTCAATTGCCCTATATTGTCATGTTTAAAGGCTGATTGATTACTGTTGAAATAATTAGATGTATGGAAGATTTTCCCTAATGCAAGTCTTTTGGGATACAATGACTTGTATCTATTAACTAACTCATATAGTGACAAAGAGCCCGAAAAAAACATTAAAGTGGCTTCTTTTACTCTATATTTCCTCATCTAATTCATATTTTGAATCCATAATAAGTACAACCTGAGAATCTAGATGAAGAGGTTATTTTATATATAAAGATCTTGCCTAGACTTCAATAATTGTTCTTTGTTGACTTAGAGAAGCATCGCTCCTTTGACTTTCTATTTGTTCTCTTGGGACTAAGCTCTACAGGGATTACTTGAACTCTCAAGTTCAGAGATCAAGTGGATATTGCCTGTAAATACAGACTGACATGGAACAATGGGGTCTTCGAGTCTACCGGGAAGGGCCCTGAGCTCAGAATTATTTTATTCCCAACAAGCCCCTTGAGAGACCACCTAAGATGGCACAGTGACCCAGTGCAGTGCCTCTGTAGAGCAGAGACACTGGTTCATTGCTTTAAAAGAGAGTAATTATAAAAAACTACCCAAGGCCGGGCGCGGTGGCTCACGCCTGTAATCCCAGCACTTTGGGAGGCCGAGGCGGGCGGATCACGAGGTCAGGAGATTGAGACCATCCTGGCTAACACGGTGAAACCCCGTCTCTACTAAAAATACAAAAAAATTAGCCGGGCGTAGTGGCGGGCGCCTGTAGTCCCAGCTACTTGGGAGGCTGAGGCAGGAGAATGGCGTGAACCCGGGAGGCGGAGCTTGCAGTGAGCCGAGATCCCGCCACTGCACTCCAGCCTGGGCGACAGAGCGAGACTCCGTCTCAAAAAAAAAAAAAAAAAAAAAAAACTACCCAATATCACAAATCCTTTAGGAAAAAGCATTTCGCTGAAGAAGAGATCTGAATACCATGTATGTTTATATTATATCAGAGTTTAAATAATACCTTTCATCCCTCAAACTAAAAATAATGCTTTTTACAAAGATCTTTTACATATATATATGTGTGTATACACACACACACAGTTCATATTGTTGGAAATAAAAATATCTTAATCAACATATTTTCTAGTTCAGAATTTATAATCTTATATTCCCCTTTTTGGACTTATTGTTTCATCAATGACCAGTACTGGATCAATGCCAGGTCCAAGGTTGGCACCTAATAAATATTTGATTGATAGGTGAATTGATTGATTCTGTCAACCAAGAAAAACAATGACTAATATGGCTTCCCTCAAATTAGACAATCCATGCCTTTAATATCAGTTTTTAGCTCCAATTAAAAAATATCAAGCTTACTGAAGTGTAAGATTATTTCTGGTTCAAAGGAAGTTATGATTTTATAAATAACACCTCATTCCAAAAATTACTCAAAGAAAAGTGGAGTGATTTGGTTTGCCCTATTCATTAAGTAACCATCAAGATGAATTTCTACATTGGCTCGATAGATAAATTGTTATTTGCTAAAAAGTTTTTTTAAAAAGAAAACTGAAGTTGAAATGAGAATTATATATAAAAATGAATCTTGCTTTATTATAGCACTTATATATTTAGTACAAATAGCTAGTATGGCTCATAGAAATCTACATTAGGAGACTGTTTTGTTCAGAGTATTCAATCAATTATCCAGAATTGGAAGTTAAAATTAAACTTTATAATTTAACAAATTGTATAAAATAAGATTGTATAACAAGCACAAGGAATGATAAAGAGAAAATGAAAGCTGTATTTTCTATGATGAAAAAATACATGCATAAATTGATTGGATTTGCTTGGTCTCTTCCAGCTGGTGCCAGCACATTTCATATTATGATGATGTGCTGTAATGAAAACTTTAGAATATTTGGGGCATTCACCTAGGGCTCTCTCCTCTCCTTCCTTTACATAATTTTGATTTTGTCTTAGTCTGCCTTTAGTCCTCTGGACTTGATTTTCATAGACATATGGACAAGACACTCATCTTGTAGGGACAGGACAGACATTCTCTAAAAGATTTTAATCTAGGGAAAAATCAGGACAGGATTAGTATTTTGGAAAGATTTGTTTTGTTGCAATTAGGAAGTGTATCCTAGGGGTAGACTGAAGACAGGCTGACCAGTTAAAAAGTTACTGTAATGTAAGAGGTCACAGGAACTTGGGCTAAGGTGGTAGAGAAGGAATGGAAAAAATGAGATGAAGAGTTTGTAAATTAAAGTATTTACAAAACTGGGTTACCAAATAGAAATAGGAAGTGGAAAAGAAGATTCTAAATTGACTAAGGATTCTAGGACAAATATAAGTAGGTGTTTTGTTTGCTTATTTTTACCTGTTTCATACATTGATGTACCTATTCTAAGTGTTCAGAATGGTGTCTGGCCTGTAGGAAACACTCAATAAATATTTACTGAAAGAATAAATGACTGAGTAGGTGGCCTAGGTAAAACTAGCTGGATGGTGGTGCTATAAATGGAGAGGTATAAAAGCAGAAACAGGGTGAGGATGTGAGAAAAATGGAATGTGTAATTTTAGAAATCTTAAGTTTTTGGCAACTTGGAAATATTAATTTAGAAATTCTTTCTGGGCTTTTGGATAAACAGCTTTAAACTGCATGACAAATAAAAGTTTGAGCTGAAAAATTGGGGGATTGTTAGCATATAGGACGGTTAAAGTGGTGACCATGATTCAGATTATCTTGGAAAAATATGGTGACTAGGAAGAGCCAAGGGCCAAGGGTAAATCTTTAAGGAATGCTAATATTTAAGGAGTGTTTAGGGGAAAAGGAAGTTACTAATGAGAGCAAGTCTCCCAAGAAAGTAAGAACACTGGGATACATGATGTTGTAGAGATTCAAGGTAAAAGGGTTTCACAAAGGCAAAGTTGAACAATAGTGATCAATGCCCAAAATAGAAACAGCAAAATTTGCTATATATATGGCAGTTAGGAGGTTCATTCATCTACTCTTTCATCTTGATTCATTTAATGAGTCAGCATTTTTTACTATGTACCAGACAGGCATTTAGTTCAGCATTTTGCTAGGGAAGGGTTGGGGTGACAATATTACTATACAAGACAGACGTGCTCATGCACTCAAAGATTCTGCAGTCTAGTAAAAACAAGATAAAATAATGAGTAGTGAAAAAAAATGAGTAGTGAAATGCATTAATGACAATATTTGTTTTATTTCTAAAACTTATGAAAGAATACATTTAGTAAGAAAAAGTATGAAATAATAGAGTTCTGAAGGGATAGAGAGGTCAGGTACAACAGATAGGAAGATACATAATATTTTCTTTCGGGAGGTAACTTTTAAGCTGGGTGTTGAAGCATGAGAAAGAGCCAGCCATGAGAAGATCAGGTGATAGGGCATTATGGGATGAGGGAAAGATTAGTGCAAAGGCCCTAGGAATGTACTCGGTGAGTTGGGTAGGAGCATTGTAGATTAGGGAGCAGGTGATGGGAGAGGAGGTCAGGAGTAGGTGGGGACTCCACCATGTAGAGATTTATATGTCAGGTTAAGAAATCTCAATTTATAAAACATTAAAGAATAACCAGGAGGCAGAGTGCCATGCCTGGCCTGGGCAAGAGTTTCAAGATAGAGACCAAGGCAACACAATGGAGGCCATGGAGATGGCTGAAGAAGAGGTGAAACTGCGGCTTCTAAGAAACAGGCTAACCATCTACACATGGTGGTGGAGGGTCATCCTCATGAATGGTTGAATGGATAAATACCTCCCTGCACATCTACCCAGAATTCCAGCACAAAATAAATACTCTAATGGGCTTTCTTCAACCTCACACATGAATATTTGAGGGATGGTGGAAAACACTGTATTACCACTTAGTACTATTACACAAATCTATGGTTTAAGACATCTATTTGACCCCATCTCTGCTCATGAGTGTTTTTCTTAATCAGCTCCCTCTCTCATTTTCTTCAGACTATTCCAAAATTTCTCCTATTTTCTTAATCTCCCTACTCAACTTTCTTTCCTCTTGCTGTTGAAGATCCACACCTGAGGTCTTCAGGTCTAATGCTGGTAAATTTCTCACCTCACTAATTATAAAATTATCTGTAGCAGACACATTATCTCATCCTTCCCTGTAGTCTGAGAGGCTAATATGTTCTTTCTCTTGTTCAAAGTAGCATCTCGATTTTGTCCTTAACTCTTCCACCTCCTGTTCTCTTTCAGATATTTTCCAACTGTCATCTCCTCTCCCTTTTATCTTTAAAGGCCAGTCTCTGCCTGCCCCTGCTCTTCAAACAATAATCATGGGAAGCCTTTCTCATCAACGGTAACAACCTCTTCCCTTAAGTCAATTAATTGCCTCAATGCTCACCTACAAATTTTGAGAGATATCGGTACTCATTTCATCCACAGCCTGCTGCACTTTTTTTCCTGCTCATAACCACAGCTAGTCTTCATACAATCAATAGAGGTTCCCAATTATCAGATGTAATATAGTAGTTTGTAGCCCTTATTCTATCTTTTCTCTTTATTTGTTGCAAATGCTTGACTCTACAGACCATCTCCCTGCAATTTGAAATTATTGCAGTCCTTGTATTCTATGCCACATAATCAAATTTTTCAGGCTCCTCTTTAGGCACCTCACTTTTAGTATGTCCATCAAATGTTGATGCTCCCAAAATTAAATCATGTTTCTTTTTTATTTTTACGTATTATCTTTGGGTTACTTTGTGTAATCTCAGAGATACCCTAATTAACTCCCAAATCATATATAATCTACTCCCTTAATGTTTAGAATTTCAGTGGGCCTTACTGTCTTAGTATATATTAATTTCATATTCATTATATCTGAACATAACATCTTGTATAATAAACCTACTGTATCCTATATATGGATACTATCTCAACTGATGGTCTTTCCAGTGATATTAGAGAGCAAGTCTTGATTTCTCCCTCTGCCTTTTCTTTCACCGCATGCAGGAATTTCTACTGCCTATGTATTGGCATTGTCTCCTTCTTCCCATCCCCACGACCACAAGTCTAGGTCAGGCCTTTATTATCTCCAGCTAGTGTAAGAGCCTCCTATGATTCTTAGGTCTAGTCTTTCTCACTTTCTTCCTTTTCCTGGATGGTCTATCGCATCCCCAGCCTTCCCCACCACCCAGAGCATACCTTATCCATGGCTTACACATCAGAGCTTTTTATTTTTATTCCCCCAGGCTTACATTTTAATAGGGAAACAATAAATGAATACATAAACAAAGGAAGAAATGAACTAGAAAAAAATAGGTGGTGGTAAGTGATATCAGAGAATTACATCAGAACAGGGGAGGCGGTAGTAGAATTAGGGCCTAAACAATGGCTTTACTTTTGATGCTGAAGGATGACCTTTTTTAAAAAAATTATACTTTAAGTTCTAGGGTACATGTGCACAACATGCAGGTTTGATACATAGGTATACATGTGTCATGTTGGTTTGCTGCACCCATCAACTCATCATTTACATTAGGTATTTCTCCTAATGCTATCCCTCCCCAGGCCCCCACTCCCCAACAGGCCCCAGTGTGTGATGCTCCCACCCTGTGTCCAAGTGATCTCATTGTTCAATTCCCACCTATGAGTGAGAGCATGCTGTGTTTGGGTTTGTGTCCTTGTGATAGTTTGCTGAGAATGATGGTTTCCAGCTTCATCCATGTCCCTGCAAAGGACATGAACTCATCCTTTCTATGGCTGAAGTATTCCATGGTATATATGTGCCACATTTTCTTAATCCAATCTATGACTGATGGACATTCGGGTTGGTTCCAAGTCTTTGCTATTGTGAATAGTGCCACAATAAACATAAGTGTGCATGTGTCTTTATAGTAGCATGATTTATAATCCTTTGGGTATATACCCACTAATGGGATTGCTGGATCAAATGGTAATTCTAGTTCTAGATCCTTGAGGAACTGCCACACCGTCTTCCACAATGCTTGAACTAATTTACAGTACCACCAACAGTGTAAAAGCATTCCTGTTTCTCCACATCCTCTCTAGCATCTGTTGTTTCCTGACTTCTTAATGATCGCCATTCTAACTGGTGTGAGATGGTGTCTCATTGTGGTTTTGATTTGCATTTCTCTGATGACCAGTGATGATGAACATTTTTTCATGTGTCTGTTGGCTGCATAGATGTCTTCTTTTGAGAAGTGTCTGTTCATATCCTTTGCCCAATTTTTGATGAGTTTGTTTTTTTCTTGTAAATTTGTTTGAGTTCTTTGTAGATTCTGGATATTAGCCGTTCGTCAGATGGGTAGATTGCAAAAATTTTCTCCCATTCTGTAGGTTGCCTCTTCACTCTGATGGTAGTTTCTTTGGCCATGCAGAAGTTCTTTAGTTTAGTTAGATCCCATTTGTCTATTTTGGCTTTTGTTGCCATTGCTTTTGATGTTTTAGTCATGAAGTCCTTGCCTAAGCCTATGTCCTGAATGGTATTGCCTAGGTTTTCTTCTAGGGATTTTATGATTTTAGGTCTAACATTTAAGTCTTTAATCCATCTTGAATTAATTTTTGTATAAGGTGTAACGAAGGGATCCAGTTTCAGCTTTCTATATATGGCTAGCCTGTTTTCCCAGCACCATTTATTAAATAGGGAATCCTTTCCCCATCTCTTGTTTTTGTCAGGTTTGTCAAAGATCAGATGGTTGTAGATGTGTGGTGTTATTTCTGAGGCCTCTGTTCTGTTCCATTGGTCTATATATCTGTTTCGGTACCAGTACCATGCTGTTTTGGTTACTGTAGCATTGTAGTATACTTTGAAGTCAGGTAGTGCGATGCCTCCAGCTTTTTCTTTTTGCTTAGGATTTTCTTGGCAATGCAGGCTCTTTTTTGGTTCCATATGAACTTTAAAGTGGTTTTTTCCAATTCTGTGAAGAAAGTCACTGGTAGCTTGATGGGGATGGCATTGAATCTATAAATTACTTTGGGCAGTATGGCCATTTTCACAATATTGATTCTTCCTATCCATGAGCATGGAATGTTCTTCCATTTGTTTGGGTCCTCTTTTATTTCGTTGAGCAGTGGTTTGTAGTTCTCCTTGAAGAGGTCCTTCACATCCCTTGTAAATTGGATTCCTAGGTATTTTATGCTCTTTGTAGCAATTGTGAATGGGAGTTCACTCATGATTTGGCTCTCTGTTTGTCTGTTATTGGTGTATAGGAACGCTTGTGATTTTTGCACATTCATTTTGTATCCTGAGACTTTGCTGAAGTTGCTTATCAGCTTAAGGAGATTTTGGGCTGAGACGATGGGGTTTTCTAAATACACAATCATGTCACCTGCAAACAGGGACAATTTGACTTCCTCATTTCCTAATTGAATACTATTTATTTCTTTCTCTTGCCTGATTGTCATGGCCAGAACTTCCAACACTTTGTTGAGTAGGAGTGGTGAGAGAGGGCATCCTTGTCTTGTGCCAGTTTTCAAAGGGAATGCTTCCAGTTTTTGCCCATTTAGTATGATACTGGCTGTGGTTTTGTCATATATAGCTTTTATTATTTTGAGATACATTCCATCAATACCCAGTTTATTGAGAGTTTTTAGCATGAAGGGCTGTTGAATTTTGTTGAAGGCCTTTTCTGCATCTATGGAGATAATCATGCGGTTTTTGTCGTTGGTTCTGTTTAACACATCAGAGCTTTTAAGGCTCCCTGTGGTTTGACCCAGGCCTCCGATTGTACCTTTGTATTTTGCAACTCTCTTCCTTACTCTCTATGTTGCCACAATCTCAGCTGCCTGTGTTCCTCACAGAGGGTACTCTACCATTGTTGCTTATGGTTTTTCCACTCTTTAAAAAACTACTTCCTACTCTTTGTATAGGTCAGAGTTCTAATATCATTTCCAAGACAATTTTTCATCCTTTCGTATAATATTCCAGGTTTGTTGGGGCCTCTTCTCTGTATTTCCCAGAAAATAATTCTACCCTCTGGAGAACTGTATTATTCACCATATGATAAATATGTAATACACACATTACACACACACTTGCACATACATATTTCCCCCATTAGAATGGAAGGACCTTGAGAGTAGGAGTTGCGCATTTTCCCTAGAAATTTGCATAATGCCTAGGATATGCAAGAGACTCAAAAATATTCATTCAATAGACACACCAATAAATGAATGTATATATATGGTTGCTAGGGCTCTGGGAAAACAATCTGTCAAAAATACCAACAAAAACAAAAATATTTTCTATGTACTAACTGATCTTTGCCCTTTCACAATTAGAGAGTTTTTTTTTTTTTTTTAGCTTATACTTTTAATTCATGCTAAGAGCCTCATGAGTGCTATAGGTACTTACGGTCAGAAGGAAGAGAAGCTGGGGAAAGGAGGTGCCCACCTGGAAGGCTGTGGCTCTTTGGAGATATGTGCCACTCCTAAAAGCAACAGCAATGGAGGAAGAAAATATTTGTTAAGTTCCAGTGTTTGTGAAAGTATGGTAGGTAGTGCATGTTTTCACTGGGTGAATTGAAAGGACTGCAAGACCCCAATCACATCTCCTCCTAGACGATTGTCTTCCTATCTATTTTATCTAGGCAACAAGTTTCAAGACTATTATTTGTTTCTTTTTGATTGTTAGCTGTTGCACATTAAATTTTAAACATCCCAAAAGGAATGCAATGCCCTACTTCTCTCTCAGTTCTTATAGGGCTTTCTATAGAAGTGTGGATTCAATGACAGGTCAATAAAAAGATGTCTCACAGGCAAATGCAGACTGACTGACTGACCGTAGGATCAGATTGTGCAAGTTTGGAGGAGAGGGATAAGAGGGCCTGAGAGTTAGAAGTATATAGCAGAGCTGAGTACCTGCACATGAGAAATATATGCATACGTATCTGGGATGAAAAGGAGATCCTCAGTCTAAAAACGTTTAGTCTTAAGTGTCTACATAAATCAATAAAATATGTAGAGCCTGTGCTAACTAATGTTTTCACAGAGACTGTAGTGTTCTCTCTCTTTCTGAGTCCCCAACCCTACTATCAATGGCACTAATGTCATGTATTCTGTCTATTAAATTTAGAAAAGAATTGTTCTGTTTACCTGCATGAAAAATTCATTGCTCCCTGTACTGTAAGTGGCTTTGTGTTTAACACAGGTATATCTTACTTGTCAAATTGCTTTTGGGGTTAAGAAATTTTTTTAATTCCCTGCCTTTATTTATTATCTTATTACATTTTTAACTGTTGATGTTTATTTTTTATTTGACATTCAATGAATTTTCTCTGGGTCTGCCTTTTTAGTACTGGCTGATGTTTTATAACATATTGATTCCCAATATTTTAAACTCACCCACTGTTGATATGAGGATCACACTGGGAAGTAAGATGTTTACATCTCGCTATGAATAGCAGATAAATGAAATAATAAAGGTTGTCAAAAGCTGAGGAATAAAGTAAGCCAGGTTCTTGTTTGCTGTCAAGAATATATTGCTATGGAGCTTAGAACCAGCTAACTTCGTAATGGACACAGTGAAGTGGTTCTGGGCAGAAAGCCACTCTTTTAAACATTTGAAATATCAAAGAAAAATTTTACAAAAAATATTATTCAAAATAGAATGTTTTATATTTGTCCATCATGAAGTACTTTATTGAAAATAAAAACCTTATGATATCAGGCTCTAGAGACAGACTGTTTCAGTTCATATCTTCTCTCTGCTCCTTCCTAGTTCTGTGGCCTGATCTTGAACAAGTCATTTACCCTGCCAGTGCCTTGGGTTCCTCAGCTATAAAATGCAAATAATAATAATGCATCTATGATTGTTATGGGGAGCAATAGAGATAATGCATGCAAGCATTTAGAACATTGCCTGGTGCATAATAAGTGTGTAATAAATGCTAGCTATTGTTTCTGCTATTATAATTAGTTACAAAGGAATTGCCTATACACAATTCTGTAAGTAGAGGCATATACATTTAGCCTTATTTCTGTATTTTTCTTTTGAAATAAGCAACACATTTAACTCATAGAATATCATTAATTGTCTACTTTCTCTGATTCGAGAAATAACTTATCTATTTCATCAAACTAGCCTCAATTTTTCCAGGCAAAGTAGAGTTCCCTCATTTGTTGTCTCAAAGGACTGAGCTCATACTATTTCATGGCACTTACTGCATTATATCCCAACTTGTCTGTCCTCATATCTATTCCCCCAAGTAGAATGTTGATCTTTTAAATGCAAGGGCAATATTTTATTATTATTTTCACCTCCAGGACTGAGGAGAGGGCTTAGCAAAGAGTGCTTGAAATGAAATGGAATCTAGTGTTTTTCCTACTTGGACTTCCATTTTTCCTGACCTCTGTATGTATAACGAAGTATCATTTTCAAGTTCTCTATGCTCACAGAAGTCAAGTTTTTAAAATTTGATTTAATAGGATAACAAGGTTGGAAATTAAAAAATGGTTTGCATAGGTGCGTTCTGTAACTCCCTTAAAGTACACACTGAGTGCAATTCCAATCCCGGCCTGGACTGTGTAAACTTTTAACAAACATTTTGTATTCTAATTTCACAGAGAATCTATTTTTATGCCTTTCAAAATAGTTCTGAAATTCAGGTTTAAAAAAAAGAACAAATAATTGACTGTGGCTTTTACTTCTCTAAATCTGTATGCCAAGAAATACTTTTGGTCCTAAGTATTCTACTAATTTAAATATCATATGATACACACTGACTTAGATAGTGGTCAGTGAGAAATCTGCTTGGATTGCAAGTCATTCCCAAGGCATCAAAGTTGGTAAGTGAGAGAACCAGATCAAGCAAGTGACCTTACTAATGCAGATAGTAATGAACGGTTTCAGCTAGAGACCACCCTATGCCACAACGAACCAGAAGAACTATGAATTTGAACATAATTTCATACAAGAATTGACTGATGTTGACCTTAAGAAATTATTACTCATATACAATGTACATTAGTTCCTATGACATTAGCTTAAAGCTCAAATATTCTCTTTCTATTTTTGGTGCCGAGCATGCTCCTATGTGGAAGGAAGAAAACATCCGTTATAGCTCTTCCTAAATTATTTCTTGGAGTTAGTTTTTGGCAAAGGCATATGTTAAAACTTATCTTACTTCAAAAGTGAAATGTTCCAACCAGCAGATATAGAATTTATCTGCATATCTGTGATGACCAGTTTTAAAGAGACTCGTCTTCAACTAGAGGCAAGATATTCTACTTGTGTTTAGTAGCAGTTACTAAGCCCTAAAGTAGTAATAACTAATAGTAATTTTAAAACTTTCAGAGGTAATATAGGAAATCCATATATATATATACACACACACACACACACAATAAAAATACATCAATACTGATTGTGCCTAGCTAAAGAATATAAAGAAGTACATAATGTGTACATATTATATACATTGAGGTTGACAGCTAGTTAAATTCACGCTTGGCTTTATTCAGTGTTTGGTTGCCAGCTGCTTTTCTTTTGTACATTGTGATTAATTTCATTGTCACTAGATTTGATGTTTCTGAAAGAGTCTTTTTCTGAACCTAGTCAGGAACCAGGAAGGGAATTAGGAATCCAAGTTGTTGGAGCAGTCTCTATTGTAGTCTGATCTACTCACTCAAATTCTATGGTCAGATAAAGACCACGAAAGAAGAATAAAAATAATGACAGCATTTTTTGCTTTTCAAATGAAACTCCTTACAATACTGCTGTAGTTTTTTGAAATATTTTATTTGTTCTGCATTAATATATATTTCTAAGCTTTTAAACTTCTGAGAAAATGAATTAAAAGGGATATGCTTTCTTGATTGGTATGTGAGAAACCCCATGGAATGTGTAATACAAAAAGCTACATAGGCAAAATGTTTTATAAGCATGTTTAAAAGGGGAATCTATCAAGCCATTTCTATATGCTCCTGATTGCTGGCTTGTGTGCTGTGAAGAACAAAACTTCAACTCAAAATGCAAATCATACAGGAATCGTAAAAAGGCACAACCCAACCCTGCTATCACAGTAATTAAGATTTTCAAAGTAAAATTATTTTCTTCCTTTTTCTCTTCTCTGTCTCTCCTTTTTTTTTTTTTTTTTTTTTTTTTTAAAAAGAGGCAATTTAATGGGCTTAACAATTTTGGGATGCTTTTAGATAAGGATGTTACAGGTAAAATTTATGCCACATTTGTCAAAAAAAAAAAACCCTTTTTGGTACATATTAAGTCCCTCCCTTAATTAAGCCTTCTGGGGTTTCAATGTGTTGATCTCATTTTAAACCAAGCTCAGCACAATTAGACACACTGAGGAGATGGGAGATAAGTGGTGTATATAAAAACATTTCAGACACAAATATTTCATCCTACAAGGCCCCGATTTTCTCTTTCCATTTTAAAAAATCTGGGCTCAAATAAAGAAAAAAATTGATTATTTTCAGCTTGTCATACATCTCATTTGGAGTGGGTCAGACCTCCCCATTCACAATTACAACTAGTTAATCTTATCATAGAAAAATTCAATTACATTTATCAAGGTTATTCCATAGATTCAAGCTATTGCTTTAAGAAAATGGATTTTAGTGCTAGGAATGTTAGCATTGTGTGTTCCCTCAATTTTAAAATAAAAATAAAAAATAAATAATTAAATCTTGCCTTTACATCTATATTATTAATGTAGAGTTGTAATAAAGTAATATTTGACAGCTTTGTAAAAAGTATTATTAATACATAGATTATGGAAGTTTAGGAGGGAGGCTCATAACTGTTAATAGACTTCAATTCTCAGCCTACACTGACATTTTAAAAAATCTAGTTTCAAATTTGATAACAGATTACCAGCTAGGCTGGAAGCCAACCACCTGATTAAGGCAATTTAAATGCTTGCAAAGTGGTGAGATTAAAATCAAATAAGTGCCGATTTTTTTTCCTGCTTCACTTATCTTTCCCTGGATTCGTTCCTTAACTACCAGGTGGTGGAGGACTCTGGGTAATTTTCCTCTGCGCCAATTACCCCAGGATGGTTTTTAGGGTGAAGCAGAATAATTACTGCACTATCAATCCAAAATGGGCTGCTTAATGTGTTTAAGAGAGATTTTGAGCCTTAGCAGGGAGGCTGCCTGAAGCGTGCTCTGCTCGCGGTGCCAAAGCCCACTCGGCCTACTCGGATAGTTAACCGTTCAGTGAGAAGGCAGCACACACCCAAGGTGAAAGCAAACAAGGAAAACTCCTGGGAAGCTGTGGGAAAGTTAATGAGCTGCTTCCAACGTGTGGCAGGCTGCAGTCGCAGGTGGCTGACAAAGCTAGGCAGGTTAAGAAAATAATATTTATCATCCAGCTGCCAGGACTGTCTTTATCAAAACTCTTTCTAAAATCCATACAAGAAGAAGAAAAACGGGCTTGAAAAAAATTTTTTTGAAGAGAAACAAAAACAAAAAGCCCTGAGCAGCTGTGATTCAAATGCCCTATTCTTGCTGATGGGTTAGAAAGAAAGAGGGAGATAGCGATTGAATCTGACAGCAATTTTTCAACATTTTCCTGCAAACAAAATGGAAAAAGAAAAAACAACTAAATCAGATTATTTATTTAAAAATTAAAATTAAGCTGCAACTTTGAAATGACACCACTAAATTCTATTTTGTAGCAACCTCAAATTAAGTAACATGTTCCATCTGTTGAGCCTGCTCTGAATTTCCTTAATTATCATTATTTGAATGTAAATTTTGAGTTTTAGCCAGTTTGTCCAAAGAAGCACAATGCTAATTTAAAATAAAAATAAATCATTATCTGTAAGGGGACTGCTGCTGTTTCCTCCATTTAGTTATTTCTTTATATTGGTATTTAAATGATCTGTGCCTTCTCTGTGTTCAGTGTGGTAAGGGTTTCTTTTTTTAATTATTTAATCAAAGACTGATTTATGATTTAGCTTAACAGATGGTTTGTGATAATGTGAGTCAAAGTGTTTTATTTCAGAGAAATCCAGCATTTGAAATTTGTGCTTTATGTGCGCGTGTGTGTGTGCATGCACACGCATGTGTATGAAAGTGTTTCTGTTTTTGTGGATCTGCATTCTATCTGTGTACGTATCTGGAAGTCAGAGCTTCTGAGTGCTGACCCCAGTAGGGTAGTATTCCATATGAAACTGATTTATCAATGCAATCATTCCTGGCTCCTTACCTTGGTAATCAGTTTCATCTGCAAGGGGGAAAAAAAGATAAATGAGAATCAAGGGAAAGGCATGCTGTCCTGTGTTCTAACTACACATGTTAAACTACATGTTGGAAAGAATATCATGAACTTCATAATGGTTAGAAATGAACTCCTATCCATTCTGACAGATGCTCTGGTTTATACAGAAAAGTATTTTGTAAGGCTCACACACAATCCATTTAAGATTATCACATTAAACCATATTTACTTCAGAGGTCTGTAATAATTACATATGCACTTGAAAATCCCCAGGACTTTGGCTGCTGTGTCACAGATTTAGACTCAAACATTTTCATTTGATGTGCAAAGTGAGAAGTACTCTTTAGTGGCAAGACAATTATCTGATTCTACTAATAAATGACTGCACTAGTAGTCATTTTTAATTGAACAATTATAGGATATTGCACTGTCAGTTGATTATAGAAGTCATTTCATAAATGTCAAAAATCTCTTTAAATGAATTATGAAGCTCCAAAATAACTCCGGCAATCAGCCAGCAATAACACAATAATCTGTTTACCCTGTTGTCAGCTGAACTCCTACCATTTCGTTGAGGGGAAGAGGCTAAGAGGAAAAGCGGAGCACAGTGTAGGGAGCCCCTTTTTAAGGATTATGTTTAGCTCCAGCTCAAGCAACCACCTAAGCTTTGATTAGCACAGATTTTGAGTGTTCTCAAGAGCCTGGCTATGTATAAACTGTATTACAAAATCAAAGTCATCCTGTAACGACAAACATTACAGACGTGTATGTGTCTGCCATATGTGAAACATTTCAACATAAGTTGATCCATGAGCCCTGTGTTAGAAACTGTGGGACTGAACCAATGTTTACCAGGATTCTGCCCTTCCATTCACTGGCCCTGGTTCACTCACCACCTAAGTCCTTTCTAATTATACTCGAGTAGAATCTTCTAAATATTTCTTTAGCATCCATCAAATTTTATTTTAAAAACATACCCAGGAGAAATGTCATTCTTTATGTCACATAACAGAATGCTGCCCTGCTGTTTTTAATTTCTCATAATTTGCTTTTGGCATGGAATAAGTGTGGATGCATGTCTGGATATACTAATATTACATTTTCAGCTGGTAAAAGTGAAACCAGAAATAAATTTTCACTTAAAGAGAAGTTGCACTGATAAGAGAATCAAAGTTTCTAAGGTTGAGTGTGTGATTGTATTATAAAATATTTATATAACATGGCATATATATCCTTAAAAATACATTCTAACTTTGAAAATCAAATTTTCTTTATTTAATACATAATTTTTGGTATGCAATCTTTTTATATTTATTGCTTTCCACTTAATAGCACTCTTCAGTATATTAACTGTGCATTTATTTTTCCATGGTCTTCCAATAATGTGAGTTACAAGCAAAAATGTCAATGTTTGTTTCCGGATAAAGATATCATTTATAAATTTATTTGTGAAATAAAACTTTGTAAAGTGAGAACTAAAATCCTGATGTGCTATTTTATCAGTTTGGGATTATTTAGATCAAGCTCTTTTGAATGGAATCCACTCACTAATCTTCCCTTAGAACCATCTGAGCAATCATAATTTTGCTGTCCCTCCCTTCATGTATATGGAAGACACAGGATAATGCCTCATTTGTTGTTTTCCCATTGTACATTTTTCAGTGGATGATAACACAGAAGATAAATTTCTTGCTTCCTAAAATATTCTCTTGAGTTGCCTTCCTTAGCAGTTCTTTTATGGAGTGTATATTCCCAAATCTCTAAAGGAGATCAAAAGGATCTATCAAAAAGTAAATTGTAATAGATTAAGAAAACAGTAAGAACAGAGAAAGAAAAATTACTTTAAAACCTATAAAACTTGCCTACAATACTTATGCATAGGATTAGATGACATTCTTATTTCCAACCAGACTAGAAAAGCACCTGTCGTCATACAGTTCTTTCATCATGGTTACTGCTGGCAGGGTAAGCAGAGAAAACTCAAAAGAGCAAAGAAAAATCTTGGTAAAGCCTATATGGTGTCATGAGAGAGCTGAAAGAAGAAGAAAAAACAAAAATCACAATGTGTGGGTGTGTGATACTTTGAATTGACTCAGAACTGGCTGAATGGCTTTGCTGGTGACTGGGGTGATGACCTTAGATGACATGTGACTCACCTGACCTGTCCCTACATTTTCATCTTATGTTAAATAAAATGACTAGTGCCTCAGAAAAACTTTTTGAAATGGGTTCCTTGTATCCTTGTGTAGTTCTTGCAAGGTTTACACAAACTTAGATGAAAAACATAATGCCTAAAATACATTCCTGTTTCCCCATAATAAAAGAGGGATATTCTTTTAACTGTTACAATTCCACATTATTTTCTCTACTTTCAAAGAAATGAAATAAATTAATATAGAATTTTATTGAATCTGAAATGTTTAGAAACACTATTATATATCACTAAGAGGGAAAAAAATGCTGCCATCAACTGTAGCTCATATTCCAAATAAAAGATATTAGAATCTGAAAAAATGTAATCCTTAGCTTCCCTGAAACAAGGCAGCATAAAAATACCATATAAACTTAATGACATAAAAAGCATTGTACTTTTCAGGAATGCATTGAAGTCAACATTATCACCAAAAAATAAATTGTTAAGCTTTATATATAAAATACATTGTGGCCTTTTATATATATGTGTGTGTATAAATATATATGTATATACATATATACACACTCATTGTAAGTAATACTTTACAAGAAAAATACAATTATCTAAATTATGCTTCTGATCTCAAATTATAAACTATATTTTTTCTTATTGCCATCAGATGACGTAACATTACAAACACACACAAATGTATGCATATACACTTATATATGCGTGTGTATACAATACAAATATATATGTACATGTACAAAAGTATATACTTTGTCACAGATTTTTGAAGGTAAACTTTAATGTAATAAACCAAGTGTCAGTACTTAGTTTAATACATCCATACTGATAAATAAATTGAATAAATAAAAATGTAAAATTATTGGCACATAATAACTTACCAATTAGGAGACAAAATTGAAAAATTTGAATATCTAATCTAAATACTATTTGTCTGCTTTTCATGTCCACAAGATTTCTTTCTTCTTTTCTTCTTTTTTTTTTTGGTATTTCCTCCCTCCATTCCCATCCCCTCTCCATACAGTAGTCTCAAAAAGGGGCCAAATTCATGCTTATTTCTATCAATATTATATTTCTGAATATGCCAATGAAGGAAACATTTTAAAGCATGGAGGGCAATAATGGACAATTTGTAAATGAATACAATCACATAAAGTGTTTCCTTACAGTTTGAGCATTCAAGTATCAGTTGGTGATTCAGGAAACATCAGACTGGTGCAATCAAATGGTTACTATCTAAACCTTTCCCTTATCTCTTAAGGGCTGAAGAAAATGCATACACAGAAAAAGTTATTAAGGAAAAACAACTAGGATAGATGGGATTTTAAAGTATTTGTAAGGAACTAAAATGCAATGAATTGTGTATTATAGGCAATGTTTGGAGAGCCTTCTGCATTATTTAAAACTACCATAAAACATTTTCTCCCTAAACATCCGTTATTCAATATATTACTTATAAAACTGAAAGAATAATTAAGAGGACTGGACTGGTTGGCTTTTAATTTTTGAATGTGTAGAAGCATAAGTGTATCACAGGCTGCCTAAGGCATTTTAAAAAGGAGCGATGATAAAAACAAAAAGAACACTTGATACATTCAGATAACTCTGGTCCAAACTGGGAAATGACTAGACTTGGCCTTCCTTTACTTTCCTTCTTCACTTTTTTCTGACTTTCTTCCCAGTTTTTCTGCTCCCTTCCCCTCACCCACTACCATGCTGAGCCTTTCTGTTTTGGTATGCTGTCATATTCATCTTGCCTGGTAGTTCCTCATATTTCTGACTTATTTTTTTCTTTATGTACCATACTCTGTGTCCTAGATTCTGTGTTTTTAAAGCCTTCATTAAATATCTAAACTCTGCCAGTAAAAAATCCAAGATAATCTATGAGTGTGAATTAATTAATATATTACTCCTACAACAGCTTAGCATTTTGACAGTGAATCTATTAAGAATATGTGTGGTTTCTCTCAAAAAATAAATACTTAATGCTACCGTTTCAGGAACAGGGATGAACTAGTGGTTGGATAAGTTTGTCCCCATACTGATACCAATATTCCTCAATATTCTTATTTCTACTGTGAGATCCACTCTAGTATTTCCAACTGTCTCCCGGATATTTTCATGTGCTATCTCCATTGTGTTGGCATTTCAAGTTGAACATACCCCCAAACAAGCTCATTCTTTTGCCCCCAAAATCTTTTCTGCCTTGTGTGGAAGGTTAATTTCTTAATTAATAGCACTATTGCTTGCTTTTGCCAGCTGTGTCCCTTACTTACCTTCCTCTTCTGCAGCTGTCACCCACTTTCAACTAAATCTTGTAGATTCATTACAGAATTGTATCTTGAACCTGGCTCCTTCTACCTGCTCCCGTGGACAGTGACTTCATTTAGGCAAGTAACTTCTTTTAATAAATTATTGTAATAATCTTAATTTTGCCTGTGACAATTTTTTTCTTCACTGTGTGATGTGCTGTCGCCCCATAATCTGTCACTATAAATCCTTCTTATAAATGCTAATTCTGTATATAACTCCATTTGAAATCTAGCCTTCTCATTATTTATTTTTTATTTTTATTTTTATTTATTTATTATTATTATTATTTTTTGAGACAGAGTCTCGATCTGTCGCCCAGGCTGGAGTGCAGTGGTGCGATCTCGGCTCACTGCAAGCTCCGCCTCCCAGGTTCACGTCATTCTCCTGCCTCAGCCTCCCGAGTAGCTGGGACTACAGGCGCCCGCCACCACGCCCGGCTAATATTTTTGTATTTTTAGTAGAGACGGGGTTTCACCGTGTTAGCCAGGATGGTCTCGATCTCCTGACCTTGTGATCTGCCCGCCTCGGCCTCCCAAAGTGCTGGGATTACAAGCATGAGCCACCGCGCCCGGCCCTCATTATTATGAGTCTAATCATTCAAGCATGGAGGTAAAAACAAAGCAAAACAAAACCTTCAAATCCAGGCTTACATTTTCTTTCTAGCCTACCTCTTTGCAAATACCCCAACCAGCCCTTGTGTCAATTTTATAGGATGCTTGCCATTCTCCAAATACGTACAGGTCTTCCTTTCATTCTAGCCTTCATAAGACTTCTTGATTGCCTAGAATGCATCCCATTTACTGAACTGACAATTCCTTATCTTGTAAGACTTATTTTAGATGCCATTTGCCCTGCAAAGGCTTTCCTGACTCTAACAGATAGTTGGCATCCCTAACTTAGGTGTTAATAATATTATATTTTCACTGTAAGTATGTTCCACCACAATCAAGTTCCACTCACCAGTGCAGACAGTGAGCTTTCCTTTCTATACCATGATCACAGCTTTGTGGGAATTAGTATCTCACTCTATGATTGGGAGTTACAAAAGTCCTGAATCATTGAAACACTGTGGGTATCCACACAGAACAATTTTGATGGGGCTTAGTTCACTCGACTCTTAGATCATTATGGGAGGCAAGATAAATAACATGTCCTTTACCTGGAGAAGTGATAATTAACACACAGCCTATTTTTGATGGAAAGCCTTTGCCTACAGCCATGAGAAGTTCAGTTAAGATCCTCAATTATGACTGTGGTCATAGATATGGAGAGAAGACAAATATGAATGATATTGATCAAGGCTTGGTGATCAATGTATTGTGAGATGAAGGAAAGAGCAAAATCTAGAATGATTCCCAGGTTTCTGTTTTTGCTAAATATAGATACCTAATAAGAGAAAATAAGAGTGGAGAAAGAAAAGCAGTTTTAAAAATCTGGACTTAGCTACTTCCAGTACATCGAAATGTGTATGTCTTTTAAATAACTTGTTATATTAGCCTGAAAACTTCATCTTAAGATGGAGCTAAGATGTTGACTTTTTTTCTGTATAGTGCCAGATAATAATTATTTGCTTCAACTCTGCCTTTGTAGCAAGAAAACCACCATAAACAAATAGGCATGGCTTGTCCTAATAAATCTTTATTTACAAAAACAAGCAGCAAGTGAAATCCAACTGACAAGCCACTGTTTGCTGACCCTGATCTAGATTACTGAATTCCTCAGTACATAGGAGGATAAATGTCATTAGAGTGGATGTGATTACTCAAGGAAAACATGCAGAAGAAGATTAGTGTGCCATTGGATCAGTGTGATTTGATCATGAATGGTAGAGCTCATGGAGAGACCAGGATACAATGGTTTGAGATGCCAGAGACACTGGAAAACCAAAAAAATAAGATTTCCATGGAAATAAGGGAGTGAAAATTTTCAAGAATATTCTCTAGGTTAAATGCAATAGGAAGCATTAGTAAATGTGGACAAAAATAAATAAACATTTTTAAAAAGTTCACTGATTTAATTTTGTAGTGAGGTAGCCATTAGTGACCTTAGAACAAGAATTTTCAATAAAATGTGGAGGCAGATGTCATTATGCAGTGGATTGAGAGGTCAATGAAAATATAAAAGGGAGATCAATGAAAGTTAACTACTGTCCTAAGAAACTTGGCTCAAGTAAAAGTCTGTCAGCCTAGTTCAACCCAAAGCCTACATCTTACTGAATGAGGAAAATCCAACTTTTCATCTAAGAAATGGAATAAAACAAGAATTCCCACTCTTACTACTCTTATTCAACATAGTACTAGAAGTACTAACTGGAGTAATTAGGCAACAGTAAGAAAAAAAGGGCATCCAAATTAGAAAGGAGTAAGTCAAATTGTCCCTTTTTGCAGATGATATGATTTTATATTTAAAATCCTAAGACTCTATCTAAAAACTGTTAGAACTGATTAATGAATTTATTAAAGTTGCAGGATACAAAATTAACATACAAAAATTAGTAGCATTTCTATGCATGATCAATGAACTGGCTGAAAAAGAAATCAAGAAAGCAATCCTATTTACAACAGATGCACACACACACGCACACACAGAGAGAGAGAAAGAGAGAAATAAATTTAGCCAAAGAGGTAAAAGACTTTGACAAAGAAAACTACAAAACATTGATGAAAAAAATGAAAAGAAAATGAAATATGAAGACAACCAATGCTCATGGATTAGAAGAATTAATATTGTTAAGATAATATTACTCAAAGCAATCTACAGATTTGATGCAATTGCTATCAAAATACAAATGATATTCTTCACAGAAACGAAGAAAAATCTTAAAACTTGTAAGGAACTACAAAAGACCCCAAATAGCCAAAACAATCCTGAGCAAAAATAATAAAGCTGGAAGCATCACACTATCAAGCCTCAAAATATACTACAAAACTATTGTAACCCAAACAGCATGGTACTGGCATAAAAAAGACATATAGATCAAAGGAACAGAACCGAGGATACAGAAATAAATCCATATATTTACAGCCACATGGCTTTTGACAAAGGTGCCATGAACACTCATTGGGGAAAGGACAGTCTCTTCAGTAAATGGTGCTGGGAAATGCACATCCATATACAGAAGAATGAAACTAGACCCTGCCTCTCATTTCATACAAAAATTAAATCAAAATGAATCAACTACCTAAATGTAAGATCTGAAAAAATAAAATTACTAGAGGAAAATATGGGAAATGTTTCAACACATTGGTCTGAGAAAAAAATTTATGAATAAGACCTCAAAAGCACAGGCAACAACAACAACAACAAAGAAACAAATTGAATTATATCACAGTAAATAACTCCTGAACAGCAAAAACAGGAACAAAACAAAACAAGAGAGTGAAAAAAATGGGAGAAAATATTTGAAAAGTACTCATCTGATAGGAGATTAATATCCAGAATATACAATGAACTGAAACATCTCAACAGCAAAAAATTATAAAATTTAAATTAAGAATGGGCAAATAATCTGAACAGACATTTCTCAACAGAAGACATACAAAAAGCCAACAAATATTACATGAAAAATGTTCAACATCACTGATCATCAGGGAAATGCAACTCAAAATTACAATTAAGTATCATCTCACCCGAGTTAGAATGGCTACTATCAGAAAGACAAAAAATAACATGCTGGCAAAGATGTAGAGGAAAGGGAACTCAGACACTGTTGGTGTGAATGTAAACTAATACAACCATTCTGGATAACAATATGGAAGTTCCTCAAAAAACTACAAATATAATTACCATATGATCCAGCAATCTCACTACCAGGCATTTATCCACAGAGAAGGAAATAATTATATTAAAGGGACATCTGCACTCCCATATTTATTGCAGCATTATTTACAATAGGCAAGATCAACCTAGGTGTCCAGAAACAGATGAATGGGTAAAGAAATATGGTATGTACACACCATGGAATACTACTCAGCCATAAAAAGAATAAAATCCTTTTATTTCTGGTAACATGGATAAAACTGGAGGACATTATGTTAAGTGAAATAAGCCAAGAACAGAAAGTTAAATGCTGCATGTTCTCATTCATATGTGGAAGCTAAAAAAGTTTATCTCATAGAAGTAAAAAGTAGAACAGACCATAACAGAGACTGGAAAAGTAGGGGGAAGAGGCGGGGAATAGGGAGAGATTTGTTAAAGCATACACAATTACAGCTGCATAGGAGGAATAAGTTCTAGTCTTCTAGCACTGTAGGATCACTATAGTTAATAACATGTAGTTTCAAATAACTAGAAGGAGGTTATTGAATGTTCCCAACACAAAGAAATGATAAATGATAAATATTTGACATGATGAAATAGATGTGTGAGTTGTCCTGATTTGATCACTACATATTATAAGTATTGAAACATATCTTATGTGCCTCATGAATATCTACAATTATTATGTCAATTAAAAATACATTTAAAAAGTAACTGAAAAAGAAAAAAAATTGTATGTTAAAACCTGTTGACTGCCTAGTCTTCACTTATATTTTTTCATTGCCCTGACTCTGTCAGTCATTTTTAAGCACACCTAATATCTTTTAAAAATCTTTCTCTTTCTATTCTTCCAGAATTGACATAGCTTCTTCCTTCCATGACATCTTTTTCATGATCTGCATAATTTCTGCTTGATTTGCTTCTCTTTTCAATGTATTTTCTCTAGTTAAGTTAATGAAGATCTATATGGGTGCCATACCTGAGATGCTGGTCTTTTTAATTTTGATAGTTGAAAAAAGGACTACACTTATCTAAAAGAGTTGGACCATATAGAACTAATCAATATAAATGTGAACTTTTATGTAAAATAATTCCAACACGTATTAGAATTATGTGGAGAAAGATTTAAAATGTTGTAATGATCATGTGAAAATTATTATATATTAATATGTAATCTTCAACATATACTTGCAAAATGAGTATTCACATCATTTCACCATTGTGCCTTGTCTAAATATGAATTGAGGTCCAGAGAAGATGTGAATTGGGTATAGCAGTGTAGCAGTGTAGTACCAACATTTATCTGTGACTATTTTGTAGAAATATTTTATAAATAATTGTGTATATATATATATATGTGTGTAGCTCAGAATATCCTGTGAATTATGTAATATTAGACTCAAGTTACAATGAGGATACTAAGTTGCAAAAAATGCTGAAGAACTTGACTGAACTTGACTGGAGGAGCACCTCTAGCACTTGGTGCCAGTTTCAAAACTCACTCTCTCTGAACCTACATTCATCATTAGAAAAAGATGCAATTTTGACTCCAATTTAAAGGAAAGGTCAAATAATGTTTTATGGATGGGAGGAGGAAAATTGCTGCATGTAAAGGCTTAAGGTAAAAATGTGAGAAAATTACTAGAAATGGAGAATATTGACTACAATATTTCAATAGTTGAGAGCTAACCGTCGGGGCAGGATTTGGATGCTTTAGAAGCTGAATTTTTTATTTGCTATTAATATGGGAAGGTGTCAAACAATCACTCATATGATTAGAGAAAATTGTGATGAACATTTATTGAATACTTAACTCTGTGTCAGGCCCTAGTATGAGCATTTAATAGATATTAACTTATTTAATCCTTCTAATAGACCTATAATGTAGTTACTATTATTATCCCCATTATAGAGATGAAGAAATTAAAGCTCAGAGAGGTATGACTTTGACCCAAGGTGACATGGCCAGAGTGCAATGCAACCAGGATTAGAATCCAAGAAGATGACCCTAGCCTGTTACCTCCTGACAACTAAGACGATGTGGGTAAGTGTTAACCTGAGAATAATGGAAATCAATTCCCACTAGAATATTATTGATTCATTTGAGAGAAAAAAAATAAAACGGAATGTAATAAAAGTTACATTCCCTTTATAATAACATAAGACCATATTCCTTACAGTAACAAAGGTCCAGACTGTTCCATTCCACTTCTCCTGAGTCTCTAAGAATTGTTTAACGGCTGAGTCAGTATTTCTTACCACGTTGTTAAAAACTATCAAGGGCTTTCAAAGTTTTTCAATCACGCTTGAATCAGAATTCTTGGTAGAAAGTACGCATCATGCTCCAGGGCACTGTAACCCCAGTGGGAATTTTTGGCTTTTCAAACTTGAGAATAAATGGATTCCAATTCAGAAGTATAGAGAAAGGGGAAAGGAGTGACCTCACTACAGTCCCCATGGCTGTAATCTTCCTTTCCTCATTCCATTCAACTATTCACTTTTCCACAAAAAGTTTTTTTTTTTTTAAATTGTATCATCAGTAACCCAGAAGATTGGAAGGATATTTAAACGAACCTCCAATTAGCAGAGCTCAAGGATGTGAAAGAAGAGACAAAGTATCAAGGTGAATCACATGAGACCAAATCAGTCAAAGCGGGGGGTGAGTTGTAGAAGGATAGAGGGATGGTAGTAGAAGAAACTGGATAGTATTAAAAGGTTAGGGGACATGCAGAGAGGACGTTTTGAGAATAGAGTGGGTGCTAGCAAAGAGGAAAGGTGTAGAAACAGGAAACTGAATCAAGAAGGGTAAATAAAGCTGTTGCCTGATGGCTAAATGTCTGGAATAACATACTGCCTGTACACACATGCATATACAGACATATTGGTATTTGGATACCTTAAAATGGCACATTTTGTTAGAATATTGAAAGCTACTAATGCAAACACTAGCTACAATATATTGGGGCAGAAAACTCAAACATGCCAAAGATTATCTGAGGTTTTAGGTTTTAAGGACACGTGAGAATGTAATATTTGATGATCTGGAGCCTGGAGAAGACAATGCTTCGGCCCAGTGTGCATCTGACAATTTTTCTTCCAATCAAAAGATAGCTTCAAATAACAGTGAATCATTCCATGTGATAGTGATTTGAAAAACAATTTCTCTATAACGAAAGACAGACACACACACGCGCGCGCGTGCGCGCGCGAGACAGAGATTGACTGTACAAGACCAGGAGCACATGGTTAATTGACATATTCCTGAGCAAACTTGTAAATAGTACTGTTCTCACAGGAATTAAATCAGTAGCACTGTGGGTAACTTTAGAATTCAAAGGTGTCACAGTTCCTCACTCTGTGTTGATGGAACCGAACGGCATTAACCTTTTCACTTGCACTAACAAAGACAAGTGAAGACAAGATGCGCTATGTTTCCTGCACATCTATGTTTTGTTTTTTGCCCAAGGCCCTCTACAATTATCCCACACTTCAGAACTAATTTCTCTACTCGTTTACCTGCATTGTTTTTGCACTACTCCTGTAACATCACAATCTCATTAACCATGATTTTTGTCAAAAGGAGGATTTATAAGGGCATAGAAGAAATAATTATTTAGTGATATAATATTGAGCAAATCTTTGTAGTTTCTGCAAATATGTTGGCCCTCTTCCAAAGTAAACATTTTTTCCTGCTTCAGTCTTATTTTATAAATAACACTCTACTGCTTAAAGCAAAGCAACGCTGACAATTGTTCATCTAGTCCTGAATTTAAAAATTAGACTTCTTATTTTTAGGTGATGGCAAGAGGGAAAGAAAAACCCAACTGAAATACAGAAATTGATTATTTTTTTCAATAATACAAATCTTATCAATTAAACGTTTATTACTTCTTTTTAAATTTAAAAATATATTTGTATATATGTATGCCCACAAAATACATGTACCTATGCATATTATATAAATATATTTTTGTTTTGTTTTGCAAGCATAAAGTGGAGCAAACAACCATTTAACACCAATAATCAGCTATTTCAGATGTGGAAACAAGTGCCTATCTTTTTGTAGCTAACAAATAATTTCATCATTACAGAGGGATAGAAAGTTGCATTTCTTCAAGGCCATGTAGAAAATGGAATTATTTTGGCTGTAAGGATAAACAATTACCCATGTAACTTAACTGAAAAAAAAATTAACTGTGTAAGTGTAAGTGTGGAAATTTGTTCGGCTACCGTTGTCATTTTCCTTGATCATAAGCAAGCTTGCTAGCAGCCAGCAATATACTTCTCCAATTAATAACAGAGCCCAAATAAGAATTAATATCAGTGTGCAAATTTCAGAAGGAAAAGTTGAAGAATCATGTTTTATCAAATAATACATTTTAAAAGGGGCATTGTCTGAGTCTAATGCTCACAGGAAAAGAGAGCTGAAATAAGGAAGAATTTGATAACTTCTTTACATGTGGTACATTGTCAGAATGGGGTGTGTTTATCTAGAAGAATCTAGTAGTACACATGTAAGCTATCTTCAAATATTCAAAGTGTTGTCATATAGAAGAGGGAGCAAACAGAATGAGGACAAATGAGTTATATGTGGTCTTAATAAATTATCCTATTTATTAAGAATAGATAGGATTCACACAGAATGTATTATCTTGAGATACACTTAAAAGAAAACTTGGATGATCATCTGTCAGAGGTGCTCTTGAATGATTTTTTTTGCAGGAAAATTGTGCTAGATGACCTCTAGGATCACTTCCAGCTTGAAATCTTATGAGTTCGTTTTCTATTATTCTGGCCATGAGAATTCTGCTAAAGAATCTGTAGAACTTTTTCCAAGTCATATTTTGCAAATCACTGGTTCTGGTAGATGTTAATAGGTGCTTTGATTGAAAAATATGACTCTGTAGTCAAATTAGTTTGGGGGGCATTATATATAATATGCTGTTCTTGGAGAATAAAAATGCACATTTGCATAGCAAAAGTTCTGAGCTTTGTGTAAAAAATCCTGTTTAACTTGGAATAACTCAACACTCTCTGAACCTAATTTACAAGAGAGCACTTTTCCAGTATACTATTTGCAACCTGAAGTGTTCCTTGGAATATTAGTTTTGGAAAATAGCAATTATTATACAATAAAAGCAACTCATTAAATCACAATGCATTTGAACACATTTATAAATGTTAAATATTAAAATATTCATGTAGAGGAAAGATTCTTTTCCTGGAAAGTTACTTATTACAAAGATCCCCCCCTCCCCCCCGCCAACGCCTGTCTTGTAAATACAAATCAATCATATATTTTAAGTATTTTGTGTACATTTCACATTTTTTTCCTTATTTCTCATAATTAAATATCCAATTAATGTACCTAATTTCAGAGTTTCTGAGTGTAGGTAATTGTCACATTGTTTTCTCTATTGATTTGTATCTCTTTTATTAAAGTTATCTCAATTTTATCAAAATTGTATAAGAATTACTTTTCTTTATACTTGTATCATTACTTTCACTTTTCTATTGTAAACTCATTTTTATGAAATAATAAATATAAAATGTATAAAATACTTAAATAATTACATGAGCACTGTTTAAAGATAAAAATTGTGACTCTATTGACATTGAACTGTTGTCTGGGAGACAGTGCTCCCATGTGATAGCTCAAAATTCCCATTTATTAACAATGTTAAACATTCAAATTTGTTGTATAATATGTGGATGGAGCTGTCCACACAACAAGTAAATATTAAATACATTAAGTTTTGCCAATATACCATTAGAATTATATTGAGTTATTACCTTAATTACAAACATATAAATTCAAAGCTGATTATATCAGCCACAGATAAATGTAGATTAAAATAATTTATTACTTCATTTATGATTTTTATCTTTTTTTCCCTCTGGTTGTCCTTCTCTGGATACATTCTCAGAGTTTACAAATGTGCTTAAGTCATCTCATTTAAAAAAAATTGTTTTGACAATTCTCTCATAATCTCATAATTCTGTATGTATTATTTTTCATCACTCTTGAACTCTAAAGGGATATTTAAACTTATCATTATTGGAAAAGTTAATTCTTTCCTCCATTATGCCCTATAGCATTATCTATGTGCCATTATTCAACCATTTGTGCTGAATTTTAATTATTTTTAGCCACTGGCCTTCCTTATTATGAAAATAGAATCTTCCTTATTATGAAAATAGAAACTTATTATGAAAATAGAAACTTATTATGAAAATAGGGAAGGATCATGTTTTATTTGTTTCTTGTGATTCCGGTTTAACAAGATAGTAATGTTTGTTGAACGAATGAATGTTCAACTGAAGGGAGAGTCATGTCCTCCTTTTAATTCCCAGTCTTAGCCTAGCTAAGACTCGGGTACATTGCTGAGCATTCATGTTTTTTTGATTAATTTTCACAAGGTAAGAATCCGCATATGATTCATTTTTATATACTATCTTATCCCCATTACTCTAGGCACGTATTATGCATTCAGTCATATTTATTGAATAATAGAATGAAGAAATTCTTAGTGTAATCTATATTTGGTGCTCCCATTTTTCATTATTTAACACATGCTGGGACCCTGAAAACTTAGTTCTCTTCACACTCTATTTAAAAATATTTCCTTTCAAAAAGTCACAGTAATCTCAGAGTTCTTGATACCAATCATTTACCATGTATAACAAAGCTAATAAACCATTCTTACAATCCTTCATGGCTTCCATGAAAATGTACTCTTCTGGTTAAATTCCTGCTACCTACATGTACATACATTATGCTGTTTATTTACCTGTCTTGCTTTCTATGCATTTTTGGCAATTTTTTCAACCCCTGAATTTCAATGACGGTCCACTTGTCACCATCCTTCTACATTTCATTCCCATAAAACCACCTACCTCCGTATACCTTCTATAGCAAAAGAGTGTCGGGTTAGCATAAGGTTCAGCATAAGGTTATGGGAGATGGTTTTAAAAGCATGAGACTGACTGAGATTTCCTTTTCTTCTATTGCTTCAACGCTACATCTATACAATCTTTTGTATGTTTTCATTACTTCTTCATTTTAAATGCCATTATCCTAATCCAAGATCTCACAATCTCTTTACTGAACTTGTACAAAAACTTTAGTCTTTTAGCTCTGATATCCTTCCGTCTCCAATCTATCTTACCTATCTTATATTGTCTCAGATTAATCTTTCTAAATCACAGCTCTTATGGCTCTCTATTGCACAAAATGTTCACTGGTTCCTATATTCAGAGGCACATCCAAATATCTTAATTTTCCATAACCTGTGACCAACCTATTATTTCCTACTTTCTCCCATATACTTAGTTGACCATTAAGCAACATGGATTTAAACTGTATGGGTCTACTTATATGGGAATTTTTTTCAATAAATACATCAGAATAAATTTTGGAGATTTGTGATAATTTGAAAAAATTTGCATACAAACCTTGTAGCCCAGACATATGGAAAAAAATTAAGAAAAGTTAGGTATGCATAACATACATGTAGATATTAGTCTATTTTTATTATTTACTGCTGTAGAATACACATAAATGTATTATAAGAAGTTAAAATTTATCAAGACTTATATGAACACAAGATCTACATGGTGTTGTTTGCATGCCAGAGAAATATAAACAAACACACATAAAGATGAAGTATTAAATCCTAACTGCATAAAATTAACTATATTATATACTGTACTACTGTAATAATTTTGCAAACAATTCCTGTTGCTATTGTGGTGAGCTCAAGTGTTGTATTACAGGAATCATCTCTGAGTGAGCGATTTGTCTCTCCACTAAATTGTGTATTACAGTAAATAGTGATCTTTCCCGGGTCTCATGGATTATGCTGCTTAGTGCAATACCATACACCTTGAATAACACCATAGGACCCATATACAAAGTCCTACTAATGATGCTGGAGATGCTCCCAAGGGGCGAAATAAGTCTTGAAAATACGAGGAAAAAAAATAAAATTTCTTGATATGTACCATAGATTGAAGTCTGTGTCTATGGTTGCCTGCCATTTCAGAAGGACGATTCATCTTGTAAACAAACAAAAACTTACAGTATCCATAAATACAGTATAGGACTTCAGATGCATTTTCTCTTCCTTATAATTGTCTTAATAACATTTTCTTTTCTCTAGCTTACTTTATTGTAAGAATACATTATATACTACATGTAACATAAAAATATGTGTTAATCAGCTGTTTATGTTATCTGTAAGGCTTCTGTTCAATGGTAGGCTATTAAGTAGTTAAGTTTTGGAGGAGTCAAAAGTTGCAGGTGGATTTTTGAATAAGTGTTATCGGCGCTCCTAATCCCCACGTTATTCAAGGGCGAACAGTATACATTTAATTCAAGCTAATTTGTTCATCGTTTTGTAAAACTCAGAACATCTGCCCTCAAGTACCTTATTTCTACAGATGCAAATTCTACATGTATACTCTGCTTTCCTGCAAACATCTTCTAGATAAATCTTTCCCAATATACCCATGAAATAAATGTCTCCATGTAATCTCCCAAAGTACGCTACTTACAGCAATATAAATTTTATTCTTTGTGTTATTCTTAAGTGTGCATGTATGTGTGCACCTGTGAATATTTTATCTATTTTAAGACATATAATACTCCTTTATGCTTTTATATATATAATACACCTTTATTTATGCTTTACCTATTTATATCTTATACCCCTTTAAAGAGATACTAATTTGTCGAAACAAGCCCCAGAGTCTCTAGCATTGTGTCTTGCATGTAATGGGTACCCTATAAACATTTTTTGAATGAATGGAGCCTTCAGTTGATTTAGTCGTGAAAGACTTCATAAAGAAAGGGAGCTTGAATCCAGGTTTTTACTAAAATGAGGAATATCAAATAATGGAAAAAGATAAGCCAGGAATTGTAGGTGGGAAGCACTTCATGTTAAGATTAGTATTTCCATAAATACATAACTAATCTGTGAATGGTATTAGGAGGGTTTGCTTAGGCTGTATAAAGACATACGTCAGGGAGCCTGAGAAATGTGGTTAGTGGTCCACGTTTGAGCTGGCAAAAGAATAGGTCAAAATAGCTGGATTTCAGAAGGTTGATAATAGGAGCCCCTTATAGGTACCACAGAAGGAGCAGAGCCTGATGAAAGTAGAAACTGAAAAATATTATTTTAAAATTTGAATATTTTTAAATATTACCTTTACTGATGATTATCACTCATGACCTAAAAGGTCAAAATTTATTGCCTTATTTTACGCCTAAATTCTTACCAGGCACTACTGAAAACACACACATGCTTTTATATAGTAACAAATTCAACATAATATAATCTCAATAATAGATAAAATTAAAAATAATGTCATTTGCTTTTATGTGTGTATGGGTTCACATTCCCAAGACATATGACAGATGATAACAAGGGAAAAATCCATAGTTTGATTTCATGGGGAAGTTAGAGCACCAACATATTTGTTACCTTTAAGACATAAAGACCCCCGAATATTTTATATTTTTGAATTACTTTTTTCCACTACTAAAATACAGTCATCAACCAGAAGAAAGAGAACAGTTGGTTTGTAGAACAGAGGATCTTTATTAGGCAAGGCGTGATGAAAAACTCTATGGAAACCAAATCCTTGTGGGTGATATGGCCTCAAATAAGGACATTTTTGAAACGTAGATTTTTTTGTGCTGGATTCCTTTTCCCAGAATCATCCAGCTGGGGAACAGCATAACTCTGAAAGATTCAAAGCATGTATTTTAAGGATATTGAATAACTATTAGGGTAGCAAGCACTTCTCACTTGGATTTGCTCAACTTTTGAATTGATCTAATAGGCTATGAACATTTCTTCATAATTGTCATCTCCTTCCTTTACAGGGTCATAGGCAGGATTAATGAAATAACTTTCTAAAAGAGATTGAGCTCCTTCACAGAAAATGGCTAAATAGAGAACAGTGTTTTTGTTATGATAGATTATGTAAGAATGAGGATGGGACAAGTTTTGCAGTTTAACCTATTTTGAAGAAAAATGACAAAGTAGAGTTGATTCTTTTTAAATAAAGATTTATGTTGGTGTGACTATCTCAAAAAGGATATTGTGCATTTAATTTTCCCATACTCTGAAATAATTTAGTTATTCACTGTATAAGTTTAAATCAAGCCATATAGTACAATGTGTTAACAGAGGTTGGCACACTGTAGTCCCTGGGCCCAATCTTGCCAGTCCTGAAAAATTTGGCGGTGAGTTTGTGTAAATAAAGTTTTATTGGAACACAGATCCATTTTTACTTATTGTTTATGGTTACTTTTGCAGTACATTGTGAGTAGTTTAATAGTTATGACAGAGACAGTATGACCTACAAAACCTGAGATACTTACTATTTGGCCCTTCAGAGAAAAATTTTGCAGAACCGTGATTTATAGCAGGGTGTTTTCACATGACAGCCAAGAATTAAGCATTCACATATTTCCTGAGTAAAAGTATGGTTTTCTGCAAATTTCTTATTATCTCTAAAACTCAATTTATTCATCTGTAATAGTATCTGTCTGGTAAGATTTTTGGTAAGGAATAAATTATAGGAGCTTATAGTAACTCTTAACACAGTGTCTAGCAAGTAATAAAAGACTGACATGAAGTAGTTGTTGTTGTTCTGTAATTCCTACTTAATAAGCAGATGGAGCACTGCCATTCCCAGGCATGTACTTTAAAATACTGTTTTGTATGTGCTCAGGTATGGTTTCTTTGAGCTCATTATTTAGTGATCCCAATATCCATGTAGGACTCTAGTTTTAATATGCGACCCTTGAAAAAGAGTCTTCTCACCCAGCAAAGCAAAGATAATGGCAGGTGAGGATTGTGAAACTTGTTAGTGACAGCGACCCTCTATTGATGGTAAGGACAGAGGAGTGTTAAATAATTGGGGTAAAACTGACCAAAACAAACAAACAAACAAACAAAAAACAAAGCATGGCATCAAGAAATCCTGTCTTGTCAGTGCAACTTCAAATAAATGCAAAGATAAAATATTTTGATGAAAGAGTTACTAAGAAGTGGGAAGTAAATTTTGAGACATTCTGCAAACACCCATAAGTGTAAATGGATTAAGTGGTGTATATAGAATGTGTAAGAGACTAGAATGTTAGAGGCTGAGCATTGAGGCAGTGGCCATAGTGCATGAAATAAACTTCAAAGATACTAGGCATTTATATTTGGGATCTACCTATGAGAATTCTCGCAGTAAAAAAGCAGAGTTGGAAGTATTTCTGGATTTTTTTTTAAGCATTAGAAAGAAGTGAGTTGAACTTTGAAATAACTACATACGCTATACTCTAAGGAACATATGACAGACCTTCAGTGAGTGTGCCTTGAGCATTTTGATTTGAAGAAATAGTGAACTGGGTTCATGTGGGGCTTTGGATTGTTGGCATTTTTGTCTTGCTTACAAAAGAACTAATAGTCATTGCTTAAAAAATATATAACTGGTCCTCTTTGATATATTGAATTTATACTGTTTAAAAAGGAGGAAGATGTCATCAGTTTGCTCGATTGTTTAATATAGAAATCCATCTATATTCAAATATAGAGTTTATGTCAATAGAAGCTCTCCCTGTTATATTTTCTTTCCACTGCATGAGGGAAAAGACTGCCTTTATTTCATTTATTTCTATATTCCTAGTGCCTAGCACATATGGTGCAATCAACAAATGTCTGGTGAATATGGATGAACGAATGTATGAAATCCTTGAGAACAATCAAGACTCAGAGATGATATGTTAAGAATTCTCGCCAAGAAGGAAAGCACAGCAAAGTACATCATTTGAAAAGATTTTGATGCTTCTGATAACCTTTAGGAGGAGACCTCACAATCCAAATCTATGTCCAGGTAACACACCAGACATGTTTGTTTTAGGCAGCAATTAGACAAAAGAAGCCTGAATTTAGGGAGATCCATGACTCACAAGGAGAGTAAACAGAGGACCAAACACACTACCCAACCGACCATGGATTTCCCAGAAACAAGGTATTGGGCCACTAAGACAGACTATCTAAAAATGAAAGGATTAAGTCAAGAAGATGAAATCGAATGCTTACTGACCAATTCAAGCCCACAAATACCTATTTGGCATAGAGCAATACATGATTTTTATTTCTTTTTTGTTAGGATTCAGATCCTATTATTCTCCCAGGTTGGGTTTTTATTAGTCTTATAATTGATAAGATTGAGCTTATTCTTGGCAAATTTTGGAATATTTCAAAATGCTCATTTTCCTCTCCTGCCAGAAGCATAAGGGGATTTTTCTTTAATATTTATATGAGAACCTGGTTGAGTTCCTAAACCAATAGCTCACAAAATCTCACAAAATTGTGAGGGCTCTCCATGACTGGATACCCCTGGAATTTTCGGCTCTAAGATTTGTCCACACTGAACCTCCAGTAATTCATCAATTATAGTTCAGCTTTTCTTACCCTGGCATTGGTTCCCACAGTGTTTTCCACTTCTGAGTCTCTACTCTGGTAATTAATTGGTGGCTCCCTGTATTAACCTGTCTACTCTAGGGGTGGAGGGGTGGGCAGCAGTTTCTCCTATGTCCTCCCCCTTCTTTTGAATCCAAATAAGTTGTTGATTTTTTTTTTGTTGAGTGATTTATTTGTTAGGATGGAGTGGCAACTTCCAAACTCCTTACACATGGAAACTTCCTGGCAGATTTTGTGTCACCACAACTAAACAGGAACAGGAACATGACACAATTAGAGACTGGGACGGATATGTTATCCTGCATGTTTATCTCGATCAGACGTAAACCTGAATTGGTACAGTCTTTAACGAATATGCAAAAAAGATAGTCATGTTGAAACATGAAGGTAATTAGAAATATTTTTGCCATTCCTCTAAATAAGTAATTGTCCAGACTAGATTTGCTAAATAAATCCTAACTGTAATCACTCATAAAAATATTTATTGATTGAGCACTTTTTTTCTGCTGGCTCCTGGGCCTATTATTAAGATGGAAAGATGAATAAGACCCAATGATGAGGAGTGAGCTAGGATATTGATTCAACCTTCCTGCTGAGGACACCTAGACTGTCTAAATGAAACATTAAAAAAAATTCTTAATGGCAGCAAAGAGCTAATAAAACAGTTAAGAATGATGAGAACAATATTTGAGGAGAAAATAATCCAGGAAGTAAACCTGGCATTGGACCCCTTCTTATCATAGAAGTAGTTACCAAATCTGGAAACACTAACTGAAAGATTGAAAAGCTGACAAGAAATGTTTGATGGATGTGCCAAACGAGTAAGATTAAACACAATGTACATCAGCATTTTCAGGAAATGAAGCATACTTTGAAATGACTTGGTTTATGAAATCAGAATGAAGTTTTCCTGGATTGCTAGTTTGTGTAATTACCTGACTGCAGCAATTGTAGAGCACTCTAAAAGAAGACAACACATCAACATCATCCCAGGACTCCAAGTATTATGTGTTTGTGCATGTCAGGGGGTGTTTTACAATTCTTATATACCACATCTGACACTCAGTCAACAGTAACCAAGCAAGTAAGGAGACAAGATCAGATGAATGAAAGGCAAGAAAAACATTCAACAATAGAAGAATATCTAGATAATGCATTTCAGAGACACATAATTAAAAATAAATGTTCAGGCTGGGTGCGGTGGCTCATGCCTATAATCCTATAATCCCAGAGCTTTGGAAGGCTGAGGTGGGTGGATCACTTGAGGTCAGGAGTTCAAGACCAGCGGCGGCCAACATGGCGAAACCCTGTCTCTACTAAAAAACACAAAAATTAGACAGGCATGATGGTGCACGCATGTAGTTCCAGCTACTTGGGAGGCTGAGGCAGGAGAACTGCTTGAACCTGGGAGGCAGAGGTTGCAGTGAGCAGAGATGGCATCACTGCTCTCCAGCCTGAGTGATAGAGCAAGACTCTGTCTCAAAAAAAAAAAAATGTTCAAACATGTTCAGGGAAATAAAGGATAGAAGTTTGAATTTTGGCAGAGAACGCAATATTAAAATAAGGAACTAAATTTATATTCTAGAGTGTAGACGCCTGAGATGGTGTGAGGAAGTCCACAGACCCATCTTTCATTGAAGTTTTACTGGTGAAATTAAAAAAGAAACCCAACCATTTACAATTATAGAGATTATCTTGAAGGCATACAGTAAATGAAATAGTTACTTAAGAACATGTAATAAATCTCAATATGAGTATTGACAGTCTGTGACACTTGAGCCCAACATGTTCCCTTCCCCTATCCCCAGTACAGTGTGATAGAAATTCTAATCTGGGTGGCTATAGCTAAGAATACAGGGTTACCTATTCTCTGGCTTAGTATTGTCTTACAGTATTCCCCTACAAAGTTTTCATGAAGGAATAGCTTCTCAGTATTTCTTATCCTTTCCAGCTCTGTGTTGCAAAAGCTCTATTCCAGGCAAGAGTGGCTGGGAATTGTGGAGCTCTCTTCCTACATCTAGCACCAGTAATAGGATAGAATCTCTACCTCAGGCACAGCAGGCCAAGAGTACTGGGTACTGCATTGCCCTGCCATCCACTTGTTCTTGAAATTTAGGTTTCATACTTGAAAAAGAAAAATGAGAAGACCAAAAGGTAATGTATTTTCAGCACCCAGCTCATTAATCAGGCATGCCTATCTGAGAGAAGTAGGCCACTGTTCATGCCCACAGCTCTGGAGAAATGGCACAGAGGTTTTTTCTAGGAAGAGAGAGCTCCGTAGCTATCCTCAAGGGTATTGACTTTATTTGTAAAAGAGCATAAGTAAGTTCAAACTTAAGGGTGCTGTTGAAAACAATGGAGGTTTTCTTGTCAAGCAATTAAGAAATGTGCAGTAGCCTCATGAGAACAAGTTAGCTAACCCATAGACCAACTAGGTATTTCAAAATAAAGTTCATCAAAGGAGATGGCTAAGATGAGCCCTCATGAAGTAACAAGTTCCAACTCTTGTGGCAAAGACGAACCTAAAGGGACAAACATTAAATTGGAACAGACTCAGGAGCAATTTATGCCCCAAGACATTGTTGAAAACAATAGAGCAATCGTCTGGTGTTTAGTGGAAGCTAACAGATTGGAATAAAACCAACAGAGACACACAGCTTAATAGAGAAATCTCATAAAGAGACAGTCCAAGAGGGCAATGATAAAAGTACTGTCATCACAGGGTGACTGTGCGCATGCTCAAGGCTGAGCCCTCTCTCTGAGGAGAGCTTTACAATTTTTATATACCACATCTGACACTCAGTCAAAAGTACAAGCAAATGAGGAGAGAAGATTACATGAATGAAAGGCAAGAAAAACATCAGAGTCTATACACTGTAGGGCAAATAGACATCACTAAAATCATCCACTCACATCACTAAACAAAGAAACAAAAAACTTGGATGGTAGGAGAGGGAAGGATCAGTATCCAATATTGCTACAAAATATTATCTAAAATGTTCAGTTTTCAAAAGGAATTACAAGACATGCAGAAATAGTAAAGTGTAATGTTTTCACAGAAAAAAAAAAGCAGGCAACAAAAATGCCTCTGAGAGAATTTAGAGAGAATAGAGATGTGAGCAAAAGACTTTAAAACAGCTGTTATAAACATGTTCACAGAACTAAAGGAAACTATACTTAAAGAAGTAAAAGTATGATGACATTATCTCATCAACTAGATTATAATAATAAAGAGGTAAAGTTTATTTTAAAAAGTAGTGAAAATTCTAAAGTTGAAAATTTAAATAAGTAAAATGAAAAATTTACTAGAAGTGCTCAACAGATTTGTGATGCTAAAGTTAGTCAACTTGAACAAAGATTGATAGAAATTAAATATTCTGAAGATCAGAAAAAGAATAAAGAAAATAGAACACAGCCAGCAGTGGTGGCTCACATCTGTAATCCTAGCACTTTGGGAAGCTGAAGCAGGCAGACTACCTGAGCTCACGAGTTTGAGACCAGCCTGGGCAACATGGCAAAACTCCATCTCTATTAAAGATACAAAAAATCAGCCAAGTGTGGTGGTGGGCGCCTGTAATCCCAGCTAGTCAGGAGGGTGAGGCACAAGAATCGCTTGAGCCCAGGAGGTGGAAGTGGCAGTGAGCCAAGATCACTCCACTGTACTCCAGCTTCGGTGACAGAGGGAGACTCTGCCTCAAGATATAATAAAACAAAACAAAATAAAATAAAATAAATAAATAAATAATAGAACAAAACTTTGAATAAATACGGAACATGAATAAGCATACAACCATACACACATGGCAGCACCAGAAAGAAAGAAGATAGAGAAAAAAATCAGAAAATGTATTAAAGAAATAATGTCTGAAAACTCCCCAAATTCAATAAAAATATTTATCTGTGCATCCAAGAAGCTTAACAAAATCCAAATAGAATAAACACAGAGACCAACACCCAGACATCTCACATACAAATGTTGAGGAATAAAGACAAAGAGATAAATTTTAAAAGCAACCAGAGAAAAACAACTCATTATATACAAGAAAACTGTAATAAGTATAACATCAGACTTCTCATCTAAAACAATGGAAAAGAGAAGCAAGTCAGGTGGTATATTCATAGTGCTAAAAGAAAATAAATACTGTCATCAAGAATCACATATTCAGCAAAATTGCCTTTTAAAAATAAGGATAAAACTGACATTCCTAGAAAAACAAAAATGATTTTTGTTTGTTTGCCAGCAGGCCGGCCTCATAAGCAATACTAAAAAACTTTCTAGTTTGAAATAAGTAATTCTAGAAAGTAATTGAAATCCACATGAAAAAACAAAAACCATCAACAAAAGGAATTATGTACGTAATTATCTAAGACAGTTTAATTACATATTTCTTCTCTTCTATTATTTAAAAAACAATAGTATAAAACAATGTAAATACAATTGTATACTGTTTCTTTAACATACATAAATGTAATATATTTGACTACAATAGAAAAAAGGAGGCAGAAGGAGGCAAAGTTTTATTGGAGTAAGGAGATGACAGTAGATAAATCCATAGAAACAAATAAAGAAGAGGTAAATAAAAAGATTATTATAATTAACTTTATGAACATAAAGTTGCTCCCCTTTCTCCCAGCTTCTTCAAACAACATACAATTATATAAAGTAACAGTGACAACAAGCTATTTTTTGGCATAGCAAATATACAGATATAATATATATAATAATAGCAGCACAATAAAGGGGAAGAAGAGTGATATTTCCTACCTACCCCTCAGCTTAAAATATGATAAATAAGAAGTAGATCTGGTAAGTCAAGGTATATGTATTATAAGCCCTAGAGTGAACATTAAGAAAATAAGTAAAAAATATAATACAAAATTACTAAAGAAATTTAAACATTATACCAGAAAATATTCACATAATGCAAAAGAAATCAGTAATGGGAAAGATGGGGAACAAAGTAGATAGACATATCGAAACAAAACAAAATCGACATATAGACAAGTATATTAATAATAACATTAATATGAATTAAGTAATCCAATAAAAAGAGACTGTAAGATTAAAGTACAAAATCTGACTATATGTTGTCTATAGAGAAACAGGTTGATGATACAAATAGATTGAAAGTAAAAGGATCAAAAAGACTTATCATGCAAAAAAGCAAACATAAGAAACTAAAGTGGCTTGGATACCCCATTCTCCATTATCTGCTTACTTCATTTTGCGTACCTGTATCAAAACATCTCATGTATCCCATAAATATATACACCTATTACGTACCCAAATAAATTATACATATAATATAAACACATATACACAAGGAAAAGGAAGTGGCTATACTAATTAATCTCTGACAAAATAAGCTTTAAAATAAATAATACACTAGAAAAAAAGAGATAATTTGTAATGATAAAAGGATCCATCAATCAGGAAAATATGACAATTACAAACATATTTGCACCTAACAAGAGAGTTCCAAAATATATAAAACAATAACTGCAAAAATAAAGTAAGAAACCATTTAACAATAGTAATTGAGACTTCAATACCCAGCTTTCTATAATGGATAGAACCACTAGGTAGAAGATAAACAAGGAAATAGAAAACTTAAATATTATAAATCCACCAGGCCTAAGAGACATCTGTGGAACACTCCTTCTAACAACAGCTGCAGACACATTCTTCTCAAGGGTGAATGAAACATTCAACTCAGTAGACCATATGTTAAGTCACTAAACAAGCCTCAATAGGCCCCATGCTTGCTTAAATGCAAAGTGTATTCTCCAACCATGATGCAATACATTAAAAAATAAAAAACAAAAAGAAATTTGAGAAATTCTTAAATAAATAAAAATGAAATAACACACCTCTAAATAACCAATGCGTCAAACAAAAAAAAATGGAGAGAAAGTTAGAAAATTTCCTTTTTTATGAACAAAAGTGAGAATACAACATACCAAAACTTATGGGATGCAGCTAAAGCAAGATTTAGATGGAAATTTATTACTGTAAGTGCCTATATAAAAAAGAAAGACCTCATATCAATAGCTTAACTTTCCAAATTAAGACACTGAAAAATTAAGAGCAAATGAAACCCCAAATCAGCAGAAGAAAAATAAATAAATATTAAGTGAAAATAAATAAAAAATAAGAAAAAAACAGAAAATTAACATGATCAAAAGTTAGTTGCCTGGAAACATCAACAAACAACAAATATCTAGATAGATTGACTAGGATGAGAAAAGAGAAGACTCAAATTGCTAAAAGCAGGAATGAAAGAGGAGACATCACTACTAATATTACAGAAATAAAAAGAATTATAAGACAATACTATGAACAAGTGTTTAACAAGAAATTAGATATGTAGGGGAAGTGGACAAATTCCTAAGCACAAACTACCAAAATTTTCTTTATAATAAACAGAAAATCTGAATAAACCTATTACAAGAGATAAGATCAGTGACCAAAAATCTCCCTAAAAGGAAAACCCTTGGTTCAAATTGCTTCATTCATGGTTTTTACCAACTTGATTAATACCAATTACTCACAAACTCTTTCAAAAAAATAGAACAGAGATTTTATCAATTCATTTTATGAGGCTAGTATTAATCTGGCACCAAAACCAAAGAAAGCTATCCATAAGAAAAGAAAATATCAGACCAGTTCTCCTTATTATTATAGATACAAAACTCCTCAAGGAAGCCAAATTCAGTAATACAAACAGAAATATACAGTATAATGAAGTAGGATTTACCCCAGGAAAGCAAGGTTGATTTAACATCCAAATGTCAATTAATATAAAAAACACCCTATCAATATTATAAAGGACATAAGCCACAAGATAATTTCAATAGATGAAGAAAACACATTTGACCAAATTCAACTTTTCATGATAAAAGCACTCAACAAACTAGAAAATTAAGGAAACTTCCTAAACATGTTAAAAGAATTATATGAAAAACCTACAGCCACCATCCTGCTTAATGATGAGAGACAATGCTTTACTCAAAAGATCAGAAGTAAAAAAGACAAGGATGCTTGTTGCCAATTCTATTCAACATTGTACTGGTGGTACAATCAAGGCAATTAAGAAAAATAAACAGAATGTGTTTACATCTGAATGGAAGAAATAACACTTTATTTTCAGATGACATGAACCTGGGTATAAAAAAAATTCTAAGAAATTTACAAAAGATTAGAACCAATTATTAAATTTTGAACTAATAAATTAATTGAGAAATGTTGGAATAGTCAAGGTAAATATCTAAAAATTAAGAAAATTATTTCACTTATAATAACTTCAGAAAGAATAAAATACTTAGAAATAAAATTGAGAAGTGAGCGATATGAAAACTACAATGTGTTGTTGAAAAAATTAAAAAGACATAAATAAATGGAAAGACAAACTATATTTATGTATGGGAAGGCAATATTTTTAAGATGGAGATACTCTTCAAGTTGATCTACAGATTCAACACACTATTGTATATTTCAAACTAGCTAGAAGAGAATATTTTAAATGTTTCCAATGCAAAGTAATGATAAATAATTGAGGTGATGAATATCCAAAATACCCTCATTTGATCATTACATATTGTACGCATGCATCAAAATATTACATGTATCTATAAATGTATACATTATTATGTATTAATTTAAAATACAATAAATAAATATTAAAAATAATATAGAAAAAAGAAAGCAAAACAAAATAAATCCAGGGTTTTTTTCAGAAATTGACAAGAGATACTATAATTAACAAGGAAATGTAAGGGGCCTAGAATGTAAAAAATGATGTCAAATATGAACAATGAAGACTCATACTTCCTTATTTCAAAATATACTATAAAACTACAGTAATCAAAATAATATGCTAACTGTAATGATAGTGAGACACACTGATGAAACAGAATTCAAAGTACAGAAATTAATAATTATATTTACAGTTAATTGATTTTTAAAAAATTTTGTGAGTACACAGTAAGTGTATTTATTTATGGGGTACGTGAGATATTTTGATAAAGATACACAATGTGTAATAATCACATCAGGGTAAATGGGGTATGTATCACCTTGAACATTTATCGTTTCTTCTTTTTTTCTTATCCTTCTAATCAATGGGAGGCATTTATCATTTCTTTGTGTTACAAACATTTAAATAATACCTTTTTGGTTATTTAAAAATGTACAATTATTATTAACTTTAATCATCCTATTGTGCTATAAATTACTAGATCGTATTCATTCAATCTAATGATATTTTTGTACCCTTTAACCATCCCGACTTCCTCTACCCCACTACCCTTCCCAGCCTCTGATAACCATCATTCTACCTTCTACCTCCATATGTTTAATTGTTTTAATTTTTAGCTTCCACATGTGAGTGAGAACATGTGAAGTTTGTCTTTCTGTGTCTGACTTATTTCACTTTACATAATGTCCTCCAGTTCCAGCTATGTTGCTGCAAATGACAGGTTCTCATTCTTCTTTATGGCTGGATAGCACTCCATTTGTATATGTACCACATCTTTATCCATTAGTCTGTTGATGAACACTTGGTTGCTTCTGAATTTTGGCTATTGTAAACAGTACTGCAATAAACATAGGAATATAGATATCTCTTCAACATACAGATGTCCTTTCCTTTGGACATATACCTAGCAGTGGAGTTGCTGGTTCATATGGTAGTTCTATTTTTAGTTTTTTGAGGAATATCCACACTGTTTTCCATAGTGGCTGCACATTTCTACCAAGAGTGTATGAGGATTTCCCTTTGTCCATATCTTTGTCAGCATTCATTATTGCCAGTCTTTTGGATAAAAGCCATTTTAACTGGAGTAAGATGATATCTCATTGTAGTTTTGATTTGCATTTCTCTAATAATCAATGATGGTGAGCACTTTTTAATATACCCCACTTTTTAATATACCCGTTTGCCATTTGTATGTCTTTTTTAAAGAAATGTCTATTAAGATCTTTGGCACATTTGTTAATCGGTTTATTTGATTTATTTTTCTATTGAGTTGTTTGAGCTCCTTATATATTCTGTCAGTTACTTCCTTGTCAGATGGATAGTTTGCAAATATTTTCTCCCATTCTGTGGGTTGTCTCATCACTTTGTTGATTCTTTACTTTGCTATGCAGAAAGTTTTTAACTTGATGTGATCCCATTTGTCCATTCTTGCTTCAGTTTCCTGTGCTCTTGGGGTATGACTCAAGAAATCTTTGCCCAGATTGATTTCCTAGAGAGTTTCCCCAATGCTTTCTTTGTAGTAGTTTCATATTTTCAGGTTGTAGACTTAAGTCTTAAATCTACTTTGATTTGATTTTTTTATGTGAGAGATAGGGGTGTAGTTTCATTCTTCTGCATATAGATATCCAGTTTTCCCAGAAAAATTGACTGAAGAGACTTGTCCTTTACCCATTGTATATTCTTGGCAACTTTGTCAAAAATGAGTTCACTGTAGATTTATTTCTGTGTTTTCTATTCTGCTCCATTGGTCTGTGTGTCTGTTTTTATGCCAGTATCATGCTATTTTGGTTACTACAGCTTTGTAATATAATTTGAAGTCAGATAATGTGATTCCTCCAGTTTCGTTCTTTTTTCTTGAGATGGTTGTGGCTATTCTGGGTCTTTTGTGGTTCCATATTAATGTTAGGATGATTTTTTTCTATTTCAATGAAACATATCATTGGTATTTTGATAGGGATTGCATTGAATCTGTAGATTGCTTTGGGTAATATGAACAATTTAACAATATTGATTTTTCTAACCATTGAACATGGGATATCCTTTCATTTTTTGTGTCCTCTGCAATTTCTTTCATCAATGATTTATAGTTTCCACTGTAGCACTCTTTCACTTCTTTGGTGAAATTTATCTGTTGCTGATACCTTTTTCAGATTGTTCATTGTTCAAATATAGAAATGTGGCTGATTTTTCTATGTTGATTTTGTATCCTGCAAATTTACTGAATTTGCTTATTAGTTCTATCAGTTTTCTTGTGGAATCCTTAGGTTCTTTCAAATATAAGATCATATCATCTACAAACAAGATTAATTTGACTTATTTCTTTCCAATCTGGATTCCCTTTATTTCTGTGTCTTCTCTGATTGCTCTAGCTAGGACTTCCAGTACTATGTTGAATAACAGTGGCGAAAGTGGGCATCCTTGTCATGTTCCAGATCCTAGAAGAAAGGCTTTTAGTTTTTCCCCTTTCAGTATGATACTAGCTGTAGGTCTGTCATATATGGCTTTTATTGTATTAAGGAATGTTTCTTCTACACCATTTTTGAGAGTTTTATCATGAAGGGATGTTGAATTTTATCGAATGCTTTTTTGGCATCAATTGAAGTAATATGGATTTTATTCTTCATTCTGTTGATATGATGTATCACATTGATTGATTTGCATATGTTGGAACATCTTTACATCCTTGGGATAAATTACAGTTGGTGATAATGAAAGATCTTTTTAATGTGTGGTTGAAATTTGTTTGCTAGTATTTTGTTGAGGATTTTTGCATCAATGTTTATCAGGGATTTTAGACTGTACTTATCCTTTTTAATGTGTCTTTATCTGGTTTTGTTATCAGAGTCATACTGACCTAACATAATTAGTTTGGAAATAGTCTCTCCTCATCTGTGTTTTGGAATGGTTTGAGTAGAACTGGTATTAAGTTCTTTTTTAAATGTTTGGTAAAATCCAGCAGTGAAGCCATCAGGTCCTGGGCTTTGTTTGCCTGGAGACTTTGAATTATGGCTTCAATTGTTATTGGTCTATCCAGATTCTGTATTTCTTCATGGTTCAATCTTGGTAGGTTGGATGTGTCAAGGAATTTAACAAATTCTTCTAGGCTTTCAAATTCATTGGCATATAGTTGCTCCTAGTAGTCTCTAATGATCCCTTGAATTTCTATAGTATCAGTTACAATGTCTCCCTTTTCACCTTTGATTTTATTTATGAGTATTCTCTGGTTTTATCCTTGCATGGTGTATTAGTCAGGGTTCTCTAGAGGAACAAAACTAATAGTAAAGATGTATATATAAAGGGGAATTTATTAAGGAGTATTGACTCACAGAATCACATGGTAAAGTTGCACAATATGCCATCTGCAAGCTGAGGAGCAAGGAAGTCAGTCCAAGTCCCAACATCTCAAAAGTAGGAAAGCTGACAGTGCAGACTTCAGACTGTGGTCAAAGGCCTGGGAGTCCCAAAGCTGAAGAACCTGGAGTCTGATGTTCAGGGGCAGGAAGCATCCAGCATGGGAGAAAGATGCAGGCAGAAGACTAAGACTAAGTTTAGTCCTTCCACATTCCTCTGCCTGCTTTTATCCTAGCTGCACTTGCAGCTGATTAGATAGTGTCCACTCATATTGAGCGTGTGTCTGCCTCTTCCAGTCCACTGACTCAGATGTTAGTCTCCTTTGGCAACACCCTCACAGACACACCCAAGACCAATACTTTGCATTCTTCAATCCCATCAAGTTGACACCCAAAATTAACCATTACATCTGGCAAGTGGTTTGTAGATTTTCTTTAACTTTTCAAAAAAACCAAGGTTTTGTTTTATTTATCTTTTTATTGTTTTCTTTGTTTCAATTTTATTTCTGTTTTCATCTTTATTATTTTTCTTCTAATAATTTTGTATGTGGTTTTCTATTGCTTTTTAAATTCTTTAAGATCCATCATTAGGTTGTTTATTTGAAGATTTTCTACTTTTCAGATGTAGTCACTTATTAGCATAAACTTGCCTCTTAATACTGCTTTTACTCTATCCCATAGGTTCTGGTGTGTTGGGTTTTCATTTTCATTTATTTCAAGAAATTTTTAAAATTTCTTTTTTTTTCATTCACCCACTGGCCATCCAGCAGCATATTGTTTAATTTACATGTATTTGTATAATCTCTAAAATTCCTGTTATTATTGCTTTCTATTTTTACTCCATATGGTCAGAAAAGATATTTTCCATAATTTCAATTTTTATAAATTTTTTAAGACTGATGTTGTGGCCAAATATATGGTCTATCCTTGAGAATGATCCATGTGCTGAGAAGAATAGAAATCTATTAGGACCATTTGGTCTATAGTGCAGATATGTCAAATGTTTGTTTGTTGACTTTCTGTCTGGGTGATCTGTCCAGTGCTGAAGTGGGGTGTTTAAGTCTCCAGATATTATTGTATTAGGGTCTATTTTTCTGTTTAGCTCTAATAATATTTTCTTTATATGTCTGGGTCCTCGAGCATTGGGTGCACATATAATTGTTATATCCTTTTGCTGAATTGACCCATGTACTATTATATACTGATCTCCATGTTTCTTTTTACAGGTTTTAACTTGAAATCTATTTTTTCTATATAAGTGTTATGTACTCTTGCTTGTTTTTTTGGTTTTGATTTGCATGGAATAACTTTTTCCATCGTTTTTGTTTTCAGTCTATGTGTGTCTTTATAGGTGAAGTGTGTTTCATATAGGCAACAGATTATTGTGTTTTGTTTTTCTATCCATTCAGCCACTCTTTGTCTTTTGATTACAGTTCAGTTCATTTAAATTTGATTTTATTATTAATCAGTAGGAACTTATTCCTGCCATTTTCTTATTTGTTTTCTGGTCCTCTCTTCCCTTCTTTATTCCTGTCTCCCTTTTTGTGAAGGTAATTTTTTTCCTGCTGGTATGTTTAAATTTCTTGCTCTTTGTATTTTATGTGTCTGTTGTAGGTTTTCTGATTTGAGGATACCATGAGGCTTGTAGATGCATTGTACGTAATTATTTTCAATTCATGACCACTTAACACTGATTGTAAAAGGAAACAGACTAACAAATAAGCAAAGAGAAAACCAATAAAAACTCTACACTTTAACTTCACCTCCCCATTTTTTAACATCTTGTTGTTAATAGTCATATCTTATTATACTGTCTTAAAAAGTTGTTTTAGTTATTATTTTGATAAATTCATCTTTTAGTCTTTCTCCTCAAAATATAAGAGTTTAAAACCTACAATTACAATGTTATAATATTCTGTGCTTGTCTGTGTACTTACTATTACAAATAAGTTTTGTACTTTCAGGTGATTTCTTATTGCCTGTTAATGTATTTTTCTTCCAAATTGATAAACTTTCTTTAACATTTTTGTAGAACAGTGCTGGTATTGATAATATCCCTTAGCTTCTATAAATCTGGGAAAGTCTTCATTTCTCCTCCATGTCTGAAGGACATTTTCACTGGATACACTATTCAAAGATAAAATGTTTTTTCTTCAGCATTTTAAATATATTATTCCACTCTCTCCTGGCCCATAATGTTTCCACTGAGAAGTCTGTTGCCAGACATATTGAAGTTCTTTTGTATATTGCTTGTTTTTTTCTCTTATTGATTTTAGGATCTTTCTTTTTCCTTTGACTTTTGGGAGTTTGATTATTAAATGTCTTGTAGTGGTGCTATATGCGTTAAATCTGCTTGGTGATCTATAACCTTCATATATTTGAATATTCATGTCTTTCTCTAGATTTGGAAAGTTCTCTGTTACTTTCCCTTTGAATAAAGTTTCTACCCCAATATATCTCTCTACGTCCTTTTTAAGGCCAACAACTCTTAGATTTGACCATTTTGAGGTTATTTTCTACAAGTTGTAGGCATGCTTTATTCCTTTTTTTTTCTTTTATCTCCTCTGTGTATTTTCAAACAGTCTGCCTTCAAGCTCACTAATTGTTTATTTTGCTTGATCAATACACTGTTGAGAGACTGATGCATTCTTCATTGTGTCAATCAATTTTTTTAGCTCTAGAATTTCTGCTACATTTTTAAAAATTATTTCAATCTCTGTTAAATTTATCTAGTAGAATTCTGAATTCCTTCTCTCTGTTGCCTTGAATATTACTGATCTTCCTGCAAGTGTGTCTTTTGAATTATCTGTTTGAAAGATCACTTATCTGTTATTCTGGGATTTATCACTGTTGCCTGAATTTGTTTATTTGGTGAGGTCATATTTTTCAGATGGTCTTGATGCTTGTGGATGTTCATTAATGTCTGGGTATTCAAGAGTAAGGTATTAATTGTAGTCTTCACAGTCTGGGATTTGCACTCATCTTTCTTGAAAAAGCTTTCCATGTATCCACAGAAAATTGAGTGTTGTGATCTAAGTCCTTAGTCACTGTAGCTGTATGTACATTAGAGGACACCCCAAGCCCAGTAAAACTATGACTCTTGAAGGCTTGTAGATGTTCCACCTTGGCGGTCTTGGGTAAGATCTGAGAGAATTCTCTAGGCTACCAGACAGAGACTCTTGTTCTCTTCCCTTACTTTACCCCAGACAAATGGAATATATGTCTCCATGCTGAGTTGCCTGAAGCTGGGAAAGGATTGACACAAGCCCATCTGTAGCCACCACAACTGGGACTTTGCTGGGTCAGAACTGAAGCCAACAGAGCAGTGAGTCTTGGCCAAGGTCTGTGGCAACCACTGCCTAACTACTACCAATTTCACTCAAGGACCAAGGGCTCTTCAGTTAGAAGGTGGTGAATCCAGCCAGACTTTTGTCCTTCCATTCAGGGTGGTGCACTCCCATGCAGCCCAAGGTAGGTCCAGAAATGTCATGCAGGAGCCAGGGCCTGGAGTCAGAAACCTTAGGAATCTACTTGGTGCTCTATTCTACTGTGGCTGAACTGGCCCTCAAGCCATGAGACGATGACCTTTACACTCTTCTTTCTTCTTTCCTCAAGCAGAAGGAGTCTCTCCCCATGGCCTCCCCAACCCCAGGCCCATGGCAAGTGCTACCTGGCTACCACCAATGACAATTCGAAGCCCAAGATTTCTTCAGTCTGCTTATGGTTAACACTACCAGGCCTCGAACTCTCCCTTTAGGGCAGTGATCGCCCCTCTGGCCTTGGGTAAGTCCAGAAATACCATCCAGGAACCAAGTCCTGGAATTGGGGACTCTAAGAACTCACATATTACCCTACCCCACTGTTACTGAGCTGGTACACAGGCTACAAGATGAAGTCTCCTTTACTTTTCCCTCTTCTTTTCTCAAGCAAAAGGAGTCTACTCCCATGACTACAACAGCTGGGAATGTGTTGAGTTACACCTGCAGCCATCACAGCACTGGGTCTCACCCAAGGTCCACAGCAAGTGTTGCCTGGCTACCACTGGTGTTGATTCAAGGCCCAAGCTCTCTCTAATTAGCAGGTGATGAATCTTTCCAGAATTGGGTGCCGCCCTTCAAGGCACCATGTTCTCTTCAGATTCAGTTTAGAAATATCATCCAGGAGCCAGGGCCTGGAATACGAGTTTCAGGACTCTGCCTCATGCTGTATCCTACTGTGGCTGAGCTGGTGTCCAAATTGCAAGACAAAGTCTTTTTTACACTATACTTTCCTCTCCTTAAGCAAAAAGAAACAGTCTCTTCTGGAACTGTGAGCTCCGCTGCCTGGGGTTGGGGGAGGGGTGACACAAGCACTCCCTTGGCTGTCCCAGGTTGTGTATCTCACTAATTTTTATGCACCCCAATTTCACTGGTCTTGAGCCCAGTAGAGCACAGAGACTTTCCCCAAAATTGCAGTCTTTGTGCCCTAGACTGCCTTTTGCATTTATTTAGAACCCCAGGGAACTTTAGCTCATAGTGCTGGAGCTAGCTGGAGCTCAAGTTCTGAACACTGGGATGGATGATTCCCCTGTAGCCAGGGCTGGTGTAAATGGTCCCTTTAGAGGGCTGGCCAAATTCTGCCCTGTGTTGCTTTCCACTGTGACAGGTAGCACTAATTTCCAAGTCACAGTCCCACAATAACTGCTGTCTGTCTCCCTGAAGCAAACAGATTCCATCTCTGTGCCACACAGCTACTGCTGGAGTAAGGGAGAAGGGTGGTGTTGGCAATTCAAGAATGTCTTTCTTACCCTCTTTGGTGCCTTTTCTTGCTTTGATGTTAAAACCAGGTACTGTGATCACTCACCTGATTTTTGGTTCTTATGAAGGTGCTTTCTTGTGTGAATAGTTGTTCAATTTGGTGTTCCTGTGGGAACAATTGCTGCAGAATTCTATTTAGCCATCTTGCTCCACCTCTGACTATTAAATGATTTTTAATAAGGTGTTAAGTCAACCTGATGGGTAAAGAATAGTCTTTTAAACAAATGATTCTGGTACAACAAATATCTTGATCAAAAAGAAAGAATTTGGAGCCTCCACCTCTTACCACACATATAAATTAACTCAAAATGAATAAATAACCTGCATGTAAAATCTCAAATTGTAACAATCTTAGAAGAAAACATAAGCATATATCTTCTTGACCTTATATTAGTAAATGGTTTCTTATATATGACACCAAAAGCTTAAGGAAACAAAATAAAAAACAAATAAATTAGACTTCATCAAAATAAAAAAAAACTTTTGTGCTTCAGCATATACCATCAATAAGTTAAACAGAGTGTTCACTGATTGAGAGAAAATATTTGCAAATTATATATCTGATAAAGGACTTTTACCCAGAATGTGTGTGTGTGTGTGTGTGTGTGTGTGCATGCATGTGTGTGTGTGTTTAAAGCTCTTAAAACTCCACATTAGGAAGACGAAATTCCCAATTGAAAAATGAACAAAGGATTTAAACAGACCTTTCTCCAAAAAAGATATAGAAATAGTAAGCACATGAAACTATGTTCAACATTATTATTTATTAGAGAAACAAAAATCAAAATCTCAATGAGATACCACTTCACATGCCCTAGGAGGGCAATAATGAAAATATCAAATGATAGCAAGTTTTGTCAAAGATGCAAAGAAATTGGAGCCTCATATGCTGCTGGTGTAAATGTAAAATAGTGCAGCCATTTTGGAAAACAGTCTGGCAGTTTCTCCAAAATATCCAGTTACCATATGGCCAAGCAATTCTATGACTAATTATATACTCAAAGGAAATTAAGACTTATGTTCACATAAAAACTTTTGTACAAAAATGTTCATAGAAACATTATTCATAATAACCAAAAATAAAAACAACCCAAATTTACATCAACTGATGAATGAATAAGGAAATGAGATATATCCGTACAATGAACTATTATAGAGCAATAAAAAACAATAAAGTACCGACGCATTTTACAACATGAATAAACCTTGAAAATATGTGAAGTGAAGAAGGCCATCACAAAAGACTACATATTGTATAATTCCCTGTGTAGAAAATATCCAGAAAAGGCAAATCTATAGAGGCATAAAATAGATTGAGTGATTACCAGGGCTGCACAATTTAGAGAAAAATGAAGAGTGATTGCTAATGGGCACTAGATTTCTTTTTGTGGTGCTGAAAATGTCCCAAAGTTGATTGTGGTGGTGGTTGCACAATTCTAAATATACTAAAAATTAGAAAGTTCTACACTTTAGAAGGGTGAATTATATGAATTATATCTTAAATCTGTTTCTAAAAAAATAAAATAAATAAAATTTTAGAACTAAAAACATAATAACCAAAATTAAGAATATACATTTAGGAGTATATTAGCCATGGCTGGATAAATAATTACTGAATTAAAAGGTCACAGTCTTTGAAAGATTTCAACATCATAAGTTCAATGATCACTAAAAATCTTAAGTAGTAGTAATTAAATGAAATCAACACCTAGCATAACATATAAAACCATTGAAAAACCAAAGATAAAGAAAACAAAAATTGCAAGAGCTCCAGGAATGGGGGAAGGAGAAGAAGATTACTTCCAAAAGGTCAGTAATAAGAGGGACATCAGACTGCCCAACAGAAACAATGGATGCTGATGACTATGGAATGCTATTTTCAAGGAGCTAAAAGAAAATAACTACCAACCTCAAATTCTGTACTTAATAAAATCTCCCTCAAATAATTAGACTCAAACTGTCCTTTTGTTGATTTCATAGTTTAGAATAATAAACGTTTAAATACAATAGAGTCAGTTGAAGTGAATTTACCTGTAGGAGCTCTAAGAATGGAATAGTAAATTATGTATGGAAGTATAAATGACAGCCTCACAATAATAGTGGCATATAAGTAGAATATAGCAAAGGCAGGTATATTCAAAAAGGCCCCAAAATATCAGAAATATTTGTGTGGGGGGGTGTGTATATTTGTATGTGTGTGTGTGAGAGAGAACAGAGCATGCTTGTGCATGCATTGGTATATGAAACTGACTGAGGGAGAAGTGAAGACCATTTCCAATGAATGGAAGTATAAAACAACTTTATATATTTAGAGAAATATACATTGATGAATGAAAATAACATCAAATGTAGGAGTTGGAAGAGATGAAAATTAAAATAGTAAGCAAGGTCAAATTCTAAAGGACATCTTATCATAATTATTCACAGGGTGTATGTGTGTGTGTATGGGTGTGTATGTGTATGTATGTGTGTGTGTGTGTATGTTGGTATATATTAGTAACAACTGGGACTTATTTTCAAAATATGTTTGTGTTCTCCACCAACATCCTCAAAGAAATGCTAATAATTTGTGGGTATATACATTTTGAAAAAAGCTTCTCAAGTAACTCTGATAATATTATTGTTAAAATGATAACTATGTATAATTAATAGAGGTTGGCATATATAATTTTTATTTCAATTAACACTGAGTATTTACTATGTGTCAGTGCAATAGATGCTGTCACGTGTTTTGTTCAGATCTCTCATTACCCAGATGCTATGAGGATTTGTTGATAATGACTCGTATTTCCTTTCTTCTCTTGAGAATTGCTCTCTGCTGATAAAAGCTTCATCACCAGTGAGGATCCCTGAGTAATGACTGACAGATATAGTGATAGAGTTGTACCCTTTTTTCTCAAAGAGGAATAATTGTGTAATATGACTTATGCTCCAGGGTACCTTGTGAAGCAAGAAAAGATCAGATGTTATTTGATGTTACTTGAGACCTCATTCTTACTTTTTTTCTTATTTTTCAGTTCTTTGCAGGTTTTCCTGAAAAGTATTTCTTCAATTCATGTGCATATAAGTCCTTGTCACATCTCTTCTTCTAGAGAATCCAGCCTTAGATATTTGGTAGCAGAAGTAATCCTAATAAGTAGACTGTAAAAATGGAATTCTGGAGTTGGAACACCCAGTAGTATGTGAGAGTTATGACTCCATTACTGGTGGAAAGTGGAGCTGTATGAATGCAATTGTAAAGGATTTCAACTGTGGTAAACTTGTGTGAGATAAAGCAGGAAATATACTGACTTGTGCAATCTTTGTGGTAGTAATAAGTATGTGAGTGATTAGAATGATTAGAAATCCTATGAAATTGAGTTGCTTTGGGTGAGTATATTTGACGATTTGAAGAAAGAAAATAATGGGCTTAGGCTTATTAATCACAAATGTAAAGTAAAATGTCAATCAGACAGTGTACTTGGCAGAATTTAAGGTGACATTTATCTACTATAACTGGACAGTAGAAAGAATAAAAGTTTGACTTCAGGATTTTTTTTTTTGGTAAGATTGGAATAAAAGGTAGAATTCTCAGCTTCAGCATGTCTACAATGACAAATTTATTCTTCTAATATAAAATGAGTTAGACCCTGGTAAAGACTACTAAAGAACCTTGAAGTGAACCAAAGCTATCCGGAACTCTTGGAGCTTGGAGAACTGGCCTATTCTCCCTTGTTGGAAGATGGACGTTCTCTTTTTTTGAAGATTATGTAGAAGCACCATAGGGTCAGGTGCCTTAATAAATGATGAGTTCTCTCCTCAGTATCTTCCCTTGACTCTCTGTAGTTACCAGATCCGTAACAAAGGTGATTAGCATGTTTAAAATATAGAAGTGCTGGACCTAGTAAAGAAATATAAGGGGTGTATGCTAAGGAGTTATAGTAGTTGGCTAACATATAGTGTGAAATATAAGAGAAATATTCCTGGTTGTGGATCCTGAGGGAACCAGATTCAGGAATATTGGCCCTAGAGTTGGATAAGAAAAACATTGTTGATATGGGGATCATCTTTTTTGGCCACTTTTAGAAGAGTTGGTTCCAATATAAATTTTGAGGCAATTTGTGGGAAACATGATATTAAATAAAATAGAAGTGCCAAAAATGTCATGTAAGACTATGAAAAAGGATCAAAAGACTCAGAGAAGTGGACATGGTCCAATGGGTCTCCTAAAGAAACCAAATGAAGCTCTCAAATGAGTATGTTTTCAGAGGTACAGAGGCCAACAGAGCCCACAGTATGTTTGGGGGCCACTAAGGAGTATGCTGTTGAGGAGAAGACCAGCATTTTTGAGAAACTTCATAATGCACGTCCTCTGTGGGTTAAACAAAAAAGATGATATTATAGGACTTGCCTTCCTAGTAGCAATAGGGCATGATAGGATTATAGAATAACAAGGAGGCACTTAACCATCAGAAGCAAGATGGGCATAATCACTGTAATGAGCAGCAAGGTTTGAATGGCTGCTAGGCATCTTCACTTGCAGGGAGATAATATTACTAAGAGTTCCTAGGCAAGATATTCCAGCAGCTAACATGGGTGTCACAATCACTTACACACTTTCTGGATCTAGCAAGTTCTCAGACACGTTACCTATCACCTGAAGGAGAAATTATATCCCCTTAAGAAAAAAAACTTTTCTCTTAAGTAAAACAATACTAAAAAAATGTATGCAATAATGATCTCATCAGTGTATCCTCACAGGGATCTGTAGCCATAAACTGGGGAAAATTAAATTATCAGATGTTTTAAGGACTGTTGAAGATAGAGCCTGAGTTGACACTGATAACCAGGGACTCAAATACCATAATGGTCTCTGTTAGAGGAGGGACATATTGGGGTCAGATAATAAATGATTTAACACCCAGGTTCATCTTGCACTGGGCCCTTCAAGTCCTCAAACCCATCAAATGCTGATATCCCTAGTTTCCAAATGTAAAATAGTAATGAACATATTAAGCAGTAGGAAAATCCCTCACATCTATTCCTTACTATGTGTTCTAAAAGCTATGTTGGAAAGAAAGACCAAGTGGAATCTCTTGAGATTGTTCCCTTTTGTAAAAGATACATTAAAAATGATACTGTGTTTCAAGGAAAATGGTAAAATTAGTACCACCTTCAAAGATGTAATGACATTCATTATGTATCCTCATTTAATTTAGCCATCTAGCCTATGAAAATCCTAGTTAGATTATAGAAGGTGACTTATACAACACCATAACTTTACGTAAGTTGTAGCCCCGATAACAGTTGTTGTGCTGGATGTAACATATTTTCTTGAGCAGATCTGGCACAGCCTTCAGAAACATTATATGCGGCTTTTAATCTTATATATGTGTTCTTTTCCATACCCATCAGGAGAAAGATCAAAGCTGTTTGCATTTACATAGGATATATAAGAATATGTATCCACAGTGTTGCTCTAGGCTTTTGTTAATTTTATTGCTGTCTATCACAATAGAAAAAAATTGAAAAAGTAGTCATCTCCATTAGCTTCTCTGTTTGGATCTTAGAGTCTAATTTTAGTCCTAGTTACAAAGTTGCTATCATACCTACACCCCCCCCCACAATCCCCCAAAAACCAATGGAATTTCTATTGATGTGTCTACCTCATTTTTACATAAACAACAGACACACACATATATACGCACATCCACACTACACACATATACTCCCACACCACACATCCTGCCATATATTTATTTATATTTTACAGTATTTAAATTTTTAAGCAATTCCATGTATTTTCCTCCTTGTGGACAACTTTGATGATTAGATACTTTCATTCATTGTGTATATTTAGAGAATAAGGCTTAGTAAAGTAAACTTGCTAAGGTTACATAAATATGAAACCATTACTTTTGTATAACTACATTGATGCCAAAATCTATGCTTTTTATCATGTTAACCTAGACCCCAAGGGACCTTCAGGTGGTCACTGAATCTTGTCTTAAAGGTTCCAGATATAGAACTATGTCTGGGTAACTTTAGGCCTGTATATAGCCATAATATGAGAGCAAGATATAGATTATACTGGAAAAGTAAAATAAGGGGGAAAATCCATACTGATTCATATATCTGCAATATAAAAAAGAAATGCTATATTATTTAAAAACATAAAATAACAGCAACAACAAAATGCAAACCAGAGTGATTGTATAGTCATGGGCATGAATTACAGTAGAATAAAGGAACAGCCTTGTTTGAAGAATTGGAAGCAGCAAAAGTATGAAAGGATATCTATTTGAAGTATTCTAAAACATTGTTCATTAATTTTTCTTCTCAGACCACATTTCTTCTTAATTTACATCAAGCCAAACAAATAAGTTAGGTGCTCTAAGTGAGCAGTCTCCAAGCTTTTTGGCACCAGGGACCAGTTTTGTGGAAGACAATTTTTCCATGGACGGAGTGGGGTGGGAGGGTGGTGATGGTAGTGGACGGTTTCGTGGTGAAACTGTTCCACCTCAGATTATCAGGCTTTAGAGTCTAATAAGGATCATGGAACCTAGATCCCTCACATGTGCAGTTCACAATATGGTTCACGCTCTTATAAGAATCTCATGCCGCCACTGATCAGACAGGAGGTGAAGCTTAGGTGGTGATGCACTCTCACCTGATGCTCACCTCCCTCTTGTGGCCCAGTTCTTAATAGGGTGCTCAGTACTGGTCCACAGCCTAAGAGTTAGGGACCCCCAGCTCTACATACTGTCCCAGAACAAGATCAATTTCCATTTATAATTCCTGACCCCACTCCCTTCTTCCAGTCAATGAAGTTGTTACTAATACCTTTAAAAGTGTACTTCTCTAACTAAGGGATTTTGAATTGCACAGTTTTGAACTGTAATGATGGGCATCCTCAGCCAATACTGCATTTTAATGTTCAGGAAAAACAGAGAATGAGAATATTAAATCTTTCTTACTCGTATTGATCTTCTACTTTATTTCTGGTAACATTTGATTTCCCTGAACTCTTCAGTTCAGTTGTTTCCTATCAATATGCCTCTGTTTTTTTTTTTTTTTTTTACAGTTAGAAGTAGAATATTAATTCTTCCAACTCATGAACATTGACTATCTTTCCATTTATTTCTATCATCTTCTATTTCTTCTATCAATGTTTTACAGTTTATAGCAACTTTCACATTCTTTGTTAAGTATTTTATTTTTTGATGCTATTGTAAATGGTGTTATTAATGTCTTTTGTGGATAGTTTGTTGTTAGTGTATAGAAATTGATGTTATAAAAGTGTTGGTACTATCCCAAGTAATCTACATATTCAATGCAATCCCTATCAAAATTCCTATGGCATATTTTCATTGAAATAGAAAAAATAATTTTAAAATTTGTATAGAACCACAAAAAAACTCCAAATAGCCAAATGAATCTTGAGGAAAAAAGGCTGGAGACATCACTCTACGTGATTTCAAAATTTACAAAGTTACAGTAATCAAAACAGCATGGTGCTTGAATAAAAATAGACATATTAAACAATGTGTTAGGATAGAAAGCCCAGAAATAAACCCACATATTTGTGGTCAATTAATTTTGTGTTATTCTTTTGTTTCGTTCTTTCTCTTTTACTGTCTGCCTTTGTAATTTAATGATTTTTTGTAGTGGTAAGCTTTGATTCCCTTCTATATTTTATACACCTACTGCAGGTTCTTTCACTGAGGTTACTATGAGACTTACGTAAAATATGTTATATTTATAGCAGTCTATTTTAAGCTGATAGCAATTTGATTTTGATATTATTTTAGTTTTGCATACAAAAACTCTATACATTCTTCTCTTCCCATATTTTATGTTATTGATGCCACAATTTATCCATATTTTATATAGCATAGATCATTTAACAAATTATTGTAGCTGTTATTTTTGATACTTTTTCTTCTACTTTTTTATTAGAGTTAAAAGTGATTTATGCATTATCAATACAGTATTTGAGTATTCTGAATTTGACTATATTCTTACTTTTATAGTGTGTTTTATACTTTTAGCATTTTTATAAAGCAGTTCTATTGATAATAAACTTCTTTGGAATGTGTTTTTGTCTGAAAAAGTCCTCGTCTCTTTTCTGAAAGACAGCCTTACTATTTATAGTGTTCTTGGTTTGCATTATTTTCCTTCAGTGTGTTAAGTATATTATACTACTATCCCTTGCCTGCAAGGTTTCTGTTGAGAAATCTACTGGTAGTCTTATAAGTGTTCCCTGGTATGTGGTGAGCTGCTTTTCTCTTGCTGTTTTCAAAATTCTCTCACTGCATTTGATTTCTGAGAAATTGATTATAAAATGTCTTGGTGAAAATCTCTTTATATCCATTTTATTTGGGTTTTGGGAACTTCATGGATTTTGATGTTTATCTCCATACTTGAAGAGTTTTCTGTAATTATTTATTCAAGTAAGCTTTCCGTCTCTTTCTCTCTCTAATCCTTTATGTAATTTCCATAATACATATATGCATTTCCTTGATGTTGCCTTGTAGGTCCTGTAAGCTTTCTTCACTCTTTTTGTTTTCTTTTTAGTTTCTGTTCCTTTAACTGTGTCATTTCAAATGTTCTGTCTCTGGATTCACTCATTCTTTCCTCTGCCTGATCAAGTCTGCTGTTCAAGCTCTCTGTGAAACTTTTTGGCTCAGCCCTCATATTCTTTAACTCCAGAATTTCTGTTTTATTAATTTTTATAGCTTCTATCTTTGTTAAACTTCCGTTTTTGTTAATAAATATTTTTCTTTTTGCTCTTTTTAGTTGTATTTCTTATACCTCACTGAGTTTCTTCTAGATGACTATTTTGAATTCTTTATCTGGTGGTTCATAGATCTTCATTTCTTTAGGGTCTATATCTGTTGCATTATATTGCTCCTTTGGTAGTGTCATGTTTCCCTTATTATTACTGATTCTTGTGGCTTTACATTGGTGTTTGAGCTTTTGAAGAAGTGGATACCTATTCTAATCTTTACAGACTGGCTTTGACGAGAAAGCTCTTCACCACACAGCCTGTCATAGATTCTTAGTGGGCCATGTGGTGAGGTCTGCAGGCAGACCTGCTGCTGTAACATGAAAACAGGGTGTCTTGGTTTGGTTTCTGGGTCAGCGGGTAGGCAGGACTGGCACCTAGATCCAAAGGCACCAACTAGGTGCTTGGGAATGTGGAGTCAGACCTGGAACCTGGCTCCCCCAGGGCAAGCCTGGAGATTGGGTCCCCTAGGATAGGCATGAATCCTGATCCCATATAATCTGGCCTGGTTTCATTAGGTCCTAAAGGTAGGAGCCTGTCAACTGGATCCATAAGGGCCAACCTGCAGCTGTGTTTGTTGAGACCAACTTAAAATCTGGGTCCACAGTAGCTGGCTTTCTGCTGGTGTTGGCTTTGAGCCTGAGTCTGCAAAGATCAGTCTGACTCTGGGGTGAACATGGTGTCTGCGTCCACAGGGGCATGCCTGAAATTTAAGTTTAAGAAATTAAACACTTTTTAAAGTTACGGAATCTGATCAAGATGTTATTAAGTGACCTACTACCCAGTGAGAGAGAGGATTAGGCATAACTTATTTGGGGTGGCAGTTATTGTTAAATAATAAAACCAATTCATATTTATTCCCTAGTGAATTTAAATTCCACAATAAACTAGTTTAAGAATTCATCACAAAGTAATTTTGTATCTTACTGTATTGATAAAAGGCTAGAGAACTACATATAGAGTTAGGACAGGAAAAAACTAGAACACCAAAACTCTTGTGCCACTATCACAAAAATAAATGTTCTCCAATTATTTTTTACTTTCATATGTGATTTAGCTCAAGATTCAATTACTGAGAGTAGTTTATTTGGCTAAAATTAGGTCACAGACCTACTCCTTGGCCATATGACTAATAAAAGTCTGAAAGAAAGACTTTATTAGAACCTTCGAAGGCCATTTGTTTTCACAGCAGAAAAACATGGTGTTTGAATTTACTCTCCTACCAGTACTGTCCCCAGTGGCACAGGGTGAATTTTCTAAAATGAAATCTAGTTGCTGTCAGAAAGGGAAAAGTAAAAAAACAAAAAACTAAAAGCACACATATGCACAATCTTGTGTTAGAACTGGACACAAAAAAAGGACCAAGCATTAGCAATAAGTCAAAAGGCTATTTATTAGATGACTAGCTAGCTCCTCAATGTATGATGATGTTATTTTATATAGAGAATACTGAGCCTAGTGTGTTTATAGTTCACGGTGTGGTAACCTTAGGGGAGAGTAAATAGGACTGAGAGGGTGGAAAGTCAAATAGGGCATGCAAAAAGACACTGTGACCAAACTCTAGGTGGTAACTAACCTATGTTCATACTTTAGCTTATTTTCTCATATAGTCTGAACCTGCTCCCTGTCCTCAGGTTTACATTTAAATTCTTTTAACTTCATTTTCACATAATCTTGGACAAATAAATAAGAATTGATTTTAGTATAATATCAATTATGGGTCAAATTTCTAATGTATTCAGTTTAATGAAACTTTGTTCTCTTTGAAAGTTTTATTATGTGGATATAGCTCATGGGATTCTTTTGTAACTGAAAGACAAAAATGCTTGCTCACCTAAATATATATTTTCAGGGAATATTCATGCATAATTAAACTTTTGCCAAAAAGTAAGTGGATTAAGAAAACTCCAAGTAGTTAACTCTAAAAGGCATTTGCTTCCTATATTGACCAATTAATTTTTACATTGTCAAGGACTTTCAGAATTTCCAAACCTTATGTTACATAGACCAATTTCGAAGAGACTTTTAGTAATTTATGTTACCGTTTAGCTCGCAGGACATTTCCTGGCATTATGATGTTATGTGTATTTCATATATTGATTCTATGTGTGGCTGCCTATGGTTTGTTCTATGAATTAGCTCATGAAAATTTAGGCAGGCCGTTGGGTGATTGGAAAAGCTATTCAGTTGGCTTTGATAATAAATGAGGAACTGTATTAGTCTGGGTTCTTCACAGAAAGAGAAACAATAGATCTATATCTACCTATCTATCCATCATTTACCTAATTTATTTTAAGAAAATAAAGGAACTGACTCATGCAATTGTGGAGATTAGCAAGTCCAACTTCTGCAGGATAGGCCAGCAGACGAGACCAAGGGAAGAGTTGATGTTGTAGCTCAAGTCCAAAGGCAGACTGCAGGGAAAACTTCCTCTTCTTTGGGTGAGTCAGTCTTTTTTCCTTAAGGCCTTCAATTTATTGGATGAAGCCCACCAACATTGTAGAGGGTAGTATGTTTTATTCAAAACTCCTGATTTAAATGTGAATGTTATCTAAAACAATACATTTGTAACAGCATCAAGACTAACGTGTGACCAAATATCTGGGTATTGTGGCCTAGCCAAATTGACACACAAAATTAACCATCACGGGAACTCTTTTCCACCAAAGAAACTTGTCCACATAGATCTTCTCTGATACCTCTGTAGGACATTGTCATGTCAGAACTAGGAGAGGCTTCATTCAGAATTCCAGCTTTTGTATATTCTTTGATTATCTTAGTAAGTTTCTCTTCCAACTCTCTGTTTCTTCATATGTAAATTGTATAAGAATATATCCTTTTAGAAATTTTATAAAGATTATATGCAATGTATCACATATAAAAATATTTAGTGTCCATTGATTTGAACACATTGCTTTCTTCACATCCCACTCAAAATCATTTACCAAAGTAATCTGAATAACAAAAACAAAATGATCTATTCAAGAAAATTTAGTTCATATAGTCTACTCTCAACACCTTCAAAATTATCACTAAAATATTTTGAATAAAATAAACTATTTATTAAGAATATCTTACTTTGCATTTAAACTCTCCTACAGAAAGTGGGTAAGTGAAGAATTTTTTTAAAAGACTAATAAACTATACTGTTGGCAAAACATCTTCCCTTCATTGTACTGTATGGCTAAAGTAAATATTTTATAAAGTGATTACACTGATCATATGGTCTGAATTTGTTCTTTCAAAAGAGTATATTGTACTACATTTGTATGTAACCAAACATGTCAGTGATATTTAGATAACAATTTGGTTACTTCTGTAAATGCATTAAAAAGCATTTTATCCAGATAAATTATATATCGTTTAACAAGTGATGAAAGCCTACTATATATCTGTTATCCATGCCTTGCAATCCTGGCATTTTATCATTTCAACACCTAGTTTCAACATTGGTCATGAGCGTGTTTTACAATCCATTCGTGTTGTCATTCATTGCTGGAATCCATGATTTTTTGACTTTGAAAATGCATGAGATAGGTGAAATTTGACTGGTGAAAGACTTGTTGCTTTTGACAGAAAACTACAAATCTGCCCTGAGGGACTGCTCTAAATCTGAGGAGTAAGTTTGTGATTTCCCAAGAGGCACTTCGAGATGTTTTTTATAACCTTAGCATTACCTATTCCCAATTGAAAAACGTCTTGATGAATATGAGGCTTTGTGGCATTGTAAAAGGAACACTGGTAAAAATCCAGAGTTTTGGCTTCCTGGTTAGGCTCTGTCACTCTGTGAGTTTAGGTAAGTTAATGCACACTTATAAATTTTCATTGTATAATCTGTAAAAGGAATAGGTGGAAATGGTGGTGGTGTTTGAAAGAACCATGTCTAAGTGGTCTCCCTGTTAAAGGATTGTATTACTTTCCATTATAGTATCAAGCATTTCTGGTTTTGCTTGCCATGTGAAAACTTTGACATCAGTGTCTATGTTTGGGACATCTTGCATTTATGAAATATATTTTGTTATTAGCATTTTAATACAAATGTAGCTGCATTGGTATTTTGGGAAGCTATTTTTCCCCATATGAAATTTTAGCCCTCTGTAATATTACAATACTAGAAGTTTTGGCCGTAAGTGAAACACAAAAAGAGTAAATTCAATGTCTTCTATTCTACGTCTTTTGAACATACTCAGGGAACTTGCTTGAATCTGTTTGTTCTGTCAATAACATTGTTTTTCACCGAAAACCTCTCTTTAGCACTCTCTCATACACAATTGCATGTACATTCACAAATTCTTAGTTTATATAACTCCAGTTTATGACCACCTCAAAGATACAAATACTTATTATCTTTTTTTTTTTTTTGAGATAGAGTCTTGCTGTATCACCTAGGCTACAGTACAGTGCCATGATCTCTGCTCACCGCAATCTCCACCTCCTAGGCTCAAGCCATTCTCATGCCTCCGCTTCTTGGGTATCTGGGACTACAGGTTCAAGCCACCATGCCCAGCTAATTTTTGTATTTTTAGTAGAGATGGGGTTTCGTCATGTTGGTCAGGCTGGTCTCGAACTCCTGACCTCAAGTGATCCACCCGCCTTGGCCTCCCAAAGTGCTGGAATTACAGGTGTGAGCCAGCATGCCCGGCCACTTATAGTCTTTTAATTGTGAAACAATCAGTATTGCTCCTGCTCATTTGCATATTCTAAATTTTTATTCATTGTTACATTCATTTGTTCACTCATTTATTAAATTATTTACCCAGGATCGTATAGTTTTAGAAAGCTTTATGTTAGATTTACCTTCTTGAATCACTACCACAACATTCTTAAATCATCTATCAAAGTAAATATGACCATCAATTTTAAGACTGAATCTTGAATAGGGAGAAAATTGGTTTTCCTGTACAAAATTTTAATTGTTTTTTTATGAGAGCTATCAATATAGTACAAATGTATCTACTTTATATGTTCTACTCGATAAATTTTGACAAATCAACAAAATCATAATATACACCATTACTATATCCTCAAATGTTCACCCATGTTGCTGGGTAATCAATACCATCCTTTCAATCCTAGTGTCTCACAACCACTGATATAATTTCTGTCACTATAATTTTTCCCTTTCTAGAACTTTATATAAATGGAATAATGATATCTATTCTTTTATATCTAGCTTTTTCTAGCTTTTTCAATTAGCATAACATATTGAGATTCATCTGTGGTTCATGGATCAGTTATTTTTAAGTAATATGGGTGCCCTAAGTTTTCACATAAATTATAGAATCAGTTTGCCAATTTTAAAAAAACATACTAAGAGTTGATTGTACTTAACTGAACTTAAATATCAAATAGGAGATAATTGACATGTTAAGATAATTGTATTCCAATGCGTGAGCATAGAATTTCTCTCCATTTATTTGGTTCCCTTAATATATATCAGCAATATATAGTATTCTTCAGTATATTGGTCTTGCACATGTTTTACTAAAATTTTTCTCTAAGGATTTCATAATTTTTTAATCCCACTGAATGTCGTATATTTTTATTTATTTTTTGAAGGAATTTTTATTTTGAGGTTTAGTACAATTTTCCAGTTTATTGAGATATAATTGATGTACAGCTAATTGTCCATAGTTAAGGTATACAATATTGTGAGTTTGGACATATGTATTCACTTGTATTACTGTCAGCACAATCCAATTAATAAACATAGACATGACCTCCAGAAGATTCCTTGTGTCCCATTGCTCCTTGTGTGTGGGGGTCGGGTTGTGGGGTAAGAACACTTTAACATGAGATCTACAATTTTGAAAAGTGTTTAAATACAAAATACTTTTTCATTCACTGTAGGCACCATGTGGTACAGCAGATCTCTGGAACTTTCTCATTTTTTGTAACTGTAACTTTATACTTATTGAGCAACATGTCCATCCCTGTTAACCACCATTTTATTGTCTACTTCTATACATATGATGATACCTTTATATTTTTGCCTCATTTAAGAGGAATCATGCACCATTCGTTCTTCTGTGACTGACTTACTTCACTTAGCATAATGTATTCCAGGTCCATCCATGTTGTTGCAAGTGATGGGATTTCCTTCATTTTTTAAGTGAGGAATAATATTCCTTTGATTACATATACCATAATTTCTTTATCCATTCAGTTGTCAATGGACATTTGTGTTGTTTACATATCTGGGCTATTGTAAATGATACTACAGTGAACATAGAAGAACAGATATCTTTTTTGAGGTGGTGATTTCAATACTTTCAGACATATACTCAGAAGTGGGATTACTGAATCATATAGTTAGTAGTTCCATTGTTAATTTCTGCGGAATTTTATCTTTTTGATAAAATGATTTCCTTTAGGTAGATACCTAGTAGTGGGATTGCTGGGTTGAATGGCAGATTTATTTTTAGTTCTTTGCGAACTCTCCATACTGTTTTCCATAGAGGATGAATTAATTTACATTCACCCCAACAGTGTATAAGTGTTCCATTTTCTCCACATCCTCACCGTACCTCTTTATTTTTTGACTTTTTAATAATAGCCATTCTGGCTGGTGTAGGATAATATCCCATTGTGGTTTTAATTTTTATTTATCTGATGATTAGTGATGAGAAGTTTTTCATATGTTTGTTGGCCATTTATATATCATCTTTGAGAATTGTCAGTTCACGTCTTTTGCCCACTTTTTAATGGAGTTGTTTTCTCCTTGTTGGTTCTTTACCTTATAGATCCGGGATGTTAGATCTTTGTTAGATGCATAGCTTGCGAATATTTTGTCCCATTCTGTAGGCTGACTGTTTGCTTTGTTGATGGTTCCTTTTGCTGTGCAGCAGCTCTTTAGTTTAATAAGTCTCTTTTGTCTATTTTTATTTTTCTTGTATTTGCTTTTGAGGTCTTAGTCATAAATTATTTGACAAGGTCAATGTCCAGAAAAGTTTCTTCTAGGTTTTCTTGTAGAATTTTATAGTTTCAGTTCTTATGTTTAAATCTTTAATCCATCTTGAGTTAATGTTTGGGTAAGTCTGTACATTAAAAGTGAGCATTACACTAAGTGAAATAAGTCAGTCACGGAAGCATAAATAGTGAATGATTCCTCTTAAATGAGGCATCTATAAATGAATAGTCATAGGTATAGAAGTAAACAATAAAGTGGTGGTTACCAGGGATGGAATGGGATATGAGGACATGTTGCTTAATGGGTATAAGGTTGTATAGTTTGAGGTCTTACATTTAAGCCTTTAAACCATCTTTCATTACTTTTTGTTTATAGTGAGAAGTAGGAGTCCAGTTTCACTGTTCTGATAGCCAGTTTTCCCCGCACTATTTACTGAATAGGGTGTTCTTTCCCCATTGTTTATTTTGGTCAGCTCTGACAAACACCAGTTGCCTGTAGGTGTGTGGCCTTATTCCTGGGTTCTCTTTTCTGTTCCATTGACCTATGTGTCTATTTTTGTACCAGTACCATCCTATTTTGGTTACTATAGCCTTGTAATATAGTTTAAAGTTGGGTAATGTGATGCCTCTGACTTTGTTGTTGTTGTTATTGTTGTTTATTGTTTTCACTATTTAGGCTCTTTTTTCAGTCCATATACATATAATTTTTTTCTATTTCTGTGAAAAATGACATTGATATTTTTATAGGAATTATTTTGAAGCTGTGGACTGCTTTGGGCAGTACAGTCATTTTAATGATATTAATTCTTCCTGTCCATGAACATGGGGTATTTTTGCATTTGTTTGTGTCATCTATGATATTTTCATCAGTACTTTATAGTTCTCTTTGTAGAAGTCTTTCACCTCCTTGGTTAAATGTATTCCTAGATATTTTATTATTTTTGTGGCTATTTTAAGTGTGATTGAGTTCCTGATTTGATTGTCAGTTTGAGCATTGTTGGTGTAAAGAAATGCAAATGATCTTTGTGCATTAATTTTGTATCTTGAAACATTACTAAAGTCACTTATCAGGAGTCTTTGGAAGGAATCTTTAGGGTTTTCTTGGTATAAGATTGTGTAATCAGTGAACAGAGATAATCTGACTTCCTCTTTTCCTATTTGGATTCATTAATTTTTTTCTTTTGCCTGATTACTCTGGCTAGGACTTCTAATACTATGTTGAACAGGAGTGAGGAGCATGGATCTCCTTGTCTTATTCTAATTGTTAGAGAAAATGATTTCGTCTTTTCCCCATATTCAGTATGATGTTGCCCATGGGTCTGTCATAGTTGGCTCTTGTTATTTTGGGGTATGTTCCTTTGATGCCTAATTTGTTGAGGGTTTTTATCATGAAGAGATGTTGGATTTTATTGAATTATTTTCTTTTATCTTTTGAGATAATCATATGGCTTTTATTTTATTTATTTATTTATCTTTTTTTTTTTTTTTTTTTTTTTTGAGATGGAGTCTTGCTCTGTCACCAGGCTGGAGTGCAGTAGAGTGATCTTGGCTCACTGCAACCTCCACCTCCCAGGTTCAAGCGATTCTCCTGCCTCAGCTTCCTGAGTAGCTCGGATTTGCGTCACCATGCCCAGCTAAGTTTTTGTATTTTTTTGTAGAGATGGGGTTTCACCATGTTGGCCAGGGCGGTCTCAATCTCTTGACCTCGTGATCCACCCACCTCAGCCTCCCAAAATGCTGGGATTACAGGCGTGAGCCACCGTGTCTGTCTGGTTTTTATTTTTAATTCTGTTTGGGTGGTGACACATTTGTTGATTTGCATACGTTGAATCATCCTTGCATCCCTGGAATAAAATGCATTTGACCATGATGAATTATCTCTTTAATGTGCTGCTAAATTTTGTTTGTATTTTATTGAAAACTTTTGCATCTATGTCCATCAGAGATATTGGCTTGTAGTATTTTTTGTTGTTATGTTCTTATCAGGTTTTGGTATCAGGATGATACTGATTTCATAAAATGAGTATCTGTCCTCCTTGATTTTTTGGAATTGGTTCAGTAAGATTCGTAGTATGTATGGTAGATTTGACTGTGAATCCATCTGGTCTTAGATTTTTTGGTTGATAGGTTTTTTTATTGCTGATTTAATTTCATAAATCTTAATTCAGTCCATTTGGTATTTCAGTGTACTCCTGGTTCAATAAGGAGCAATTACATGTTTCCAAGAATGTGTCTATTTTCTCTAGGTTTTCTAGCTTGTGCTCATAGAGATGTTCACAGTAGTCTCTGAAGATCTTTTGTATTTCTGTGGTATCATTTGTCACATCACCTTTATCATTTCTGATTGTGCTTATTTGAATTCTCTCTCTCTCTTTTTTTTTTTTTTGAGACATGGTCTCACTTTGTCACCCAGGCTTGAGTGCAGTGGTGTGATCTCAGGTCATTGCAGCCTTGACCTCCTGAGTTTAAGCAATCCTCCTGTCTCACCTGCCCAAGTAGCTGAGGTTACAGGCATGCACTACTGGACCTGGCTATTTTTTTTTTTTTGTATTTTTTATAGAGATGGGGTTTCAACATGTTGCCCAGGCTGGGCTCGAACTCCTGAGCTCAAGTGATCTTCCTGCCTCAGTCTCCCAAAGTGCTAGGGTTACAGGAATGAGCCATCGCACCCAACCAGTCTCTTATTTTCTTGGTTCATCTAGCTAGCAGATCATCAGTTCTATTTATTCTTTCAAATAACCTGCTTTTTGTTTCATCAATCCTTTGCATGACGTTTTTGCCTCAATTTCATTTAGTTTAGCTCTGATCTTTGTTATCTCATTTCTTTTGCTAGCTTTTGGTTTGGTTTGTTCTTGTTTTCATAGTTCCTTAAAGTGCAACATCAAGTTGTTAATAAGAGGCCTTTCTGATTTTGATATAGGCATTTAGCACTGTAAGCTTTCCTCTTAACACTATTTGTGCTGTATCCCAGAAGTTTTGGTGTGCTGTGCCTCTACTTTCATTTATTTCAAAATTTGTTTTTGATTTCTGCGTTAATTTTGTTGTTTACCCAAAGTCATTCTGGGGCAGGTTGTTTAGTTTCCATGTATTTGTGTGGTTTTCAGAGCTCCTTTTTGGGTTTATTTCTAATTTTATTCCACTGCGGTCTGAGAAGATGCTTGATATGATTTTGATTTTGGAATTTATTGAGACTTTGTTAATGATCAAGCATATGGTCAATTTTGGAGAATGTTCCATGCATAGATGTAAAGAACATGTATTCTGCCATCATTGGGTGAAATGTGCTGTAGATGCCTAAGGTCCATTTGGTCAAAAGTCCAATTTGAACCCAAAGCTTCTTTGCTAGTTTTCTGCCTCAATCATCTGTCTAGTGTTGTCAGTAGGGTGTTGAAATCTCCCATTATTATTGTATAGCTGCCTGCCTCTTTCTGTAGGTCCAGTAGAAACTGTTTTATAAATGTGGGTGCTCTGGTGTTGAGTGTGTATGTATTTAAAATAGTTAAATCTTGTTGACTTGAAGTCTTTATCATAATATAATGCCCTTTTTGTCTTTTTTAAAACTGTTGTTCGTTTAATGTCTGTTTTATCTGATACAGTAATAGCAACCCCTGCTGTTTTTTGGTTTCCATTTGTGTGACATGTATTTCTCTGTCTCTTTAAGTATGTGAGTGTCATTACAGGTTAGGTGAGTCTCTTGAGAGCAACAGATGATTGGGTCATATATGTATATTATTATTATTATTATTATTATTATTATTTTTGAGATAGAGTCTCGCTCTGTCACCCAGGATTGAGTGCAGTGGCACGGTCTCAGCTCACCTCAACCTCCGCCTACCGGGTTCAAGCAATTCTCCTGCCTCAGCCTCCTGAGTAGCTGGGACTACAGATGCACTTCACCACGCCTGGCTAATTCTTATATTTTTAATAGAGATGGGGTTTCACCATGTTGGCCAGGCTGGTCTCGAACTCCTGATTGGGTCTTATATATTAAATCCAATTTGCCATAGTATATTCTTTAAATGAAGTATTCTGTCCATTTACATTCAAAGTTGATATTGACATGTGAGGTTTTGTTCCTGTCCTAGTGCTGTTAGCTAGTTGCTTTGTAGTTTCAATTGCATAATTGCTTTATAGAATCTGTTAACTTTTTACTTACATGTGCTTACATATGCTTTTTATGGTAACAGAAGTATTGTGCTTTCATTTCCTTTAGGTTTGTTTTTCTGGGAAAGATTTTATTTCTCCTTTATTTATGAAGCTTAGTTTTGCAGGATGCAAAATTCTCGTCTGGCAATTTTTTTTTAAAGAAGGCTAAAAATAGGCCCCCAATCTCTTCTGTCTTGAAAAAGTTTCTGCTGAGAAGTTTACTATTAGTCTGATGGGATTACCTTCCTCAGTGATTTGGTCTTTTTCCTTAGGTGCCTTTAGGATTTTTTTCTTTAGCATAGAACTTAGATAATCTGATAACTATATGCCTTGGTGATGCTAATTTTGTATAGTATCTTACAGGTGTTCTCCAAATTTCTTATATCTGAATGTCTACCTCTCTAGCAAGATTAGGGATATTTTCTAAATTATTTCCCCAAATATCTTTTCCACATTTCCTTCTTCTTTCTCAGAAATGCCAGTGAGTTATAAGTTTGATCCATTAGCATAATCTCAAATTTTTCAAAAGCTTTGTTCATTTAAAAAATTATTTGTCTTCATTTTTGTATGATGGGGTTAACTTTAAATTCTGGGCTACAGCCTTTGAAATTCTTTCCTCTGCTTGGTCTAGTCTGTTGTTAAAGCTTTCAACTGTGTTTGAAATTTCTTCAGTGAATTTTTTATTTTTAAAAGTTCTGTTTGGTCTATTTTTTAATATAGCTATCTCATCTTTCATCTCCTGCATTACTCTTCTGATTTCTTTGTGATGATTTTCAACTTTCTCTTGGTTCTCTTTGAGCTCCTTACAATCCATATTTTCAATTCTTTATGTGTCATTTCAAAGTTTTCATTTTGGTTATCATCCATTAATAGAGAACTAGTGTGGTTGTTTGTGCGTGTCACAACATTTTGTTTCTTCATGGTGCTGGAATTCTTGTGCTGGTCTCTTCTCACCTGTAGAAACCGTTACTTCTTATTTTTTAATTTATTTTTGTTTGAGTGGGATTCACTTCCCCAACCCTTGAGGATGTAACTATTGTGTATGCTGCAAAGGGTCTTTTGGCTTTGCTTCTAGGAATTCCTACAGACCCTTATCCTCCAGAAGGGTCTGTTGGAATTCCTTGGTTGTAGAGAGCTATAGTGTAGTGGCTTTCTTAAATGTTAATTGTTTGTGGCTGTAGTAGTGATGGGGTGCACTTGTGGTCAGGCTCACTGTCTTTTACAGGAAAAAGGTAGTGGAGGTCTCTGGAGGCTTGTGTCCTTTCCCAGCGTTTTCTCTGTCAGCAAAAATTATATTTGGTTGTGCAGTACATGCTACTGGACAGTAGGTGGCAATTGTGGGTGAGAGCTGGCTGAGTGCTGTACAAATACGTCAGAAGTTGTGACAGACTCTGCAGGTTAACGTCTCAGCCACAAGGTGGTGCTTGCAGGCAAGAGGCAATTGCAATATTGGCATTGGAATATTTACTTGGCCTTTGTTGATTACCGGAAGTACCTGGGTGTTCCTGGCAATGGGTAGGACCTGAGGATCCCAGGGTTACTGTTTCACACTCTGCCACCATGGTGACTGAATCGGGCCAAATTGGGTGGGGCTGGGTTGGACAAGCTCATGACTAGGCTCTCCAAGGCTGGTGAAAGCACTGATCTTGCTGGGAGTTTAGCGGCAGCTTTCAGGTGACTGGAACAACCCTCCTAGGAGAGGCAAAGTTGCTATTCCTTTGCCACATATCTAACTTAGTGGAGGAGTGGCAACCTGGGGATTTTTAACCTAAATGGTGACCACGAAGTGTGATAAGCTCAGTTCCTGTACCCAGGGGTCTCTCTCCAAGCCTCTGGCCCCAGCAACAGGCCCAACCAGCTAGATTTGTCCCAAACTGTCTACACCCAGATCACTAAGCCACTTCAGGCATTCTGGACTATGGGACTCCCTGGGGGAGAAACAAGGACTATCAAGCCACATCGTCCCCAGTCTGATCTCACTAATGGAAGGGCGCCCAGCTCCCATACCACCACACAAACCCATGTCACACTATTCTCTGTGTCCTAACAGTGGGAACTCCTTCTTTGCTGAAGATTAGGCCATAAATCTCATCTCTATACCCCTGGATGGTGTGCTCCAGTCCTAAGGAACTGGGACTGGGCCAGCGATTTTGTCCTCTTGTCCATTGGGGTCAAGCACCAGCTTTGATAGGGGGAAGCTGCTCCCAGGCCACTCAGATGGGACAATGAAGGGAATTCGGTGCCCCCACTCCCCTGGGAACAGCCAGGCAGGCAGCCTTGGTAGGGGTTGGCAGGGAAAGGTGTGCCTGGTTCATATGCACCTTGGTCCCATGGCAATGGCTATAGGTCCTTTCTGGGGCATCTGAGCATGCCTGGACCCACTCTTTTCTGGCAAGGAAAACAGCATGAGCTGCAACCACTCATTGCAGGATGTAGGGCCTTGGGGGATGAGTGCCCAGAGTCATCTTTTGTTGCAGCTGCCTCTCACAGCCAAGCCTTCTAGGCTCCACCAAGTTCAAGCAGTACCTCTGTGTGTTCTCCAGGCAGCTCCTCTTGCCAGTCCAGAGGTCTGCAGGGTTCATGGGAACTCCTGTAGCTATGATCTCAGAGGTCCACGGTGGAAATGTAGTTCCCTGGATTTCTTCATTTATCTGTACCCTGGGTCCAGTCCTGGTCTGGGGGCCAGTCTGGCACCTGAAGACTCCAAACAGGCTGCCCTTCTTCCTCCCTTTTCAACCACAATTTCTTTTTTTTTTTTTTAAATACTTTAAGTTCTAGGGTACATGTGCACAACTTGCAGTTTTGTTACATATGTATACATGTGCCATGTTGGTGTGCTGCACCCATTAACTCGTCATTTACATTAGGTATATCTCCAGTGTCTTTCATTACCTATCAGATTTCAATGCTTTTGCTCAAAAGATCTGTTCAAAGTGTGAGGTATACTTGATATTTTGGTTGCTCTCTCTGGAAGAGATGTATTGTGGCTACGTCTAGTCAGTCATTTCAATCAAGATATTTTACGAGCCCTATTAGTGCAGCCAGCAGCGCGTCAGTCTCATAATCTGAATCAAGATATTTTATTTCCTTCTTATAGTTTTACTTTTTTCTTCTTTTCTCTTATTTTTCTGATGAGGATTTCCACTAAAATATTTTCTAGAAGTGGGAATAATGGATATTATTGTGCTGTATTTAAGATCTTAGGGAAAAATAATTAGTTATTCACCTGTACATGTGATGAAAGTTATAGAGTTGTGCTTTATGTAGTTGGATAAGAAATGTTTTCTTTTTCAAAAATATGTGTGTTGAATTTTGATAATTGCCATTTACAAATCTATTCTGAATCTATTGTGATGCTTATATATTTTTATATTTTAGTCTCTTACTAGAGTGAATTACAATGATTGATTTATGAATGTTAAACCACCTTGTATTCCCAGGACAAATTCAACCTGGTTATGATGTGTTACCTTTTTATGTGGCTAACTTCAATAAGCTAAATTTGAGATATTATTTTTGAATCCATGTTTAGAGATATTTGTAATTTATTTGTAATTTTGTTGCAATAACCATTCTAAGCATCTTATTAATACTCCATCATACAAGGAGTAGAGATGTGTACCCTCTTGTTTTATTTTCCAGAAGAGCTTGTCTAGACTTGTATTTTTTTAAGTGTTTGCTAGAATTTACCACTACAATCTTATGGGCTTAGAGTTTCTTTGTGAAAAGTTTTGCTGCAAATGTAATTACTTTTAAATATAGGAATATTTAGTTTTTTTTGTTGCTCTTTAATGAGTGAGCTTTGGTGGTTTGCTTGATTTGAGTAAATCGCTCATAATATTCTCTCACCATTTAAATATTGTGGGTTCTGCACTGTTGTTTTATTTTAAAATTCTGATTGGTCATCTGTGTCTTCCCTTTATTTCTTCTCAACAGTTTAGCTGTTTCTTCATGGTAGATATTGATGGTTTGTGCAGAAAGTACTCCTGATAAGTGTGGACATTCTGGCATCAGCAAGTTTGAACAGCATGTATATGGAGGGGGCCATCCTACTTGATATTTAGCAATTTTATTGAACTTTAAAAAGAGCAATTTTGAGCTTCCTGGGCTTATTTTTCTGTTTTCTATTTGATTTATTCTCACTGTTTTAATTGTTTTTTTATTTAATTATTCTTTTTCTCTAGTCTTTTTTTTTTTTTTTTTTAATTGAGATGGAGTCTTGCTCTGTCACCCAGGCTGGAGTGCAGTAGCACAATCTCAGCTCATTACAACTTCTGCCTCCCGGGTTCAAGCAATTCTCTGCCTCAGCCTGCTGAGTAGCTGGGATTACAGGTACCCGCCACCACACCTTGCTAATTTTTGTATTTTTAGTAGAAATGGGGTTTCACCATCTTGGCCAGGCTGATCTTGAACTCTTGACCTTGTGATCCACCTGCCTCCGCCTCCCAAAGTGTTGGGATTACAGGCGTGAGCCACCGCACCCAGCCTTTTTCTCTAGTCTTTAAAAGTCAAATCATACACCAATAATTTGAGAACTTTCTTGCTTTGTCTGCTATAAAGTACCCTTTCGAACTGCTCTACCTTCATCTCACAATAATTAGTATGTTATGCACTCATTTATATTCAATTGTATTGTCTCATTTCCCTTGTGGTTTTGTTATTGACCTGTGGATTATTTAGAAATACATTGTTTAATTTCTAAATATTTGATTTTCAGACATTGTTTGCTATTGATTCTAGTTTAATTTTACTGGGGTCAGCTAATATATTTTGCATAGTTTTTTTTTTTCTTTTAAATTTGTGGGTACTTTTATTGCTTAGACTAGGTGTATGTTGCATTTGCACTTGAATGTAATCCATACCTGCTGCTAATTGCTGTAGTGTTCCATAAATATCAATTTATTTGGTCAAGAATATTGTGTTATTGGATTCTATTGTACCTTACTGATTTTCTAATTGCTCTTTGAATTGCTCAGAAAGTAGTATTGAAACTTGAATTTTAAAAATTAGCGTTATTGAAGTATAACTGACAAATTGTATGGTTTTAAGGGGAATATGATAATTTAATATATGCATATATTTTGTGAAATGATTACCACTATGAAGTTAGTTAAAATATGTCACCTCACCTAGTACCCTTTTTGTTTTGTTTTAGATTGAGAACATTTAAGCAAATTTTAACTATGCAATTTAATAGAACATTTGATTTTTTACTGGATGAGTACGATGTGTATTTTATATTGCAGGGTGATAGATTTTGTTGTATTCCTTTAAACACTTTTTGATTTGGTCGTGGAATGAGAAATCTAATACATTCTTTAGAGCCTTGCCCTTAAGGTTTTTTATGACAAATGCAGAGCACCCTTTAATCTAGGACTATTTTAGCCCCACTGCTTATGCATTACGTTTTAAAAATCTCTACTCCTGCTGCTTGTATTATAGGTCTTTTCTCTCTGGCTGGTGAGCAAACAAATATATAGGCTTCTGTGAACTATAATAATTGTTCAGCCCCCCTTTCCCAGTAGTTTTCTTTTGCAACTTTAGGTAAATTCATGATTTTTCTAATAAATGTCCAGGGAAGGATTAAACTGAAGCTTTCTGGACATTCTCTCTTTCTCTCTCTCTCTCTCTCAGTACATATTCTTCATTATTGTTACAAATTACAGCCACTTTGCTCTTCCCAAATTCCATTTTATCTCAACAACACAAAGGGTCCTGGGCTGTTTGGAATCTCCTTTCCCACCCCTTAGATTGGAAATTGCTTTCAGGCAATACACTGGCACAATAAGAAGGCTCAACTCATTTGTTTTTCTTCTCTCAATCTCATTCTCTTTATTTCCAGCGTTTGAAAATTATCATTTGATATATTTTATTTTATTTTCTAGGTGTTGAAGATGGGAAAATAAATTCAGTCTGTTACTCTACCATATTTAGAAGCTGAAGCCACAAATAATTTTGAACGTTTTTTTTGTAATTATATTTTTCAGGTTTATTTTTCCTGTACATTATTCACAATAATAAGAATAAATGACTGTAATATTTATATTTGATGCAACATTCTTAGGTTATATTAGCACTGCCAGATTTATCTAGGGAGAGCAACACTTATGCAAATAAGTACAAATAACTTGATTTTGCAACTTACGGTCACAAGTTATTTGGATTGTCTTGTGCAGTACATTTTCTAATGATTTAAAAACCTAATTTATGTAATCAATAAATTGTGAAGAGTCTCTTAAAGCTGTAGTTTGATACTTTAAAAGTTCTCTGGTCAGTAAACATTCTCGCCCTGATTTTAAAAAGTATTAGCGTAGATATAGGGATCATCACATTAGAATTTTTAAATTATGAAATATGTAATGTTATAGGAAATAATATATTTAGCATTCAATAGTAATTCGTTTTTTCACAAAATTGTCTCTTATAAACAGATGTATTTTTATTCACATTCATTCACTTACATATTCATTTTTCCAACTACTATTTTTGTATATAGTCCTAGAGAAAAATGTAAGAAAATATAATATCAATTTAAATTATATCACATCTTTTTTTTCACTTTAAATTGGTTAGTGTCTTAAATGATCATTGTGGCCTCCATAATTTGAAAATAGTGAAAAGAATGTAAAGGTCTATTTCTCCCACTTCTATCTACATGGATAAATCTGATTTCTGCCTTCATCGGCTTCAGAGAATGTTGAAAAATTTGGGGGTGATATGGCCTTCCAGTTACCTTAATTTCCTTAAACTTCCTTATTTCTAACCATGAATTTGTAGTGGTCAGAAGTAGTGTCGAGACTGAGTTATGGTAGTAGAAATGTCAACAAGCACTGTCTATGTTACAGACTCAATGGGCTGCTTGCTCCTTTATGGTAGATACTGATGGTTTGTGCAGAGAGTACTCCTGATAAGTGTGGACATTCTGACACCAGCAGGTTTGAACAGCACATATATGGAGGGGGCCATCTCAATTGAATTCTTTAACCACTGTTTCCTAATCCAAGGACATAGGATGTAGAAATTAATGAGCTACTTGCCTGTTGTTAGTATTTCATATCTCCTAGTGGTTCTCCAAAGTTGTTTCTTCCATCTATAAGAGGATCTTTGCTCAGCAAACAGTGCTGCCTCTGTCCTTAGAACCATCTTTTCTAGTCTCTGTCATTCTCTCTGACCAGGACTCTTTAATTTTCCTCCCCTACTCTTTGTAAAACGATGGAGTAATCTCTTGATCTGGGTTACATCTGGGATTTTGCCGTATTTCTAAACCCTATTATATATAATTTTGTCCACCTGAGGCTTAGTTCAGCAACAGGATAATATACATTTTCATCCAGTGTATGGTAAATATATGTGCTTATTATCCACATAATTGTGTCTTTGCTTGAGTGATAATTTCCTGTTAGAATTCAGATAAGACACATATGGAATTTCTACCTAAAACCCTGACTTAACGACTATGAAATCTATACATGTAACAAAATTGCACATGTATCCTATAAATTTGTACAAACAAAAAAGTAAAAAAAAAGAACATACAGAATTTTAGTTTTTTAAGTACAATTTTTGTGCTGCTATTACTTAACAGTACCCAAAATTTGAATCAATAATTTAATACATTTGCTGTGTGCCTACTATATGTCAGGGATTATGCTAACTGCTGGTAATATAATAGTGAAGAAACTACACACAATTAGGCATATAGAAAAGGTTCACTTAATAGATGTTGAATGGAAAAAATAAATAAATGAATAACTCAGTGCAGACTTTAGAATATTTGATAATGGTATTTGTGGAATAAAACAAGTTTCTGTTCTGCTCCAAATAAGCACACTTAAATAATCATACTTAGAAGAAAAACCATACAGAATATCTAAATTTGAAAATAGTGTCTCTCTAAGGAGCCTCTATGGTTTAGCTGATGTGCAGTATTTGTGAAAGTCAGAATAATTTTTCCATGTAAATCAATATACAGTTGACAAAATTTCCAAAGTAAAAAAGTGTAATATTAAACCTTTAAACAAAAGTTAAATTGGGCATAAAAAAAGATTATTTGCCTGGGCTTAGTAGGATCAATGATGTGGTTGAAGAAGTACCTTGCTGTACCTCTAGTTAAGTGCAGGGCTGTAAAGGTCCCTGGAACAAAATTGATGTATCTGAGATGTTATCCAGGATGTACTCTCATGCTATTTTTGCAAGCTGCTTTCATCATACTCAGAAGGATTTGTCAAGATGCTTACCTGTTGTGAAATTCAGCATGATTTCTTGAGGGTGCAATCTAAAGCTGAGTTATGTCATCTCTTCTTAGCACTGCTATATCAGTGCCTATGAGATTGTAATTCTTCCTGGGCTACTCTTTATTCAGTGGTTGCTGTACAAAATGGGGGACAAAATAAATGTATGTCATGCTCTAAGACTACTGTATGTCATATGTATTTACCAAGAGTTAAAAAAAGAAAATGTACAGCATGTCTCTTTACATATAAGTCCTAAATGCAATTTTCATTTTTGGCTGGTTTAAATTAAGGCAAATAAATTCACTCCTATTATGTTTTATACATACTTGCTGATTTAGCTTAAGGAATTGAAATTCATGAAGTTAATGCCTTCTTATTAACATTAAACATTTTAAAATGGAAAAATCATCTCTTTTCCACAATAAATCATTTACAAATCACCTGTGTACTCTTCTTTTCTAGCATTCTTTTATATGTATGCTTTTGGCATAAAAATACATGCCAGGGAATAAATATTACAAAAAAAACTCAGATGTAGTTAAGTCTTAACTATATACAAATTATTAGTCAGGAAAAGAGGGATTGCATTTAAAAAAGAATCTAGCCATCACAGAGGTGCTGAAATTTTGCCTATATTTTCATTTTGTGGAATAGCCACATCTTAATCAGCAAACCAACTGCAAAACTCTTATTCTAGGTTTATATAGGATTAGACTATAAGTGACTCTCCTAAATATTTGAGAATTTTGATTGCCTGTTTTCAAGGAAGTTTTGAGTTTCCAAAAGTAATTTTCCTTGAAGAAAGTAGATTTTATATCTAAGAAAGTGATGAGAAAGCTGTGACATGCGAGCATTTACAAATAGTCAGTGCATAAAATTTGATATCATAACTATGTGCATGTCAATTTTATTGATAAAATGTAAAGCATTTTGTTTTTCACATGTAAGCAAATACTGACTAGCATTAACACATTGATATATGATTTTCAGAGTAAAGTGTTCACATTTCTAGGTGGTAATTAGGCTAGTATTTTTAAAAAAATAAAGAGTTAGGTAATATAAAACATGTTAAATACATTATCCCCATCCCCACTCTCCTTTCTCTCAAGTGTATTTTGCTGCTTTCATTCTCTTTATTCTTTCATTTTGCATCCCTACTGGCTCTCTTTACGTTTTTCTTCCCTTATCTCCCCCACTCTTTCCCTCTGCATTGAAGTATACTACTTTGAAACATAGCTTGTTCTTATCTTATATTTTATCTTTTCTTTCTCACAGCCCTTTTCTATTGCATTTTGACTAAGTTTCATGGGAATCTTTATTTGTTGCCGAACTCTAAATATACCTGTTTATGGTATCCAGTCTCTCCGTATAAGCATATACAGAGAAGATATCAACACCCAGTCCAGGAGTGCAGAGTGGGATTGGTAAAAGTAAAGATAGTGGTCAGTAGTTTTGTGAGCTAGCAGATACAAGCTTTGTTCACAAGGAGTTTTCTTCATATGGGATAAATTTATTGCAATGGTTTTCTCCTGTCTGTTGCAATCTATTTAAAACACCCACCTCAATGTGGGATGACTGTCTATTCCATTGCTTTCTTTTTCTTAAGCATGGCTACATACTTTTTTATTCATCTGTGCCTGAGGTCAATGACCCAGATATTCTTCTTCTTGCTTCTGGCTATGTGTACTTTTTCATGTATACTGTTACCAATTTTATTCTCTTATTGTTTTCCCTCTCCATTGTGACATTAGCATTTTATAAGAATGACTATATTAATCATACCACTAAAAATTTAATATCTTATACTGTGGCCCAAATATACTAATTTAGCCTCTATGTTCACTCCTGACTTCCATATCAGGCACCAACATTATGATCTAAAAGTGGAATAGAAAATGTGAAAGTACAAAACTATTAACTTTTTGATACCAACCATCTCATTATTTATTGCCATTTATTTTGCAATAATTACTTAAGAAAAAAATATCTATTATTGCTCCATACTGCTTTAACTGCAGTTGCGGATTTAAAGATGAATTCAGACTTCAGCCTTTCCCTGAGGCTGATGGACTTCTCCTTTCAAAGTAGGACACTTCTATCTGATGGCATTAGCCATAAAATCCCCCATTTCAAGTCTATGATATCCTGAAGGACAACGGCTCATTTCATTTCTTATCAAGAAATCGGGCAGATCAGTCATATTTCCCGAATCAAATGACATTTCAGAAAATTCACTTGAACCAAAAATGAGGTTTCATTTCTGCAGACTCCAATTAGTTTAAAAGTGGTTTCTGATGAAAATTTTCAAAATAACTGAGCAGTTCATGAAAAACAACTTTATATTTTTATGTATTTGACTATATCAACTCATATTTCATATATACATGCCCCTATACATGCACTTACATACACACACACACACACACACACACACACACACACAGGCTTCCAAATAGCTACAGCTAGCCACCCTGTCATGTGGTGTAAATCTTTAATTTTAGTGATCAGCGTTAATAGTAAAGTACTTAAGATCTTTCCTCCTTTCTTTTTTTTTTTTTTTAATCCTGTTACCCTAGGTATTCCAGTGGGAGTGTGCCCGCTCGTTTGCTCCCTAAGTACACAAAATTAGCTGCTTATCAGTTGATCTTCCTACATGATCCTTTAAAAACCCTTTGTGTGTGTATACAGGCATCTATGCAGCATCCAAGGCTGCTTCTGCCTTCAGAGGAAGCCTAGACAAGCTACCCCCAGCCTTTTCTTACCCACTCACATGGGGCTCAGGCCTAATTAAATTGCTCTCAAAGACAAGAAGGGATGAATTTTCTTGTTTCCATCTCCCTTGTCACCCATTTAACTCAGCTGACATTCACTGACTCCTTTTTACTTATGTTCAAAAAAAAAAAAGAAAGAAAAAAAACCCATATGCACACACACAAAAGCCCCATAAAGACAGGGTTTAGAGAGCTGGGAGAAGTAGGGAGGGACAGTGTTCGTGGATAAACTCTTAATCTGGTTAATCCATGATTTATAATTTCAGAAACAAACAACAGAAACAAGATAGAGAGAAAGTGCCAGAGGAGAGGCTGGATTTCTCTTGCTGGCTTTGATTTTATTCCATTAAACTAACACTGAAGAAGACCGAAACAAACACACATACACACACAAACACATACGTCAGTGCTTGTGGTCAATCTGTACCCCTCTGTTGTTTTTGGTTGTTGTTGTATTTTTCTTGGGCTCAGATTAATGAGGGAGGTTTTGTAAACTAGGATGAGCAGAGCCTATTAATGTAGCTCTGCCCAAGAGGGGCAGAGGGGAGCCGCAGCCACTTTGGCTGGCCTGCTATTGATTGGACTGGAGGTCACGGGGGAGTACTGCTGCATTTCTGAAGCTGGGGTTCAGGGAGGGGGCTGGAGAGCTTTGGCTAAACCAGACAACAGGAGCCCTGTGCAAGTCTAGCTCCAATAAGGGCCTAGGAAAAGCCAGGCAATTAGCCTTTGAAGGTCATGGTAAGTTCCCTCCTCCCTTCTCTCTTTTCACCACAGTATCCAGCCTTCCTTCCCTCCTCCTCCTTTCTTCATCACCCACACTCCAAACACATCTGAGGAATCCATTCAATTAAATCCCTCTCGGCTCCAGCTGGCTCTGGAGTGAAAGGTCAGTAGAGTCCAGGAGGGAGGAAAAGACACCAGGAGGAGCTAGAGCTTGTGGCTGCCTCCGACCCTGCCTTTCCTGTCTCCCTTCTCCCATCTCCCCACTCTCCTCTCCCCACCTCCTTTCTGCCTACCATCTTTAATGATACCTGATGGTCAATCACTCCCCAGCAGTGAGAGACATGCCCTGAAGCATCATTGCAGTAGGGAGAGACCCATCAGGTTTTTGTTTTTTTTTAAAAAAAAAAAAACGATGATAATGATAACCCGTGGACATAATGTTAGTTTGTTTGCTGTGCTGCTTGGAGGCCTATCACTGTTTCCCTGGGCCAGCCCAGCTGCTTGGAGGGTCTATGCAGTCCTTGGTATTCACCCTTCCCCCAGTTTGCATTTTGTCTTGCCTTAAAGAGACCTAATTAGACTGAGGGATAGTTTGCTGGCCTGCTTGGCTCCATAAATAGAAGAGAAAAAGTAAAGATTTCTGATCCTATTTTTGAAAGCATATGCTTCAAGTTCACCAAGAAACAGCATACTTAACTATCTGTGCTAACATAAGAAAATACGTTAAATTTTGTTTGAAGGATTCAGCTAGGGATGTCTACATTGTTTAAAAAATCATGTTATAACTATGTGGTTTCAATGATAAACACTAACAAAATAATTTAGGGATAGAATTTATTAGATGAAAGTTCAGAATCAGAAACTTTGCAGAAATTTTAGATACATGTATGCATACATATGTTTTCATACACATGTGAAGGTATATTTTTCTTATTTTTTTTTTTAGGAAGGCAGTGACCTTAGATTGGTTATTTCCTCTCCTTATGCACCAAATTTTTCCTTAAAATCATGTGGAAATTAATATGAACACAAAATTTCGCAAAATGATATCATAACCACCAATGTGAACAAGGTATAGTCTTCTCTTCACATGACCTAGAATATGTCACATTAAACATTTTGCCATTAATACTTTATGTTTCCATTGTACTTTTTCAAAAAACTTGATGATTTCACTGTGTTCCCACACTTCTAGTCTATATTGTAATCTATATTCTCAATATATAATATATCATCTATATTCTCAAGGCCCAGTATTTTCTTTTCTTAGCAAGTGTGGGGATACAGATTCTAGTACAACTAATATCTTACTTGCAATCAGATTTTTTTGTTGTTACATTATTTTCTGCATCATTTGATGAACCAAACTACATTTTCCTATTCCTATTAAACTATTTGATGATGCTTTTTATTTTGTTGTATAATTGGGTGAGCAATCATGTGATAAACATAAGTTTGGTATGAAATCAAAGAAGCAATGCTAAAAACAATGAATATATTTTCAGGAAAGTTTTAAAGATGTTAAATCTTTTAGAAAAAAAGATGGTAGAAACAGTATTACTTCTTTGTGGTTTTTATGAACACAATGATAAAACTCTAAAAGACATCTAGTATAGTTAATGTATGATAGTTTTCTTTTATAACCTAACATTATGCTTTTTGAAATGTGTGTTAGAGGTAGAAGTTTGTGTGTTTGCTAAATTAAAAATGAGTGTGATCTGAATTGAGTTGTTGTTGTTTTTGTTGGGAAAGATTGTGGAAGTAAGACACATGGGAAGAAGTGACATATGTAATATCATACTTTTAAATGCTTCAAATTTAGGATTTTCTTTATAAAATTACACAAGACAATACTTAGTGCCATTTGGTATTTTATAAACCATCTGTCTAGAACTCTTCCATTTATACGTATATAAAATAGAACTCAGCATATCTGATGGCTGTAGATATTTGTGTACATGTGCATACATGCCCCCACCTATACAGAATTATCTGATCCTGACAACAAAGGAATACAATTATTTATTCTAATTGTACCTGTCCAATTTAGGTATCTCTCAGAAAATCCTTCAATAGTTGATAGTTAAAGGAATTCTTAACTTATTAATTGAACAAATATTTATAAGGCACCTATTATATGTCAGATATTATGTCACTTGCTGAGACCACAAAGATGAAAAAGAAAACACACACGTGTCTCCTGCTCTCATAGACTCAGAGTCTAATGAAAAAGAAAGCCATTGCGGCCAGGCGCGGTGTCTCATGCCTGTAATCCCAGCACTTTGGGAGGCCAAAGCGGGCAGATCACGAGGTCAGGAGGTTGAGACCATCCTGACCAACATGGCCGCGTCTCTACTAAAATACAAAAAATTAGCTGGACCTGGTGGTGCGCACCTATAATTCCAGCTACTCGGAAGACTGAGGCAGGGGAATCGGTTGAACCCGGGAGGTGGAGGTTGCAGTGAGCTGAGATGGCGGCACTGCACTCCAGCACGGGCAACAGAGTGAGACTCCATCAAAAAAAAAAAAAAAAAAAAAGGAAAGAAAAGAAAAAAGAAAGCCATTGCACAAATATTTGTGACAGTACTATCAAAAGAGAAATCTGAAGTATTATGGAATCATATAACAGGTCAACTAAATCTAGTGAAAATATCATATTTCTGTATAACCAAGCATTGACTATAGGCCCAGAATTATTCCCAGGTAACTCTAAATTTCAGGCAAAACAGCTTTAGTAGTCCAAGGACAGCTCTCTTAAAAATTGGGGTGTGGGCTATTGGACACAAAAGTACAAAGATCCTGGAAGGGGACACAAAGAAACAAAGCCAGAAACCTAATTTAAAGATCTCAGCAGAGCACTGACAATGTCTGCTACAGAGAGCAAACAGGATTTTTAGGTTTTTTTTTATATGGATTATATAAGTGGGTGGTTATTTATCTTGCTGAATCAGGAAATAAATAGGAAAAAGGGTGTGTTGGGCAAAAATATGTGGGTGAGATAATAATTATGTCTTAGATTAAGTTTGAAGTCTTTGTGTAATACCATTCAAAACATTCAGTAAGCAGTTATATATGTAAGTCTGAATCTCAAAAGAGGAAATCTGAATGAGTAATTATAGCAAGGTTGCAGGATACAAAGTTAATATACAAAAGCCAGTTGCTTTTTGATATACCAAAAATGAACAAGAGGGATTTGAAATTAAAACTACAATACCAGCAAGTTATTTTGTAAATAGCAACAAAATGATTCTAAAGTTTGTATGGAGAAGCAAAACATACAGAATAGCGAACACGATATTGAAAAATTAGGACAAAGTTGGAGGAATGACACTACCAGATTTCGAGATTTACAGTAAAGTCATAGCAGTCAAGGTAGTGTGGTGTTAGTAAAAGAATGGAAAAATAGATAATTGGAACAAAATACAGAGCCCAGAAATAGATCCACATAAATATAATCACCTGACCTTTGACAAAGAAGCAAAGGCAATACAATGGAGAAAAGACAGATTTTTCAACAAATGGTGCTGGAACAACTGGACATCCACATTAAGAAAATGAATATAAACACAGACCTTACCTCCTTCACAAAAATTAACTCAAATTGTATTGCAGACCTAAATACGTAAATAAATAAACCTGTAAAACTCCCAGAAGATCACATAAGAGAAAAACCTGGATGGTCTTGGGTTTGGTGGTGACTTTTTAGATGTGACACCAAAGGTATTAATATAAGCTTATCCAACCTGTGGCCCATGGGCCCCAGGCAGCCCAGGAGGGCTTTGAATGCAGCCCAGCACAAATTCGTAAACTTTTTAAAAACATTGATTTTTTTTGTGTGATTTTTTTTTTTTTTTTGGTCGTCAGCTATTGTTAGTGTATTTTATGTGTGGCCCAGGACAGTTCTTCTTCCCATGTGACCCAGGGAAGCCAAAAGATTGGACATCCTTGCATTAATCCATGATCCCAAAAAATGAGAAGTTGGACTTTATTAAAATTAAAATTTTCTACTCTGTGAAAGACACTGCCAAGATAATAAAGACAAGACACACTCTGACAGAAAATATTTACAAAAGACCTATCTGATTAAGGACTAGTATTCGAAATATAGAAAACATTCTTAAAACTCAACAGTAAGAAAAGAACTCGATTAAAATGTAGGCCAAACACCTTAAAAGATACCTCACCAAAGAAGATGTAAAGATGGCAAATAGGCATATGAAAAGATACTCCAGATCATATGTCATCAGGAAAATGCAAATGAAAACAAAAACAAGATACTACCATATACTTATTAGAATGGCCCAAATCAGAACACTTACAACACCAAATGCTAGTGAGGATGTGCAGAAACAGGTACTTTGATTCACTACTTATAGAAAAACAAAATGGTACAACCAATTTTATGTCCAACAGGACAGTTTGGCAGTTTCTTACAAAAGTAAATGTACTTTTACCGTAACATCCAGCAATGGTGCTCCTTGGTATTTACCTCCAAAAGTTGAAAACTTATGCCCACACAAAAACCTGCACACAATGTTTATAGTGTTATTTATAATTGCCAAAACATAAAAGCAACCTAGATGTTCTTCAGTAAGAGAATGCATAAATAAACTGTGGTACATGCAGACAACGGCATGTTATTCAGTGCTATAAAGAAATGATCTATCAAGGCAGGAAAACACATAAAGGAAACATAAATGCATATTACTAATTTAAAGAGGGCAAACGGTAAAGGCTACACACTACATGATTCCAACTATATGGCAACTTGGGAAAAGCAAATCTATGGAGACAGTAAAAAGATCAGTGAGTGCCAAGTGTTAGTGGGAAGTATGGGAAGGATGGATAGGTTGAGCACAGAGAAATTTTACGGCAGTGGAACTACTCTGTATGATGCTATCGTGGTGAATATATGTCATTACACGTTTGCACAAACCTATAAAATGTACAATATCAAGAGCGAGCCCTGTTGTAAACTCTGGACTCTGGATGATGATATGTCATTGTAGGTTCATGAATTGTAACAAATGTACCACTTTGTTGGAGGCTGTTAATCATTGAGGAGCTATGTATGTTTCAGAGTTGATCTATAAAGATAGTGACTGAAAACTACAGGGTGAATAAGACTGTCTAGGGAGGGTGAGTCATATGAAGAAGTGTTGAGTAATTCCAACATTAAGTGACTAGCTAAGGATAAAATAAATTACAAAAGAGACTGAAAAGGAGCACCAGAGAGTAGGAAAACCACAGGAGACTGGTCCCTGAGAAAGCAGACAGAACCTAAATGATGCAGGACTCCAAATAAAATATGGACTTAAAATTACTTATCGGATTTAGTAACAGTGTATTGTTTTGGGCCATTTTGAGCATAGTTTTAGTGAGGAAGTGCTGATATATACAAGAAAAAAGTAGAGAAGAAAATGTCATAATCAGAGTGAGTTCAGTAGTAAATGAGAGTTAAGAAAATTTAAAAAAAAATGAAGCCCATATTCTGAAATAAATGATACCAAGTTTAAAAATATGTACTTTAAGGACAAATAGTTGCATCATATGGAATAAAATCTATAGGCCCTCTTTAATTAGGAATAACTATGATAGAGTTCCTGAATTCATCCTGATCTAAGCCCAGATATCATCTTTCTTTTGTTATCTCATTTTCATATTACTAAACATAGTTCATGTTTCTGCAGTCCCCATTTTCTGGAATCACCAAAGGTAAGGCTAATTTAACTAGTTCTTCGCTTTTCTGATTATAGTTTTCATCACTTTACCACTAGACTTTCTACCTCTACCTCACTGCGTTGTTAGCATATACTTTTCTCTTGTTCTCATGTTTACCTAAATTCCTAAACACTAATGCACAAATCCAAGCAAGCAGGAACTGAAAATGAAATATGTTCTTTACGATATGTTTCTTTTAAGTACAAACACTCTCCCACATGGTGGAAAAGGGAAGAGGTAGATGGAGAAGGATACTATAGATTTCTGCAGACTCAGATGAGAAAAAATAATCTTCTGGTTAGAGTACAATGTAAAAAAAAAAAAACTTATTTATTCCAAAACCCAAATGCATTTATTGCATTTTGCTGAATTATATCACAAATGTTTTTTCTGAAAAGTAATAGCTTGTGCTCAAGAATGAGATTTGTCTGAAAACCTTGAATCTTTGCTTTTAAACTGTATGATGTCCATTAACGTAAATTGCATTTACAAGCTTACATTAATTTAGTGGTTTGCTAGCCATTTTGTGATTAGCATTTTCAACAAACAGGAAAAGAGACACTGCTTGCAGGTAGGCAGGTAGCAACCCTAGGATATGATGGCTCAATTTCAAACCAGTGTCATGCTTACCAAAAGTAGGGATAGAGAACCATAGTCAGAAGTAATTCCAATAATAAGATAACAAATAGAAATAAAACACAATGTTATTTCATGCAAGACTTTTTTAAACCACTATTTTATATATAGGAAATTATACTATGAGACATTCTTTAGTTATAAAAAAATGACACTTTTAAAATCATCATAATTATGAAGGGCTTTGTACCTTTACTCCCCTAGTACAATATGTAGTTGAGCAGCCCACCCTTTCCTTCCTTCCTTTTTCACTTCCTTCATTTCTTTCTTTCCTTCATTCTTCCTGTTTCTTTTTTTCTTTTTTTTTTTTTTTTTGAGACAGAGTCTAGCTCTGTTGCCAAGGCTGGAGTGCAGTGGCACAATCTCGGTTCACTGCAACCTCCATCTCCGGGGTTCAAGCTCTCCTGCCTCAGCCGTCTGAGTAGTTGGGACTATAGGCACGTGCCACCAGGCCCAGCTAATTTTTGTATTTTTTGAAGAGATGAGGCTTCACTACGTTGACCAGGCTGGTCTCGAACTCCTGACCTCGTGATCTGCCTGCCTCGGCTTCCTAAAGTGCTGGGATTACATACATAAGCCACCATGCCCAGCCTCCTTTTTCTTTATTTATCTGCTTTTATCTTTCCCCACTTCTCTCCTTCTCTCATATCTCCCTCCTTTTTTCTCTTTCCATTTTTCTTCCCCTTTCCTTCCTCTTGCCTGCCTGCCCTCCCTTCCTTCCTTGTTTCCTTTTTTCAACATTATCTTTTTTCATTATTGAAGTCTGCTAATTTCTGAATACCTACTATGGACTGGATGTTTGTATTCCCCCAAATTTTGTAGTTGAAGTCCTCATACCCAGTGTGATTTGGAAGTGAGGTCTTCGGGAGATAAATAGGATTAGATTAGATTATGAGAGTGAAGTCCTTATGATTAGATTAACGCCCTTATCAAAAGAAGAAGAAATCTGAGATCTCTCTCTTTCTATCTACATGCACCAAGGAAAGGCCATGCCCCTGAGTACACAGTAAGAAGATGGCTGGCAAGTCAGAAGGGCCTTCATTAGAACCTAAGTTTTTCTAGCAACTTGATCTTGGACCTCCCAGCCTCTGGAACTGTGAGAAATACATGTCAGTAATTTACCCAGTTATTAATACCCAGTCTATGGTATTAATATTTTATTATAGCAGCACAAGCAGACAAAGACAACATTTTCATAATATTGGTTACTAAATTAAATATGTGACTAGGACAAGTATGAACCACTTCATAGACGGGTAAAGTTTTTTTTTAAAATAGAATATAGAAAATAGCAATGATAAATATAATACAAATATTATAGGGGTAATATTTTTATTATTAGCATGAGAAATTGAGATTGTTAAAATACCATTATAGGCTTAACTTTCAGACTATTGAGTAGATGTCATGTTGATGGCGATCAAAAACTTTATTGACAACTGTCTACTCCTTCAGGTAGAACAGCAAAACGGTCACCCTTTGGTGAAATGTGTTAAATATTTTGGGCCAGTAGATTGCACTGATCATTTTCTCTGTAAGTTTAAACAAGCTATATTCCCCTTTCTACAAATAATATTTGTCACATAGTAATAATACTATATATTAACATGGACATCAATTATTCATCATTTTCTATGTAACAATAATTATTCTGAGAGTTTCCATATATTCTAAAAATAAGCAGACACATCTCACAAACGTTTATGCAAAGGGTTTTTTTTTTTTGAAATTACAAGCATATATAGTACAATTTCTTCTAAGTGGAGAGCGAACATGTTTACAGATTTCTAGTATCTGTAATCATTACATAAGAGAAACTTAAAAGAAAATCAAATTCCCTTGATCAGGTTCAAGGTCTTATTTACTTATTTCAAAAATGTCAGTATAACTCTACTCAGCTTTCACTGTGGTAGGCTCTAAAGCTAATTTAAGCATCAGATGTTTGTATAAAGTGCTCATTTATTTAATATAACAGAGTAAATAGGGTCTTTTGCTTTGGTAGCAGGGACAGATTCACGAACTCTGTTCTTGAATTGATCTCCAAAGCTCCATGTAACCCATGATACCTTGATAGAGCCATGAAAAGTTCAAAAATATTTTATCAATGAGTTTCATAGAATGCTTTTAGGAACGAACACAAAAATCAGCTAAATACTGATGTAGGTTAAGAACTCCAGCCGTGTGTTGGTTGGATAATACATAGCTGCAAAATTATTTCTATCAGGCATATGGAAGTATAATCCTAGGAAAATGGAATAAAATAAAATAAACCTCATTTTTTAGTGTTTTGGCATAAAATATTCCCATGTTTTGTTTAATAGATTGAAAATTTAGCATTTCACGTTTTCTCTTAAAAATTGAATCAATAATTTTTTTCCAAGAAACATTGCCAGTGACCACTATAGCAATAATAAAATAAAGTTTTAGAAACATAGAGTTAATTTCAAATATAACCCAGGAAAGGCAGATTTTACAAACTACAGATTGGACATACTAGACTGGATGTCTAGTATTTGCTGATTTGGCTTCTGTATTCATTTCCACTAGTTCTAAAAATAGAGCAAAATTTTCTTTGGGACGTCATTCATCCTTATTCTTAGCCACACTGTTTGGACACAATTTATTCACCCATTTAAGAATTACTGAGCGATTTACAGGTGCCAGGCAGTGTTATACAATCAGAAGATATAGAAATGAATGGCAGATGAAAAAAAGCCCTATCTCTTTCCCCATGGGTGATAAGAGCTTGCAAGGTAAAAGGTGATGTTTGATGGAGTATATGAGTAAGAGAGATTCTTCCACTGGATTTTAAAGTGTTGAGATGTGAAGACTGGAGCTTCATCAGCCATCTTACAATCATGGAAGGAGCTAGCCCAGTAATAAGGAAAATATGGAAGAAAGAAGACAGAGCTAAAAAATTCAGGTGAAAACAGACAAACCAAAAAAGAAAAACTTACGGCATTTTCTGATATTCTAAATTAAGCTGTGGCTAAAGCTGGAATTATTCTTGAAGATATGTGAGTCAGGAAATTTCATTTTTAGGCTATTACAAACTAGGTTTTCTAACACTTGTAAGTGAAAGAATCTTAATTTCTGCGGAAATATTTTTTAAATTTTAAGATACAGATGAAAATGTTGATCAACATCTTGTTGATGTCTGAGTTTATGAGAAAAGTTCATCTATATTATTTGTGTTAATATTTATAATAATAAAAATAACTATTCATGGAATAAGAATATATTTAGAAATCAACTATATTTTATTTTCATTTTCACATGTGAAAATTGAGTGAAAAGCATTGGAAATTTCTTTCGACTATTTATAAGCAAGAGGAACAATTCGTCAAACTAGAATTTAACCACTCAAAATTATAATAAACTTCAGTGTTTAAATTCCTGTTGCGTTGTACAATTTCCGATTATTTATTCTAAATCTGTGGTTTGTGTTGGCAAAATTAAAGCTCTTAAAAATTTAAAAGTCATCCACCTTTCCATATCTTTGCACCTAGAATAAAATAGCGAGATTCAAATTACACCTGTAAAATATTGTTGCCTAAATTAACTACTTTTAGATACATACACATGGTTAAAACTTTGATTTAATATTAAGTTCTACAATTCTCTGGCCTGTCTATAGTCTAAAGCTCACCTGTATGTTAGTGCCTCATTAAATCCCTTGCAGATCCAAACAAAAGTTGACCACATATTCAAGAATGTATTTTGTCTGCCATACCTAATACGTCTACTACGAGCTACTTAAAATTGTACACTCAGACTCTCAGAATATTTTTTACTATTTATGGCCCTCCCCCAAAATTGGATCATGTATTACTGTATATTTAAAACTCTGTTGACCTTTACATCTTGAATTGAAAACTGTAGAATTCAGAAACATTGAATTACACATAAAATGGGACCAGTGGTGAAATTGTGATTACAAAATTTTCCGACATACTGTTGTTTCCATTTACAACATAAGGTTCATTGAATAAATGTTCTGAATGCTTACCATAATATTTGCATCTTGCTTATAACAAATTGCTAACCGGTAAGTTTATGGGGTAACATATGGGTCTCAGTTCTTTAGTTGGCGGCAGTTAAACAAATCCTACATTTTTACACATAAATAAATGCTTGAGAGAGAAACTACCCATTTTATGAAATCATATGTCCAGTTGGATGTAGGTCAGGAAGGACTTGCTAGTGTGTTAGTAGCCATAAAAACCTGCCCCATGCTAATTACTATTTAGTTGCAGGGGTTGGTTCAGCTAGCTATGCATACGTTATAGCCCATATGTACAAATCTTCCCATTTGTAGGAAGGCCAGATGGCCCCTCCCTAAGCACGAACCTTTCCTGCTACGTGGATTAACTATGAAAGATTTAAATTGCTTTCTTTTTAAAAAAAATAATTGACTTTAGTGCCAATATTTTTTATAGTTATCAGAGACTTTTAATTCAGAAAGAGCAGCAAATGCTATTTGTTCATGCAGAATTTTTGCTAGTGATTCATTGTTTTCACTTTGAAATACACATGAAACCATTATTCTTACTATTTCACAGAATTTTTTCATATATTATAGATTAACTTGTCTGAACTGGGTACTATGAATGGGGGTTATATACACTGATGATTAATGTTTACTATATTAAACAGTTTACTATATATATATATATATATTCATGTCTCCCAAAACATAATTTGAAATTACAGTTAATTTCTGTGGAAGAGTAAAATATCAAAATTTCTCTAAAAACAGGATTTATAAAATCATTATTGTTAGAAATAATATATTTGGAAAAATATTTCAGGTACAAAAGTAGATAAATAAAATACATATTATCAATTTTTGAAGCAAAAATTATACTCACTATATCATTCTATGGCAAAATCAACATGAAATAAACATATTATTGGCTTACTTCTTGCTATTAAATTTGAATATAACAAAATATTATTCATACAAAATATGATTTTTTATGAACAAAATGTTATTCACATAAAATAATCTGAATTAATGTTTTTCAAAGTCTTGTGTCAAGAGGTATTCATCTTAATTAGTATATAGTTAATTATAAATTTGATGTTTTTATGGTCAAATGACTTATTATTAACTAAGTCTGAAAGCCTATAATTAAAGTAAATCTACAAGGATGTCCTATAATGTATAATTACTGAAATGTCAGCATCCTCAGAATCTTCCACATTGAATACTCAAATTTAATTACAAACAAAAATAATCTTTTAAAATTTCTATGGGGAAGGCAGTCACACAATTCAATTATCCTATCCAAAGTGGGTCACCAAGCTAAAGAAAATAAAATTCTAAAGGTAAAATTCTAGTTAAAATTTGTATGTTTATCAAAATTCTATCAATTCCATCACTAAGATTTTAAATTATTAGATATGATAGTCCACTATTACTTATTAAATATTTTTATATATAGTTCAGGAAACACATGACGAGTTGACAGGAGTAGGCTTCAGACGATCGGTAATAGTTCAGGAAATACAAACAAAAATTCTGATAGCTACAAAGAGCTTTGTTGATGGGCTTGGAATATAAAATTTATAGATTTCAAAGAGGCGTATGAAAATATGGGCATTAGAGGAATAAAAGAAGACGGAGGAAAGACAGCTCCCAAATTTACAAATAAGACACATCTAGAAACTTGTAGTAATTGTGTAATAATCTGTTATGAGAGTTTGAAGTACCTCATGAACTTTAATGAACCATTTATTTTGTGACATTATTTTCTGTCCTTTAATCAGCAAGGTTTCTATTTCTTGAGTTTCATTTTAGAGAATAGGCTAATGAAATACTACAACCTTCTATAAATGAATGATTTTCCTGTAAAAATAATACAAAAGCAACAATATGTTTATGAATCAGGTATTGAAAATACTACGTATAAAAAAGAACCCCCATATTTTTTGTAATATTATTAAAATTTATTTACTGAAAATTGTGTCCCTAAGTTAACTAAGGCAGACAATGAAGTTGTCATTGTAAATGTAAATATTTCTTTATCCTTTTGATGAAGAAAATATTGTTGTTTCATAATATATTATAATTTGATTAATAAATTTGATCAGTATTTGAATACCTTCTCATTAAACCTAGGAAAATAATTAACTTTTTGAAATAATTTTGTCTACTCATATATCACAGGAGGACCATATTACACCAACAAGTTTTACATCATAATATGTCTTATGTTAGAAATAATAACAACCAGAATTTACTTGTTTTTCATCAGCAGCACTATTGACATTTTTGGCGACAATTTGTTGTGAGGAGCGCTCCTGCACATTATAAAATGTTTAGCAGCATTCATAACCTCTAACCACTAGAAGCCAGTATAGCACTTTGCCAGTTGTGACAACCAAAAGTGTCTTGACATTGCCAAATGTCCCCTGAAAGACAAAATTAATCCCACTTGAGCACTGTGCTAACCATAAGTGATGAACAAAATTTTGTATATTTCATGTTAAAAGAAAGAAGCCAATAATATGATAAAATATGTAAAAAACATATTATGAGGTTTTTTTTTCTTGTAAATTTGTTTAAGTTCCTTATAGATTCTGGATATTAGACCTTGGTCAGATGCATAGTTTGCAAAAATTTTCTCCCATCTATGGGTTGTCCATTTATTCTGTTGATAGTTTCTTTTGATGTGCAAAAACTGTTTAGTTTAATTAGATCCCACTCATCAATTTTTGCTTTTGTTTCAATTACTTTTGGTATCTTCATCATGAAATCTTTGCACATGCCTATGTCCTAAATGGTACTGCCTAGGTTGTCTTCCAGGGTTTTCATAGTTTGGGGTTTACATTTAAGTCTTTAATCCATCTTGAGTTAATTTTTGTATATAGTGTAAGGAAGGGGTCCAGTTTCAATCTTCTGCATGTGGCTAGCCAGTTATCTCAGTGCCACTTATTGAACAGAGAATCCTTTATCCATTGCTTGTTTTTGTCAGGTTTTGATCTTTGTTAAAGATCAGATAGTTGTAGGGTGTGTGGTATTATTTCTGTGTTCTCTACTCTATTCCATTGCTGTATGTGCCTATTTTTGTACTAGTACCATGTTGTTTTGGTTACTGTAGCCCTGTAGTATAGTTTGAAGTCAGGTAGCATTATGCCTCCAGCTTTGTTCTTTTGGCTTAGGATAGCCTTGGATATTCAGGCTTATTTTTGGTTCCACTTAAATGTTAAAATAGTCTTTTTTTTTTAGTTCTGTGATGAAAGTCAGTGGTAGTTTAATGGGACTAGCATTGCATCTATACATTGCTTTGGGTGGTATGGCCATTTGAATGATATTCTTCCTATCCATGAGCATGAAATGTTTTTTCCATTTGTTTGTGTCATCTCTGATTTCTTTGAGCAGTTGTTTGTAGCTCTCCTGGTAGAGATCTTTTGCCTCCCCATTTAGCTGTATTCCTAGGTATTTTATTCTTTTGCGGCACTTGTGAACGGGAGTTTATTCATGATTTGGCTCTCCCCTTGCCTGTTCTTGGCACATAGGTATGCTTGTGATTTTTCCACATCGATTTTGTATCCTGAGACTTTGACGAAGTTACTTATCAGCTTAAGAAGCTCAGACAATGGGGTTTTCTAGATATAACATAATGTCACCTGCAAACAGAGATAGTTTGACTTCCTTTCTTCCTATTTGTTTGCCCTTTATTTCTTTCTTTTGCCTGATTGCCCTGGCCAGAACTTCCAATACTAAAGAAACAGGAGTGATGAGAGAGGGCATCCTTGCCTTGTGCTGGTTTTCAGGGGGAATTCTTGAACAGACACTTTTCAAAAGAAGACATACATGTGGCCAACAATCATGTGAAAAAAAAGCCTGACATCACTGATCACTAGAGAAATGCAAATCAAAATCACAATTAGATACTATCTAACACCAGTCAGAATGGCTACTATTAAAAAGTAAACAAATAACAATTACTGGCAAGGTTGTGGAGAAAAAAGAATGCTTTCACACTGTTGGTGGGAGGGTAAATTAGTTCAACCATTGTGGAAGACAGTGTGCCAATTCCTCAAAGACCTAAAGACAGAAATATCATTTGGTCCAGCAATCCCATTACTGGTTATGTACCCAAAGGAATATAAACCATTCTGTTCTAAAGTTCCATGCACGTGCATGTTCACTGCAGCACTATTCACAATAGCAAAGGCATGGAATCCACCTAAATACCCATCAATGATAGACTGGATAAAAAAAAAATATGGTATGTATACACCAGAGAATACTAGGCAGCCATGAAAAAACGAGATTATGTCCTTTGCAGGGACATGGATGGAGTTGGAGGCCATGATCCTTCGTAAACTAACACAGACACAGAAAAGTAAATACCACATGTTCTCACTTATAAGTGGGAGCTAAATGATGAGAAAACATGGACACATAGAGGGGAACAACACACAGTGGGGTCTTTCAGAGGGTAGAGGGTGGGAGGAGGGAGAATCAGGAAAAACACCTAATGGGTTTTTACCTATTAGGTAAATACCTATTAGTATTTTACCTACTAGGTTTAATACCTGGACAATGAAATAATCTGTACAACAAACCCCTATGACACAAGTTTACCTATGTAACAAATCTGCACTTGTACACCTAAACTTAAAATAAAAGTTAAAAAAATTAAAACTTTATAAAACAGAGAAATCTAGTATATTTCTCTTTTTATAATAAAGCAGAAAAGAAGCATTTTTGTTTATAATATGTTCTCAGAACACAAAGTTGTTAAATCATAAAAAGGCACATTTATTACACTATATTAATTAAGACAGAAAAGAGAAATTTCAAAAATTGCTTACACACAATTTGACTACCAGTAGAAACTAAAATTGTATTTTGGTTCATGGCACTAATATTCAAGTTGTAATGTACAATGGCTCTTTTATCTTAATATTTTAGTATTTTGCATTTTAAATGTCATAAGTGTCATAAGCACACCCTATGGAATCAGTAATGGGGTACAGATAATGGAAATCAAACAAAAAAAATACCACAAAATCACCCTGCACCAGGTTGTTTTTCTTTTTTAAGATTCTTAACTCTGAGCCAGTTTTATTTAGTTGCAGAAGGTGGAAAACACAACTATCAGAGAAGTTTTCTGTATGATCTGGTGTGCATGTGTGTGCTACTTTAATGCTAATAAAATACAACTTAACTAAAATAAATTTACATAGAATATATTTCTTATTCTTTTCCACTACCAAGTGTTATTCAAATGAAATTATAGCAGTCCAATCCAGTTCTTCATCCTTATTCACTTGGGATTGTTTCTAGAAAACCCCACAGATACAAATATCTGCAAATGCTCAAGTCTCTTATATAAAATGGCACAGTAATTGCACATAACCTATGTACATCTTCCCATATGCTTTGTCATCTCTAAATTACTTATAGTACCTAATACAATGTAAATGCTATGTAAATAGTTGTTTCATTGTATTCTTTAGGGAATAATGATAAGAAAAATGTCTGCGCATGTTTAATACAGATGCAAGCCCGCATTTAAAAAAAATTTTTCAATCTGCAGTTGGTTGAAGCTGTGGGTACAACACCCACAGATGTGGAGAGCTGAATATATTTGATTTAGGCACAGTAACATGAAATATAAAAGAGGAAGAGATATTTTCTTATTTTTTCTTTTAGATTCTCATTGTGTTGCCCAGGCTAGAGTGCAGTGGCGTGGTCTTGGCTCACTGCAGCTCTCGCCTCCCGGGTTTAAGTGACTCTCCTTTCTCAGTCTCCCAAGTAGCTGGGATTACAGGTGCATGCCACCACACCAGGCTAATTTTTGTATTTTTAGTAGAGACGGAGTTTCACAGTGTTGGCCAGGCTGGTCTTGAACTCCTGACCTCAGGTGATCTATCGCCTTGGCCTCCCAAAGTGCTGGGATTACAGGCATGAGCCACTGCACCTGGCCCTATATTTTCTAAATTTTAATCTATCTTTGATCCTTCCCAATCTTTCTAATAATTAATAGAAAACTTTCTATAACAAATGTATAGTACCTTTAAGACAGACACCAGGCCGGGCCAGATGGCTCACGCCTGTAATCCCAGCACTTTGGGAGGCCGAGGCAGGTGGATCACGAGGTCAGGAGATTGAGATCATCCTGGCTAACACGGTGAAACTCCATCTCTACTAAAAATAAAAAAAATTAGCCAGGCATGGTGGCAGGTGCCTGTAGTCCCAGCTACTCAGGAGGCTGAGGCAGGAGAACGGCGTGAACCAGGAAGGCGGAGCTGCAGTGAGCTGAGATCGCACTACTGCACTCCAGCCTGGGCAACAGAGCAAGATTCCGTCTCAAAAAAATAAATAAAATAAAATAAAAAATAAATACAGGCACCAAAGTTCAATAATAACCGTTATTATTTAGTATATTTGGATTAGTGACCTGAAGTTTATAATATGAAAAACATATGAATGACTTTCTATTAATATTTTTAGATTTAAAACTTTTCATATTTTTGATGTTTAGTTTTCACTATCTACAAGATTATTTTCTTTAAAAATCTCTCATAACTTTATAATTTCCATTCAATGTACAGACCTTTTAAGATTACCATCTGCAGAGAACAATCATAAAATTGAAACAGCAAAGAAAGGTAACTTTCAGAATCACCAGAAATAAATTAGAAATCAGTAACAATAATATAACCATAAATCCCAAAATATTTGAAAATTAAACATCACACTTCTAAAAATCTAGTAGCTGAAAATGGAATGATATGAAAATTTTAAAAGATGGGAACAAAATAATAATAAAGATACAGCATATAGGACTTTTTGAGACACAGCTAAAGAAGTACCTAGAGGGCAAGACATACTGTTAAATGAAATAAAATAAGAACAATTTAAAATCAATGATTGAAACTCTTCCTTAGGAAATTAGAAAAAAAAATCAAAGTTTAAAGTAAGTAGAAGGAAGAAAATAATAAAGATGAGTATAATTCAATGAGATTAAAAAAGTTAAAAATAAAGAATATCAATGAACCCTAAAGCAGGCTCTTAGAAAAGATTAATAAAATGTATATGCCTGTAGGTAGATTGCCAAGAATACAGGGGGAAGTATAAATTACTAATATCAGGACAAAATGAGTGGTCATATTACAGATTCTACAGACTTTAATAACAAAACAGAGACATATAAACCAACTTTATTCCAATGAATTAGATGGCAAAATTAAAATTGATAAATTTCTTGAAACACACAGATTACCAAATATGACCAATGAAAAAATTTAAAACTTGAAAACTCCTTTCCCTATTAAGCAAATTGAAATTATAGCTTTCATAAAGAAAATGCTATATAGATTAACAGATGAATTCTATCAAACTTTTAAGAGAGAGCATTACCAATACAAACACCTCCTCCCTCAAAAAAAAAGAAACTATGATTAGGAAACATGTTTCAACTATATTTACAAGGCTGGTATTTCCTTATACTAAAATGAGGTAATTAACAAGAGAAGAGAATTATAAATCTGTCATAATCATAGATGTGAAAATCACTTTAAAATTTAAGCCAATTTAAGTCAATGATATATGTAAAAGGTAATACATAATAAACAAGTGGATTTATTCTATCAATGCAAGGCTGGTTTAAAGTCCAAGATATCAAACAATGTGATTCATCACATGATAAAATAAAAGAGAAAACAGAAAAACCCTAAGAGGACTTTAAAAGATCCAAATAAATATTTTAATAAAAGTCTCTGCCCATTCACATTTTAAAAAGGAAAGTAAGGATAATAAAATAACCTCTCAGCAAAATAGGAATATGGGGATAGAAGGAAAACATCTTAAACTGACTATGGATGTTGTTAGAAAGGAAAAATCCCACAAAACCATAGATAAAATTACACTTTTATCTTAGTGGTATACCTAAGACCAGAGAGAAAACAACAATAATGGTGTATTACCTCTCCTCAACATTATACTAGTGATCCTAGCCAGTGAAAGAAGGCAAGCAAAAGAAAAAGAGGTACAAAGTTTATAGTGCAAAGAGTATAACTGTTCATATTTTCAGGCAACATGATTATGTACATACAAACACTAAGGATCTACATAAAATCTTCTTGGCTGAGTCAATTTAGTAAGCTCACAGAATATAAGTTCACTATGCAAAAATTAGTTCTATGTTAATATTAGTAATGAACAATTAGAAAAAGAAATTTACCAATCCCATTAAAAATGAAAATAAAATACGTAGAAACAAATGTACCCAAAGTTGTGTTAAGATGTGTATATTGAAACCTATAAAACATTATAAAGTAAAATAGAAGACTAAATAGACAGATGTTTATAGCCCTTAAAACTAATTTGTGTTATGCATTTGTTTTCTAGATCAATTGTTGTTTGACAATGGTATTTTTTTTCTTTTTTTTTTTTTGAGACGGAGTCTTGCTCTGTCGCCCAGGCTGGAGGGCAGTGGCTCGATCTCAGCTCACTGCAAGCTCCGCCTCCCGGGTTCATGCCATTCTCTTGCCTGTCTCCTGAGTAGCTGAGACTACAGGCGCCCACCACCACGCCTGGCTAATTTTTTGTATTTTTAGTAGAGACGGCGTTTCACCGTGTTAGCCAGATGGTCTCCATCTCCTGACCTCGTGATCCGCCTGCCTCGGCCCTCCAAAGTGCTGGGATTGCAGGTGTGAGCCACTGTGCCCGGCTGACAATAGTATTTTTTTCAGAGATATCTACAATGACCTGATAGTTAAGATATTTAATGGATCCTTCACACTTCATACCATCAACATGAATCTGATATTGGGAAGCACTGAAATAACCTTCTAACCTATTAGAATAAAAAAAATCTGTCTACCTCCTTCAACTAACCCTGTTTGATATATCTTAGTAATGTATTTGGGTCACTTAATGTGCATGTTTCCAGAAAGGGATCATCTCCTCTCAGCTGCTTTCTGTGTTAGCATCAAGAAAAAGAGGGAAGAAAGTTGTATGTATTTATTTTTTAAATTAGTAATTTCACCCTGTTATTTTCCGGGAATGATGAATCTTTTTTCTCCTAACACTAACTCTAGGCCAGCCTAGTTGGTTACATGTTATGGGTGGAATTCCAGCAAAAAGTCGATTGGATTAAAATTTGCTCTTGGGACCCACCCAAATCTCATCTTGAATTGTAATCCCCATAATCCCCACATGATAACAGAGGGACCTGGTGAGAGGTGATTGAATCATGTAGGCAGTCCCCCCATGTTGTTCTCATGATAGTGAGTGAGTTCTCACGACATCTGATGGTTTATAAGTGTTTGGAAGGTCCCCTCTCTCATGCTCTCTCTCACCTGCCACCATGTAAGACATGCCTGCTTCCCCTTCTGCCATGATTGTAAGTTTCCTGAGGCCTCCCCAGCCATGCAGAGCTCTGAGTCAATTAAACCTCTTTCTTCATCAGTGAAGCCATCCAGTACTGGGTTTTTCTTTGTTGGGGGACTTTTTATTGTTGTTTCAATCTCAATACTCATTAGACAACTTGATTTGTGGCCTAACTCATTTTTTGTTTTGTTTAGGTTTTCTATTTTCCTGAAATAGAAAAACAAAACAAACCAAAAATGAATTCAATCTTAGTAGGTTTTTATGTGCCCAGGAACTTACCCATTTCCTCTAGGTTTTTCAATTTGGTTGTATATAATTGTTTATAGCAGTCTCTAATAATTCTTTGTATTACTGTGGTTTCAAATGTAATGCTTCCTTCTTCATTTCTAACTTTGAGTATTTTCCTTTTCTTTCTTAGTCTAGCTAAGGTTTTTATTTTGTTTTTCAACAAACCAACTTTTATTTCATTGATTTTTCTGTTTTTTGTATCAATTTTATTTCTGCTCTCGTCAGTATTATTTCTTTTCTTCTACTAATTTTGTGTTTAATTTGTTTTTTATTTTCTAGTTTCCTTGGTGTGAATTGTTAGGTTGTTTATTTGAAGTCTTTCTACCGTTTTATGTACGCATTTATCTCTTTTAACTTCTCTCATAATACTTCTTTTGCTGTGTCTCATAGGTTTTGGTGTGCTGTGTTTCTCTTTTCAGTTTTTCAAAAAATATTTAATTTCCTTCTTGATTTCTTCTTTGACCCATTGGTCATTCAGAGTATTTGGTTTAATTTCCATGTGTTTGTAAAGTTTCCAAAGTTTCTCTTGGTTATTGATTTTTAGTCTTATTCCATTATGGTCAGGAAAAAAATACTAGATATGATTTTTAATTTTTAAAATTTGTTGAGACTTGATTTGTGGCTGAATATACGGCCTATCCTGAATAATGTTTAACTTGCTGATGAGAAGAATGTGTATTCTAGAGCAGTTGGGTGAAGTATTTTGTTAATGTTTGTTGGGTCCATTTGGTCTATATTGCAGTTTAAATATAATATTTCTTTGTTGATTTCTTGTTTGTATGATCTGGCCAATGCTGAGAGTGGGGTGTTGAAGTTCTTAGCTGTTATTGTATTGGAATCTATCTCTTTGTTTTAATTGAATATTATTTGCTTTATATATCTGGGTGTTCCAGTGTTTGGTGTGTATATATATATATATTTATAATTACTATATACTTTTGCTAAATTAATCCATTTATTATTATATAATGATGCTCCTTGTTTCTTTTTACAGTTTTTAACTTGAAGTCTATTTTATCTCATGTAAATATAACTAATCCTGCTCATTTTAAATTTATGTTTGTGTGGAATAGCTTTTTCCATTTTGTCTCTTTAAATCTATGTTTGTCTTTCCAGGTAAAGTGAGTTTCTTGTAGGCATACAGTTGGATCTAGCTTTTTTAATTCATTCAGTAAGCCTAACCGTTAAATGAGGAAAATAATTCATGCACATTCAAGGTTATTATTAATAGGTGAGGATTTACTGCTGTAATTTTAAAAAAATGTCTTCTTGTTGTTTTTATCTTTCCTCCTTTTATTGCTTATCTTTGTGGTTTGGTGGTTTTCTGTCATAATTACATTTGCATCATTTCTCATTCTCATTTGTGTATTTGCTCTACTAGTGAGTTTTATATTTTCACATGTTTAAATTGTGATAGTTATCTTTCATTTGCTTTCAGATCTAAGACTCCCTTAAGCATTTATTGTAAGATTAGTCTAGTGGTGATGAATACCCTCAGATTTTGCTTGTGTGGAAAAGACTATTTCTCCTTCATTTCTGAAGTGTAGTTTTGCTGAGACTAATAATCTTGGTAGGCTGTTTTTTTTCTTTTTCTTTTTCTTTTTTTTTTTTATCCTTTCAGCTCTTTTAATATATTTTCCTTTTCTCTCCTGGACAGGAAGGTTTCTGCTGAGGAATGTACTGTCAATCTAGTGGGTATTTCCTTATGTGTTACTTGATGCTTTTCTCATGCTATTTTTAGAATTCTGTCTTTTTCCTTGACTTTTGACAGTTTGACTATAGTGTGCATTGGAAAGGACCTTTTTCTGTTGAATCTCTTCGGGATCTTTGAGATTTCTGGATCTAGGTGTCTATATTTCTCCCAAGACTTTGGAATTTTTTTAGCTATTATCTCATTAAATACTTTCTTTATGCTTTTTCCATCTTTTCTTTTTCTGAACCTTTCATAATGCTAGTATTTGCTGGCTTAATGATGTCCCATAAGTCCTGAACACTTTTCTTTTATTCTTTTTTTTTTTGCTTTTTGGCTACTGGAGTATTTTAGAATACTTGCCTTCAAGGTCAGAAATTTTTCTTCTTGATCTAGACTATTGTTGAAGATCACTATTATATTTTAAAATTTCATTCATTGAATTATTCAGCTCCAAGATTTCTGTTTGTTTCCTTTTATATCTATCTCTGTTGAATCTCATTCAGATAATGAATTGTGTTCCTGATTTCAGTGAATTATCTATCTATACTCTCTTATATCTTGCTGAGTTTTCTTAAGATTATTATTTTGAATTTCTTTTAAGCATTTCATAATTATTTTCTTTAGGGTCTACTACTGAGGAATTATTGTGTTCTTTTGGGGTGTTGTTTCCTTGCTTTTTCATGTTTCTTGTGTCACAACATTAAAATCTGTGCCTCCGGTGAAACAGTTGCTTCTTTCAATTTTAGGAAGCAGCCTTTGTAGGGAAATACTTTTTCCTATATGTGACCTATAGTGTCAGTTGGGTGAGTTCCTTAAGATTTGCTTCTATGTGGATTCAGTAGTGTAATCTTTGTGTAATTTTTTCATCTGTAATCAGTGTCATTGATATTTGCAAGTACTTTAGTGGACTAGACTGAAGGTGTTTATGGAGGCAGTGGTGTGACTTTTCTGGAGATGAAGTCACTGACAGTAGGTGCCTGACAGGCCAGTTCTTGAGCCCTAGGCAGTGTGTGCATGTTGCTAAATAGCTCCACTAGCTAATCATGTAGGTTAGCTAGCGGTGGTAGATGCCAGGAAGCCAGCTCCGAGGCCTTGGAAAGCACACATTTCAGTTTTTATGGTTTTGGAGGCAGCTCTCTGCTATGTTAGATCACCTGGTTTGGGGGACACAGCGTGTTGCACAGGCTGAGGTACAAGGAATATAGCTATACTGCTGGATCCAGCTGGAGTCATGGTGTTACAGCTTATTGTGTGCACATGGTGGGATGATGGCTGGGCCCCACAGATATAGAGATGCGGGGGCTACTAGCCCCCAGGACAGCATGCTTTTCAGCAGTGGCTCCATTCTCCAAATGATACCATGCTACAGCAGCTTGGGTCCTGGGGAGTAGGGGGAACCAGCTGTTTTCTGTCTGGAGCAATTCATCATATGGGCCCCAGGTGGCCCCCTGTATAGTAAGCTCAGGGCCCGTGAAAATTGTATGACTCTTCTGTAGTTAGAATTGCAGGCATCTGTGGTGGTATTAATAATTAGTCATGGGGACTGCTGGAGATCTCCCATTTACCTATTTACCACAATGAGGAGTCCCTAATGGCTCTGGGCCAATCCCTGCTGAGTGCTTTGCTTTCCTCTCTATGATGCCACCCTATGTTTCCATGTTTCAGAGAGTCTTTGTCACTTCTTTGCAAAATTCCAGTGTTCTCTCTTAAACACTCCATTCAAAATGAAGTTATCTATTTGTTGTTTTGTTTTATCTTTGTGAAGAAGAGCATTGAACACTTCTAATTAGCCATCTTGATGATAACAATTCTGGTCATTGTGTTTTGAGGAATAAAGTTCTTTGTCTCTGACCCAGAGTCTCATATCTTTTGCCATCATCAATAAAATTGTAGAAGCTGAGTAGCTTTCAAGTGGAGTAAATCTTTGACCCTTCAGTTTTTGATACAATGTTGAAAAAAAAGTGCTTAAAGTAGACATTTTTCTTGTTCCTGATATTAGGGAAAACAGATTTAGTATTTTATTCTTAGTTATGATAATATCTACGGTATTTTTTCATAGATGACCTTTTTATCAAGTTGAGAAAGCTTCTTTTCATACCAGCTTTGCTGGAGTTTTATGATAAATGTCTTATGGATTTTGTCAAATGCTTTTGTTATGTCTATGAAGATGATTGTCATTTTTTAGTCTTTTAGTAGGAAGAATTTCACTGATTGATTTTTAAATGCTATCACCCATGCATTAATGAGATAATCTCCCACTTATTTATATTTTATCCTTTTTTTTTTTTTTTTTTTGAGAGACGGAGTTTTTCTCTTGTTGCCCAGGCTGGAGTGCAATGGCGCGATCTCAGCTCACCGCAACCTCAGCTCACCGCAACCTCCACCTCCCAGGTTCAAGCAATTCTCTTGCCTCAGCCTGCGGAGTAGCTGGAATTACAGGCATGAGCCACAATGCCTGGCTAATTTTGTATTTGTAGTAGAGACAGGGTTTCTCCACGTTGCTCAGGGTGGTCTCAAACTCCCGACCTCAGGTGATCCGCTCGCCTCGGCCTCCCAAAGTGCTGGGATTACAGGCGTGTGCCACCACGCCTGGTCTTTATCCTTTTTGTATATTATTGAGTTTAATTTGCTAAATCATTGTCAAGGTTATTTTACATCTAGGTGTATAAGGGATTTTTTTTTTTTTTAATTTTAGTACTGTTGGTTTTTGGCATCAGGATAATTAGGACCTTATAGAATAATTTGGGAAATATCCCCTCCAATTTAACCTGGAAGAATTTGTGTATAATTGGTATTATTTCTTCTTTAATTGTTTGGTAGACAATTCATTAATATTTAAATTTCTTTTTTCCCATATAATCATTTATAGCCATATTTTTTTCCTAAACTTTAGGTGCATTCTTCAATTAGAGATACATTGTGTTTTCTTTATCAGTCAATACAAAGTATTTTCTTATTCTCTTGGGGCTTTCACCATGGAATATTTAGAAGACTGTTCTGTAAATCTGGGATTTTTCAAACATTTTCCCTTACTGTTTTTTTTTATTTCATTATGATAAGTGAATATACTTTATATATTTTCAATTTTTCTATATTGTTTGAGACTTATGTACTGTTTTAGAATATATCTTAGTAAATGTTTCATGTAAAGTTGGAAAACATGAGTATTCTCTTACTTTTGGGTATAGTATTTTGAATATGTCAATTAGATCAAGTTATATTATAATGCTATCTAGGTTTTTATAATCTTAGTAATTTTCTTTCTACTTAAAAAAAATTCCAGAGAGAAAGAGAGATGTTTCAATTCTCCAAATCTGATTGTGATTTATCTATTTCTCTTTTAATTTCTATTTATTTTTGCACTATTTTTTGAGCTCAGTTGTTTAATATATACACTTTTAGAATTATCTCTTTCAAAGCATTGACTCCTTATCATTATGAAATTTTCCTCCTTATCTTTGGTAATATCTCTTTTTCTGAAGTTTATTTAGATGTCAATATAATTATTCCACATTTCTTGTGAGCAAATATTGCATAATAAAATATTTTTATTCTTTTTCTCTTAATTTATTTTTGTCAGTAGTCAAGCCAAGTTTCTTGTAGACAGCATGTAATTGGGCCTTGCTTTCTATTCAGTTTAACAATTTATTTCTTTTAATTTTTTTGTTTGGACTCTATTTAATATAATATAAATCTGTTTTATTTAAATATCTCATCTTGCTGTTTCTCATCTGTTTTTCTCATCTGTTTTTGTAAATTTTCCCCTTTTTAAATTATTAATATTTTTATGCATTTTATTTTATCTCCTCTATTGGCTTATTTGCTATCTCTCCTTGTTTTTATTTTCTTTGCTTGTTTTGTTTAATGGATACTGTTGGGATTATAACATATACCTTTAATTTATGAGAGTACATCTTTCAATAGCATTATACAAGTTCACATATCACCCTACATTATACTGAAATTTCCCCATCTCATCATTTATGCTGTCATTTTAATGCCTTGTATTGTTTCATTCTTTATAAATCCTGCAAAATGTTACCACTGTGTTTTGCTTTGCACAGTTAATTATCCTTTAAATAATTTAAAAATGATTTTAAATATGCCACATTAACCCCATTTTCACCATTTCCAGGACTTTTCTTTCTTTGTGTAAATTCAATTTTCCACTAGTATCACTATTTCCACTTCTTTTAGCGTGTCTTATAAGGTAAGACTGCATCATTAATTATTCCAGCCTTCCTTTTAAAAAGTTTTCATTTTCCTTTATTTTTGAAAGATATTTTGGCTAGATATGCAATTGTAGATCTACAGTATTTTTTCAGCACTGTTGATATGATTTGTCTTCTTGTTTGCATAATTTCTGTTGAGAAAATTGCTGCTATTCATAAATATATGTTTTCTTTGAGTGTGCTTATAATTTTTCAATTAAATATTGGTTTTCAGCAATTTCATTGTAATATATTTTGGTATTTTGTTGTTGTTTTATTCTGCTTGGGGTTTGTTGAGCTTCTTAGGAATATGGGTTTTCAAACAATTTGGCAGTTGTATCATCAAATATATGATCCTTAGTCCTTTTCTAGAATACATATTACACATTGGTGCAATTGCCTAAATTGTTCACAGATCATAGAGACTTTTTTCCTAGTCTTTGTGCTCTCTGTTCTTTATTTAAAACAGTTTCTAACATTAATTCTTTAACTTCATTCATCTTTATTTCTGAATATCTAATCTATCCTTGTCTGTCTAGTGAACTGATCACTTCAGATTTTGTGTTTTTTAATCTCTTGAAGTTTAAATTTTTGGTCTTTAATTTTTCATCACGTATTTTGTTTTCTTTACATTATTGAGGGTCTTTAAAATTGTTATTTTAATGTTTATTATTTAGTGTTTATAATTTCATCATCTGTTATTTCTAAGCCATTATACCTTCCAATTAACAGTGCACAAGAGTTCCAATTTCTCCACATCCACACCAATATTTATTATTTTGTTTCTTTTTTTTAATACTAGCTATTCTAATAACTGTGAGATGGTATCTTGTGGTATTGATATGTATTTCCCTAATGATTAGTGATATTGAGCATATTTTCTTGTGTCAAAAAGACTATATGTATATCCCCTTTGGTGCTCGCTTCGGCAGTACATATACTAAAATTGTATATCACCTTTGGAGAAATGTCAGTCAAGTCCTTTGTTCTTTTCTTAATTGGGTTGTTTCATTTTTTGTTGTTGAATTTTAGAAATTCTCTAAATATTCTAGATATTGTTTCCTTATTGGATACATGGTTTGCAAATATTTTCTCCCATTCTCTAGGCTGCCTTTTCAGTCTGTGGATAGACATGTTCTTTGATACACAAATGTAGCTTTTTAAACTTTTTTTTTCTTTTCTTGCCTGTGCCTTGGGTGTCATAATCAAGAAATCACTGCCACATCTAATATCATGAATATTTTTTCTGTTTTTTTCTAGGATTTTTAGTTTTAGCTTTTATGTTTAAATGTTTAATACATTTCTAGTTAATTTTGTATATGGTTGCAGGTAAGGATCCAACTTTATTTTTTTGAGATAATATTCAATTTTATAGCACCATTAGCTGAAAAAAACTGGCCTTTCCCCCATTGAATGGCCTTAGCATTCTTGTTAAAAATCCTTTGACCATGTTATGTGAGGACTTATTTCTGGGCTCCTTATTCTAATCCATTAGTCCATCTGTCTGTCTGTAATTCTGGTATCACTGTTTTAATTAAGTTTTGAACTAAAGAACATTGTTGGGATATTAATAGGGATTTCATTGTATCTGTAGATAACTGGGTAGTATTGGCATCTTTAACAATATTAAGCCTTACAATCTATGAAAAAGTGCTATATTTCCAGTTCTTATTTAAAAAATTTTTTTTCAACAGTGTTTTTTAGTTTTTATTATACAAGTCTTTCACGTCCTTGGTTATTCCCAAGTATTGCATTCTTTTTAAGGTGATTATGAATGAAATTGTTCTCATAATTTTCTGTTTAGATTTTTAATTGTTAGTGTGTAGAAATGCCATTGATTTGGGCTTTGTACTCTGCTACTTTGCTGAATTCATTTATTAGTTCTAACAATTTTTTGTGCAATATTTAGGGTTTCTACATATTATATTATCTGTGAATAAAAATAATTTTACTTCTTTATTTCTAATTTGTATGACTTTTATTTCTTTTCCTTGCATTATTGCTCTAGCTAGGATTTTCAGTATCTGTTAAATAGAAATGATGAAAGCAGGCATCCTTGCCTTGCTCTTGATTTTAGAGAAAATGATTTTGTCTTCAATCATTGAGTATGAGGATCACTGTGGGTTGTTTATACATGGATTTTATTATATGGATGAAATTTCCTTCTGTTCCTAGATTGTTGAGAGGTTTTATGATGAAAGCATTTTGAATTTTTTCCTGCATAAATTAAGAAAACCATGTGTTTTTCCCATTCATCCTGTTAATGTGATATATTAGAATAATTGATTTTTTGATGTTGAATCATCTGGCAGCATTCCAGGAATAAATCATACTTGGCTATAATGTATAATTGCTTTAATATGCTGCTGAATTTCGTTTGCTAGTATCTTATTGAGGAATTTTGCATCAATGTTAATGTGGTATATTGGTCTGTTTTTGTGTTTGTTTCTTTCTATTCTTGCAGTGTTCTTATCTGGCTCTCATATGTAAACAGTGTTGGCCTCATGGAATGAATTACTATTTCCTTCTTTTTAATTTTTAAATATTTGATAGGATTCATGAGTGAAATTATCAGAACTGTTCATTTTTTTAAATTACAGATTCAATCTCCCTGTTAGGTATGTCTGTTTAGGTCCATTTCTTCATGGTTCATTTTTTTAAATTACAGATTCAATCTCCCTGTTAGGTATGTCTATTTAGGTTTTCCATTTCTTCATGGTTCAGTTTTTGTAGGTTTCGTATGTGTAGAAGTTTGTGCAATTTGTCTAAGTTATCCAACATTTTATCATAAGTTGTTTATGGTACTCTTTCATAATACTTTTTTATTTCAGTAGAATTTGTACTGATTTTTACAATTTTAATATTTTATTTTACATACTTTTATTTCTGATTTTAGTAATTGACTGCCTTCAATTTTTTCTATCTCCTATTTAATTTACGTTTTCTCTAATCATTGTTATCTCATTTTTTTTGCTAGCTTTGGATTATTTTGTTATTTTCCTAGTTCCTTATGTTGTAACATTAGGTTGTTGGCAGTCGTTCTCTTTTTTAAATGTAAGCATGTATAGCTATAAATTTCCCCCTTAGCACTGCTTGTGTTGCATCTCATAAGTTTTGGTATGTTACGTTTTCATTATCATTCATCTAAACATTTTCTCATTTCTCTTGTTATTTATTTTATCCATTGATTGTTTAAAAATTTATGGTTTAATTTCCCCAAACGTGTAAATTTTCCATTTTTTTCTTCTATTATTCAGTTCTAATTTCATCCTATAGTTGTAAAAGTAGATAGTTCGTACAACATTAATCTTTTAAAATCTATAGAGGCCAAGTGCAGTGACTCACGCCTGTAATTCCAATCCTTTGGGAGGCTGAGGCGGGCAGATCATTTGAGATCAGGAGTTTGAAACCAGCCTAGGCAATATGGCAAAACACTGTCTCTACTAAAAATACAAAAATTGGATGGATGTGGTGGCTCAAGCCTGTAATCCCAGCTATTACAGTGACTGAGGCGAGGATCACTACAACCATGAGGCAGAGGCTGCAGTGAGCCGAGATGGTGCCACTGCACTCCAGCCTGAGTGATAGACTCTGTCTTTTTTGAGATTCTGTCTCAAATGAATAAATAAATAAATAAAATCCATAGAGACTGAATTTGTGGTCTAATATCCAATCAGAAAATATACCTTATGCACCTGAAAAGAATGTGTTTTCTGTTGCTGTTTGGTAGAGTGTTTGTATATGTCTCTACATCTTAGGTATAGTTCATTTATTGAGCTATTCATCTGTATTATTATTCTGTCCATGATTGAAGTCTTTGACTATTATTATTAGAACTATTTATTAGAATGTTTTATTTCTCCATTCAATTTTTTTTCAATTATTCTTCATATATTTTGATGGTCTGTTATTAGTTATATATGTGTGTATAATTTTTGTATTTTCCTGCTGTATCAAATATTTTATTAATATATGATATCTTTTTCAGTCTCTTGTAACTTTTTAAATTTAAAGCCCATTCTGTCTGATATTAGCATGACCACCTCTGTTCACCTTTAGTTCCTATTGGCATGAAATAACTTTTTACATCCTTCCACTTTAATTGTGGCCTTTGGATCTAAAATGAATCACTTATAGACACCATATACAGTAGCATCTAGTGATTATGTTTTTAAAAAATCAATTCTATCAACTTTCTTTTGATTGGAGAGTTGAATCTATTTCTATTCAAAGTAATTACTGATAAGAAAGGTCTTACTGCTGTTATTGTGCTGTTTGATTCTTGCAGGCCATATAGCTTTTTGTCCTGCATCTTCTGCATTACTATCTTCTTTTCTGTTTGCTTAACTGATTTTTCATAGGAAAAGATTTTAATTTCCTTCTCATTGCCTTTTGTGTATGTTGTATAAGGATTTTTTTTTGTGGTTGCCCTGGAGACAACATTTATTATCATAAAGTTAAAGCACTCTAATTTGAATGTATACCAATTTGACTTCAATAACATACAAATTTTCTTCTGCTTCACAGCCCTCTCCTCACTCCTTTGAGTTATTAATGTCACAATATTACATCCTCATATACTCTGTGTCCAGAAACAGAAACTGCCATTTTTAGTGCATTAGTCTCTTAAATTACGTGGAAAACAAAATGTGGTATTAAAAACCAAAGGTAAAATAATACTATCTTTTAGACTAATAATTTTTAAAATGTGTTAGTCTCCTAAATCACACACCAAAAAGATTGAGTTATAAACCATTATTAAAATAATATTAGATTTTATAGTTTCCTGTGCATTTACCTTTACTGAGATCTTTATTTCTTCACATGACTTTGAGTTACTGTTTAGCATTATTTTTATTTCAACCTTCAGTAATCCCTTTAGCATTTCTCACAGGACAGATCTAGTGGTAACAAACTTCTTTAGCTAACTTCTATAGCTGTTTTCTTTAGCAAACTTTCTTAGTGGTTTTTTTTTTTTGTCAATTTTGAAAGATAGTTTTTCTGGATATAAGATTCTTTGTCCACAGGGTTTTCTTTTGTTTCAGCACTTTGAAAATATTAGCCCACTCCCTTTCATCCTCCAAAATTTCTGGTGATAAATCTGCTGATGATCTCATCGAAAATCCTGTTTGTTATTAAGTCATTCATCTTCTTGCTTTCAAGGCTCTCTCTTTTTTTGTCTTTCAATAGTTTGATTGTAATGTTTCTCAGTGTGGTTCTCTGTATTCATTCTACCTAGAGTTCATTAAGTTTCTCGAATGTTTATATTCATGTCTTTCATCAAACTTTCAAAGTTTTTAACCATTATTTCTTTAAATAACCTCGACACTACTTCTCTCTCTCTTTCTCTTTTCTGCAACTACTGGGTTGTGGCTGTTTGTCCATTTCATGATGTCCTCAGCTAGCTTAGGCTTTGTTCACTTTTATTCAATTATTTTTCTTTCTGTTATCTTAAGACTATTATTTCCAATTGTCCTATCTTCAAATTCACTGATTCTTTCTTCTGTTCATATATGCCCTTGAATCCCTCTAGTGAAATTTTCATTTCAGTACTTTTATATTTTAGCTCTGAAATTTCTCTTTGATTTTTTTAAGGTTTCCAATCATTTTATTTATATTTTCATTTTGCCCATACATCATTTTCTTAACTTTCTCTACATTATCCTTTAGACCTTTGAGCATCTTTAAGACACTTATTTTAAAGTCTGTCTTGTAGTTCTGCCAGCTGGTCTTTCTAAGGTACAGTTTCTGTAGGTTTTGTATTTTTCCTTTGAATGGGCCTTAGTTTCTCATTTTTTGCATGCTCTGTAATATTTTTGATAAAAATAGTACGTTCCATCTAATAATGTAACTCTGGTAATCAGATTTTTCCCCTTTTTCATGTTTTTTGTTTGGTTTTGTTTTCATTGTATTATGTTTTTTATTGTTATCAACTGTCTTTATACTGAGGATCAATCTGAAGTGTAAACCTGAAATCTTCTGAGGTGTTTTCTGAGCCTGCACCTTTCCCTGGGCATGCATGGAGACCTTCTCATTTTCCCTATATGCTGTTTTTTTTTTAATATCCTAGTATTAAATGACTGATTCCCAAAAGAAGAAAAAAGAAAAAAAAAACTGAAAGGAGAGTGGATAATGCATTAGCCTTTTAAATCCCTGAAAATTACTTCAGCTTAAGGAGAGAGGCTTACAACAAGGTTACGGGGTACAAAATGTCTACCTGCCTCTGTATCTGTACCTCCACGATCAGAAACATGAGGTTAGAATACAGATATGAGGTTAGAATCACTGATAGATGGAAGGCAGAATACTTATTGCCCATGGAATTAGTCAGAATCAGTTTTATATATAATTATATGCTGTATATATGCAATATTACATATACAATATGTAGCATATATTAAACTAATATATTATGGTGTGTATGTATGTGTGTGTATATATATATATATATATACACACACACACACACATATATAGTCTATCTACCTATCTACCTATCTATATAATTGGCTCACAGTTATAGAGTCTGACAAGTCCTAACATCTGAAGGGTGAGTCAGCAAGTTCAAGACCCAGGAAGGTCCAATGTTTTACTTTGAAGATGGTAAGGCAGGTATAATTCTTTCTCATTGGAGTAGCATCAGCCTTTCTGTTGTACTTAAGCCCTGATCTTATTGAATAAGACTCACCCACATTAAAGAGGGAAATCTGCTTTACTTATTTTACCAGCTTAATTGTTAATCTAATTCCAAACATTCCATAGAAACACCCAGAATAATGCTGGACCAAATATCTGAACACCCCATGACCCATCCACTTGACACATAAAATTAACCATCACACCCACCTTGGTTCCTGCTAACTGTGTGAAAATTGCTCTGGAACACGCGTAGGACTGTCTGCCAAGAGGTTGGAGGGTGAGGAATGCGTAGCTGCTGCTGAGAAAGGAGCTGAATTTGACCAAAAGTAATGGCGATTTACCATTTAAGTCTTCCTCTGGAAGTTGCGAAGCTTCATGAGACTCCAGAGTCTAGTCAGACAGCTTCTGGCCATGCAGCTGTTATCTAAGTGGAGAGAGATTACTGGTATCTTTAATTCCACTATCTTCACAGAATCGTCTCTTATTTCTACTATTTTTTGACTTGATATTGTATGTAATGTGATATGGTTTGTCTGTATCCCTACCCAAATCTTATCTTGAATTATAGCTTCCATAATCCCCATGTGTTGTGGGAGGGACCCAGTGGTAAGTAATTGAATCATGGAGGAGGGTTTTTCCCGTGCTGTTCTCATGATAGTAAATAAGTCTCATGAGAGCTGATGGTTTTCTAAAGGGCAGTTCCCCTGCACACGCTCTCTTGCCCGTTGCCACATAAGATGTGCCTTTGCTCCTCCTTTGCCTTCCGCCATGATTGTGAGGCCTCCCCAACCATGTGGATCTGTGAATCCATTAAACCTCTTTTTCTTTATAAATTACCCAGTGTCAAGTATTTCTTCACATGAAAATAAAAATGGGCTAATACATAATGAATATTACATTATTATGCATTCAGATTTTGTCTTTCTTTGTATAACATTGAATTTTCTTTTTTAGAAACCAGCATGGCACATGTATACATACGTAACTAACCTGCACATTGTGCACATGTACCCTAAAACTTAAAGTATAATAATAATAAATAAAAAACAAAACAAAAACAAACAAACAAACAAAAAAGAAAATACTTGTTGGGCAAGTTAATCCTTTAAAATAATTTTTGGTTTTTAAGCATTTTTGACCAAGGTTGTAATAGTATTGGTTTTTAAGCATTTTTAGATCAATATTGTAATAATATTAATTCTAATTCTAGCTTAGTTATGCTACTAAGACATGGGCCACCATGATTCTCTGCAAATTTGCTTATTTATTCAGACATTTCTTCAATTGGCTTTTGGACAAGAAACCCAGAGGGCATAATTTTACCAATATATTTTCATAGGAATTACTGGAGAGAATGAGGTAAAGATACTTTTGAAATAAAGACTTCACAAAGCAGTGGAAATGCAGAACATTAAAGGGAATAACAAAATCTTAAGAGTAATTTTATGTCTTTTTTATGACTTCTTTACATATAACCTATCACTTATCATTTGATGCTGCATGGTTGATGATTTACTCAGATCTATGTTTCAAGTCACATATTTGTTTGTTTTTTTTTATTTTGAGAACTATTAAAAATTTAATTACATGCCCTCAAAATTAATCTTGAAGCCTTACTCCTCAATATAACCATATTCAGAGATAGGACTTGTGAGGAGGTAATTAATGTTGAATGAGGTTAGAGGGTGGGTTTCTAACTCAATAAGGCTAGTGTCCTTATAAGAAGAGGAAGAGAAACCAGAGTGCTCTCTCTCTCTCTGGACACAAACGCAGAAAGGTCATGTGATGACAGATGGGAGGTGCCATTTAAAAGCTGAAAAGAGAGGCCTCACCAGAAACCAACCATGTTGGCAACATAGTCGTAGACAGGCAGCACTCATAACTGCGATAAAGTAAGTGTTTGTTGCTTAAGCCACCCATTCAGTAGTATTTTGTCATGGTAACCTGAGCAGACTAATAAACTCTGTAATTTCTATGACTATTTTTTGCTTCTTTTTTAAACCATTCTAGTCTAATTTGACATTGTCCTGTGTTTTCTACATGATATTTTGATCCCTTTTTATTGTTATTTCTATTCGTTGTGTGAAAATATTATGATTCTTTTATCATTTTACTTTCTCTCATAATGGTTCATTTCTTCATATACTTTATTGGTATGAGTTTATCTTGTGAAGATTTTGTTTTGGTTTTGGTTTTGGTTTAGGAAACCTGCATTCCTTGGGTTAGGAAGCACTCATTCTGGGAGGCTTCACTGTCCTTCCTGCTTTCTCTCTAGGCAGTATATGTCTGTGTAAATTTGAATCCCACACAGGAAGTGGACTAACCCGAGGGTTCTATTTTATTTTTTCATTTTGCCTATTTGTATTTTCGTGGCCAAAGGAAATTGACAGATATTTTCTTTTAATTTTCCTAGTTCTCCTTTTATGAATAAGGTAGGTCTTCTTAATGATCTACTTAATGTAAATAGATCGAGTTTATAATCCTACAGGTTTATGAAATAGATTTCTGTTTTGTCAATTTATATTTGGCCAAAGGAAATTGACAGATATTTTTCTTTTAATTTTCCTAGTTGTCCTTTTATGAATAACATAGCTCTTCATAATTGCCTACTGAATGTAAATAGATCGAGTTCATAATCCTACAGGTTTATGACATAGATTTCCTCCTGATTAGAGATTTAGGATGAAACCCCTAAGGTCTACAGCTGGCTCTGACTAGATATAGAGGAACAATCTTCTAATTAAAGATTGTTTCTCATGTAATGTTTCTTAATGTCCAAAATGTGGAGAAAAATTTTAAGACACATTAAAATAGGCTTTATGTCTGTATCTCTGACCAGATATAGACCTTAGGGATTTCATCCTTAATCTCTAAAGAGGAGGAAATCTATTTCATAAACATAGAGCCATTGACTCCATTGAGCTGTTTTTGTTTCGTCATTGACTCATGGCATTAGTGAGATTCTGTTTAGTTTCTGAAAATTGTGGATTTCTAAGCATTTATTAAGGAGTAGAGTCTTCCATGTTAGTCCAATGTCCCATATAGTGTAGAAATCTATTTAATATCTTTAGGTCTCTGTTTATAGATCTGTAAAATGGAGATAAGAATCCCTAATGTACTGGATGTTCATGAAAGCAGTTTACATTAACATATATTAATGACTTAGCATATTTCCTGGTGAATCATAAATATTCAGTAAATATTAATCATTAATATAATTCTAAAAAAACATCCGTTTAAATTATGACATATGAAGCTATCAAAACTCACCATTTGAAGCAATTTGAAATTATTCACGTTTTATATTTTTTCTAACAAAAGATTGTTTCTCATGTAAAGTTTCCTAACATCCAAAAATGTGGAGGAAAATTCTGAGACACATTAAAATTGCCTTTATGTTATTTGCTTTTGCCTAAGTTTTCTAATATATGTTGAATTTCCTGCAAGTGGCATTATGTTTTGGGTTACTGTCTGAGCTTTGCAATTTTGTACAAAGATTTCATGCAAAAAAGGCTACAGTGTTCTATTCTGCTGGAAGCATTTTTCAGTAAATGTATTTTTAATTTTTCTTATACAACTTTGATGTCTAATGAATGGATTTTCAAATATTATAATTACAAGAGAGAGGCAGTTAGGTCTGAGGGCAAACAATTTGTAATTCAGAACTTCTGATAGTTTTTGATAAGCCAGTTTAAAGTATCTATAAATCTGTGTATATATTATATTAATTTTATTGATTAAAATCATTATAAATTATTTGAAGGATGAATATGGAATCTTTGCTCTTAGAGGAATTAGAGAATGAAAGGAAGAAAGAAGAATGAAGAGAGAGAGAGAGAGAAAGGGAGAAAAGGTGAATCCATTGAGTTAGATTAGTAAATAATTAAGAGTGGTTAAAACAACAATGTTCACACATTTTTAATTTAAGACTGTTCGATCCTTTTAAAATTCATTTGAATCTGCAATTATTTAAGCTGTGAGCTGTGCACTGAAGAGAGAGTAAAACTATAGATTTTAAGATTGTAGCTGGAGGTAATATATAAATCCAATTGATCGGTCTGGCAGAGAATTGATGCCACAATTTGTACCCAGTGGCATTTTCTCTCTCTTACTCAACTGGCTTTAGAACATTATCAGAAAGTCAATATGATATGCCAATATAGTGATATACGTTCAGTCATAAGTCCCTTGTTCAGATTAAAACTTAGGCACTCACATTGTGGATAATAATGGACAGACAGCCTGACTCCCTGTCACTCTGTGTCACTCAGAGAGAACTTGACTTAACTTTACTGCAGGTTACCATACAGTTTTTAGTGTTCCCAAGAGACAGTCAAACCAGTAACAAAGGACGTCTGTCTCTTCAGGACAAAACAAAATTGAAAGAAAGGATAATATATACCTAGAGCTGCAGTCTGACTGCAGAGCATTCTCTAGCAGCCTCCTGTCTCCATCAGCTTTTCCTGATGTTCTGATCAAGTTACCTTTAAAATTCACTCTTGATTTCATGTTTTGATTCTCTTTCTCTTTTAATTTATTAATGCGTTTACTACCTCAGCATTATCTTTACAGCTCATTCCCTTCCAAGCTTGCTCATTCCCATAAAACTATTGAGAAAGTTTTACTGTCTTTCAATTCCTTGTATTGTAATTTAATTCTCAAGGTTATTCTATGTCACAAAGGTTTTTATTTTCTTAATAGTGCAAAGCTCTGTGAGAGGACCCATATACCATGTATTTTATCTTCAGCAAATATATTCAACTTATTGGCATGTTTCAGGCAGAGTATTTAACTAATGTTCAGTACTGTTATCAGAAGTTGTGATTTCATAAACTGTTATGCAGTACATTTGTCACAGCTCCCATGTAAGCTTAGTTAAGGCAACATTCTATAGCATGTGGTGCTTATCAGGTCTACAATGAAGATGACAATTATTTCTGCAATAAATTGTTAAGGCACAACTAGTCCAGATATTTATCAGTGATCGTTCATTTAGGATTTCTTTAATTTTGGACATTAGACAGGCAACATAATGCTTAATTATAGAATAAAAATTTTATTCAGTTTACTGTGTAGTTAAGTTTTGCATAGTTACTCATTTGTACATTTCATTTTAAAACATGTGCTGAATGCCTTTTATGTAATCAGCCTCTTGCACTGTGTGCTAGAATGCAGCTGGGGAATGAAGACACATGGGATGTATACTCAAGTGTGGAAAACACTTAGTTCTCAAACATAAATATATGAAGATGAATGTTGGACTGGGATAGGGTAAAAAACAGAGTGGTCATGAAAGACATCCCTGCAAAAGTGGTATTTGAGTGGAGACACGAAGGAGGAAAGATGTGAACTGTGTGGACATGTGGGAAAATGGCATTCCAGACAGAAAGAAAACCATCTACAAGTCCTGGAAGTTGGGGCATGGCACAGGTTCAAGGAAGAGCAGGGAAACTCACGCATCAGGAAAGAGGGGAAAGAGGGGTGCATCTTTAGGTGCGATTCCCCTGAGCTGTGGATTCTTGTGCAAACGATTTATTAAGAAGCTGATAAGGAGGACGGGGAAGCAGAAAAGCTAAACAAAAGTGCAAGTTCAGGGGAAATCAACACCTCATCCTAATTCTTTGGGTGTTCTGTAATATAAATTACATTGCAAATTCTGTACCGCTTTAAGGTAAGAGAGATGAGCTTTCACACTTCTGCAGCAGTCAGGCATTGGCACTTCTGAACACAAGGTAGCGCTCTGAAGAAGGTCGTAAGTGGAAAGCACACAGAAGCTATGAGAATGGGTACACAGAACCCGAAATAATTTCCCAGGAGATAAGAGAACATGGAATCAGAATACCAGTGCTCATTAATATTCAGCCACCCTTGCATTTAGATGTAGCCAATATATTTATGTTGTAAGTAGATTCCTTTGGTTACAATGAAAATAAAAGACCACAGGAGAATAAGTGATAAATCAACAAGACCAGTTAGGATGCTATTGCAGTATTTTTGGAAAGAAAAACTAGTAAGACTAGAACAGTGAGATATGGAAACAGAACTACTTTTTCTGCAACAGGTTGCTGGCAGAACACAGGTGTCTTGAAAACTATCTCTAAAGATGCTGTGTCGCGCCACTGTAGTGGCTTCTTCCTCTGCCTTTCTCTTCCTCCGCTGTCGCCTCCCAACTCTAGTCAGCCTCCGGCCGGCCGTCTCCTTAACACAGAACACCATGCCTTCAATTAAGTTGCAGAGTTCTGGTGGAGAGATATTTGAAGTTGATGTGGAAATTGTCAAACAATCTGTGACTATCAAGACCATGTTGGAAGATTTGGGAATGAATGATGAAGGAGATCATGACCCAGTTCCTCTACCAAATGTTAATGCAGCAATATTAAAAAAGGTCATTCAGTGGTGCACCCACCATGAGGATGACTCACCTCCTCCCAAAGTTTATGAAAACAAAGAAAAGCGAACAGACGATATCCCTGTTTGGGACCAAGAATTTCTGAAAGTTGACCAAGGAACACTTTTTGAACTCATTCTGGCTGCAAACTACTTAGACATCAAAGGTTTGCTTGATGTTACATGCAAGACTGTTGCCAATATGGTCAACAGGAAAACTCCTGAGGAGATTCACAAGACCTTCAATTTAAAAAATGACTTTACTGGGCCAGGAGCTGTGGCTCACGCCTGTAATCCCAGCACTTTGGGAGGCTGAGGCAGGCGGATCACGAGGTCAGTAGATTGAGACTATCCTGGCTAACACGGTGAAACTCCGTCTCTACTAAATAAATACAAAAAATTTAGCCGGGCGTGGTGGCGGGTGCCTGTAGTCCCAGCTACTCGGGAAGCTGAGGCAGGAGAATGGTGTGAATCCGGGAGGGGGAGCTTGCAGGGAGCCAAGATGGCGCCACTGCACTCCGGCCTGGGCCACAGAGTGAGACTCTGTCTAAAAATAAAAAAAAAAAAAAAAAATTACTTTACTGAAGAGTGGGAAGCCCAGGTACACCAAGAGAACCAGCAGTGTGAAGAGAAGTGAAATGTTATGCCTGACACTGTAACACTGTAAGGATTGTTCCAAATACTAGTTGCACTGCTCTATTTATAGTTGTTAGTATTAGACAAACAGTAGACAAATGCAGCAGCAAGTCAATGGTATTAGCGGAATATTGTCCTCGTTGCATGTGTAGTTTGAGTACAGATTCCAAACCTATGGCTGAGTTTCTTCCAGTATGATCAAAAGTTTCTTTGAATAAAACTGAACTGTAGGTTCTCTGTAAGTGGAATTTTGGCCTTTCCCTCTTTTTTGTAAAGCAATGTCTGCCTAGTTTATTGTCCAGTTAACTTTAGTGACCTTTTAAAAGTTGGCACTGTAAATAAACCAGCTTGCAAAAAAAGTTTTCTGGACTAGAATTAACAAAATGTTATTTTTATTCATGAGTTGGAAACTGGAAAAAGGCTTCTTGAAGTAAATGTTCTGAGTGGAGTTACTAGAATGTCTTCCAACCTCCTGCAGTCAAGGAGAACCACTGTATTGATTAACCTGTATGTAGCAGGGCTCCCTTCATTGCATCTGAGGACTTGTTTTCTCTTTCTTTAATTTTATTTTTAATCCTCTTGGCTTTAAATATATTGCCTAGAGACTCAGTTACTACCCAGTTTATGGTTTTTTTGGGGAAATGTAACTGGACAGTTTGTTAGCTTTTCAATTAAAAAGACACTTCACCTATGGAAAAAAAAAAGAGGGAGAGAAAACTACCTCTAAAAGCCAAAATGGGAAAGGAAAAGACTAATATCAACATTGTCATCACTGGACAAGTAGGTTCAGGCAAGTCCACCACTACTGGCCATCTGATCTACAAATGCATTGACGTCGACAAAAGAACCATTCAAAAATTTGAGAAGGAGGCTGCTTAGATGGGAAAGGGCTCCTTCAAGTATGCTTGGGTCTTGGATAAACTGAAAGCTAAACATGAACCTGGTATCACCATTGGTATCTCCCTGTAGAAATTTGAGACCAGTAAGTACTACGTGAGTATCATTGATGCCCCAGGACACAGAGACTTCATCAAAAACATGATTACAGGGACATCTCAGGCTGACTGTGCTGTCCTGATTGTTGCTGCTGGTGTTGGTGAATTTGAAGCTGGTATCTCCAAGAATGGACAGACCCATGAGCATGCCCTTCTGGCTTACACACTAGGTGTGAAACAACTAATTGTTGGTGTTAACAAAATGGATTCCACTGAGCAACCCTACAGCCAGAAGACATATGAGGAAATCGTTAAAGAAGTCAACACTTACATTATGAAAATTGGCTGCAACCTTGACACAGCAGCATTTGTGCTTATTTCTGGTTGAAATGGTGACAACATACTGTAGCCAAGTGCTAACATGCCTTGGTTTAAGGGACTGAAAGTCACCTGTAAGGATGGCAATACCAGTGGAACCTCACTGCTTGAGGCTCTGGACTGCATCCTACCACCAACTCATCCAACTAACAAGCCCTTTCACCTGCTTCTCTAGGATATCTACAAAAATTGGTGGTATTGGTACTGTTTCTGTTGGCTGAGTAGAGACTGGTGTTCTCAAACCCTGTATGGTGCTCCAGTCAATGTTACAACTGAAGTAAAGTCTGTTGAAATACACCATGAAGCTTTGAGTGAAGCTCTTCCTGGGGACAATGTGGGCTTCAATGTCAAGAACGTGTCTGTCAAGGATGTTCGTCATGGCAACAATGCTGGTGACAGCAAAAACGACCCACCAATGGAAGCAGCTGGCTTCACTGCTCAGGTGATTATCCTGAACCATCCAGGCCAAATAAGTGCTGGCTATGCCCTTGTACTGGATTGTCACACGGCTCACACTGCATGCAAGTTTGCTGAGCTGAAGGAAAAGATTGATCGCTGTTCTGGTAAAAAGCTGGAAGACGGCCCTAAATTCTTGAAGTCTGGTGATGCTGCCATCATTTATATGGTTCCTGGCAAGCCCATGTGTGTAGAGAGCTTCTCAGACTATCCACCTCTGGGTCACTTTGCTGTTGGTCATATGAGACAGACAGTTGCCATGGGTATCATCAAAGCAGAGGACAGGAAGGCTGCTGGAGTTGGCAAGGTCACTAAGTCTGCCCAGAAAGCTCCAAAGCCTAGTGAATATTATCCCTTGTACCTGCCACCCCAGTCTTAATCAGTGGTGAAAGAACTGTCTCAGAACTGTTTGTTTCCATTGGCCATTTAAGTTTAATAGTAAAAGAATGGTTTAATGATTACAATGCATCGTAAAACCGTCAGAAGGAGAGGAGAATGTTTTGTGGACCATGTGTGTATGTGTGTGTGTGTGTGTGTGTGTGTGTGTGGCAGTTTTAAGTTATTAGTTTTTAAAATCAGTACTTTTTTTTTTTTTTTGAGACAGTCTCACTCTGTTGCCCAGGCTGGAGTGTAACAGCATGATCTCAGCTCACTGCAACCTCCACCTCCGAGGTTCAAGTGATTCTCCCGCCTCAGCCTCCTGAGTAGCTGGGATTACAGGTACCGGCCATCATGCCCAGCTAATTTTTGTATTTTTGTAGAGACAGGATTTCACCATGTTGGCAAGGCTGGTCTTGAACTCCTGACCTCTGGTGATCCGCCCGCCTCGGCCTCCCAAAGTGCTGGGATTACAGGCATGAACCACCACACCCAGCCTAAAATCAGTACTTTTTTAATGGAAACAACTTGATGAAAAATCTGTCACAGAATTTTGAGACCCATTAGAACAAAGTTTAAGAGGAAAAAAAAAGAAATCAGAACTAACAAGATTTGCTTATGGACTTCAAAATTAATTCTCTATTTTTAATCAGTATGTTTCTTTCTCTCTGTTTCAGCCTCTCTCTCTCTCTCTCTCTCTCTCTCTCTCTCTCTCTCTTACTTCTCTAACTCCCTCTCTCACCATATTTCTACTAATCCTTTCTTGGTATAAAGGGTAATTGTTCAAATTAGGTCAAATTTTTACTATTATCTGTCTGTAATATCTCAACACTCATATTTTATTTGAGAAGTTATTAACTATTTGAAAGATACTGATTGCCTGTAATGCATTCAGCTATCTGCTTACCACCAAATATTATCTTTACTCTTACTTGTCCCAGTTTACTCTTGATTTCTTTCTTATCCCTCCCTTTGCCGTTAATATTTTCTACATATGCCAAAACGGTGAGATTTTTAAATGTTTCTTCTTTTTAAGGAAAATTGACTTCTGTCTTGGGTCCAAACAAAAAAAAAAAACCTTCTTCAGCAATTAAGTGTTCACTACAGTCCAATACAAGACAGAAAACAATTACTTAGATAAACAAAGAAAGTATATGCCTACATCAACATATAAACAGAATAAATAGAAAAATAGATGGTAAATATTTATTCTGTTCATCTATATCAAGAATACATATCAAAATAATCATTATCATTATGCTTTCTGTTGAGTCTCTAATGAGGCAATGAACTGTGTCTTTCATTGCCTTAATGTAAATGTTTTAATTATCTTATTGGAATAGTAGAAGATAAATCTTCTTTAATTTGGTTTTCCATTTTTCTACTTTGATTGCTTGTTAGAAAATAAATGTGAAGGCAAAATACGTGTATACATGTGAGATCACTACCCAACAAGCCTGCAGCAGATGACGTCTGACTTTTAGCCACAAATATCCTGTGCAAAATTATCAATGTTTCAAATTTCTTATGTATGGAATATCAAATATCACAGTTTACCTTTATAAATTGTCTTAAAAGAACAATTGGTAGTTGAAATGGGTTGCAAGAAACAAGAAAGAAACTTTTCCAACCCTCAAAGCACACCTGATACTACAACCATCTTCTTTCAGAAATTTGCAGCACTATTGTATAAGATTTGCTGAGTCTCTCTAAACATCACTATTTCTCTATCTCCTCACCTTTAAAGATGTTCACAGTGGCAAAAACATTAAGGAGAATTTTTATTCCTAAAAATTATCCGATACTTGTCACCATTATAATAATACTATTTCCTCCTTTCAAAATGCATTAAAATTATTAAAAGTTACTGCGATTTTAAGAAACTATCTCTCCGCATCCCAAATCCAAAGTCAATTACATTTAGAGCAAGGTGTGTATGATATTGCTTTGAGTTACACCAACATTTAAATTTTCTCCTCAAAAATATTTTAGTCCTATTATCTTCATTTTATACTTAGAAATGTATTGTGTTGAATAAATAATATTTGGTAATAAAACATATCTGTTTTCATACATCTAAATAAACAAGCAGTTTGGCATGAGAATTAAAGAGTTTAAAATGCACATATATTTCCATGTTTGTACATAAGTACTTAATGAGGATCTTTTCTAATAATTGCTTAACAGAAACATAGTTCCTCCATGCAAGGAAAACTGTTACCCTATTGGAGATGTGTAATTTTGTCTACCTCACTGCATTTAAGAATAGAACTATGTATGCTGAGTTGAGCTGATACCCCAAATGTAAACAAAATGGAAAAGAAACAGTTGTTTAGTATTGTCTAGAAATATGTAAATTTATTTTTATGAAAAAAGAACAACACAGAAACAGAAAACCAAATACCACATTTTTTTCTTATAAGTGGAAGTGAAATGATGAGAACATATGGACACATAAAGGGGAACAACACACAGTGGGGCCTTTCAGAAGGTGGAGGGTGGGAGGAGGGAGAATCAGGAAAAATAACTAATGGCTACTAGTTATTAGAATGTATCTCTCAAAAGGCAGAGAGAAAAAAGAGGTAGGGTGGCTTAACTCACAGCTCTGTTATCCTTACATGTGGTTTCATTATACATTGTAGAGGCCTTAAACGTTACATTCAAATTTCCTGTTTGCTACGTGCCTCCCCTACCAAAGCATGAAGGACTTGAGATCCAAAATTTATTTTCATATGTGTTTTCCAATACATAATACAGTTACTAGCGCATAGCTGACACTCAACTAATATTTGTTAACTGAATAATAACATTCTAAAGAAACTAGCCTAAAAGACAAAAAACTCTAGCAAATAATATATAATAATAAATTTATTATCAATATGGTAATAAATATTTTCTTGAAAAGAAGGACATATGTGAAATAAAGCATCTCTGAGAGAGAACAGGCTTCCAGGTCACTAAAAAATGTGTTGTCAGTTTTTCTTAAGAAAAACAAAAATAGCTTACTACTGGTAAATATTTTGTAGTTTTCTACAGTTAATTTATGTTTTAGTTTTGCCACTGGGATCAATTTATTCTCCAGAGTTAATGATTAAGTAAGTTTTACAAGATTTAGAATATTTCTACAACTAGAATTTTTCCTTTATGTTTGACATAAAGAAAAGGGCATTGCCCTCAGAATGTAACTGATACTTTTGATAGTACCAATGGTCTAGTTTTATCTCCTGTTATTCTACTTCTTTATCTGCATGGTGTCATATACAAAGAAAGTTTCTAGGGCCAGGGACACAGACTTAAAAAACTTGGATGGGGAGAGTAGTCAAAAAAGTTTGAAGGATGAAGTGCGTTCTTAATAGGGCAAGTTGAGGTGAATCCATAGTTTCATACATGGATAGATTGGGGTCAACATAATAGTAGCTGAAATCTGTGCAACTATTGAACAAAAAGAAATGACATATAGTACCAAAATAAGGACGGTTTTATTCCTCAGTGAGGGTGAGAGTGCAGGAAAAAAAAATGAATTCCCTTTGGAGATAAACCTTGTGTAACAAATGCATAGATGATGGTTTGATTGTATTTTAGCTTGAGTTCCCCTGAAAGCAGAGTCTGATTTATTTCCAGATGGCATTTAGAAGGTAACACTAAAGAGCAGGAGAGTCAAAAGAGAGATGAGAATAAAGGAAGGAAGAAAAGTTCATCAAGTTGACCAGTGTGGGCAACTGGTGCTTGAGCTCACTCTAAACAAGAGTATAGCATGCCTTTTAGAACTGTCCACCCAAAGGACAGGAGGCAGAGCTCAAGTTCACCACTGGTTGAGGGCCATCCCATCAATTCCCCCACACTTATAAGCTATTCAAGTATGTGTAAAAAGACTTCAATGCAGAAAGCTAAGATGCCAACAGTTGAGGAAAAACATTGTTAGTGAAAAGTGAGTAGAACCTGCGCAAAAGTGTCCAGGGTTGCCCGATAGTGGGCCAGAGCATCAGATACATCAGACACCAATAGTGATGCCAATGGCTCAGGGCTTATTGATGAATGGAATCCAAGATGCTTTAGTTTGTATTTCAACTTCTCAGAATCTCTGATGAATTTCTTATTACATCCCCTGAGACTGTACACACGTAGCTGTCTGGTGGCAGATGCAAGAATATGACAACCCGTTTGTTTCTGTATAGTTTCTATCAGAGGTTAAAAATAGGCAAATGGTTGCTTTGAGAAAATTACTCAGTTAATGTTTCATTCCAAGTTAATCTTAAGGGAGGTTTGTTTATTTTTGAAGTGTTTTCTTAAATACTCATATCTCAAGTTTCCTAAGTTTAAGGTTTGTGAATAAAGCTGCTGACATTTTGTGAGAGGTAAATGACTGACTCCTCAACATTTTATAAAGCAACTATTTTCACCATCTTTTTGATATATTACTATTTAACTATAAGATTGAAATCTCAGAATAATCTCACGCCTGGGAGATTCCCATAAGAAGTTATATATTCTCTGTGTCTCTAGTAGGCTACCTTGACCTTTCATGTTTTAAACTGCAGCCCTTTTCCATCATTAGATTTTAAAGTTTTCAAAAATCTAGGGAGAAAGGGTTTTCTTTCTCATCCTCCCTTACATTGCCTCTGGGCTGGGGAAGAAAGTAGGTAAAACAAAAGATTTTTGTTTGCCTTGAACCCAAAAGAAGTTCAAATGGAAGCCTCAAGTGCAATGACCTTAATGACTATTGCTCTTTTATCATAACGGTATACTTAATAGTTCATAGAATATTCAGTTCAGCAGGGCACAATTTGAAACTTCAGAAAGAGGACATATCTCTGTAGGGAAACTTACCTTTCCAATGGGGGTAATTCCTTTGTGTCTAAGGTTTCGGCAGATTGCAAGGGGGAAAAGCAATGTTTGAGGATATTTTAAAGATGACCTAATGATATACAGTGAAATAAAGTCTACATCCTCTAATTTGTCCATATCAACCTGAATCAAACTGGGGTAACTGACAATTCAATTTTTTTCATGAATTAATTTGTCCATGTCATTGCAAACCTAGTTAGCAAATACACTGAAATACCAATAAGATAATATCAATATAACATTTTAGACAAATTGAAGCAGTAACTACTGACCATGATATTATATGAGCACAATATTGTATGTGTGTGTTTGTAGGCTCCTGCAAACATACATGAGTGTGTGTGTGTGTGTGTGTGTGTGTGTCTGTGTGTGTGTGTGGTATACATACAAAGCCAATTTATACCATCTAGCAAGAACTCATTGGTAAGTATTTAGGAATCTGGCAATGTGGTTATTAAACTCAGGTACAATTAAAAATGAAACCATACAAGTTTTTAATTAAATAAAGTAAAAACAAAGTAATTACAAGTACTCAAAATGTTTTACTACATTTTACGGTTATCTATGCTCTTGAGATTTTTTGGTATTTGTTTATTGCATTGTGGGAGTACTATGGAATGGTAAGGCATACCTCTTTCTAACTCCATTTTCAGTATAGTTGAGTTGATAGCTTGAAACTGGACAGAATACAAATACATCATGGAAACAGGCAAATGCTAAACTAGGGGAATAGTTTTGTTGACTGACTAAACTTAAAGTAATGGGGAAAATGTTAATAATGCAGACTAAATTTAAAAGTGTGCTGTGGATATAGCCATTCCATTGTCAACAACACAAAAAAACGGAGTAAGTATTCTTCCAGCATTTGAAACTATTATCTGATTCAGCAAAGAAATTGTTGGCATCATTGACAAAAGTGTAGTTTTGACATATGCCTTTATTGATTCGTGTTTGTCTTACTCATGAATGGAAACAATAACATTAATCAACATTTATCAGTTGTAATTATAGGCTGGTTAGGCATATGAAAGTTCAGAAAAAATGATGAAAACATTCTATGAAAATTAATTTTCTATATGGAATTTAAGGCAGCTGTATTGTGTATATACATTGCTATTTATAATTTCTTAATATTACTAACATTTATAATAAAGCATATACATAAATTATATGTGTATATTTAAGCATATATGTGTGCATAGAATGACATGTATATAAAACCTAGAGGTATTTATATAGAGATATATTTTTATAATAATAATTATATATAATATGATTTTTTTAAAATCTTGTCATTAAACATTTACTAGAATGGATTATACAACTAGGTAGTTTAATAACCAAAAACTTTATACAGGTTACACAGTTGTTAAAATAACCAGTTTACAGGGCAGCCAAGGTGGCTGAATAGGAACAGCTCTGGTCTACAGCTCCTAGCACGAGCGACGCAGAAGATGGGTGATTTCTGCATTTCCATCTGAGGTACCGGGTTCATCTCACTAGGGACTGCCAGATAGTGGGCGCAGGACAGTGGGTGCAGCGCACCGTGCGCGAGCCAAAGTAGGGTGAGGCATTGCCTTAGTTGGGGAGCACAAGGGGTCAGGGAGTTCCCTTTCCTAGTCAAAGGAAGGGGTGACAGACAGCACCTGGAAAGTCAGGTCACTCCCACGCTAATACTGCGATTTTCCAACAGGCTTAAAAAGCGGCGTGCCAGGAGATTATATCCCGCACCTGGCTCGGAGGGTCCTACGCCCACGGAGTCTCACTGATTGCTAGCAGAGCAGTCTGAGATCAAACTGCAAGGCAGCAGCGAGGCTGGGGGAGGGGCGCCCGCCATTGCCCAGGCTTGCTTCGGTAAACAAAGCAGCCTGGAAGCTCGAACTGGGTGGAGCCCACCATAGCTCAAGGAGGCCTGTCGGCCTCTGTAGGCTCCACCTCTGGGGGCAGGACACAGACAAACAAAAAGACAGCAGTAACCTCTGCAGACTTAAATGTCCCTGTCTGACAGCTTTGAAGAGAGCAGTGGTTCTCCCAGCATGCAGCTGGAGATCTGAGAACGAGCAGACTGCCTCCTCAAGTGGGTCCCTGACCCCTGACTCCTGAGCAGCCTAACTGGGAGGCACCCCCCAGTAGGGGCAGACTGACACCTCACATGGCCGGGTACTCCTCTAAGACAAAACTTCCAGAGGAACGATCAGACAGCAGCATTCGCGGTTCACAAAAATCCACTCTTCTGCAGCCACTGCTGCTGATACCCAGGCAAACAGCGTCTGGAGTGGACCTCTAGCAAACTCCAACAGACCTGCAGCTGAGGGTCCTGTCTGTTAGAAGGAAAACTAACAAACAGAAAGGACATCCACACCAAAAACCCATCTGTACATCACCATCATCAAAGACCAAAAGTAGAAAAAACCACAAAGATGGGGAAAAAACAGAGCAGAAAAACTGGAAACTCTAAAAAGCAGAGTGCCTCTCCTTCTCCAAAGGAACGCAGTCTCTCACCAGCAACGGAACAAAGCTGGACGGAGAATGACTTTGACGAGTTGAGAGAAGAAGGCTTCAGACGATCAAACTACACCGAGCTACAGGAGGAAATTCAAACCAAAGGCAAAGAAGTTAAAAACTTTGAAAAAAATTTAGACGAATGTATAACTAGAATAACCAATACAAAGACGTGCTTAAAGGAGCTGATGGAGCTGAAAGCCAAGGCTCGAGAACTACGTGAAGAATGCAGAAGCCTCAGGAGCAAATGCGATCAATTGGAAGAAAGGGTATCAGTGATGGAAGATGAAATGAATGAAATGAAGTGAGAAGGGAAGTTTAGAGAAAAAAGAATAAAAGGAAATGAACAAAGTCTCCAAGAAATATGGACTATGTGAAAAGACCAAATCTACGTCTGATTAGTGTACCTGAAAGTGATGGGAAGAATGGAACCAAGTTGAAAAACACTCTGCAGGATATTACCCAGGAGAACTTCCCCAATCTAGCAAGGCAGGCCAACATTCAGATTCAGGAAATACAGAGAACGCCACAAAGATACTCCTCAAGAAGAGCAACTCCAAGACACATAATTGTCAGATTCACCAAAGTTGAAATGAAGGAAAAAATGTTAAGGGTAGCCAGAGAGAAAGGTCGGGTTATCCACAAAGGGAAGCCCACCAGACTAACAGCGGATCTCTCGGAAGAAACTCTACAAGCCAGAAGACAGTGGGGGCCAATTTTCAACATTCTTAAAGAAAAGAATTTTCAACCCAGAATTTCATATCCAGCCAAACTAAGCTTCATAAGCGAAGGAGAAATAAAATACTTTACAGACAAGCAAATGCTGAGAGATTTTGTCACCACCAGGCCTGCCCTACAAGAGCTCCTGAAGGAAGCACTAAACATGGAAAGGAACAACCGGTACCAGCCACTGCAAAATCATGCCAAAATGTAAACACCATCAAGACTAGGGAGAAACTGCATCAACTAACAGGCAAAATAACCAGCTAACATCATAATGACAGGATCAAATTCACACATAACAATATTAACTTTAAATGTAAATGGACTAAATTCTCCAACTAAAAGACACAGACTGGAAAATTGGATAAAGAGTCAAGACCCATCAGTGTGCTGTATTCAGGAAACCCATCTCATGTGCAGAGACGCACACAGGCTCAAAATAAAAGGATGGAGGAAGATCTACCAAGCAAATGGAAAACAAAAAAAGGCAGGGGTTGCAATCCCAGTCTCTGATAAAACAGACTTTAAACCAACAAAGTCAAAAGAGACAAAGAAGGCCATTACATAATGGTAAAGGGATCAATTCAACAAGAAGAGCTAACTATCCTAAATATATATGCACCCAATACAGGAGCACCCAGATTCATAAAGCAAGTCCTGAGTGACCTACAAAGAGACTTAGACTCCCACACATTAATAATGGGAGACTTTAACACCTCACTGTCAACATTAGACAGATCAACGAGACAGAAAGTCAACAAGGATACCCAGGAATTGAACTCAGCTCTGCACCAAGCAGACCTAGTAGACATCTACAGAACTCTCCACCCCAAATCAAGAGAATATACATTTTTTTCAGCACCACACCACACCTATTCCAAAATTGACCACATACTTGGAAGTAAAGCTCTCCTCAGCAAATGTAAAACAACAGAAATTATAACAAACCGTCTCTCAGACCACAGTGTAATCAAACTAGAACTCAGGATTAAGAAACTCACTCAAAACCGCTCAACTACATGGAAACTGAACAACCTGCTCCTGAATGACTACTGGTTACATAATGAAATGAAGGCAGAAATAAAGATGTTCTTTGAAACCAATGAGAACAAAGACACAACATACCAGAATCTCTGGGACACATTCAAAGCAGTGTGTAGAGGGAAATTTATAGCACTAAATGCCCACAAGAGAAAGCAGGAAAGATCCAAAATTGGCACCCTAACATCACAATTAAAAGAACTAGAAAAGCAACAAGAGCAAACACATTCAACAGCTAGCAGAAGGCAAGAAATAACTAAAATCAGAGCAGAACTGAAGGAGATAGAGACACAAAAAACCCTTCAAAAAATTAATGAATCCAGGAGCTGGTTTTTTGAAAGGATCAACAAAATTGATAGACTGCTAGCAAGACTAATAAAGAAGAAAAGAGAGAAGAATCAAATAGATGCAATAAAAAATGATAAAGGGGATATCACCACTGATCCCACAGAAATACAAACTACCATCAGAGAATACTACAAACACCTCTACGCAAATAAATTAGAAAATCTAGAAGAAATGGATAAATTCCTCGACACATACACCCTCCTAAGACTAAAACGGGAAGAGGTTGAATCTCTGAATAGACCAATAACAGGCTCTGAAATTGTGGCAATAATCAATAGCTTACCAATCAAAAAGAGTCCAGGACTAGATGGATTCACAGCCGAATTCTACCACAGGTACAAGGAGGAACTGGTACCATTCCTTCTGAAACTATTCCAAACAATAGAAAAAGAGGGAATCCTCCCTAACTCCTTTTATGATACCAGCATCATCCTGATACCAAAGCCGGGCAGAGACACAACCAAAAAAGAGAATTTTAGACCAATATCCTCGATGAACATTGATGCAAAAATCCTCAATAAAATACTGGCAAACCGAATCCAGCAGCACATCAAAAAGCTTATCCACCATGATCAAGTGGGCTTCATCCCTGGGATGCAAGGCTGGTGCAATATATGCAAATCAATAAATGTAATCCAGTGTATAAACAGAACCAAAGACAAAAACCACATGATTATCTCAATAGATGCAGAAAAGGCCTTTGACAAAATTCAACAGCCCTTCATGCTAAAAACTCTCAATAAATTAGGTATTGATGGGACGTATCTCAAAATAATAAGAGCTATCTATGACAAACCCACAGCCAATATCATACTGAATGGGCAAAAACTGGAAGCATTCCCTTTGAAAACTGGCACAAGACAGGGATGACCTCTCTCACCACTCCTATTCAATATAGTGTTGGAAGTTCTGGCCAGGGCAAGTAGGCAGTAGAAGGAAATAAAGGGTATTCAATTAGGAAAAGAGAAAGTCAAATTGTCCCTGTTTGCAGATGACATGATTGCATATCTAGAAAACCCCATTGTCTCAGCCCAAAATCTCCTTAAGCTTATAAACAACTTCAGCAAAGTCTCAGGATACAAAATCAATGTACAAAAATCACAAGCATTCTTATACACCAATAACAGACAAACAGAGAGCCAAATCATGAGTAAACTCCCATTCACAATTGCTTCAAAGAGAATAAAATACCTAGGAATCCAACTTGCAAGGGATGTGAAGGACCTCTTTAAGGAGAACTACAAACCACTGCTCAATGAAATAAAAGAGGATACAAACAAATGGAAGAACATTCCATGCTCATAGGTAGGAAGAATCAATATCTTGAAAATGGCCATATTGCCCAAGGTAATTTATAGATTCAATGCCATCCCCATCAAGCTACCAATGACTTTCTTCACAGAATTGGAAAAAACTACTTTAAAGTTCATATGGAACCAAAAAAGAGCCCGCATCGCCAAGTCAATCCTAAGCCAAAAGAAGAAAGCTGGAGGCATCATGCTACCTGACTTCAAACTATACTACTAGGCTACAGTAACCAAAACAGCATGGTACTGGTACCAAAACAGAGATATAGATCAATGGAACAGAACAGAGCCCTCAGAAATAATGCCACATATCTACATCTATCTGATCTTTGACAAACCTGAGAAAAACAAGCAATGGAGAAAGATTCCCTATTTAATAAATGGTGCTGGGAAAAGTGGCTAGCCATATGTAGAAAGCTGAAACTGGATCCCTTCCTGACACCTTATACAAAAATTAATTCAAGATGGATTAAAGACTTAAACATTAGACCTAAAACCATAAAAACCCTAGAAGAAAACCTAGGCATTACCATTCAGGACATAGGCATAGGCAAGGACTTCATGTCTAAAACACTAAAAGCAATGGCAACAAAAGACAAAATTGACAAATTGGATCTAATTAAACTAAAGATCTTCTGCACAGCAAAAGAAACTACCATCAGAGTGAACAGGCAACCTACAGAATGGGAGAAAATTTTCGCAACCTACTCATCTGACAAAGGGCTGATATCCAGAATCTACAATGAACTCAAACAAATTTACAAGAAAAAAACAAAGAACCCCATCAAAAAGTGGGCAAAGGACATGAACAGACACTTCTCAAAAGAAGACATTTATGCAGCCAAAAAACACATGAAAAAATGCTCATCATCACTGGCCATCAGAGAAATGCAAATCAAAACCACGATGAGATACCATCTCACACCAGTTAGAATGGCAATCATTAAAAAGTCAGGAAACAACAGGTGATGGAGAGGATGTGGAGAAATCAGAACACTTTTACACTGTTGGTGGGACTGTAAACTAGTTCAACCATTGTGGAAGTCAGTGTGGCGATTCCTCAGGGATCTAGAACTAGAAATACCATTTGACCCAGCCATCCCATTACTGGGTACATACCCAAAGGACTATAAATCATGCTGCTATAAAGACACATGCACACATATGTTTATTGCGGCACTATTCACAATAGCAAAGACTTGGAACCAACCCAAATGTCCAACAATGATAGACTGGATTAATAAAATGTGGCACATATACACCATGGAATACTATGCAGCCATAAAAAATGATGAGTTCATGTCCTTTGTAGGGACATGGATGAAATTGGAAATCATCATTCTCAGTAAACTATCGCAAGGACAAAAAACCAAACACCGCATGTTCTCACTCATAGGTGGGAATTGAACAATGAGAACACATAGAGACAGGAAGGGGAACATCACACTCTGGGGACTGTTGTGGGGTGGGGGAAGGGGCGAGGGATAGCATTAGGAGATTTACCTAATGCTAAATGACGAGTTAATGGTTGCAGCACACCAGCATGAGACATGTATACATATGTAACTAACCTGCACAATGTGCACATGTACCCTAAAACTTAAAGTATAATAATAATAAAATAAATAAAATAAAATAAAATAAAAATAATAAAAAAAAACAGTTTACTCAGAGCTTTGGAAAACTTTTCTCCTTTATACATTAGAATTAAGACAAAATAAAAATATGAATCAAATTTTTAGCAAAATTGTATTGAGATAAAGCTTATAATTTAAGCCATAAACAGAATAATCTTAAGTGCAAGATTTGTAGTATTCATACCAATGTAACATAAATGATTATTTACTTGAAAACACCTGCTTTTGCAGAATCAAAAATTTCCAGATAATGTAGGAATGATTCTTATTTCAAAATATTTTAATGTTAGAAAGTATGACAAAGTGAATAAAAAATACCACAAAAAGAATATAAAGTTTTAAATAAATAATCGAGTGGCAATAGTACCTGAGAGGTAAAGCATATTTTTGTAATGAGCTATGCCAATTACATATAATGCAAGTTCTTTACTTTGTTTCAAAATACACAGAAAAAGTGTAACAACTACTTTTAATATACTATTCACTTGGCAATAGGATTTGAGCTCTTTAAAATTTACTAGGAAAAAAATCTAAATTTATGGTAAGAAAAAAGCCTCTAACACATTTTCTAGCACATTTTATTTATAAATACCTACACATTATAATACGATTAAACCCTTTATTATAATGTGTCTCTTAATAATTCAGTTCATCCATAATCACTCTTCCAAGCTAGACATTTTGATCTCAATATTTATAGGATGAACATCTTTCTACTACCAACTTAAACTTTTTTACTTCCTTAAAACCTAGAGAAAAACCTGTGATCTTCTTGCTCTTATTCCTGAATAAGCCTGGACCAGTCTACCGTCTGGGTTTATATTGTCGTTCCCAGCACATTTGTAGGTATGTTGAATATACAATCGTGTAGGGGGAAAGTGGAAGTTCCCCTTGACCCTCCAAAGTTTCATTGAAAAATCAAGTTGCAAAAGGCAGATTAATTAGAGAAAAAGCATATAAATTTATTTAATTTGCATGCACGGGAACCTTCAGAATGAAGACTCAAAGATACTGGGGAAATTGTTCATTTGTATGCTTAGGTTCAATGAATCGTGGACAGCCATATAGAAAGATGATTGGAATAAAAGGGCGTGGTCTAATGCAATAGACTGAGTGGGGAAACCCCGTGAGGTCTGTCTGTGCAGCATTTCTTCCTTCTGGGTATGAGGCAGGACCCTCTCCAGAATGGAGTTTTTTGACCTACAGTCAAACAAAGTTGGTCAGATAAGTTTTAATGGCCTGTTTTTACACAGAAAGGTGGAGGAAAAAATAGAAAATAAAAATGTTACAGTTTTAGGATTAATGGCTAGCTTTGGGGAAAATGAGTTCTGGTTTCTATGACCTGTATTGGGCAAGAAAGATTCCAGCTTCTATGATTAGCCTTGAGAAGGAATGTGACAGAGACAGTGGGACAGGAGAAGGTCAGAGAAAACTTTTGCTTTTGAGTCCTTCAATTTGGTATATTGTTTTCTGAGCCCCAATACTTGTATCAGTTTATTGCATCATTGTCTTAACTACACTTTTAGTATGTGAATACTGTGAACACAGGGCTTATGTATAAGATTTTTAAAGTAATGATATACTTCAAACATGTAAAAAATATTATATGCACTCCTGTATCTATGACACAGATAATTTTCTTTTGCTTCATTCCAGTCTCTCTGCCTTCCTTCATTTCTTCCTTCCATAACAAAGCACAATAGATGAAATTAAAACATACATTTATTCCCCACTGTCTGATTTCCCACTGTTTCTGTTGGGCAGAAGCCATCATCTTAACTTTTTTTTTCATATTTTTACTATCTATGCTTTAAAATTACCTAAAGAGAGCATATAATTCTGCAGTTTATTTACCTAGGATTTTTTCAATAAGTATCTATCTTGTTGATTAATGTAAATCTACTTCATTTTTGCTGAGTGTATTGTATTCAGTTGTGTGAATACGTCATTTCCCTATAATTCTACATTAAGTCAATTCCATGATTTCACCATTAAAACCAACATTCTTGTACATAGCAAGATCTTTTCCTAGATTATATATCTAGCAATGTGCTTCCTGAGTTTTAGATTTTTATACATTTTTAGCTTTAATAAATCTTGCGTAATGGATCTCTATAGATTTTTAACAATTTACTTACTCAGAACATTTCCATTTTTTCATATACCTTTAGACTGTTGACATCAGGAGACTTTCACATTTGCTAACCCAATGGGTGTTAAAAGTCTTCATTATTTTTTCAATTTGTATTTTTAAGTTCTAATAAATTTGTAATTATCTCTGTACATTTATAGACTATTCATGTTCACCTCTCATGAACTGCCAAGTCAAATCATCTCCTCATTTGGTTATTGTTTGCTTTGATTTTACTAATGGTGTATCCTGAGTACTAATCCTCTGTGGATTATATGCTCTATTAATAAACTCAGTGTATGGTAAATTTTTACATATTCTTATATGTTTGTCTTTCAGAAATTTAAAATGTTATATAATCAATTTTTCTTTTATGGATTTTTTTTAAAAATGAGCAATTCTATGCCATAAAAACAATTTTCTTCTTAATTTCATTTATTCTTTTTCCTGTTCTCCACATCTACCTTTACTTTATTTGTAATTTATTTTTAAATAGTTTTAGTTAGAACTATTTGTAATAATTACTATTTGTAACTATTTGTGATAATCTAATTTATTCATTTGTTTACTTTTCATAGATATAGCAATTTATTCATAAGTCTATATTTTTCCTGAATGAGTATTTAAGGGCTTATAAAATGTCTGTTTTTCTTTCTCATTTTTTATAACACTGTATAACTTACACCAGTTTCTATGTAGTATTTACGTGACTCTCTTCCGGAATTTTCTATCATGTTTCATATTTTTACTTATTCTTACTATTAATCACCTCTAATTTCTTTAGAATTACAATAACTTTCAATACCTACAGAACATTTCTTCCCATTGAGAGGTGACAGCGTGCTGGCAGTCCTCACAGCCCTGGCTCGCTCTCGGCGCCTCCTCTGCCTGGGCTCCCACTTTGGCGGCACTTAAGGAGCCCTTCAGCCCACCGCTGCACTGTGGGAGCCCGTTTTTGGGCTGGCCAAGGCCGGAGCAGGCTCCCTCAGCTTGCATGGAGGTGTGGAGGGAGAGGCGCGAGCGGGAACTGAGGCTGCGCAGGGCCCTTGAGGGCTAGCTGGACTTCCGGGTGGGCGTGGGCTTGGCGGCCCCGCACTCGGAGCAGCCAGCTGGCCCTGCCGGCCCGGAGCAATAAGGGGCTTAGCACCTGGGCCAGCGGCTGCGGTAGGTGTACTGGGTCCCCCAGCAGTGCCAGCCCGCCGGCGCTGTGCTCGGTTTCTCACCGGGCCTTAGCTGCCTTCCCGCGGGGCAGGGCTCGGGACCTGCAGCCCGCCATGCCTGAGCCTCCCACCCCCTCCGTGGGCTCCGGAGCGGCCGGAGCCTCCCCGATGAGCGCCACCGCCTGCTCCACAGCGCCCAGTCCCATCGACCACCCAAGGGCTGAGGAGTGCGGGCGCAGGGCGCGGGACTGACAGGCAGCTCCACCTGTAGCCCCAGTGCGGGATCCACTGGGTGAAGCCAGCTGGGCTCCTGAGTCTGGTGGGGACGTGGAGAACCTTTATGTCTAGCCCAGGGATTGTAAGTACACCAATTGGCACTCTGTATCTAGCTCAAGGTTTGTAAACACAACAATCAGCACCTTGTGTCTAGCACAGGGTTTGTGAATGCACCAATCGACACTCTGTATCTAGCTACTCTGGTGGGGCCTTGGAGAACCTTTGTGTCCACACTCTGTATCTAGCTAATCTAGTGGGGAGGTGGAGAACCTTTGTGTCTAGCTCAGGGATTGTAAACGCACCAATCAGCGCCCTGTCAAAACAGACCACTGGGCTCTACCAATCAGCAGGATGTGGGTGGGGCCAGAAAAGAGAATAAAAGCAGGCTGCCCAAGCCGGCAGTGGCAATCCGCTGGGGTCTCCTTGCACAGTGTGGAAGCTTTGTTCTTTAGCTCTTTGCAATAAATCTTGCTGCTGCTCACTCTTTGGGTCCACACTGCCTTTATGAGCTGTAACACTCACCACGAAGGTCTGCAGCTTCACTCCTGAAGCCAGCGAGCCCACGAGCCCACCAGAAGGAAGAAGCTCCGAACACATCTGAACATCAGACGGAACAAACTCAGGATATGCCGCCTTTAAGAACTGTAACACTCATGGCGAGGGTGGGCGGCTTCATTCTTGAAGTCAGTGAGACCAAGAACCCACCAATTCCAGACACACCATCTTATTCTTGTTTTTCAAAATATTCTTTACTATTCTTGGTCCAGTGTTCAACTTGTGTGAATTTTAATCAAATTTTATGTTTTATGGAGAGCCCTGGTGGCATTTTGATGGGATTTTTACTTGTATTTACAGATTATTTTTGCGGGAATTGATATTTTCTAACGCTAAGCACCCCATATATGACTATAGTATAACTCCCCATTTATTTAGGTGTTGTTCATAATATTGAATAAAATTTTGTAATTTTATTCATATAATTTTGAACTTTATTTTTCAGATTTATTCTTAGATAACATCATTTTTATTCTTTGGATGGTTTAAAAATAATTATTCTACTTGCTACTTTATAATTGCTTTCTGCACGGCAACATTATTGATGATATACATAACCTTGATGATCAGGCTATATGTCTCTTAGTATATTAGTGGTATTTGAAGGAAAATCAACCACTTCAGTGGGATTGCCAAGAACAAAATGTAACAGGGAGTTACATTTTTCATTACACAGTTTCTATAATGGAACTTTGTTATGTTAATATTGCATTTGCAATCTTGCTGAACTCTCTTACTAGTTCTCATTATGTCCTTAGCTTTTCTTTAGTTTTCTGCAGAAACAACTTTATTCTCTTTGGTAAATGACTATTTTTCTTCCTTTTTAATTCTTGTGCTTTATTTTAGTTTCTTGTTTTATAGAATTGATCTTCTATTAAATATAAAAGAATCTTATATTTTTATCCTTTTATTTATCTAATTTTTGCTTTTCAGACCACTGATTACAAAATTAGCTTTTTTCAGAAATATACAAGGACTACGGTATGTCATAACAGCTTTCAAAGTAAGCATGGGTAAAAAAATGCTTCCTCTTTCTGTAAGCTTCCTACACACCAAAAAAAGCAGTTAGTATGTTTAACCTGATATCAGTTAAGGTTAGTCTGCTAATAATTGCCAAGCATCACTTCATTTCTTGGCTATACATTGCTCTAAATTTCCCGAAAGATTCTTTTTATTTTACTTGTTATATTTTTTTCTTGTCAATCCCACTGTGGTGGCTGACTTTCCTTCATATACCACTAATAACCTAAGAGACATACAGCCTGATCATCAAGTTTGTACCGATCTTCCAAAGGTACCTGTTAGGGAATATCACTGTTTCTGCTATCTACAATGTAAACCAGGTATTGGTGAAAGTAGCAACTATCATTTGTGCTAACTTATTTTTTTGTTATTGCATATAGTGATTGGCTTCTTTGAGCCTTGTTAGTGAGCTGTGCACCGCCCACAACATGCTGCTATTAACAAATCAGAGTTATAATGAAATAATATTTTTATTTAGCATGTTGCAGCTTAATAGGTGATTCAATTAATTCAATCAAGTCTGAGTATATCTAAATAATCCTTAGCTATTATCCACAGAATTATAGAAACAGCTCACAACTTTTTGCCATTTACTTGACACCATATTGGCTAGAGATAAAGATTACATGCTTTCATTATATTAATATAAATGAATGGGATTTGGATCATAATCTTAAAAGACACAACCCCAAACACCATAATCCTGAATGTTGAAATCTCAAAAGGTCGAAATTCCCAACAGTCAAAATCCCTAAAGTCTAAAGTTCCTAACATCTAAAATCTCAAAAATTACTATCCCAAAAGATTAAAATCCCAAATGTTGAAATCCTGAAAACTGAATTCCAGGAAAGAGGTTCGGATGGTTAAGGTTGTATTCAGGTTAGTTGCATCATGTTAGGCACAACTATTAAATTATTATTGTCTTTATTTGTTTTTGTTTTTAATGTTTCTTTTTTTATTTCAATAGCTTTTGTGGTACAAATGGTTTTTGATTACTTAAATAAATTGTATAGTGGAGAGGTCTGAGATTTCAATGCTCCCATGACCTGAGTAGTAGTGTACATTTATTCAATATGTAGTTTTTTTTATCCTTTATCCTCTTCTCCCCTCCCCACCTACTGATTCTCCAGTGTCCGTTATACCACTCTGTATGCCTTTACATACCCATAGCTTAGCTCCCTCTTCTAAGTGGGAACATACAGTATTTGGTTTTCTCATCTTGAGTTATTTCACTTAGAATAATGGCCTCCAGCTCCATCCAAGTTGATGCAAAAGATATTATTTCATTCTTAGTTATGGCTGATTAGTATTCCATTGTATGTGTGTGTCTGTGTGCGGGTGTCTGTGTGTGTGTGTGTGTGTGTGTGTGTGTGTGTGTATAAACACATTTTCTTTATCTACCCATCAGCTTATGGGCACTTAGGTTGGTTCCATTTCTTTGCAATTGTGAATTGTGTTGCAACAAACATATGTGTGCAGGTGTCTTTTTTATATAATTTCCTTTCCTTTGAAGAGATACCACTGGGATCCACTGGGTGAATCCAGCTGGGCTCCTGAGTCTGGTGGGGACTAGGAGAACCTTTATGTCTAGCTAAGGGATTGTAAATACAGGAATCAGCACTCTGTGTCTAGCTCAGGGATTGTAAATGCACCAGTCAGCACCCTGTCAAAACGGACCAATCAGCTTTCTGTAAAACAGACCAGTCAGCTCTCTGTAAAATGGACAAATCAGCAGGATGTGGGTGGGGCCAGATAAGGGAATAAAAGCAGGCTGCCCCAGCCAGGAATGGCAACCCGCTTGGGTCCCTTTCCACACTGTGGATGGGTGGTTCTTTTGCTCTTTGCAGTAAATCTTGTTGCTGCTCACTCTTTGGGTCTGCACTGTCTTTATGAGCTGTAACACTCACCTGGAAGGTCTGCAGCTTCACTCCTGAGCCAGCGAGACTATGAACCCACAAGAAGGAAGAAACTCTGAACACATCCAAACATCAAAAGGAACAAACTCCGGACACGCCAACCTTAAGAACTGTAACACTCACTGCGAGGGTCAGCGGCTTCTTTCTTGAAGTCAGTGAGACCAAGAACCCACCAATTCCGGACACAGAACCATCCCTGCATCCCTGGGATGAAACCCACTTGATCATGGTGAGTTATCTTTTTGATAAGCTGTTGGATTCAGTTTGCTAGGATTTTTGTTGAGGATTTTTGCATCTATATTCATCAAGGATATTTGTCAGCAGTTTTCTTTTTTTTTGTTTTGTTCTTTTCTGGCTTTGGTATCAGGGTGATGCTAGCTTCATAGAATGAGAAAAATTCAATCAGTAATATAAAAAAAATTATCACCACCACCAACAACAAAAATAAAAAAGAACGGAAGATGGATTCACAGCCAAATTATACCAGTAGTTTAAAATAATCTTTTGTTCTACTAGGTCCTACCAGTAGTACAAAAGAGAAAGTACTAGTAGTTTCAAATGGAAAAAGTACTAGTAGTTTCAAAAGAAAAAGTACTAATAGTTTCAAATAATCTTTTGCATTTCCGTGGTGTTGGGAGTAATGTTTCCATTTTTATTTCTATTTTAGTTTATTTGAATCTTCTCTCCTATTTTCTTGATTGATCTAGTGAATGTTGATCAATTTTGTTTATCTTTTCAAAGAACCAGCTTTTTGTTTTATTGATCCTTTGTATTATTTGTGTGTTTCAATTTCATTTAGTTCTGCTCTGATCTTTGTTATTTCTTTTCTTCTGCTAGCTTTGGGTTTGGTTTGTTCTTGTTTCTCTAGTTCCTTGAGGTGTGACATTAGGTTGTTTATTCGTGATCTTTCAGACTTTTTGATGCAGGCATTTTGTGCTATAAACTTTTCTCTTAACACTGCTCTTGCTGTATCTCAGGGGTTTTGACAACTTGTGTCACTATTATAATTCATTTCAAAGAATTTTAAAATTTCAATCTTGATTTTATTGTAAACTCCAAAACCACTCAGGAACAGATTGTTTAATTCGCATGTATTTGTGTAGTTTTAAAGATCCCTTATGGAATTTATTTATAGTTTTATACTCCACTGTGGTCTGCAAAGACACTTGATATGATTTTGATTTTTAAAAAAAATTTATTGACTTGTTTTGCAGCCTATAATAGGATCTATCTTAGAGAGTGTTCCATATGCTAATGAGAAAAATGTATATTCTGCAGTTCTTGGGTCGAACATTCTGTAAATTTTGTTAGGTACATTTATTCTAGAGTGCAGTTTAAGTCCAGTGTTTCCCTGCTTACTTTCTGCCTCGATAATCTGTCTAGTGCTATCGGTGGAGGATTGAAGTTCCCTATTATGACTGTGTTGCTATTTCTTTTCTAGGTATAGTAGTAATTGTTTTATAAATTTGGGAGCTCCAGAGTTAGGTGCATGTATATTTAGGATTGTAATACCTTGTTGTTGGATTGATCCTTTTATCATTATATAATGACCTTCTTTGTCTCTTTTTACTGCTGTTGCTTTAAAGTCTGTTTTATCTGATATAAGAATAGCTACTCCTGCTGGTTTTTGGTTTCCATTTTCATGAAATATCTTTTTCCACTCCTTTACCTTGAGTCTATTAAAATCATTACATGTTAGGTGACTCTTGAAGACAGTAGATATTGGTTTGTAAATTTTTAATCCATTCTGCCAATCCCTGTCTTTTCAGTGGAACATTTAGACCCATTTAAATTCAATGTTATTAATGAGATATGAGGTTCCAGTCATCATGTTGATTGTTACCCAGATACTTTGTTTTCTTCATTGTGTTACTGGTTTTTGTTTGTTTTTTAGAGTAAAGGGAAAGTAAGTTTATTGGGAATGTAAAGGAATAAAAGAATAACTACTCCATAGGCAGAGCAGCTGTGTTATTGTTTTATAAGGCTTGGGAATTTTATGCTTTCATGAAGTTTTATTCTGGTGCATATCAATCTTTTGTTTCAAGATTTAGGTTTTTTTTTTTTTATCATTTCCTATAGTGCTTGTTTGGTAGTGACAAATTCCCTCAGCATGTGTTCATCTGAAAGACTATTTATCTTTCATTTATGAAACTTAGTTTTGTTGGATACAGAATTCTTTGCTGATAGTTATTCTGTTTAGGGAGGCTAAAGACATGACCCTAGTCCCTTCTGGCTTGTAAGGTTTCTACTGAGAAGACTGCTGTTAATCTGATAGGTTTTCTTTATAGGTAACCTGATGCTTTTTATCTCACTGCTCTTGAAGTTCTTCACATTGGCTTTAGATAGCTTAATGGCTATATGCCTTGGTGATGTCCTTTTTGCAATGAATCACCCAGGATTTCTGTTGTACTTAGATGTCTACATCTCTAGCAAAGGCAGAGAAGTTTTCCTCAATTATTTCCTCAAATGAGTTTTCCACACTTTTTGATTTTTCTTCTCCCTCAGGAACAACAATGATTTATATGTCTGGCTATTTTACATAATCTCATATTTCTTGGAGACTTTATTTCTTTCAATTCTTTTTTCTTTATTTTTGCCTGATTGGGTTAATTCAAAAGTTTTGCCTTTGAACTTTAAAAAGCTTTCTTCTACTTGGTCTGATCTATTGTTAAAGCTATCTGCTGCATTTTGTAATTACCTAAATGTTATTTTTCATTTCCAGAAGTTTTTATTGATTTTCCTTGAAAATATCTATCTCTATAGAAAGTGTGCGTTCATATACTGATTTTTTTTCATTTCTCTATATTAGTTTTCACCTTTCTTTTGTATCTTTTTGACTGACTTAATAATCAACTTTTAAATTCTTTATCTGGTATTTCAAAGATTTAATCTTGGTTTGGATCCATTGCTAGAGAGCTATGTGTTCTTTTGAGTATTAGAGAACCCTGTTTTGTCTTACTGCCAGAATTATTTTTCTGGTTTATTCTCACTTTGGTTGACTATTTTTTAAAAAATATTTTTAAATTTATTTTTGTTCAACTGTGTTTTAAAAAGATTTATTTTTCCCCCTCAAAGATGTGAATTTAATAATTATAGTTTATTGTAACCTAATTTAGCTCTGGTTGCTATTAGGGGTGAAGAGTCATTAAGAGTTCCTTGATTATGTTCTCTGTATGATGACTTTCTCAGATGCTGATTGTGGTAGCAATGTGCTTGGTGTGTGTGCAGCTTCTCTGTCTTCTGTGGAGTTGTAATGCCAGAAGTCTCTTGAAGCTTATCTTGTTCCTCATTGGTTTGCATTTTTTATTTATTTACTTTTTCCCCAGTATTTTATTTACTGGATAGAACAGTTCAGGCTTCAGGCTGTAGAGAAGGTGTCCTAGGGTAAAAACTAACTGTGGCTAAAGTAGGTGGGTGAATGCAATACCCAAGGGTGGACAGAGATCCCAGCCTTGACAGAGTAGCTGGGGGAGCTCTCGGTGAAATGCACTGAAGTCTTTTCAGAGGTAAGTGAGGGAGCCACTTCAGCTCCTCTGCCAGGCCGGGAGGAAAGGAATTGCATCTTCCAGTTACTCTCTTGACCCAGTGTTCTGGCTGTTCAGCTCAGACAGGCCCCTGTTTTTCATCTGCAGAAATTCTGATGTTCATGTTGAGGAGTTGTGGTTCTACCCCTTATGGAAGCCTGAACCTGGAGGCCACTCCTCCTGTGAGGATATAGTCACCCTGAAGTGCTCCACAAGGGCTGTCCATAGATGCACCCATGCCAAGGGCCCATGGGAAAATCCCCAACTATGTCTGCAGTGGTCAGCAAATGGAAAAAGAAGTACCATTTTCCAAGATCCTTCATGAGCACCAGGGCTGCTTGACTGTTAGGGTATAGCCATGAACTTTGCTAAGCACAGTGCTGCATCTGTGCCTCTACTGAAAGAAACTTCCCACCAAGAAAGTTCTGGGGCTGAATTTTTTTATCCCAAGGGTCACTTACTCCCTTGATGTGGGTGCGCTCCTCCTTACCCTTGGAGTAGGAGTCCTTGAAGGCCAGACTCCTGTGAATCCTGCTACTCCTTTGATCCAGCCATCCAGTGAGTGTCACTCTCCAGGCTGGTGCTGGGGAATGTCTGTGTGGGATCCAGTGATGTGACCTGTCTGCAAGTCCCCCAGCAGTGGTTAACCAGTACCAGCTCTGATGGGTGTGGCAGGGGAGTGACAGACTCTGTGAAATTCCTTGGTTATACATAGCCTTAGTGGGTTGTCTTTATCAGATGCCATTTGTAGTATTAATGAACTGGTCACAGGAACAGAGTCAGGACCTCCTGATTATCCAGGGTGCTATAGGCAATGGTGACAGCTGAGGTCACCCCACGAGGTTTCTCCTTCCTGGGCACTGTATTATTATATCTGCAGATGCTGTAATAGGCTGTGTCAGTTGGCCTCCAACCAGGAGGCAGCATTTGCAAAGGAGCATCAGCTGCAGTGGTAGTGGTGGGATTTGTGCTTGCCTTATGTTACCCAGTGGAGGTACTCTGCTGTTTCAGGCAATGGGCAGGGCCATAAAGCTCCCAAAAGTTTCTGTTCTTTGTGTTAAGCTACCAGAGTGGTTAGAGAGGCAAAGTCAAGTGTGGGCTGGTTCAGGCCCATTTGCACTCTGGTTCTCTATTTGTGGGTGCAAGCAGTGGCCTCAGTGGTCATCAGAGGGCAGTTCTCTGGTTGCTGAGGTAATGCTCCAAGGAGGAGTGCAGCTGCCTCTGATGCCCAGAAGAGTCTATACAGGAAGTAGGGATTAGTAGGCAGCAATGAGCCCCACCCAGCTCCCAGGCACTTGTCAAGGCAGGCCTCTTACCCACAGTGTTCTACGGGCTGCAGCTAGCTAGGTTCCAAATAGTTTGCACTCAGAACTCAAAACTGCCCCATGGAGACAGAAACCACAACTTTTAGGCCACGCTTCTCCCCGTGTGCCTGCAGAACAACGGTGCCTACCTCTTGCACCAATGGCTATTGTGCAGTTCCTACTTACTCCTTTGTTCTGGCCAAGGGGGTTCATCCCCATGCAAGATTATATTGTGAATCTCATTTGGGAGCTTCTCTCAACCTGTGACTGCTGTCTGAGTAAGCTGGCAGACTTCCCTGAGGTCCTCTGTGAGGTAGGATCAGGAATGGCTTCTCTGCATCCCTACTGGAGGTGGGGAGGAGTGCGTGCAAAGCATATCCAGAGCTTCTCCTTCTCATATTGTCCCCTTCTCATATCCTCGCCACTGCTTACTAAATCAGCTTCAATGCTGAGTACGGTTAAGACCTTTCCCTGTGGATTGAATTGCCAGTTTTCCCAGCGGGAGTGTATGTGCCAGAGGCAGTTATTCTCCTCTCACACTCTGGGACTTTCAGTTTTCCACCTGTATCACAGTGTAGGCTGTAGCCCGCTGCTTATTTCAAAGGGTCTGCAGTTTCTTTCAGTTTCCGTGTTAAGTTCCTGTGTTGCTTCTTGGAAAAAAGTTCACAGTGTGAATCACTATACACTGTTTTGTTTTTCCAAGTAGGGAAACATGCTAACGGTGCTTCCAATCTACCATTTTGGAGGAAAAAGCCAAAAAACAACTATTATCTTTATTTAGAAATTGAGTATTGTTTAAGGAGATGCATTTGAGTGCCTAGTTGACAACGAGTGGACTTGTGGACTAAATTTTAAATGAAAACTTGACTGGATTAAGGGATGCCTAGAAAACTGATAAAGTGTCATTTTGGGTCTATGAGGGTATTTCCAGAGGAGATTAGCGTGTGAGTCTGAGTGGACTAGGAAGGAAGACGTGTCCTTATTGTTGGCTGGCACCATCCAATCGGCCAGGGACATGGAGAGAACAGATGCAGAAAGATAATTTGTCTCTCTCTCAGAGCTGAAATGGAGTTTTCTTCTGCTCCCTTAGACATCAGGAATTTGACTCCACAAAAGTGCATTATCACAATGTTGACTTTGTGTGTAAGCATTGTGCATGTAGGTAAAAAGCTAAAACTTCCTCAGTAAACAAAGAGATGTTCTTTTCGTACATCTACATTTGTGAAGATATGATTTCTGAAGATCTCTGCCCTTTGAGTGATGGCATATGTGGCGGTGACTCATTGTGGGTTTTGGATCAATCTCATCAAAAGACTTAGGTTGTCTGTCATGGTGTTTCAGACGACTGCAGTTATAAAGCTGGGAGCACAAAATTACCAATCATAGAGATACATGTTTATACATTTACTTGCTGACCTATTTCTTTATGAATATGATTTGTCTGTTTATAACCATCACACCCATGAGATTGTTTTTAGTATACCTGAGCATTTGTTTGCAAAAATATGTATATTATTATCGTCCATTTTATTGTGTAAAGTAGCCTATAAAGTGTTCTGTCATTTTTTTTTTTAATGTTTGTTTTTTGAGACAGAGTCTCCCTCTGTCGCCCAGGCTGGAGTGCAGTGGCACGGTCTCGGCTCACTGCAAGCTCTGCCTCCCGGGTTCACGCCATTCACCTGCCTTAGCCTCCCGAGTAGCTGGGACTACAGGCGCCCACCACCACACCCGACTAATTTTTTGTATTTTTAGTAGAGATGGGGTTTCACCGTGTTAGCAAGGATGGTCTCGATCTCCTGACCTTGTGATCCGCCTGCCTCGGCCTCCCAAAGTGCTGGGATTACAGGCGTGAGCCATGGCGCCCGTCCATGTTCTGTCATTTTTATACAACTGTCAAATAAATCACCTCTTAAAAGTATCTTTGTATCTATTTTAAAATTATTTCTTCCGGAATTACATTTTTGGGATTTCGATCTTTCAGGATTTCAACATTTATAATTATGGTAATCGAGACTGTGTCTTTCAGGATTATGATCAGCTGCTGAATTAATGATATGTGAGGTGAGTTGATTTGCAGTGAGGGTTACTTGAGAAGAAAGGAAAGCAGTTATTCCATTTATTTCTCTAATGATTTAAAGGTCTCCAAAGAATGTATCTTATTGGTGATTATTTTTCATTTCTACTTCTCTCTTTTAGTTCTCTGAAAGACAGTTCTCTTTCTGATTCTCTTATGAGTTTGAATATGATAGTCAGATAAAGAGCCCACAAAGATAAAAGTGGCTACGGTTTACAAGTCATATGTGGCCCTGCTTATTGGATAGGTACATTGTCATAGGTGAAGTATTTCCATCACTCTCATTAACCACATTAAATTTTGGGCTGCTGATTAGGAGAAACTGATAGGCTGTAGTCACCTCATAGAATCTGGTTTTTATGATGGTTTTCTCATAAGTTTTTTAATGGAAATGAACATATTGCTTCTATCAGGTGAATAGTAATACTTAATACCTCTGAATCAAGGGTCCACAAACTATGAGCTACAGGCCAAATCTGGCCCAACACCTGTTTTTGTAAACGAGTTCTGTGGCAATAAAATAGGATTCTTTTATATAGCATCTATGGCTGTGTTGGAGCTACAGCAACAGAATTGAGTAATCGCAACAGACATCTTATGGCCTTCAAAGTCTAAAATGTATAATATCTGACTTTTTAGAGGAAAGTTTTCTGACTGCTGGTCTAAAGCAGGGATGATAAGCTAACAGCAATCAATTGAATGTCATTATTACAGTGACTAATGATGTCTGTGATGGGTGAAATAATAGGCTATGGGGACATTTAGGCTAGATATTTGCCATCCTTTGTCTAAAAAAATAGTATTTCCTTAATAATTACAAACTGAGTCAAAGAAAATAGGTCAGTTAATTTCCTTTTCCTTAAATCTTTGAAAGAGCTAAGCATAGTGACACATTTTAAAATAATATAATTAGGACAAAAAAATCAATTTGTTGCCTTTCTCATGATTTCTTGACTACCATGAACCATAAATGATAGATGTGTTTCCTCCTTACTCTAAAATTTGAGCAAAATGCCTTTCTAGTTACTTTTTATAAAGACATGGCTTTATGAATTAAAGAGCCAAACACTTCTTTTCCTGTCTGTCTGGTGCCACAATCTATTTTTTTTCTCCCACTTCTTACAGAGGTGGACATTGGAAGAAAAGTGATAACATGACAGAGTGGAATTAAGTATATATTTTAAACATCCTGTCTTTACCGTTTTAAAAGCATCCAATACATCCAGATAACCTTGTATTGAGAATGTGCAAAAAAACAAAACAAAATAGAACTGCAGCATTAGACAAGAACAGAATCCTTCAACCCTCTATCACGGACCCCCTGATACTTTCTTCATTCTCTGGAACATTGCTTCTGTAGGTCTTCTTCAGCATTTCTTGCTTGTTGACTTATAGGACTCAGGTTCCCTGCTTTATTTTTTTGATATTCACTTTCTGGTCCCCTAAAGGTAGGCTGCAGTTAAGAGGCATCCCTGCTCTCTTCCTAGCCCGGTAAACTGATCTGGGTGGGCTTCTACTTGATCTTCCCATGTGTTAACCTCTACTAGACAGACTGGCATTCAGAAGACCTAGCTTTAAGAGCAGGCGGTACAATTAATTATTTCTGTGACTCCGACAGTTCTCTGAAATGTAGTTTTCTTATTATTACAATGAGGACGTTTGCTTAGACAATTTAATTCAAGCTTTGAATGATTCTCTTTGTATCTTTCTCTACCTTCACATCCAAGAAGTTTCTGAAAGAGATTTCAACCCATAGCAGCAGCATATGCTTTGCCAGAAGCCTGAACTTTATTGTCTTCAGGACTCACTTCCCCTCACCATTTTTAATTTTCTCTTTACTCAACCCACTTTACCCATTCTCCCTCCTTCCTCCCTGTGTCTCTCCCTCCTTCCCTCCCTCCCTTCCTTCCTTCCCCCTTCCTGCCTTTTAATGAAAGACTCTTTCATCAGCTGTTATTTAAGAACTGCATCTCATTGAATATTTTATCAATCAATTTTAACTCATAAATACATCAAGCTTGCAGTTAAGGGGCTCATGTTATAACCAGTTATATTAGGACATCACTTTTGAGAATTCTTTTAAACAAACAATAAAAGTGTTTTGAAATATAAAATAATGCATTTGTTACATTTCACATTGCTAGATACATCTCTGCAAATGGAGGCAATGTATTTTTAGGAACACTTTTGTTTTTCTGTTCACTGATGGGTTATTAAAGTTAGTACATGGATTTAGATGTGATTCCACTGGTTTGCAGTCTATCAGGAAAGGCTTTGTGGTACATTAGAAGTATGTTCAAGGAATGTCATCTCACTACTTCAAGGGGCTTTTCTTTAATAAAAAGGGCAATAGAGATCAAACTAATCCACTGAATTTGCATGTTTTCTCCTCACATTGCTGAAAACATCTATTCAAACTAGCTTCAAACTAGAGCAATTAGGTGGGTAATTGCCCTAGTGTGAACTTAGCCTTAAAAGCTTATTCTATGAAACTAGAGTAATTAGACTTACTTCTTCTGTCTTTTTTTCTTCACCTCATTGTTCTCATGCATTAGGCTAATGTTGCTTTGCTTGGGTTCACTTCAATGCAAATGAATGGAGGCTGGGGATGGGGGAATAGAAAGGTGTAAATGGATAGGAAATCCAGGGGAAAAAAAAAAGCCAGCTTGTGACAGCAATCATGAAAAACATTTGCATTCTAATAGGGCTTGTTAAACAGCATTTTAATTAATCTGAAATTTGCAACATACCTGCTTGTCACTATCCTTTGTAATGACTAGTTTATGTTCCTAAAATAGATATACAAAATACCTCGTTTTGCCAGATAATTTAGCAATGCTTGGCTATATCAAATGAATCTTAGTTGCTAACGGGATAACAGTTTTAGTTGTTTTTTCTTTGCTTTAACATGTTATAATCATCCAAAGGGAACATACCAGGTCAAGTGTTAACAATATGTGCGTTGCAAAAATAAAAGTTAAGATTTGCCATCTGTTCAAAAAAGACACCATTACATTAGATGTTTTTTACAATTTCTTTTTAATCCTAATACTTTTTTATTATTTCACTTTTTTAAAACTATAGATACACTTTGTGTACCAAAATTATAATATACAGTTAAGGAATCAGAATGGAAATATTGTAAGGCAATACAGCATACTTTGGGGCAATATTTAAAGTAGATAAAGTATAATTTGGAGGGATATGTTCCAGGGGTGTAAATTTAGATTTGGTGATGGCATGTGCAATGTTATACGCATTAAATATTTGTTCAGTTCCATAGATTGTATGATTAAACCCACAATGTTGTTTCCATGTTTACATTTAAAATGCCAATCAGAAGTGTTATTTGGGTCCTGACTCTCAAGTTCTTACTTCATGCCCCCTATACCTTGTGCCACATTCTAGGTGATATGCAGTGACTTCTTGAGATTTTGTGATTTCTTTCATGCACATCCGTGTTAAGAGACCATCAAACAGGCTTTGTGTGAGCAACATGGCTGTTTATTTCACCTGGGTGCAGGCGGGCTGAGTCCGAAAAGAGAGTCAGCGAAGGGTGGTGGATTATCATTAGTTCTTATAGGTTTTGGGATAGGCGGTGAAGTTAAGAGCAATGTTTTGCGGGCACGGGTGTATCTCACAAAGTACATTCTCAACAGTGGGGAGAATTACAAAGTACCTTCTTAAGGGTGGGGGAGATTACAAAGCACATTGATCAATTAGGGTGGGGCAGAAACAAATCACAATGGTGGAATGTCATCAGTTAAGGCTATTTTTACTTCTTTTGTGGATCTTCAGTTACTTCAGGCCATCTGGATGTATACATGCAAGTCACAGGGGATGCGATGGCTTGGCTTGGGCTCAGAGGCCTGACATTCCTGCCTTCTTATATTTATAAGAAAAATAAAACAAAATAGTGTTGAAGTGTTGGGGCGGCGAAAATTTTTGGGAGGTGGTATGGAGAGAGAGTGGGCGATGTTTCTCAGGGCTGCTTCAAGCGGGATTAGGGGCGGCGTGGGAACCTAGAGTGGGAGAGATTAAGCTGAAGGGAGATCTTGTGGTAAGGGGTGATATTGTGGGGATGTTAGAAGAAGCATTTGTCGTATAGAATGATTGGTGATGGCCTGGATATGGTTTTGTATGAATTGAGAAACTAAATGGAATAAGAGAAGGAGAAAAACAGGTATAAAAGGTCTAAGAATTGGGAGGACCTAGGACATCTAATTAGAGAGTGCCTAAGGAGGTTCCGCATAGTCCTGCCAGCAAAGATTATTTATTTACTTCAGGAGTTTAGAGCTGCATTTTGGGGATAGCACCAGGAGATATCATCTGTGATGGCTTGGAGAAACAGTGTAAACAAGAGCAGGGCATGTATGAGTAGTTGAGAACGGTGAATAGGAGTATGACTAGACAGAAGATAATAGGGATGACAAGTTTTTTTGGGGCACAGTCTAACTAAGTTGGTCTGGTGTCTGGAATGAGACTGGTGCCTAATAAAAAGGAGCGTCTATACAGGAGCTTAAATGGGCTGTACCTTATAGCATTCTGAGGACAGGTCTGACTTCTGAGAAGGGAAAGTGGTAGAAGTATTGTCCAGTCCTTTTTAAGTTGGTAGCTGAGCTTGGTGAGGTGTGTTGTTAAAAGACCTTTAGTCCATTCTACTTTTCTTGAAGACGGAGGACCGTAAGGGATATAAAGGTTTCACTGAATACTAAGAGCCTGAAAAACTGCTTGGCTGATTTGACTAATAAAGGCTGGTCTGTTTTCAGACTGTATAGAGGTGGGAAGGCTAAACTGAGGAACTATGTCTGACAGAAGGGAAGAAATGACTGCGGTGGCCTTCTCAGACCCTGTAGGAAAGGCCTCTACTTATCTAGCGAAAGTGTCTACTTAGACTAAGAGGCATTTTAGTTATCTGACTCGGGGCATGTTGAGTAAAGCTAATTTGCCAGTCCTGGGTGGGGGCAAATCTTCAAGCTTGATGTGTAGGGAAGGGAGGGGGCCTGAATAATCCCTGAGGAGTAGTAGAATAGCAGATGGAACACTGAGAAGTTACTTCCTTGAGGATAGATTTCCATGATGGAAAGGAAATGAGAGGTTCTAAGAGACGGGCTAGTGGCTTGTTCTATAGCATAGCCTGCCTTTGCTGGTAGGTGGCGATTAGGCCTGGTGGAACTGCCGTCAATAAATCAAGCGTGATCAGGGTGAGGAACAGGAAAGAAGGAAATATGGGGAAATGAGGTGAATATCAGGTGGATCAGAGAGATACAGTCATGGGGGTCAGGTGTGGTATCAGGAATAATGTGGGAGGTCAGATTGAAGTCCGGGCCAGGAACAATGGTAATTGTGGGACTTAACAAAGAGTGAGTACAGCTGAAGGAGCCAGGGAGTGGAAAGTATATGCGTCAGGTATGAGGAAGAAAGTAGATTTTGGAAGTTATGAGAAATGTAGAGAGTGAGTTGAGCATTGTTTGTGATTTTTAGGGCCTCTAAAAGTATTAAAGCAGCGACAGCCGCTGCATGCAGACATGAGGGCTAGGCTAAAACAGTAAGGTCAAGTTGTTTGGACAGAAAGGCTACAGGGTGTGGTCCTGGCTCTTGTGTAAGAATTCTGACTGCACTAACCATGCCTAGGAAGGAAAGGAGTTGTTGTTTTGTAAGGGATTGAGGTTTGGGAGATTAATGGGACACGATCAGCAGGGAGAGCACGTGTGTTTTTATGAGAATTATGCCAAGATAGGTAACAGATGAGGATGAAATTTGGGCTTGACTGAAGTAATGGGGGCTGTCTGTGAAGGTTTGCGGCAGTACAGCCTAGGTAATTTGCTGAGCTTGATGGGTGTCAGGGTCAGTCCAAGTGAAAGCGAAGTGACGCTGGAATGAAGGGTGCAAAGGAATAGTAAAGAAAGCATATTTGAGATCTAGAACAGAATAATGGGTTGTAGAGGGAGGTATTGAGGATAGGAGAGTATATGGGTTTGGCACTACAGGGTGGATAGGCAAAACAATTTGGTTGATAAGGCGCAGATCCTGAACTAATTTGTAAGGCTTGTCTGATTTTAGGACAGGTAAAATGGGGGAATTGTAAGGAGAGTTTATAGGCTTTAAAAGGCCATTCTGTAGCAGGCGAGTGATAACAGGCTTTGGATTGGGAAGAAGGGCAGCAATGAGATGTAGCTGTAGTCCAGGAATAGTGAGGGAAGCAGATAATTTAGTTAAAGTGTCTCAGTCTAATAAGGGAACTGGGCAGGTGGGGATAACTAAAAAAGGAGTGCTTAAAAGAGTATTGTCTAAGTTGGCACCAGAGTTGGGGAATTTTAAGAGGTTTAGAAGCCTGGCCATCAATACCCACAACAGTTATGGAGGCATGGAGGCAAGGGAAACAGGCCCTTGAAAAGAAGGTACTGTGGAGTGGGTGGCCTCCATATTGATTAAGGGGACAGACTTACCTTCCACTGTGATAGTTACCCGAAGCTCGGCATCTGTGATGGGCTACAGGGCTTCTGAGGCGATCGGGCAGCATCAGTCTTCAGCTGCTAAGCCGAGAAGGAGTCAGTCAGAGAGCCTTGGGCCGGAGTTCCAGGGGCTCTGGGAGTGGCTGCCAGGTGAGTTGAACAGTCCGATTTTCATTGGGGTCCCACACAGATGGGACATGGCTTAGGAGGAATCCTGGGCTGCGGGCATTCCTTGGCCCAGTGGCCAGATTTCCAGCATGTGTAGCAAGCTCCTGGGGGAGGAGGTTCTGGAGGAACGCCTGGCTGCTGTGGTTCAGGCGTTTGGAAGTTCTTGTGTGCTGGAGATGTGGCTGGGGTTTGTCTCACAGTGGAGGCAAGGAATTGCAACTTTTTTCTATTATTGTACACCTGGAAGGTGAGGTTAATTAAGTCCTGTTGTGGGGTTTGAGGGCCAGCTTCCAATTTTTGGAGTTTTATTTAATGTCGGGAGCAGATTGGGTAATAAAATGTATATTGAGAATAAGACGGCCTTTTGACCTTTTAGGGTCTAGGGCTGTAAAGCGTCTCAGGGTTGCTGCCAAACGAGCCACGAACTGGGCTGGGTTTTTATATTTGATGAAAAAGAGCCTAAACGCTATCTGATTTGGGATAAAGAAAAGGAGCATTAACCATGACTACGCCTTTATCTGTAGCCACCTTTTTAAGAGTAAATTGCTGGGCAGGTGGGGGAGGGCTAGTCACAGAACTGTAAGCCGGACGGAGTGTGAGGAGGGGAGGTGATAAAAGGATTATAGGGTGGAGGAGCAGAGGCTGAGGAAGAATTGGGACCTAGCTCAGCCTGGCGAGGAGGGGAGAGGTCAGATGGGTCTGTAGAAGAGGAAGATTAGAAAGACTCAGTGACGCTTGGGGTTGGGATTGAGGGGACAGGCGGGAGGGAAAGAAGGAAGATTTGGGATGAGTTGCATTGGGCACAGAGACTAGGAAGGGACCAACATGTAAAAGAATGCCTGGACATCAAGCACCTCAGACCATTTGCCCATTTTACGACAAGAATTATTTAGATCTTGTAGGATGGAAACATTGAAAGTGCCGTTTTCCGGCTATTTGGAACTACTGTCAAGTTTGTATTGGGGTCAAGCGGCATTGCAGAAGAAAATAAGGCATTTAGGTTTTAGGTCAGGTGTGAGTTGAAGAGGTTTTAAGTTCTTGAGAACACAGGCTAAGGGAGAAGAAGGAGGAATGGAGGGTGGAAGGTTGCCCATAGTGAAGGGGGCAAGTTTAAAGAAAAGGAAGAGTAGAGACATGGAGGGAAGTAGTTCGGGGGTTCTTACCCTCCAGAAAAGTGGGAAAGGGGTCAGGGTGTGGAAATAAGGGATTAGGGTGCAGAGATAAGAGGTTGGGGTGTGGAAATAAGGGATCGGGGGTTCTTGCCCACTACAAAAGCGGGACTTGCCACTAAGGGTGAAGGAGAAGGGGTTGAGGGGTACTTGTCCCTCCCCCAGAAAAGCAGAGAAGGGGTAGAGACATGGAGAGAAGGGGTTGGGGTACTTGCCCCTCCCCCAGAAAAGTGGGACTTGCCACTAAGGGTGAAGGACCAAGGCAGGCGTCCCTGTGTGGTCTGACACCTTTGAAATGTGAGTGAATAATCAGAGAGGCATTCCTGAAAAGATTAAACACCAAGGGAAGGCTGCCTTCCCAGTCTGTGACTGGCGCTGGAGTTTTGGGTCCACGGATAAAACGTGTCTCCTTTGTCTCTACCAGAAAATGAAAGGAACTGAAATTAAGAGAAGGGAGAGAGTGAAGTGTGGCGCCAAGACTGAAAGGAGAAAGAGGTTGAGGGATAGTAAGGGAAGTTAGAGGAGAGAGTAAAAAGAGGCCACTTACCGGATTTGAAATTGGTGAGATGTTTCTTGGGCTGGTCAGTCTGAGGACCTGAGGTCATAGGTGGATCTTTCTCACAGAGCAAAGAGCAGGAGGACGGGGGATTGATCTCCCAAGGGAGGTCCCCCGATCCGAGTCACGGCACCAAATTTCATGCGCGTCCGTGTTAAGAGACCACCAAACAGGCTTTGTGTGAGCAACATGGCTGTTTATTTCACCTGGCGGCAGGCGGGCTGAGTCCGAAAAGAGAGTCAGCAAAGGGTAGTGGATTATCATTAGTTCTTATAGGTTTTGGGATAGGTGGTGAAGTTAAGAGCAATGTTTTGCGGGCAGGGGTGGATCTCACAAAGTACATTCTCAAGGGTGGGGAGAATTACAAAGTACCTTCTTAAGGATGGGGGAGATTACAAAGTACATTGATCAGTTAGGGTGGGGCAGAAACAAATCACAATGGTGGAATGTCATCAGTTAAGGCTATTTTTACTTCTTTTGTGGATCTTCAGTTACTTCAGGCCATCTGGATGTATACATGCAAGTCACAGGGGATGCGATGGCTTGGCTTGGGCTCAGAGGCCTGACAATTTCTTCCTCCAAAGGCTTCATCTTCATATATATACATGTAAATGGGCCATGTTCCTATAACCAGGCCCACTTTTTCTGCTCAGGTGTACATGTTGCCCTTTTGTTGTTGTTTAGTTGTTGTTGTTCTTTTAGAGACAGAGTCTCACTTTGTGGCTCAAGCTGGAGTGCAGTGGCATGATCCTGAATCCCTGCAGCCTTTGCCTCCTGGGCTCAAGCAATCCTCCTATCTCAGCCTCCCGAGTAGCTAGGACTATAGGGGTGCACCACCACGCCCAGCTAGTTTTGTCTATTTTTCATAGAGATGGGGTCTCAATAGGTTGCCCAGGCTGGTCTTGAAAGTGATCCTCCCGCCTTGGCCTCTCAAAGTGTTGGGATTACAGGTGTTAGCCACCTTGCCTGGCCTTAGCCCAATTCTTTTGCATTGTTGCCTTTGTTTTTCACCTGAATAAATGTTCTCAGCAATAGTAGTGATGATTTATCTCAGTTTCTACACCTTCAAGAAATAACTGTGACATCCAAATGAAAGGCTAAAAGATGTGATATTGATAGGGACAGAAGGCAGGGAAATTCTAGACAGAAGAGGGCAGGTCCCTGGTGAGGGCCCCACCCTCAAGCCTAGAACCAGTGCCCAACGGGAGAACTTACATCTCTGTTTTCCTGCTCAAATGTTGCCTTTCCAAAACCACCCATGGCCCGCACCACCCCCCATCCTGTGCCCATATAAACCCCAGGCTCGGCCAGCAGAGAGAGTTGGGAAGCAGCTGGGCATCAGACACTACGGTTGGATATCAGAGAGAAGCAGCTTGACTTCAGAGAGATGGCTTGGCCTTATAGCTTTGGAGAAGAGTCTGGCTGGCGACAGCCTGACTTCAGGGGAAGATTACCTCCCAACCGCTCTGTCCCCTTTTCAGCTTCCCTTCCCTCTGAGGTCCACTTTCATCAGCAATAAAATCCCCCACATTTACTGTCTTCAATTCATTTGTGTGACCTTGTTCCTCCTGGATACTGGACAAGAACTTGGGTGTGGGTGCAGAAGGCTGTCACACTGACCCTCCACTGAGCTGTTAACACTTAAGCCATCCACAGACAACAAAGCTAAAAGAATACTGACTGTAACACTCCCCTCTGGGACTTCTGGGGTCATAGGCAGTCGCCACTAGATGCTGCTGTGGGGCCAACACAGAGTTTTCCTCCTGCTGGCACCCAAAAGTGCTCACCCGGGCTTCTGCACCCACTCACCTGCATACTCCCCATCCTGAGAGGGGTGAAGCACAGAGGGTCTGAGTGAGTGGAATTCGCCCCTGCCAGCGCCAGAGTGGCTGGCTAGTTCCAGTGCCCCTGCACTCCAGTTTCTGCCTGCAAAATGGCCAGGGTAATGTCCTACTTCAATGTTAAGCCTCTATTTTCAGAGTCATCTTTTTAGCTTTTCCAAAATTGAAAAGGAAAGGTTTGAGAGAAGCACATACTCAGGTTTAGTTTATTAATTAGAGTGGAAAGAAATACCTGAGTTCCCTTTTTCTTTTAGCTCTGTGTCCTGAGCTAAAGCACTGCTGTACTGTTAGGGCAGACTACTCCCACTCTTGAATGAGTGAGGTTAGCTTCTCACAGCATCAACACATTCATTTTCCACGGCCAAATTTTCCTATAATGCCATGAGGTAGATACATATTAAATTCCAGTCATTCTTTATGGGAGATGGAATAGGAAGCAGAAAGAGCCTGCACCTTGAGTTCAGATGTGACTTACTGGCTGAGCAGGTTTGAAAGGGTGGTGCTTACCTTCTCTGAATCTAATTTTTCTCACCTGCATAATGTAGTCAACGATACCTATTTCCTAAGTTTGTAGTGAGGGTTAAATGAGATGATATGCAAAGGCTGTAAACAATGCCTGTTATTTAGCAAAGTCATAAAGGGTAGTAATTAAATGTATAATTCTCCAAATACTAGGGCTGATCTCACTGTGAAATCCCTGAAGGCAGGGATATGGAAATTCTTAGAATCTCTGGGGCCTATCACTGTCTTGACATATGGCAAGAACTCATGCATTTTTTTCTGGAAGGGTGAATAAATGAATGAGTAGGTGAATGCAAGAATAATTACTTAGAATGCTAAAGCCTGCAGAAATACTACCATAGATCAATGAACATGTAAACAGTTTATACTCATCAATTCCTATTATCTACTTGATGTTTGATAAAACTGACACTGTCATATGGAGGAAGGAGAGAATGAGAAAGGTCTTGAAAAAGACCCAAGAAGTCTGGCTCCACCACTAACTGTCTGAGACAACTTGAAACAAACCTAAATCTGTCTAGGATTTAAATTTCTCATGTGCAAAATAAGAACTCGCATAAAATGATCTCTAGCATGTCATCTACCCCTTCCTTCTAGAGTTTCATGAAGTTCATCACTTCGAAGGGTGCCAAAGTTTACAGTGAGAATGTACATCAGGGATTTAGGGGAAATTAGTCTTAATTCTCCTAACTCCTACTCTTAGATCTCTAGTCTCAACCTCTTTTATGAACAGATTTCAACAAACAGATTCACAAGATAAATAAACAAACATGTAGGAAGACAGAGACATTTTGCATATGGATTTAGTTTTAAAGGAAACCGGAAAAATAGAATATGTTTAATTAGCACAGATTCTGAAAAAATAAATGTGTTAATTAATCACTTGTCTTGATTACCAAAAGGTCATACCCATATATGCAACAACATGTAAACCAGAAATTCAAGATATTTTCCCACCTAGCTCCTCATTTGAAAACCTATTCCAAGCTTCTATTACAACTTTCAGAAGATGTATACATTGAGATGTAAGGGTCCTGATATTCTTTTCACATTAGCTTGAGAATTATTCCAATATTGTGGTGTTGTGAGCTTAAAAAAAAGTATGTTGACTGCATTTCATTTCTCTTGTTCAGAATATAATTACTCAATTATTCTGTCTCAATTTGCTTACTTTCCTTTATTATTGGCATATTGCTCATGTGACCATGTTACTGGGGAATGAGAGCTTCAGCAACTTTAACGATCTCATCCAAAGTGAGATAACCTAATTTAACAGCTGTAGTAGAACAGGAAAGCAGCAGGACACCAGAAAAAAGGTTATACAGTGGGAAGTTCATGCTGGCAAATACCAATTCACACCTGTTTTAGGCCTACAGACAACATCAGGGGTGCTATTTAAATGGACTCTGTGTGCAATTTATCCATTGTTTGGAGTCATTGAAATGAACTACACTAATTCTCCTCCTTGGAAATTGTTCCAATTAAGTGGATGCACCATTTATCAGGGTGCTGATTAAGTGGGTTTAATAGCAGGCAGCAAAGAAAGGCTGTAAGAAAAATCTATGAAAGTGATATTCACACTTTCTAAGGTTCTGCTCACACTCACTAATGTCTAGTGTTATATAACCATTCTACAGAAAAATGCAGCAGAAACTAGGGTTAAAGTGTTAAGGAGATAATTAAATTCTTCCTTATAAGTACATTGAGATTTCAAATGTCAACATGAGGAAAGGTAATTTTTGATTGAAACTACGTGCTGTTTTTGGTATTAGATATTTAAATCTGTAATTTTTCTAATTCTAACAAAACTTTACATCAGAGAAAAGAGTGACATTTTCTCTATACAATTGACTTTATTTGGAGACTACAATCTACCATAAGTCAATGAATGTTAAGTGTTAATGATCTAAACAGGAAAAACATAGATTCTATGCAATCTGACATTATAAATAATCAAACTTTTATTTTTCTGTTCCATGTTAATGTTAGTTTTAAAAAATTAACATTTTAATTTTTATGCTGATTTTTTAGGCCTGTTATATTTTATATTCTAAATATCCTGACTTCCCATGATATTTCTTAAAAACTAAGCATCAAATGACACATTTTTAAAGAATAAGCCAATTACTTTTTAAAAACAATGACTAATAAAAAATAGTGAACTAAAATATGTAAAAATTTTACTGAATTGTAAAATATAAAATGAAGATAGCAGTTTCAAACAAGAGGTTTAATTTACTTTTATTATACTATAATATTGTTTCACAATAATTATTTTTATAGAAGTCTGAACTTTTCTAAGTCTTTCTACTGAAAAGGAGTTACACAGTCTTTGGTAGATTGGTTAAACTATGATAAATTTGGTAAAATAAAAAATTATAAGGGAAGATTTTAAGAAAGAAATTTAGACTTATGCTTAAATTTGGCCCTAAAATACTAAACCAAAGAAAGTTTGAAATGCAATAACAGCATGTTAAATAATGAATCATTTTTAAGTTACCTCCAGACAAGGTAAGGTAAAACAAGTCTAGGGCCACAAGCTCTATACAAAACAACCCTATCAAAAAATTTTAAGCTTATCTCCTTTCCAAGCTGCTTCCTCTGTCAAGGGCTTGCTATTATTTTCTAGAAGTATTTTTAGGAGCAAGTCTTCTGTTCAGTCTATAACTGTGAAAGGGCAAGGGCTTCCTCTACTTGTAAGCTAACATGTTAGCTTGCCACAGTTTCATGGATGTTGGCAAAAGACATAAGTCTCCTGGGTCAGAGACAAAGGATACATTACTACTCATAGAATAGAAATAGCCACATTATTATATTTTTGCTCTGGTTCCCTGATCCCTAATTCCTACAGAACAACATCAAGAAGGCTGTCAGTTAACAATTGCACTCACAAGTAGGGTTCACGAGAGGGCTTCTGCTTTCATGGACTCTGAATCCTTTACACTGCACCATGAATATGCCTTCTCATTGCTTTAGAGGGAATCATTGATTCTGTTTCCCAAGGCTGTAAATCTGCCCTTTGCTAAAAGGAGAGATTCTATCATAATGCTCCATGGCTGTTCACTATACAATTACCCTTTAAATGATAGTCCAGAGCAAAGAGCAGTCAGATCATCTTTCGTCTGCTCACAAGATATGCAGAAACACAAGAGAATTGTCTCTCAAGATTCAGTACTGCAAATGAAAGCAAGTGACTTTGTTATAGGAATACTCTAATCTCCTCTAATTTGTTACTTAAAAAAATCATATGCACAATTCAGGATTCTCATTATCAATGCATTATATGTTGTATATGTTAGAAAGTATCATATAAAGTGTGTCAGAGCCTAATGACTGGAAATTGACATCATGCGACATGTGCAAATTTTTATATGCAAAGTTGGCTTACATCCCTGAAGATTGAGGAAATTGTGACACATATGAGAATCCTTAAACTTGATACCATATTTAGATAGCAATCATTTCTTTTTTAACAAGAGTTGATTTAATGAGCTTTATCACACCTGCCAATCAGTTCTAAGAACTAGCCAATTAGGTATAAAGCCAGTGTATCAAGATCAAAAGAAAAAAAGTGATCAACTTGATTTAACTGATTTGATTTTTTTCTCTTCACTTTCAATGAAAATGATTTAGGCAATATAATTAGCCAAATAACCAACTTTACTATATTTCTCCCTGTGGAAATGATTAGGGCCACCATTAGAAAGGGCAAGCAGCTCAAAAAGAATGTGGATTTTTGGAGACACATAGACTTGAATTTAATTCTCAGCCTTGACAAGTAGTTTCATGGAATTAAGTAATCTATTACTGACTTTTCTGAGATTATTTTCCTCAATAATAATTCCCTGACAGTGTTACAAAAGGATTTGATTAAATAGTTTTTGCAAAGAGCTAATAAGGTAGCTGAAAGCTAAGATCCTCTATTTTTTGCTTTTTTTCTTTTGTATATAAGATGTTTTCCTACGTCGTTACTTAACTCATGCTCTTCCTATTTTCTAATTTTATAAGCATCCAGTCTTTTTAGTTTGATTTTAAACTTCCTGTACAGCTATTTTATGCTACTTTGGTAACTCATATACAAGGAATCAATTTGCTTCATAATAGTCTTGCAATTAATTTGTCACACAACATATACGGTACTGTAAATAAATATAATTTATGGACAGAGAAACAAAGGAGAGGGAAAAAGAGACACAAAGCTTTGAGTTTAAAACATAGAATAAAATTACATAGACAGAACAGAAATAGGGCAAAAGAGAATAAAGAAGAAAAGGGCAGCAAGAGAGAAAAATGTAGATCTCCACAAAAGAACAGCGTGTACAGAGTGTAGAGAGAAAATGGCATGGAACTCAGATCAAGTCCCGGTTCCTGTTATTTCCTAGGTGATCTTGCAAGGAGCCTCACGGTTCAATGGCAAAAAATGAAGGTGAAATTAGCGGACATCCAAAAGTCACTTTCAGAACTAAGTACTTTCAAAATTAAAATAAATAAATAAATTATATATATATATATATATATGTGTATATATAACCAATTGAGTCTATAATATTTAAAAATTTTTAAATGTAGTAGAAGGAAAATGTTTACAACTTATACTTTTTAAGCTCCTGTAAACTAAATCATTGATGGGATCGGCAGCTTAATGAAGAAGTTTGTCAGTGCTGATGCTAATAAGGCTGGCATTTTTTAAAGTTTAAAGTGACACTACTCAAAGCATATCTAATCAGGCACAATAGAATGATCAGAGAACATATTAGAACTTGGCAGGTACCTAGAGCAAACGTCACATCAAGTATTTGGTAAAATACATATTCAAAGATGATTGTAGCTATCACAGAAGTTCTTATATCAAATCATAGCTCCATTGAGAAAAAATAAAAATGATTATTCAGTAAGCTTACAAATATGACTATATGCAAAACAAGAACTATAAACCTTTGGGAAACAAAGTAAAGAATAAAATATCAGTAAGTAAAATTACCTGGTAAAGATTATTATAGAGTGTTATTTCCTTATCTGAAAGATAAAAGTTATAAAATTAAAAGGCAGATCAGAAAAGACTACATCACTTAGGTAGATGGATATTGTCCTTTTATATTTTAACAGACTAGGACATTTACTATTCATTACGGTAAGAGGGGCAACCTAAAATTTTAATATTTAAAAGGTAAATCTGAGTGCTTATTGTATGTCATACATTATCACCCCTGGAATGTTGAAAAACAGATTTTTGTCTGTTTTATTTTATATTACTAGAATATACGTTTTCCTCTACCATCAGTGCCTAGAATTATGTAGTGTGTGCTACATAATCCAAGTTGGTAAATATTTGCTAAAGAAATGTCTATCTTCATGACAACCCTATAACATTTATAACTCTTTTTTACTGCAGAAGAAACTGAAAAAGACAAAGTTTAAATAATTTTTGAAGATTATAGTGTAACTAATTGCAAAGTTGGAATTTGGATTTTGCTTTCTCTTACCTCAACATATTTTTCCCTTTATACCAAGAGGATGTCTGATTAACTCGATGTATAAAAGGACTGATAACAAAAATAAGCATCATATCATTTATGAAACAATTACTCTTTGCTGTGTAAAATGTGTTAAATGCTTTCCATAAATTATTTCATTTAAGCTTTATGATAACCCTACGAGATAGAGTTTCTTAGGTAAAAGTTTCTTATCTAAAACTAGATAGCCTGGTTTCCAATCCCGACTTTTCTACTTACTAGCCATGTGACCCCCAAGTCAATTGTTTAAATTTTTCATTTCTTTAGTTCCCTCATGGTGATGCTATGAGGGATTACATTTGCTAAAATATGTAGACCACATGATATAGTATCTGGCAAATAGTAATAAATTTTTGTTTGCATATGAGAACATTGAGGTGAAGATAAATTAATATTCCTTAAAGTTTTGAGATGTAGCTAATAAGGAGCCAATGAATAGCATGCATTCCTCTGTCTGAATTCTGAGACAATTGAGAAATAACGTCAAGAAGTGTATAGTGATTTGGCATCTTTCACCAAATTTAAGACCCAATTAGTGTTAAGATTCATGCAATTTTTAGAGAAGTTCAAAGGTAAATAAACACAAAAATAGGGTAGCTAGCAGTGATGGTAAGATTCAATTAACTTTAGAGGTATTAAAATCTCAAAATAATATGTAGTTTAGAATAAATGAAATATGTCAAGTAGTAAATTTTAATTTTTACTTTTATTACTGGCTAAGCTAATTTTAAAGAACGCAAAATATATCTGTGAGTGAGTGAACTTAGTGAAACTCAATCCTATAATTAGACACAACATTTTAAATTCAGGCAATTACAGGCATTACTGGGCTAAATTACAGGCATTACTGGGCTACCACAGGCTGTTCATTTAGGAATGCGATTCCTTTGCATGGCAAAGATGAGCTAACTAAGACATGTGAGAGACAGGTCATTTCCCTAGATGAAGGAGAAAGGCAGAGGCTAGGCTGTGGATCCTCGATTTCTCCTTCCACTTAATAATTGAATTACTCCTATAGAAGAGGCCAGGAGTGTGGGTTGTGCTAGCAAGCACTATTCCCTTCCGATGAAGGGATATAAGGGACCAATAGAAGCGTGCCCTATCGAATGGCAGAGCCAGGTATCAAGCACAGGTTTGTCTGACTCCAAAACCCACTTCTTCATCCATTGTACTCCTTCATCCATTGTGGTCCTTCATCCATTGTGCTAAGCATTTTTTTTTGAAACGGAGTCTCGCTCTGTCGCCCAGGCTGGAGTGCAGTGGCGCAATCTCGGCTCACTGTAACCTCCGCCTCCCGGGTTCACGCCATTCTCCTGCCTTAGCCTCCAGAGTAGCTGGGACTACAGGCACCCGCCACCACGCCCGGCTGATTTTTTGTATTTTTAGTAGAGACAGGGTTTCACCGTGTTAGCCAGGATGGTCTCGATCTCCTGACCTTGTGATCCGTCTGCCTCGGCTTCCCAAAGTGCTGGGATTACAGGCGTAAGCCACCACGCCTGGCCTGTGCTAAGCATATTTAAAAGACAGAAAGAATAGTATATATTCAATAAGACATTTAAAAAATTACTCTCAGAATGAGCTGTGACTTATGAAAAATGCTAATGATTCAGTCACGCAAGTTTAAATTTGGAGCAAAGAACTACAATTGGATGAACCAACTCTGAGAAGAAAATATTGAAATTTATACAAAGGCAACCAAATAACTAAAGTTCTAATTTATTAAGAAGGATTTGTGCTTAAATAAGCTCATGTTTTTATATCCAAATACATTATAGCTAAACTTAGGGAAATATTTGTAATATTTAGTCCAACAGTTTTCAAGATTAATATTCAAGTATTCCTAGAGAAGTGTGATTTTTAGAAATGAATGAAAGATCAATATTGACTTTTCTAGAAGGTGGCAAAAAATGAAAATTGGTGAAATGGATAATATTTGTTGGCAATATGGTAAAGCATTATTAAAGTGATAACGTGAACTATTAAGAAGAGATCACTTGCAGCCATCATGGGTTTCATTCAAATAAACTATTCAAAATCTCTGTGCTCTATATCAAATCACTGTACTTTAATCATTCTCATTACTGTCAGCACTATTATCTTCATCTACTTGGTGGTACCTTTCCTTCATTCATTGAGAACTTTGTTGATTCCCACACACCAATGTATAGTGGGACTATGGCAGTCGTGAAACTGCACCATTTAGATTTTCTAATGGGGGAAGTGGAGTTGACCGACAGCCCCAGATATCAACTCTTTCGGCCCATCATTGCCTTTATATTAAAGCTATGCTTTTCCCTGGCTACTCCTAAGCAAAAACTGAGCTATACCCATGGTAAGTGAGACTCATCTGGGAAGCTTTGGCTCAAGGACTTCCCATTGTTCCAGCCATGACTTTCTTACAGCAATGTGAGACTCTTCTGACCTAATCCTTTTTCCTTTTCCTTCTCTTGCTAGATGTGTCAGACCAGCACTGTGGTCTGAAGTTCTTACCTATGCCTGCTTCTTTCCCCTTCCTCTTTCCCTTCATAGTTATTTCTTCGAATAAATTCTTAAGTGTCTAACATAGTGCATTTGATAGCCTGGGGGGGTTACTTATCTGTGATACAGTGAATCATTTTTTGGAAAATGTAAAGCTCTTTCTCTAACAAAATGCACTTTTCTTTTTGCCTTTGCAATTCCTTGCATTTAGGGTAGTGTATGTTTCTTATTTCTATTATTATTGGACTTTTTATGTGTGCATCTTGCTTTGGCCAATAGGATATGGGAAGAAATGGCAATTTGCTAGTTTGGGGCAGGGATCATGAAACACTGAGTTTTTTTCTGCTTGCCCTGTTGTGTGGTTGCCATTCTCCATGAGAATATACCCTGGATAGCTGTTGAACCAATGAAAAGGAAAAAAGATGTGAAGATTTCTGATTCAAAACCAAAGTTTTGAGCCAATCACAACCAATCTACAACCTGAAACAGAGCCTCATAAATGACTGTAGCAATATGACAGAGAAAAACACTTACTGCTTAAGCCACTAAATTTTAGGGTGATTTATTATGGATCATTCTCTGACAAATACACCATCTAACAACTACCTAGTCAAAGATATCTCAAATAAATATAAGCATTTATTTTTGTTCAATTTTATCAATTTAGTCTCCTGGCCAAACATTGAATGCTGCTATCATATAAGTTGTACCACTTCTAACTTCTTAAATTCCCATATATTAATTTTTATCACACGTTCTTATTGTTCCAACTTTTAATTTCCTCAAAATGCTTGATGTTTGACCTCATTGAGACTTCCTCCCTTCATTTTTAATCTTAGTCTATTTTCCAATCTGACTTCAAAGCTTTCCTTTTTTTAAACCTTGATCCCAGTGTGTATCATTTCAATCGCTGTCAGCACATTGACCATTCTGAACCGCCTTACTTTTCATCACATCTGCTCTAAAAGCTCTCAAACTTGAATCATTCCAACTATCAGTATTCTTTCCTTCTACAGATTTCAAATGCTGAATGATATTGGAAAAACAATACATAAATTTCAATGTTGGGGATATTATAAATTTGCTATGTCCAACATCAAGTAGTTATCAAGTCTTGTCAGTCACTTATAGACAAACATTGAGCTCCTAGAATTCTACACCACTACTGTTATATATAAATGCACTTAGTACTCTGTAATATGACAATTTGAAATGTTGGTAATTACTATTCTTCTTTGTCATTCAAAAGCGTTTGATAATTGGCTCCCAATTACCTTTGAAAAAGCTCTGCCAGTTTACTATCAAGCAGAAAGAATCCAACTTAACTCTAGGCCAGGGATTCTAAATATTGGCACTATTGACATTTTAGGTCAGCTCACTCTTTGAAGAGAATGAAGGAGCTGGAAATTGGCCTATAGATGTTTAGGAAATGTTTAGCTGTATCCTTGGTTTCTCCTCACTAGATGCTAGTAGCAACATTCTCCTCGCAAGGTGAGAAAATAAAAAATGTCTCCAGAGAGTGCCACATCTCTTCTGAATATGATGTCAAAATCACCCACAGTTGAGAGCCACTATTCTAGGCTGTAACCATTGCTATATGTGTTTGTTAAGGTTTAGCAAAATTATATAATCAATGTTATGGTCTAGATGCTTGTGCCTCACCATAATTTGTATGTTGAAGCCCAAACCCAAGTGCAATAGTATTAAGAGTTGGGGCCTTTAGGGGATGAAGTCTTCATGAATGGGACTAGTACCCTTATAAAAGAGGGGCTAGAGAGCTCATTCACCCTTCCTGCCATGTAAGAACACATAGAAGGAATTATCTATGAGGAACAGGCCCTCTGCAGCCCCTGAATCTTCTGGCACTTTGATCTTGGGTTTCCCAGCCTCCAGAACTGTCAGCAATAAATTCCTGTTGTTGATGAGTTACCCAGTCTAAATAATACATTATAGCAGCCCAAGTTGACTTAGAAAGTAGGCTACCAAAACTCTGTTTGCATAAGTCTGTGGAAATTCTTGGGATATTTACCTTAACTTGAGAAAGAGAGAATATGACAACAAAATATGATTTATGATGGTCTTAATATTAAGGGTGAATAAAAGAAAAACAGTATGTTATTTCCTGGGCCTATGTCTCTGAGCATATGCCCATGGGCATTAGAGAGAAACTTATTTTCATTAAAGAGATGGCAGTGTCCATCTCTCTTGTCTTAGCATTTCTCTACCAAAGGTTAGTAGAACTGAAAAAAAAAAAAAGATGAGACAAATTATCCTTTGCTTTGTCCTGTGTCACTTTGAGAGTTCTTCTGGTGCATTAGCAGTGGTACTTAGTAGTAGCAGAAGAGCTGTCTTGGAGATATGAAGGTGCCCACCAAGAAAGGTGATATTACTGCTGCAGTAGCAGTAGTAGACAAAAGTCATAGTAGTACCCAGAAAAGTGGTGGTATGTGGACAGGAGTGAGAGTAGGGAAGAGAGAAGGGAACCAAAGAGAAAACAATTTGATTATTATGAAGTAGTATTTGTCAGATTAATCTTGTCAAAACTTACTATATACTTAGATTTTTTTAAATGAGGAAAATTTAAGTCATTTAGGGTTTAAAGGGCCAGCATTCTAATGAGAAGGAGAATTTATTGAGGTCAGCCATACGTTTGTACCTGCTTTCCCCTCATGATATTTGCTGATTCACAATATAAAGCACAGAGACCTAGCAGAAATTAGTGGCCCAGAGTTTTCAGTAATCTCTGGTCTGGGGAGAAAAACACTGAAATTTGAGACTATTAAGGTATCTAGGATTTGAAACACCAAGGTCTCAGAAGAAACACACACACACACACAAATATTTGCCTACATTCTGTATGCAGTTTCTCTATAGAACATTTGCTGGCTTTTCAAATGAGCACAGATAGGGCAAAATTGATAAAAGCTAAGTGGAAAAACTCAATAAGCTTAAGGGGATAGAGAGACAAAGGTTGGAGTTCAGGACTCTCCAAGGTGTCATGGCCCTGGGAAACCCTTCTAGTTAATAAAGTAGAGAGGCCATGACTAGGAAAAAAGAACACATTTGAGGTAGACTAGCCTCAATTGTATCAATATGCACTGTTTTTATGTAATCTGATGTCCAGAAGTAACAAATTATTTGTGGAGAAAAGAATAACATTCATAGCCTTATAATTATTTTATATAAAATTATTAACATTCACTAAAACATAAAGAGGACCAAAAGAAAACATGAGAAAAAAACAGACATTTAATACAGGCAAATCAGATTATGGCCTTTAAAATAACTGTGATTAATATGTTTAATCATTTTCCCATCTAGAAACAAAAGTGCAACTCACTGCCAGTGCTCTTAATTTTACATTAACACTCTCTTTGAGGCTGAAGCAAATCTGAGTGATTTTCATTGTGAAAATAAAATATAAAAACTGTTCTTGGAGTTATTTCTAAACAGAAATAATATCAGAATCATCAGAATTGTCTATTTTGGAAAATTGGATTCATCAAATGAATTTTTGGCCAACAACTGTTTGAGAACGATGTTAACATCATGTGTAGGAATGCTACATTGTCTAGGATTTGACATTTTCAGTGATCAGGAATTACTATATTTTGCAAATGGAGATATGAACACTAAAAACAGAATGCTCATAAATAGAATGATGTCTTTTGTTTCCAAAGTTTATATACTGGAACGATGCAAAAAAATTAATAAAAGTGAGATATTTCGTGGCAAAGTTATCTTAGCATAAATGCCGCAGCTGCAAGTGCCGCCAGTGAGTATTCTTGAAACAAATGGGAAAAGGGTTAAGAATATAGAGTAAAATAAGAATTTCAACAGCCTCTTGAATCTATAAAAAGTAGACAATAAAAATATAAAATTGTAAAATAAAATACTTGAATTTAAGAGTTCAGTAAACACATTAAAAGCAGACTTGATACAGCAAAAAAAAAAAAAAAATATATCATCAATGAACTATGTTACGACTTGAACGTTTCTCAGAAAATCCCTGTGTTAGAAACTTAATTCCCAATGCATCAGAGTTGGGATGTGGATGCTACAGTTTGGGTGTGGTTTATCCCTGTGAAAAATCATGTCGAAATTCGATTCCCAAAATGTGGCAGTGTTTGGAGGTGGAGTCTACTGAAAGGTGTTTGGGTCATGGGGTGGATCCTTAATGAATATATTACTCTCTGTGGAGGTGGGGGATGAGTGAGTTCTGGCTCTTGAAAAAATGTATTAGTTCTTGGGAAAGCAGATTGTTAAAAATAGTCTGGCTTCTTTGGTTTCTCTCTATTGCTTCTTCTCTCTTCATGTGATCTCTGCACATACCAGAATTCCTTCACCTTCCTCCATGCGTGCAAGCACACGAGGACCTCACCAGATACTGAAGCCCAATCTTGAAACTTCCAGCCACCAGAATCTTGAGCCAAATAATCCTCTTTTCTTTATAAATTACCCTCAGCCTCAGGCATTCTGTTATAGCAACACAGCAACACTAAACAGGTCAAGACGTCGGGCCTTTTGTGAGATGTTTAGGTCATGAAGACTGAGTGCCCTCATGAATGGACTAATGCCATTATAAAAGGAGTTGGTGGAGGAAGCTTGGTCCTTTGTGCCCTTCTACCTTCTGCCATGTGAGGACACAGTGTTTCTCCCCTCTGAAGGACACAGCATTTAAGGTCCCATCTTGAAGGCAGAAAGCAGTCTTCCCCAGATGCCCGTGCCTTGATCTTAAACTTCACAGTTTCTGGAACTGTGAGAAGATTTCTATTCTTTATAAATTACCTACTCCGTGGTATTCTCTTATAGCAGGACAAATTGAAAAAGACAAACTGGAAGATAAATCAACAAAAAATATCTTGAGAAATATTAAAAAGAAGATAAATGGCATATAGGACATTATAACATTATTAAGCATACCATGCCCTATTACTCCCTACTGTAAGAGACGTGAGAAAATGAGGAAAAAAAATATTTCAACAAAAATGGGCTAAAATATTGCTAGCTGATGAAACATATCAAACTGATCAATGCAATGAAATATACCCATAGGCACAGAGCATAGTAAACTGACTACTAAACTAAAGAAAAAAAATCTCAATGAAAAACAGAGAAAGACATTATGTTTTCTAGGAGCAACAATATGATGGCATATTTTTCAATAGAAAGATAATATAATAAAATATTCACTTTAATATTCTGGGGAAAAATAACTGCTAACAAAAACCCAACCAAAATCTCCAAAAAGGAAGGTGAAAGATGCTTTTCTACAAATAAAAGGTGAAATCACTGGTTAGCATCAAGATCAAACTAAAAGAAATTCTAATAGAAGTTCTTCAGAAAGAATCAAAATTATTCCAGCTGGAAGTTTGGAAAAGCAAGAAGGAGTGAAGCCCACCAGAATCCAAAATCTTTTGAGTAAACCTAAATATATATGGAGTCCTTAAAGATCTTTTGGGTTTCAAAAATATATATATAGAGAGAGATTTAACATACTTTAAAACAATTGCCCAAAAGGTTTTTAAGGACATTGAATTAGCCTGATTGTGATAATAATGCTAGTCTAAGGCAGAAAAGAAAGCATGTTTTTATGTAACTATTAAAAGAAAGTAATAGAAATAGGCAGACAAAATAATAAAAGATAGTAAAACTGAACAAAGAGGAAATGAGGTAAGTGAAAAACAAATAGTAAAGCAGGAGATTTAAAACCACAAATATCAGTAGATAGATAAACGAAAATAAACTTAATCCGAATAATCTCAATAATCAAAACAAGAGACAACACTCTGAGACAGGAATAAAGAACCACTGGGTTTGCTGCTTGAAATGGACAAGCTATCAATATAAGGTCACAGAAAGTTTGAAAGTAAATAATGTGATAAACATACCAGGCAAAAGCTAGTCCAAAGTATGTTGTAAGTATGTTGTAGCAATACTAATATTAGAACAAATAAAGTATTACTAAATGTAAAAGGAAATATTTTATTGTAATAAAAGGGGAAATTCAACAGAAAAATACGAGAAAGCCAAAGCATAGATACAATTTACAAAATCATAGCAGGAGGACACATAACAAATGAAAAGAAACTAAAAGGACACATAACATAAAAATAAAAGAACACATAATAAATCCATTAATTAGAGATTTCATAGAACCCTTTCAATAACTGGTTAGAACAGGTAAACCTAAATTTGGAAAATATATAGAAAATTTCAAGAGTTTATTAAAATTGAGCTAATAGGCATATGCTGAAATTCAGAAAGTCCATAGAACAAGTCTAAATAAATGATAAAGGACTGTATAATTCAGAATATATTTCCTAACAACAATTGTATTAATTTGGGAACCAATAACAGAAACATATGTGGACATGTTTCAAAAATTTGAATAACAAATAGGTTATAAGAAATTTAAAAATATTTTAATTTGAATGAAAATAAAAGCACAGCATATTAGAATGTGTGAGAGAAATGTTTCTCTTGGTAAAAGGTAATGTAAAATCCATGATTCCAGTTTCCATGTTAAGAAGGTAGAAAAATAAGTATGAATTAAACCTAAATTAAATGAAAGAAATATAATGATGAAAATAAAACAGAAATAGAAGAAACATTAATCAATACATTCAAAAGTAAGATTGATGAAAAAACTGAAAACACAAATTAGTAATAAAGGATTGAATGTGACAACATTGCTGTAGATTCTATTCATATCAAAAGGATAAGAAAATATGAATAAATTGATGCTATTATTGGTAATAAATCAGAAAAAATAGATAAATTCTGTTTAAAAAACAATTAGCTAAATTAACACAAGAAGACATTTTAAAAGTAAAATTAGCCATGTCTGTTAAAGAAATTGAAAGCATGTTAAGAAACAGCACTTCAAGTAATAGACCTTCAAGTCCAATTATAGCACTGGTTGGACTTTATTTTTCCATCAACAAAGAAGAAATAATACACTATAAAAACTCCCTCAGGAAAAAGAAGAAAAGGGGGCAAAAGAAGGATTATTTTTGGCAGCCAGCATAATCCTCACACTAAATTCTGTCCAAAGTATCACAAGAAAAGAGAATTTTATATTGATGTCACTCATGAACCTAAACAAAAAATTTTTTACCAAAATACAGCTTATCCTTTTTTTATGATTCAGATTCCATATTTGTGAATTTTTCTATTTGCCAAAAATTTTTTGTAATTCCAAAATCAATACTCCGGGTGCTTTCATAGTCATTTGCAGATGGGCATAGAACAGTAAAAAATTGAGTCGCCAAATGCACATGTTCCCAGCTGCCTTTGTATTTCAGGTTTCATACTCTACAACAGTGGTCCCCAACCTTTTTGGCACCAGGGACCAGTTTCGTGGAAGACAGTTTTTCCACGGACAGGGATGGGGAGTGGCAGCGAGGGGGGCATTCAGGAGGAAACTGTTCCACCTCAGATCATAAGGAGCGCACAACCTAGATCCCTTGCATGTGCAGTTCACAATAGGGTCTGTGCTCTTACGATAATCTAATGCTGCCACTGATCTGACAGGTAAAGCTCACTTGCCCATCACTCACCTCTTGCTGTGTGCCCCGGTTCCTAACAGGTCAGGGACCGGTACTAGTCCATGACCTGGTGGTTGGGGTCCCTTGCTGTAAACCAGGGTTTTTTTTCACAGTCTATTTAGTCCCACATTTTTTCACATTTTTGTGGTTTCTTTGTTAACAGTTTTGCAATTTAAAATGGCTCCTAAACATAGTGCTCAAGTGCTCCTGAGTGCAAGAAGTCTATGATGTAACTTCAGGAAAAGATAAAGATGTTAGGTAAGCTTTGGTCAGGCGAGTTATAGTGTTGTTGGCCATGAGTTCATTGTTAATGAACCAACAAGGTATATTTTGTTCAATGTATATGTGAACAGAAATACACATGAAACAAGGTTAAATGTTGATTGGTTGATGAAAATGTAGTGACTAGCAGTTTATAGGAACCTAATTCTGTCCTCTAATAGCAGTGGTTCCATATTCACAAATTCAGTATTTGTGGCAATTTTAAGAAGCATAACTTCCACAAATATCAAGAATAAAATGTATGTATTAGCACCTTGGAGCCAACAACATAGTAAGGTAGATGAGTAATTAGCTCTGAGACTGAGAATGACTGAAGTGGTCAAGAGACTAGGTTACAGTTTAAGAATTCATCCAACTATACTTTTATACTTTATGTATTTATATATGCCATACATCAGGAATATTTACAAAAGAATAAAAAGGAGGTAGGATATCAGTAATAGTCCTCTTTTTGAGCACACAATCTTGAGACCCACATATGTTCCAATACATTCCTCTAACATCTTTCATTACCAATCCATTATCCACCATTTAAACATGTTCAGTTCGATGCACTTACTCCTTATTCTTCTTGCTTCTTTCCTTGGATCTGCTTCTTCCTACCAGCTTTATCTTTTGTATGTGGTTTTGAGATCTGCTTTTTAGATGTGACTCCTAAGACCTTCAGTGCTGTGAATTACCCAACAACACCCCTGAGCTGCAAGATCAGAGGAAAGATCCACAAAATTTGGAAAATCAGATAAGTTTTTAAAAAAATCATTTCCAGTTTTGCTGAAATTCGTTGTGTATCAAGGTGAAATCTGGAACTATCATCTCAAAGGACTGAATCACAGCCATGATTTCAGTTATGCCAAATAATGTTTTCATGGAAAAACTTAATACCTCGGTGTTAATGTGTAAGGGTGGTTAATTAACTGCTCTAACAGATATATGCTAACATGTATAACAGCTTAAGCACAAGGAGAAATTTGTATGTCATTCACATACAAATTCAAGATTGTAACACATCTGCCTTGGGAGGGTTTGTACAATCCTTCAGAGACCCAGAGTGACTGAGGTCCTGACAACTTCAATATGTGGTTGAAATCCATAGAATGAATTCTGTGAAATTTATAGAACGGAAGAGTGGATGTGGGTGGTTATATGGGTGCAGTCCAGAAATGGTGAACATCACTTCTATGGACAATTATTGGCAAGAACTCAGTCACATAACCACACTTAAGGGAAATATGATCAAGTTTGGTTTCCAGGAACAGAGGAAAACATGGATTTTGGTAAATAGCCACTTTCACCATACCTAGCAAGTATAATGCTGTTGGAGATTTCAGATATGATTATCTGGTGTCATTTAAAAATATCTATTACTATGACCTTTATGCAGAGTGGCATAATACCTTGAACTTTTTTGGACTTGCCATTAGTCTTTCATACAAACCAAAACACTTTGCAAAGAAGAGGTCAAATGCAAGACAGATTTCAGAGATTTGATACAACCAGTGATTTATTTCAGAAAGCACCAATGTAATTATAGCAATTGGGAGATTATTTTAAAATTGGTGAGAATCGTAGACATGGGGTTCAGTTTTTGTAAACCTGTCTGCCTGTAGAACTAGATAATGACACATGCACTATTATAAGCATGCCTGGTGCTGCCACGTGGTCAGTTTAACCTCTGGTTCTCAGCTGGATTCACTTTAAAGTTGGAGACTGCCAGTGCTTTCTGTAATGACTCTTTTCTTGTTCTTCCTCTTTCCATTTCAGCAGTTAACCATTTTTGTCCTGCTTCTCATAACTTCATACATGGATCATTTCAACAGACTCCTATCTGTTGTCCCTCAGTTCAGTTTTACGCCAGTCCATCCTTGATAGTGCTTACAAAATCTTCCTGAAACAGTGGTTCATCATCTCTCTTTTCTTTTCCAGAATAATGTGATTCCTGGTTTCTTGCTGAATCAAATATAAGGCTATCCACTTTTCTCCTTTTAAATCTTGCTTTTATCAGCCTAAAGTATCTTCATGAACGCTTAAGATTTGCAGTTTTATGGCTTACACGCTTTCAACATATTCACTTCCATGTCTGTGCCTTTCACTCTTTCACTCTTTCTTTTCTTTTTGTTTTTTGAGATGGAGTCTCGCTCTGTCACCCAGGCTGGAGTGCAGTGGCATGATCTAGGCTTACTGCAAACTCTGCCTCCTGGATTCACACCATTCTCCTGCCTCAGCCTCTCGAGTAGCTGGGACTACAGGTGCCCCCTCTACGCCCAGCTAATTTTTTTTTTTTGTATTTTTAGTGGAGATGGGGTTTCACCATGTTAGCCAGGATGGTCTTGATCTCCTGACCTCGTGATCCGCCCGCCTCTGCCTCCCAAAGTGCTGGGATTACAGGCGTGAGCCACTGCACCCAGCCCCACTCTTTCACTCTTTCATTCTGTCTACAGGGCTCTCCACTTCTTCAACCATGTCTCACTCTTTTTTTCAAAAAGTAATCAAATATGTATCATGTTAAAATCCTGTCTTTACTTACTTCCCATTTGACATCTTCTAATAGATACTAACTCTTAATGTAAACTTAAATCTCACTGATGATTTCATCATTGCAAATTGAACTTCACTGTTTGACATGGGGAAGGAAGACATGCATGCATGTCTCTAATTCCTGTAAACAAATAACATGTGTTCAAATTCTATTGTGTACCTTCAGAGTTCATAATACAGTGCACTATGTGCAGAAAGCATTCAGCCTATGTTAATGCATTATATATAAATGAATATTTTAGTTTCTTTTTATTTAACCTTTTTGAAAAAGTATTTGGCCTATGAAGACATATATAATGTGGTATGAGGGTGTATATTATATGCATCTCTGAAAAATATAGTCAAGAAAGAAGTTTGCCAAAAAATATGTATCACTGAAGTCCTATAGGCTTTATAAGAGTAGACCACAAATTTGGTTGTGGGCTTTCTAGCAGTCAACAAGTAGAGGAAATTCTACACAGTAGCAAACTAACTGCTCAGGAATAGCATATCTAAGTAGTATTCCTTATACTTATAGTCTAATAGCCATATTTATAAACATATAACTATTCTTAGACCAATGTTCTTAGGCTGTTTCTAGTTTTCAAATTCTGAACCATGAAAAGGAGCTCACTGGGGCAAAAAAGTTTAAAAGAATTGGAATATGTATTGGAACAGAATGCCTGAATCTTCTGGACATCTATTTTTGAAGTAAACTGACCAATTTCATGTAATCAGAGTGAATAAAATAGTCTTTCAATATTTAGTTGGCTCTAAGGAAGAATGATCCAATTAACAATTATCTTTGTAATTTTAATGGTATGAGCTATTTGTTCAAAAAGGGAACCTTATTTTTAATCTATTGCTTAATACTCATTTGACTTTTGTGATTTTTCTTATAGAGTATGAAACAGGCCCAGTATTCTTTGCTAGATATAGCAGAAACTGGTTATCTACATATTATATGCATTGCTTCTTTTTACTTACCAATAGAATCCTGATTGTGTTCAGAGAGCTAACATATCAGCTACAGATATTTGTTTCCCAGGCTCCCTTGCACTGGGATAAATACATGTCATACTTCTGTCCATAAAGGGTAAGATGATGATTTCTGGGTAAGCCGTCACTTTAATGGTACAGGTATTGCTCCTGAGGCTGTGCTTTTTTTCTTTATGCCTGTAATGTGGCTATGCTGTCTGAAGGACAAGCAATAACTTTATAGCCTTGGGGTCCCAGGCATGAAGATGAAGGCATACATCTGCATATTGGAGGGTAAAGGCAGAAAGGCCATGGTTCCTATGGCAATTGTTGAACCATCACAAGAGGCTTGGACTGCCTACTCCTGGACTTCAGTTGGTTTAAGGTTTATGTTTGAGTGATGAAAGTATCTTAGTTATATGTGCTGGAATGGTTGAAAGTGAGCTGAGTTTCAAAACCGCTAAACTACATGGAAACTTAACCTGCTCCTGAATGACTACTGGGTACATAATGAAATGAAGGCAGAAGTAAAGATGTTCTTTGAAACCAATGAGAACAAATACACAACATACCAGAATCTCTGGGACAAATTCAAAGCAGTGTGTAGAGGGAAATTTATAGCACTAAATGCCCACAAGAGAAAGCAGGAAAGATCTACAATTGACACCTTAACACCACAATTAAAAGAACTAGAGAAGCAAGAGCAAACACATTCAAAATCTAGCAGAAGGCAAGAAATAACTAAGATCAGAGCAAAACTGGAGATAGAGACACAAGAAACCTTTCTAAAAATCAATGAATCCAGGAGCTAGTTTTTTGAAAAGATCAACAAAACTGATAAACCACTAGCAAGACTAATAAAGAAGAAGAGAGAAGAATCAAATAGATGGAATAAAAAATAATAAAGGGGATCTCACCACCGATCCCACAGAAATACAAACTACCATCAGAGAATATTATACACACTTCTATGCAAATAAACTAGAAAATCTAGAAGAAATGGATAAATTCCTAGACACATACACCCTCCCAAGACTAAACCAGGAGGAAGTTGAATCACTGAATAGACCAATAACAGGCTCTGAAATTGAGGCAATAATTAATAGTCTACCAACCAAAAAAAGTCCAGGACCAGGCAGATTCACAGCTGAATTCTACCAGAGGTACAAAGAGGAGCTGTACCATTCCTTCAGAAACTATTCCAATCAATAGAAAAAGAGGGAATCCTCCCTAACGCATTTTATGAGGCCAACGTCATCCTGATACCAAAGCCTGGCAGAAACACAACAAAAAAAAAAGAGTGAATTTTAGACCAATATCCCTGATGAACATCGATGCAAAAATCCTCAATAAAATACTGGTAAAACAAATCCAGCAGCACACCAAAAAGTTTATCCACCATGATCAAGTGGGCTTCATCCCTGGGATGCAAGGCTGGTTCAACATACGCAAATCAAAAAATGTAATCCAGCATATAAACAGAACCAAAGACAAAAACCACATGATTATCTCAATAGATGCAGAAAAGGCCTTTGACAAAATTAAACAGTCATTCATGCTAAAAACTCTCAACAAATTAGGTATTGATGGGACGTATCTCAAAATATTAAGAGCTTTTTATGATAAACCCACAGCCAATATCATACTGAATGGGCAAAAACTGGAAGCATTCCCGTTGAAAACTGGCACAAGACAGGGATGACTTCTCTCACCACTCCTATTCAATATAGTGTTGGAATTTCTGGCCAGGGCAATCAGGCAAGAGAAAGAAATAAAGGCTATTCAATTAGGAAAAGAGGAAGTCAAATTGTCCCTGTTTGCAGATGACAAGATTGTATATTTAGAAAACCCCATTGTCTCAGCCCAAAATCTCCTTAAGCTGATAAGCAACTTCAGCAAAGTCTCAGGATACAAAATCAATGTGCAAAAATCACAAGCATTCTTATACACCAATAACAGACAGCCAAATCATGAGTGAACTCCCATTCACAATTGCTTCAAAGAGCATAAAATACCTAGGAATCCAACTTACAAGGGATGTGAAGGACCTCTTCAAGGAACACTACAAACCACTGCTCAACGAACTAAAAGAGGACACAAACAAATGGAAGAACATTCCATGCTCGTGGGTAGGAAGAATCAATATTGTGAAAATGGCCATACTGCCCAAGGTAATTTATAGATTCAATGCCATCCCCATCAAGCTACCAATGACTTTCTTCACGGAGTTGGAAAAAACTACTTTAAAGTTCATATGGAACCAAAAAAGAGCCCACATTGCCAAGACAATCCTAAGCCAAAAAAACAAAGCTGGAGGCATCACACTACCTGACTTCAAACTATACTACAAGGCTACAGTAACCAAAACAGTATGGTACTGGTACCAAAGCAGAGATATAGACCAATGGAACAGAATTGAGCCCTCGGAGATAATACCACACATCTACAACCATCTGATCTTTGACAAACCTGACAAAAACAAGTAGTGAGGAAAGGATTCCCTATTTAATAAATGGTGCTGGGAAAACTGGCTAGCTGTATGTAGAAAGCTGAAACTGGATCCCTTCCTTATACCTTATACAAAAATTAATTCAAGATGGATTAAAGACTTAAATGTTAGACCTAAAACCATAAAAACCCTAGAAGAAAACCTAGGCAATACCATTCAGGACATAGGCATGGACAAGGACTTCATGACTAAAACACCAAAAGCAATGGCAACAAAAGCCAAAATTGACAAATGGGATCTAATTAAACTAAAGAGCTTCTGCACAGCAAAAGAAACTACCATCAGTGTGAACAGGCAACCTACAGAATGGGAGAAAATTTTTACAATCTACCCATCTGACAAAGGGCTAATATCCAGAATCTACAAAGAACTTAAACAAATTTACAAGAAAAAACTCCATCAAAAAGTGGGCAAAGGATATGAACAGACACTTCTCAAAATAAGACATTTATGGAGCCAACAGACACATGAAAAAATGCTCATCATCACTGGCCATCAGAGAAATGCAAATCAAAACCACAATGAGATGCCATCTCAAACTCATTAAAAAGTCAGGAAACAACAGGTGCTGGAGAGGACGTGGAGAAATAGGAACACTTTTACACTGTTGGTGGAACTGTAAACTAGTTCAACCATTGTGGAAGACAGTGTGGTGATTCCCCAATATCTAGAACTAGAAATACCATTTGACCCAGCCATCCCATTAGTGGGTATATACCCAAAGGATTATAAATCATGCTGCTATAAAGACACATGCACACGTATGTTTATTGTGACACTATTCACAATAGCAAAGACTTGGAACCAACCCAAATGTCCATCAGTGATAGACTGGATTAAAAAAATGTGGCACATATACACCATGGAATACTATGCAGCCATAAAAAAGGATGAGTTCATGTCTTTTGTAGGAACATAGATGCAGCTAGAAACCTTCATTCTGAGCAAACTATCGCAAGGACAGAAAACCAAACACAGCTTGTTCTCACTCATAGGTGGGAATTGAACAATGAGAACACTTGGACACAGGGTGGGGAACGTCACACACTGGGGCCTGTCATGGGGTGGGAGGAGAGGGGAGGGATAGCAATAGGAGATATACCTGATGTAAATGACGAGTTAACTGCTGCAGCACATCAACATGGCACATGTATATATATATGTAACAAACCTGCACATTGTGCACATGTACCCTAGAACTTAAAGTATAATAAAAAAGTAAAAATTAAAATTAAAAAATTAAAAAATAAACAGATAGTGAGCTGAGTTTGTGTAGAAGAATCCAGACTAAGTAGAATGGGTCTAGGGTCTTGACTTAACTATATGTCAGGCATTTGACATTTAGGCCAGTGGTCTAATATGCGGTGCCTATTGTGTAGTAGCCAATTAATATTTACTCTGAGCTGACACTGGTATTCAAGGAAGCTGCACATGGAAGATAAGACATACAAAGTTTGCATCATGATCAGGAGGGGGATATCAATGTTTCTAACTGATTAGAATTCCAGCCAGAAATTAAATATATGTTCAGTAGAAGTTTCTATTGCGGGAGAGAATTGGTAAAGCTAGGGAACGCTCAAAGACATACCCCAGTCCCAGCCTCCACAAGGTGAGATTCAAAGCAGAACTTCCAATGGGAGAAATGAAACACTAGACAGTAATATGAAGCAAACACCCTCAATAGCATCAGTCTATGCAGAGAATACTGAGAGATAAAACTAGTCAGATTTTAATTTTTAATTAAATTCTTAATTTAATGATAGAACCCACTAAATTCCTTAAGAATTAGATGTGAGATGTGAGAGAAAGGAAAACTCAGGCATGATCCTTGAATCATGCTTTAGGCTGAGCCACTGGGAGGACATCAAGTGAGCTGAAGAGACTTGGAGAACAGCTTTGGAAGGAAGATCAAGAGCTCAGATTTGGACAACACAAACAACATAATCAAACATACAAAGCCCATTTGGACATCCAGTTTAAATTGTTTATCAGATATCCACATAGAGATCTTAAGTAGATAGTTGGATATATGAGTGTCACATTTTGGAGACAATTCTAGGCAGGAGTAGAAATATGAGCATGACCAGCAAATAATTCATATTTAAGGTCAGGAGACTAACAAGACACAGCTAACAAATGATGGAGCTGGGATTAGGATTTGGTTAAGTCTAAGCAAAGGTGTGAATGCAGTCTAGAATGAGTGGATATGAAAAAGCAAGGCTAATGTATAATGGTAAAGCCATTTAACCTTCTTGGCTGGAAGGCTAGTCAAGGAAGGGTTATGTAGCTAAAATTGCAATGAGAAGTTCACAGCCATTAGGAAAGTAGAGTAATTTCTTACATGCAATTTCATTTTTACTGGATCAGGGAAATATTTGGAGTTAAATATGAAGTGGGACCAGCTGAAAATAGTAGGTTAGAAAATAGTACTTCAGTGGACTCCAAGCACAAAGAGGGCCAGATGTGTAAGTATTAATACAAACCTAGTGACTATCAGAGCTCTGGAGAACAATAGCATAAATGAGGAAACAGCTTAAGAAAAGGCTGTTATCATAATTTATTATATTTGAATATATAGTAATCATACCTATCATTATGTACCTGTCATTTGGAGGTCTTTGAATATTTAATTATGTAATTTGTATTTCTGTAGGATTTTGCACAAAAGTGCTGTGTTGACTTGTGTATGTTGTTATTTTTCAGTGTGAGCTTATGATCTCTGGAGCTTCATTTCTGAGAATTTTTTTTTTTCGAGATGGAGTCTCGCCCTGTCACGCCCAGGCTGGAGTGCAATGGTGCGATCTCGGCTCACGGCAACCTCTGCCTTCCGGGTTCAAGCGATTCGCCTGCCTCAGCCTCCCATGTAGCTGGGATTACAGGGGCACACCACCATGCCTAGCTAGTTTTTTGTATCTATTAGTAGAGACGGGGTTTCACCTTGTTGGTCAGGCTGGTCTCGAACTCCTGACATCACGATCCGCCCGCCTCAGCCTCCCAAAGTGCTGGGATTACAGGTGTGAGCCACTGTGCCTGGTTATTTCTGAGAATTTTTTACATATGAGTGAAAGTTAAGTTTTTCCCATGAAGATTTACATTTACTTCTTCTAGATCCTGGGAACACAACTGATCCTAAAACATGACCAACAAATATGAAGCTTAAGGGATTTTTGGAACCACAAATGAAAGTGTGAATTGGTGTTATAATCTCCTGTGATAGTGTGTGGTAATGCATTCTCAAGGGAGATTCTTCTTTTCCACCATCTAGCTCAAAATTTAGGACAAGAAAGTTTCTTTGTTTTACCCTTCTGTGGGGAAAAAATTTACCCTTTCATTCTTCATTGTACTGTTTATAGTTCTAGTGTTCTAGGACTGTTCTGGTACTAAAGGAAGTCTCACACTTTCCTTTGCAAGCTCCACATCACTGGATTTTGACCTTTGTCCTCAGGGCAAAATTAGATTTGGTAGTGACTTATTTCTCTGAGTTCCTATTTTCCATTCAACTTTGTTTTATTCTTATATTTTTACAGACTCAATGGTGCTTTTAAATATTATTTTGCTTAAAAAAATGTATGCATTATGTGTAGCTGTATTATCAAAGACTGTAGGTCAGAAGCCCTTAGACTTCATGTCAGGCCCTTTAATTGTTTTCTAAAGAATATGTTGCTAGAGTTGTTCTTAAACGAAAGTAAGCTTTTACAGCACAGACTTCAAACTAGAAATTCTGGCTTATGTAGTAGACACTAACTTAATATCAGAGAATGTGAAATTGTTTGCTTCTGGCTTATCTTTTATGTGCTGTGTTCAAAGTAACCACAATCTTGTCTGCACTTCACTGTGTGTTGCAATCTTGAAGTTAAGAGGACAGCACTCTATCACTCATCCACATCTCAGCAAAGTACTATGGTTTTAATAAGGGCAATTTCATCATTAAATATAAAATTGGCATGAAATGGCATAGCAGTCTTTGTTAACTTGTTTCTGTGATCAAAACAGACATGCACTCCGGGACTGTCCATCTGGCACCTTCAGTGACAAATTAAAACTTGATTTTTAATTATTGCAATAGTTACCATTAACAATTTTAAAAAGAATGCAATTTTATTTCAAGTTTAGAGTCTTCTTCCTCAACTTCTGAGTAAATGTTGTTCTATCACATTCATTTCTCGTATATCTGCGTATGAAAAAATATTATCTAAATATATACATATATATCTTGTGTTTTGTGTGTCTTTTTACAGATTAGTATTTGTCTTAGACTGTTTAGGCTGCCATGACAAAATACCATAGACTGGGCAGCTTATAAACAACAACAGTTTATTTTGACCAGTTCCTGGAGGATGGGAAGTCCAAGATCAAGGTGATGGCAGATTCAGTGTCCAGCGAGGGCTCACTTCCTGCTTCATAGATGACACCTTCTCACTGTGTCTTTATATGGTGGAGGAAGGCAAGGCAACTCTCTGGGACTGCTTTTATAAGGGCACTGATTTCATTTATGAGGGCTTCATCCTCATGACCTAATCACCTTCGAACTTCCCCCACCTAATACCATTACACTGGTGACTAGATTCAACATACGAATTTGGGGAGACATAAACATTCAGACAATATTAATATTTAAATGCCCTCAGACATTCAAAATTACCAAATGTTAGGGAAAATATTATATTGTTTTATTCCAGGTTATTTCTGTTCTCCTAGATCATTAGAATGATTGGTAGTAAAGCTGGTTGGTCACTGTAGACAGCAGTTACCCCATTTATTTCCTCCAAAGCTGATATAAACTGCCAGTAAACCATACTCTTTTTAGCATCTTATGCCTATGCTTATGTTTACAGATAGAATTCTTCTTTGAGAAACCTGAATTATTCTTTCGGTTACAATTTCATGTTTATAGAGAATATTTTTTTCTATGCAATACTGATTATCAAAGTTTTGTTTCTCTTTTCTTTTCTTTTTTTGCCATGGCTGCAGTCCAGCATGCCTGAATAGACAATATTAAATATTGAACAATCATTTAAAAATATGTAAATGGTAATATAATATATTGACCAACGTCAAGCTAAGCCAAGAGCAGTTTTTTCTTTGCATTGATCTGAGGGATTTAACATTTGGATTATGATGAAGTCTTTGACTTGACTCCTCTGTCACAGAGCAAATTCATCTTCTATTTGAGGGCATTCAAACTAGAGTTCAACCTGCTCTGTTGCTGGCAACACCAGGTGATAGATATAATATTTCTCATGTTAATTGAAAAAATTGAGATTTTTCCTTAACCATATGTTGACATCCAGTGAGTTAACAGCACTTAAACTTTGGAATGTCAGATTGTTACTTTAGTTTTTGTATGTGGACCTGAATAGAAACAGATATTTGGAATGTTCGTTCGTATGCACACTTTATCTTGCCACTTCAATGCTCATATTCAGGTTTTAAAAGGGAACTTTATTTTTTTTAACTATTCCAGCTCTTAGTTGATTGAGTTAGAGCAAAACCAAGAATGGACATGTCTAGTTTGAACACTGGGTGACCCACAACCATTTAGTGTGCAGAGGGTCTCAGATGTAGAAGAGTTCAAAAGCATTGTCCAGATAGAGAGAAAGGGTGACAAAATTTTCCATAACTTCTTTCTTCCCTCCTTAGTAGCAGCCAGTTTTCTCAAACATGAACACTGTTTCCAAGAAGCAACTTTATTGCTTTTCCTTACAATTAGGGAAAAGAAGGCAATGGTGTTCAAATGATGCCTGACAGCCTGGGTAACAAGCACCAACCATCTGTGCTATAGCAGCACTGTTTGTATTTTTAATGTTTACACATACAGCAAAGATAATTAAAAATAACTATAATTAAAAACGATTACAACAAATTACTTTTCCCTCAACGGTAATATGTGCCTGTAACTTATAAGTTACTTACTAAAGTGACCTTTATGGAGTCTAACAAGAAAACATTACAATTCCTGCCTTGTTTCTGAAAGTTTATAGATTTGGGGGAGGGGAGTTTTTCTAACTATGAAGTCATTTGGCTTTTTTGTACTTCACAAGCATTTGAAAGTATGGGCATTATCTCTGTATTAATAATATTGGTATTTTTTTTTCTCAGAAGGAAAGATTAAATGTAATTTTTTTTCCAAAAATGGTAAAATGACTGAGGGGTTAAAAAAATTTTTTTAAGAAAAGCTAACTCGGCTCCTTGAACAGGCTTTCATTAAAATAATTGAATTTGTTCATAATGTCATATGAAATATGGGGAGACGATTCATTTCAGAACAGTAGTTTTCTGTATCCTGTTACAATCCTTGGAATCTTCAAATACCCTCAAAAACCTTCTCTATAGAAGATGCTGGTTAGTAACAAGATCTGAATAGCTGGCTTCAGGTGAAGAGTAGAGAAGCTGACATGACCCTTGTGGAAGGGCTTGAGATTTAGCCAGAAGGTATAGTGTTGAGGTTCAGGGCACAGCCCTGGGAACCAGATTGTCTAGGTTCCAGTTCTGTTCTGGTAACTTCAGGGAGGGGCACGCTGAATGAAGCTGGGAGACAAATTGCATCTTCATAGAATACTTAGGAACATTTTAAACTTGAGTGTCTAATTAGGAAACTAAGGGGCCTGGAGATCTTATAAATGAGGAGACTTAAACCTCTTCACATTTTAGAAAATATTATGCCTTGTGATGATTATCCTAGCTCAGGTGACCTCTCCTCATGTAGATCACCTCTGTTTCCTTGAGTATTTCTTGGAGTTTTTAGAGAGAATTTCTTATATGCTCAGATAGAAGTCTTCTTTACAATATTCACACTGTGGTGCCTGGCATCTCTGCCAGGCCCTCAGGGAACTTTTTCTTTCTCTGCTGTTGTTCCACAGTTCCCACCAGGCACAATTTGCCATTGGAAACAGATCTGACCCTTCAGGGTACCAAAGTTGTGTTGCAATTACGCTTGTACTCCAGCGTAGTCAAATGACTCTTTGGTTTGTTTGTTTTCCTTATAATTCTTTCTCTCCTAGAACCCAGGCATGAATCTAGGGAGTGTGGACAGATACAGGTGATAGCAACTCTATTTTTCCCAGTATCCTGATTCTTTACAACTTTGTTACATGTCTGTTCAAATTCATCGAGGCAGGTCCTTCTTCCCTAAGGATACATTCTCTTCTAAAAGACTTCCTGCTCTTTAGCTTCCCTTGCAAATAGGCTTCTGTCAGACTACCCCACTGATGGACAATCTTGACCATATGTCTGAACCCTGGTAGAAGTCATCCTTACTTGCTCTTTCAGAGCTTCCTTAATCCCCATAAATCAGTTTCCTTTAGACTAGACACACAAGTCCAGTCAAAGTGCCCAGACATGCTACTTAAATATACTACCAGCTGAAAGAAATTTTAAAACATATTTGGGTTACTAATACTGTCTTTAAACTTTTTTGAATAATATAAACTTGGCTATTTCACAAAATGATTTCAGTTCAAGCAAAGTAAGGCAATCAATTATGTTCTTCCTTTCTTCTTTTTACCTTCTACTGAGCAGTTTTCTTCCCCTTTTTCCTTTCTCCTTTCTATATTCATTTTTGCTCTCAAGCATGGCTATGTTAATGGAACAATACATTAGGAAATTAGTCCAGATGTTTTTCCTCAGAATTACGTGAGTCGTAATAGCACTTGAAACCTCACTTCTAACAAATTTTAATGCCTCATTAAAAAATTAAGATGTGCAAATAAGTTACATGTTATTGTAGTTTATTATAATGTATATCATTTATAAAAATTATAGAGTAAATGTATTTTCATCAGATGACTTTCATGTGTTAGTGCTGAATGCCCTCCTAATTCACTTGGGTTTAATGTGAACCCAGATGCTTTCACATTTGATATCACTGGTGAAATAAAAGGAGGCAGGAAAGACAAAGGAAAATTGTGGATTAATATTTATTAGTGTGTGGTGCTATGCAGCTAACTAGTCAACAGTTTGAGCTCTTCTACTTTCTCCTACGGACTAAGTTGGGGAGGGGTGGTAGAAGGAGCCTGTTATGACCCATTCAAAGGGTAGTAATTTTCATTGTAATGGCAAATATGTTGAAACAAAGACATGAATGACCACAGGCACATGGAAAAATTATAGATGCTTATTTCGTTTTATGAGAAAATAAAAACATTTTATTAAGAATGTAAACATATATGCTAATTTAACCATATTAGTTAAGTGTTTATTAAAATGCTAATAGAGTCACATGCTACATAATCATGTTTTGATCAATAGTTGGCCACACATATGGCCATGGTTCCGTAAGATTATAATATCATATTTTTATTCTACCTTTCTATGTTTAGATATGTAGATATAAAAGTACTTACCATTGTGTTATAATTGTCTACAGTATTCAATATAGTAACGTGCTGTACACATTTGTAGCCTAGGAGCAATAGGCTTTACCACAAAGCCTAGGTGTGTAGCAGGCTATAAAATCTAGACTTGCGTAAGTGCACTCTAAGATGTTCGCACAACAACAAAATTGCCTGATGACATATTTCTCAGAACATATCCTGTTGTTAAGTTGTGTGTGCCTATAATTCAATAAGATCAAATGACGTATCTAGCTGCAACATATTATGTAGTCTTTATATTACTGGAGAGGAACTGTGAGGTTCAATGTACTGTAGAATCAACAAGTAAACAAAATTAAATGAGCACCACTGTCATGTTGTGTCATGGACACAAAACCATACCAAATGTTTATATAATAAAATTTCTATCTGTGAAGTCTAAGGCAAACCCAGTTGAGGCAAAGTTCTAAAGCAAGAAGAGGTAAATTTTGCTATGTTGTTTCTAAGGGTACTTCACTGAGGACAAATTTGAATGATAATTGACAAATTGAGGCAGAAGAAAGTCAGTATTAGTACCCAAAGAGCTAGAACCATGCGTTAGAGCCAAGAGGCCTGTATTTTGATGCAGCATGAGTTGAATGAACACAAAGGAGCAATCACTGAAGTGTGCAAGGTCGTGAACAAGGGTGAGATTCCTGAAACGCTTTCATTGTTGCTGGTTTTTTACCTGATGGTGCAGAAACTTGCTTCAGGGATCGACATAAGGCTGGAGAGCTCCAGATGATTAGATACTATTCTCAGGATAAAATTGTTTGACAATACGCTTTTAGTGAAGATCTATTCAACGGATTATTTATTACGCACCAAGTATATATCAAGCACTATAGATGGCATTGGGGATACAGCAGTGAATAAAGTATGGTCCTCGTTCACATATTAAAATGAGAAATTGTAATGCAACTGTTAAGTGGAAGTTAGTAGACAGTACTGTGGGAACACAAAGAGTATAACCACACTTGGTCTAAGATGGTCAGAAGAGATTTGCAGATGAATAATGCCAAGGCAGAACACCTTTAATTGCGTAAAAATTACTAGATAATGAGACAAGTTATCCTGTGTAGAGGCCCATAGCCTAGCATGCTTGGAGGATGAATCACAGGTGGCTGAGCAAGTGTGAAAAGAAATAGACGCTAGATCATGGGTCTCTTCTTCATATATTGGAGTTGGAGGGGGTGGGATATTAAGTAATTCTGTTGAGTTCATAAGACACAGGAAGTTCCTTCTATTAGCTTCGATTATTTGCTCTGCTAAACGACATTGCACGTAGCTCAGGAAGGTCTCTTTCAGGTCAGTAGACATTATGAACCCATGACTTGTAGGAACTTTGTCTGTAAGTGTCCTGTCAGGGAGTTCATCTCTTGAGATTTACTATTACAGGACTTAGCTACTTTTAGTTGAAAGTGCAAATTTTAATTTAGCAAAAAGTGTTACACATAATACCAACTTATCCACACATATTTTAAAATTTTACTTCCAGAAAGTGATTGCAAATCTATGATTGATCATTATAACACGATGTTGACTCAGGATTGACAATAATATAAAATCAAAAAAACAAATAAAAAACCTGCCAAATTTTTTTCCTTGACCAGATTTCAGTGGAATGTGTTAACAAATCATGTTAAAAAACAATAACAAACAAAATTTCTGTTTAAAGTAATTTGGGTTTAGTGAGGAAAAATGACAATTGGGTAGAATGTGAAATCTAGATTAATGAATAAATTAAAAACAAAAGAATGTAAAGAATGAAGGGAAGGGAGTAAAATTTGAGATTGGAAGGAAGTAATCCAGCTGTGTTTTTAATGTTTTAAAACATTTTCTCTTAAATTTCTTAGAAATTATAAAAATCTTTTTCACATAGAAAATCCATACCTGTTAATGAAAGCAGTCAATGTTGTTTTTGTTTTAACAAGACAATGTAGTAGTTGCAGGATTTGATACCACCTTTCATGTGACTGGGGGAAAGTGAACTGTACAGAAAAACAGTAATTGTCTCTAAGTAGCAGAAACTGCAACTTAAAAGAGATAGGTTGTTTCAATTTATGTTCTGTGATAAGGGATCTTTGGAATAAAATGCATATCAGAATAAATGTTAATATTTGTCTATCTTTCCAATTGTGGCTTTGCTTTCAAGAGCAGTTTAATTCAGCCTGGTAAAGAACTTACCACAATATTGACAAGAAGGGAAAGAAAGAGTTCCCCGGTATCCAGGTCATAGGAATAAGTTTCCATTAAGTATCTATTCTTACATGAAGCTTAAAGATACCTTTGCTCAGGAACCTTTTAAATTTCCGTTTGGTAATTTATTTAAGTATTTATTCTGGACACAGGAGATGAAGATGTAAGGAAAAGAGTGATAGAAGAAATTGGAACTTCAAAACTAGCAAATCTTGCCATATATATATATATTCTTTCAAACACAGATTTAATTTTAGGTTTATTATAAATATGTCTATTTACAAAGTAATGAAACTGATTTTTTTAAACAAACTGTAGTAGAATTATAGAATTAGATAAAGCTATGCTTCAAAGTATTCCCCTTGGAATGCATGCATTTATTCTAAATATGCTGCAATTTTTCAAGCCAAATTTATAATTCCTCTTTTGAGATTATTTTTAACAATTACTATTTTACCAGCCACACAAAAAAATTGATCTCTTTATGTTATAAGTAAATCACACATTTTAGATATCAACTGCCATATTATCTAGTCTTATCACTCTATCTTCAAGTCCAGTACTGATTATGAAAGATGTCTCATTGTTACTAAGAAAAAATTAAAAACACAGTCAACATATTAAAACTTATCCCCAGTAAGGATATCCTTAACAAGTGAATAAATGCATGAAATATTAAGATAAAAAATATATGTTTGCAATTCAGAATATACTGGGGTATATACTGGGCAAGGCATTTTTATTTATTTACTTTATTTATTTGTTTAGTTATAGAATCTTGCTATGTTCCCCAGGCTGGAATGCGGTGTCTATTACAAACACAATCATCGTGCACTCTGTCTGAAATTCTGGGCCTCAAGGGATTTTCTCATCTTGGCCTCCAGGGTAGCTGGGGCTACAGGTGTGCACCATTCTGCCTGACCTCAGAAGATCACTTTAACAGTTTCAAACGAATCAATCTCAGCATCAGTAGAATAAGTCTGCACGCTCTGGGTTTAGCCATCTAAGATGGGACTAGATTCATTTGCAAGAATAAGTGCTTCTATGCTTGCTCAACAAACATCACCTAGCTTTATAGGCATACTGTGTAAATAGAAAACAGTGCTGTACACATAAAAATGAGTATAATGAGCATGTCCTTTTACCAAAAGGAAGCAATTATACTCAGTAGTAAGTAATTATTTTAGTGAAAAGTACATTTGCTTTTCAATTTTATTCCATACTAGAGTTTGAGCTGAAAGAGACCTTGGAGACCAGTTAGTCCAACCCACTTATTATTTCATAGGAGAAGAAAATGTGTCACAGAGAAACTGGAGGCTAGGTGACTAATTTGAGGTTACATAGTTAGTTGTAAGTCTTGAGCAAGAATCAGTTACTTGACCATTGATATGAGATTCTTCCCATTACTTCCTAGTGTGTCCCTGGTAGGTAGGATTTATTTCATATGAGAATTACATAATCCAAGGCAATTTTTAAATGTTAAATTATAGAATATGTTAATGTGTCTTCTGTGGACTTTAAAAAGATAAAGCAGTGCTGTTAACTTTGTTTCACATGCCAAGAACACTATACTTTTTAAAAGTCACATGTGGGTGATTCAGAAATGTGGATCGCTTAAGAAAAAGTCTAGTTTCTTTTTCGCTGGTAGAACTGTTTGTTTTATTATTTTACTCAGACTGATTTATGAAATCATAGTGTTCATTTTCAATTTTACTTACTTTTTTTTACCCTGACATTAATACCTACTGAGTGCTCTTGATGTATTGTTTCCTAGCCAATATTTTATTCTGTTTCTTTCAAGATTTCTACAAAATATTTTAGAAAATGTTTTTTCCTTTTTTGTTTTCTTCTTTCCTTCCTTCCTTCCTTCCTTCCTTCCTTCCTTCCTTCCTTCCTTCCTTCCTTCCTTCCTTCTTTCTTTCTTTCTTTCTTTCTTTCTTTCTTTCTTTCTTTCTTTCTTTCTTTCTTTCTTTCTTTCTTTCTTTCTTTCTTTCTTTCTCTTTTCTTTCTTTCTTTTCGATGGTGTCTTGCTCTCTTGCCAGGCTGGAGAGCAGAGGCGCGATCTCGGCTCACTGCAACCCTCGTCTTCCAGGGTTCAAGCGATTCTCCTGCCTCAGCCTCCTGAGTAGCTGGGACAACAGACACAGCAGCTCACACTGTAATCCCAGCACTTTGGGAAGCCAAGAAGGGTGGATCACCTGAGGTCAGCAGTTCGAGACCAGCCTGGCCAACATGGCAAAACCCGGTCTCTACTAAAAATAGAAAAACTTTCTTCTTTGCATTTTACAAAGATGTATTTAAACACTGAAAATCATGAGTAATATCTTCGGCCATTCAGGCTGCTGTACTAAAATACTTTATATTGGATAATTTAGAAACAACATAACTTTATTTCTTGTAGTGCTGGAGGCTGGAAAGTCCAAGATCAAGGTGCCAGACAATTTGGTGTTTGGCGAGACCTTGCTCTCTGTTTTATAGAAGGCACCTCCCTACTGCTTTCTCACATGGCAAGAGGGGCAAATGAACTCCTTCAGGCCTTTTGTGTGAGGGTACCTATCCTATTCATGAAAGATCTATCCTCATGACTTAATCATCTCCCAAAAAGCCTCATCTCTTAAACTATCATATTGGGGATTATGTTTCAACAAATGAATTTTGAGGAGAACAGACACATTCAGCCCATAGGAGGTAGGTATACATTTTTAATATGATCTTTGTCCAAAACATGTTATCAGAAGATCCTTTTGGCAATAAAGTATTCAATTATGATTCTTTTTAATTTTAGTTAATAGAGTCAGTGTGGTCCTTTTTTTCTTTCTTTTTCATCACAATCTTTTAATTTAAATTTCCAAACTCAAAGTCTTGCAAGGACATCATGGAAAAACTTTCCAGGTTGGGTGTATCTTTCTATCAAACTGGCCTTGAGGTATGGTGAGGGGAAGATTAATGGGAACACAGGTGAGTCTCTAATTAAGACAAAGCCACAGTCTTTAAAACATATATTCACACCCATGAAATAAAGGCATAATTTGAAAATTATTTTTATTCAGAAATAATAAAAAAACTTAGGACACTGTACTTTAATATTCTCAAAAAAGATGCAAAAACACATGGTCTCTGCTAAGCCAGGATAGAGAATCATAAGTTTGAGATAAAGACAAGGCAATTAACCCTGACCTGTACTAAAACACATTACACTGAGCAGTAGTTAAATATAGGATGACCAAAACAGGATCCAAATAAAATCTGTGCTGAAGGCAGAAAGAATGTATTTGACCTTTCAGAAGCCGTAAGATGAAAGTGGCTGTGTAGTTGTGTGAGGAGAGCGTTCTATACAAAGAAAACAGCTTGGGCAAAGACATGTTTTAAAAAAGAGGGTGTAGCCTGTTCAAAAACTAAAAAGCTATTGTGCATAAGATGTAGAATTCTGGGAAGAGTGGCTGGACACGGGGAGAGAGGAGTAAGCAGAACCAGTTCTTGAAGTGTCCAGGAAGCATTTTTAAAGAGTTTGTACTTTATCCTGAGGGCAATATGGAGCTGTTGAAGATATTTCTTCATCATAGGGTTGGCACAACAAGAGCTGTATATTAGAAAATCACTCTGGCTGCAATATGGAAAATAGACTGTGCCTGGAGGCATGGGATCAAGCTAAGAAGCACTTGTTTTAATTTATAGAAGAGAAGATGGTGTTTTGGACAAGGTTAATGCTGATGGAATTGGAGTAAAGTGATTGGATTCAAGAGATATTAAAGAGATAAACTGAATAAAATTCGGTGATTGAATATGGGAGAGGAGGGGGAATAATAAATCAAGGGTAACACTTAGGTTTTTAACTTAGATAACAGGGTAAATGGCACTGCCATTTACTGAGAGTCGAAAAGTAAAAGGAAGCACAGTATTTTGGACAACATAGTGACATTAGTCTTTTATGTTGTATTTGAAGTAAAGATGCTTTTCGACTTATGATAGGGTTATGTCCTGATAAACCCATTGTAAATTGAAAATATCGTAAGTTGAAATGAACGTAATATACGTAAGGTACTGAATATTACAGCTTAGCCTAAACTGCCTTAAGTGTTCTGAGAACCCACATGAGCCTAAGTTGAGCAAAATCTTTTGACAACAAAGTGCACTGTAGAGTCTCTGTTGTTTTCCCTCGTAATCATGTGGCTGACTTGGAGTTGCTGTTCCCTACCTCTGCCTAGCATCTTGAGAGACAGTCATACTGCATAACACTAGCTTAGAAAAAAATAAAAATTTGTAGTACAAGTTCTGAATGTATATCACTTTCTCACCATCATAAAGTTGAAAAATTATAATTGGGATCATCATAAGTTGGGGACTGTCTATATGTGTATGACAGGTGTATGCATGATTGACAAGTGAAAATATCAAACAGCAGTTCCATATATGGATCTGGAGTTCAGAAGAAATATCTGGGGGAAACAGTTTTTTTTTGTAGTTTTTTTCTTATTCAGCATTTATTGTATGATGAATTTCATGTCAATACATTATTTTTAAAATAAAGGGGCATAAATGACAAAAACAAAAGCCACTGTGAGATCAAGGAAGATATGGACTGAAAAGTTTCCATGTGCTTTAAAGAGAAGAGATCTGTTGGTGGTGTAGTAGGAAGAGGCCAGATTGCAGTGGGTTGAAGAGTGAGTAGGCTGTTGCGAAGTGGAGACATTAAGCATTGAATCTGAAGAAATTTGGCTGTAAAGACAAAGAAGAAAGGTAAATTTCTAGCTGACGATTGATGTGCCATCCAGAGAAGCTTTTTTTTGTTATTGTTTTTAAGATGAGGTGACTCTATCATTTTTAACTGTTCACAGGAGTTATGTGGTAGAAAGTGGCAGGCTGGAGTTATGCGGCTCACTTTCTAGCCAGAAGGAGGGAGACTGAATGGAGGCACATTGGTAAGTTAGGTGATGGCAGAGTGTGAGGTTTCTCATCCATGTTAGTGTATTTTAAAAATAGGATATAATGGGAGAAGTTGTTTGCTGAAAATGAGGGGAGTCTAAGGTAGAGGATGCAGAGGGGCTTGAGAGAGTCTTTGTGCTCATTAGGAGTGAAAATTGACTTGAAAAACAGGGTACGTTGAGCCCTTCAGGGATTGGAGATCAGAATTTATAGTGGCACTATGTATCTTCCAGATTGCCAGCTTTCTCCTGAAGCTCTCATCTTCTTGAACATAGGTGCATCAAATGTGGCTAATCCAACTGATTCCTTTGTAAGGACTTCCTCCTTTGTCTCCCATCTCAGTAGTAACCAGGCCTGATCACACTTAACTTCCAAGCTCAAACGATATCAGGGACATTCAGAGTGGTGATATGGTTTGGCTTTGTGTCCCCACCCAAATCCCATTTCAAATTATAATACCCACGTGTCAAGGGAGAGACCTAGTGAAAGGTGATTGGATCATGGGGGTGATTTCCCCATGCTGTTCTCATGATAGTGAGTGAGTTCTCATGAGATCTGATGGTTTTATAAGGGCCTTTTCCCCCTTTACCCCCTCTGTCTTCCCTTTTTCTTGTGAAGAAGATGCCTGCTTCCTCTTCCACCGTGATTGGACGTTTCCTGAGGCCTCCTCAGCCATGTGAAACTGTGAGTTAATTAAACCTCCTTTGTTTATATATTACCCAATCTCAGGTGGTATTCTTTATAGCAGTGTGAAAACAGACTAATATAGGTGGTATGCCCTAGACAAATTCCACCTTCATAAGGGACAGTAGACAATGTGAGTAGCTGGAGGAAACCCACCTATCCTTCTTTTTACACAATCTTTGCTTAACTTTTGATGATACAGGATTGACCAGCAATTACAGGTTGCTTTTCAGTTTACACTTTTGTTTGCATTATCTTGTTGATTGCCAATATCACAAAATGGTTTTATTGTGAATATTTTCCTTTGATAGGTGAGGAAACACAGACTCAGAGAGGTTGAAAAGTGTTAGAATCCGCATAAGCTTTCTGACTCTAGGAATGTGTTTTGGAACATGTGCTTGGGACATTAAGAAGTATAATTGATTAAATGACTATATGTGGAACTTACCAGAATATAAGCTGGAGAGACAAAAACAACTCCTCACCTCCGCAGAAGGCTGCCTCTATTGCACACAAATGAGAAAATATAGGTTTCCATGAAATCACAAAAATAACAAGGTTAGATGCAATACATAAAATATATATTATATTTTAAAAGAAATCAATCCTTGGTTCACAGCTCAAAATAGCTTTTTTTTTTCTGGTGCAGCAGAGGATGCTCTAGTATTATATCAAGCAACAGTTAGTGAGCAAAAGTAACTGAATGCAATATATTTACCGACAATAGTGCCAGGGCTTTGTAAGCCACAGTATTGATTTACTTCTTTCAAAACCAAAGTGACAGCAAAAGGGGGGGGGAAATCACATGATTCAGGGAAGATATCTGAGGATTTAAAAGTGGCAAACACAAATCCATTAGTTTTAAAATGGGTCAAAAGACAAACCAGAAAAACTGTAGACTAGCAAATCAGTGAATTCAACCTTTATTGTAGAGAAAATACAAGATATTGTGTAAGGGAGAATGTGGGAGGAAAGAAGTCAGGAAAGGAGTTGGAAAAATAACAGCTTTATGAATCTACACCCAAGTGAGTATGTAGAGATTGTATTCATACCTGCAGTCACAAATTATATTTTTTTGTTGTTTTATATTCTGCAGACATGTATAATTTATGTATCAGTTATTTTTTAGAGTATTTATAAAACTGTTTCAATAATTTACTTATCATTGGTGAGTCAAGTAAATAAAACAAAATCTTGGTTAGTGATCTCTTTGCTGGAGTAGCCCAATGTGGCTCAGATAATGTATCCACCTAAACCTAGAAGAGGTAAAGCTGTATTTACCTTGTTCCTATTGTTATCTGGAATCTCTTCTCTCAGACTTGAATTAATGGGATGATAAGCCCTAAGAAGTTGCAGCTTAGTATAGCTACCTTCAGAAGAGGTTGTGACACACAATTCACAGCACGCTTGGCCAAATTCCTAATCACTGCAACATTAGCGGGAGTGAGTACAGGATAGAAGGGTTGAGAGAATGGCCAAGCCAATCCTGCAGATGAAGGGATGACAGATTTATGTCATATTCAGCCCAATCTCCACTCAGGTGCTAAATGTAGGTTACCATGTTTGTTGTTGCATTGCCATAGCAATGCCCCCTCTCCTAAACCATAAATGATAAAGAAAATCTTGCAAAAATGATATACTTTTTGTATTAGAGTGGAGCAGAAACAGCTTTTTACTTTGTTTACTAAACTGCACCTCTTTATTTACAAAAATATATCCAAAATGCTATAGTTGGTAGAGTTCTATTCCATAATTTTTTCTCTTTGTCACATTTAAATTTTACTATGTCTTTTTTTTCTCATTGGTTCTTTGACAAAAAGTAATTAGAGTTTCATTACCTTACGGCCCTTAAACACAGTATTTTTCAAAGTGTGCCAAGACCACCTGCTTGTTAAAATGCTCCTATCCTAGTCCCATCCTAGATTTTCTAAATCAGAAGGTCTAGAAATGTAGTACTGAAATTTGTAAGCTTAACAGGACCCCTGGGTGACTTTTAAAAATGCTAAGAGTAATATCCATAAAGAAAAGTGCATCTTTCAGAACTAGACAGTTTGCTGAATTTTCACATTCTGAATACACCCGTGTAACTAGCACCTTGAACAAGTAACAGAATATGACCAGCACTTGATCAACTCTGTTACTGTCTCCACCAAGGGTAGTTATGAGCCTGATTTCTAAGAGGATAAATAAGCTCTACTTGTTTTTGTAATTTATATGAATTAAATAAAATAGAAGGCATTTGTGACTGGCTTATTTTGCCTTTTTTGCTTGATGTTATGTTTTCCTGCAGTTGTAGACTTTTTTATTGTTGAATAGTATTATTTTGTGAATATACCATGAATTATGTATTCATTCAACTGTTGATTGACAGTTGGCTAGTTTCAAGTTTGGCGTTATTTTGAAGAGTACTGCTATGAACATTCTAGTGCATGTCTTTTTGGAGTATACATGTTTGCATTTCTGTTGGGAATGTCAAGTCAAAACGTGCACCAGATAAAGTTAAACAGGTAAGGATGACTTTATTCAAGGCTATTACAATAGGATAGAGAGAGCAGAGCACAGTCTAAACTCAATTCCAGTGTATGGATAGGAGAATTATTAAGAGCAGGTATGGGAGGATTGTGTGTTTGCCAACTGGCCATAACTAATTATCTGCCTTTACCATAGGAGATAGCTGTGTAGCATGGAAGTGGGGACCCACTGATGTTAGGCTTCTACCCTCCAATAGATACTGAGAGATAGGTCTCCCAGTTGACTAAATATGGATTACATTTCAAAGGGATGGCTTCCAGGTCCTGGAGAAAGACAGTCCTAGGTATATAACTGGCAAGAGGTTTTTTTTTAAAAGAAAATTTACATTAAAAAAATCCCCTACAAAATAATAATGAAAGAAATTTAAGAGGACCCAAACAAATGCTCATGGATTGGAAGAATCAATATTGTTAAAATGACCATACTTCCCCCAAAAATCTATAGATTCAATGCATTTCTTACCAAAATCCCAATGTCATTATTCACAGAAATAGAAAAAGCAATTCTAAAATTTGTATGGGAGCCAAACAGAGCCTGAATACCCAAAGCAATCCCAAAAACAGCAAGCTGGTGGCATCACACTACATGACCTCAAAATATATTACTAGGCTATAATAACCAAAAATAGCATGGAATTGGCATAAAAAGAGACACATAGACCAATGGAGCAGAGCAGATAATCCAGAAACAAATCTACGTATTTATAGCCAATTGATGATTTTTTTGAGAAAGACACTAAGAATATACATTAGGTAAAGGACATACTTCAATAAATGGTGCTGGGGAAACTAGATGTCCATGTGCAGAAGAATAAAACTGAACTCCTATGTCAAATCATATAAAAAATTCAACTTAAGATGAATTAGTGACTTAAAATAAGACCTAAAATTATAAAAGTACTAGACGAAAACAGGAAAAATACTTAAGGACACTGGCCTATGCAAAAATTTTATGGCTAAGACCTCAAATGCACAGATAAAATGGAATTATATCAGACGAATAAGCTTCTGAACAGCAAAGGAAGCAATCAGCAAAGTGAAGATACAATCTGTTGAATGGGAGAAAATATTTGCAAACTATTCATTTGACAAAGGCAGAGAAAGAATTTATAATTACAAGTTTTCCAAAGTAAATGCTCTAAGGAAGGTCAGCCCTCTAGAGTAAGGAAGAACTCTATCTAAAGTTTAGTCAAGCTGAGGGAAATGTTAAGTTCATCTTCGTCAATTACATTCCTAAGAGTGGAATTGGTGGTTCCATAGGTTATGCAAATCTTCAGCTTTAGCACTGTCCAACATATCATTTTCCAACAGTATAGGAAAGTTCTTATTGCTCCACATCTTTAACAAAACTTGGCATTTTATTTTATTTTGACCATTCTGGTATGTATAAGTGGCACAGTATTTCATTGCATTCACCTATTTCTATTTTACTAAGTGATTTTTAGCAGATATGGGCTTTGAATTTTGTCTAGCACCTTTCATCCTATCTGGAGATATTCTTATGAGTTTTCTCCTTAGATATATTAACATAGTAAAATATTTTAATAAAATATCTAATACTGTACCATCCTAGCATTCTTCAATTGTTTATATTAAAATATTTTTGTTTGCCCGTGCAATTATATTTGATGATATTGTATGAGGATTATTCACCAATGTTCATTGGTGATATTATTCTGTAGACTTCTTTTTAGTGCTATCTTTATCAGACTTAAAAATTGATGTTAAAAATTGTATAGCAATATCACATAATTGCATGCCATCCTTGAGGAGGAGCCGAACTAATCTTCTTTGTATTGTTCCAATTTTACTATGTATACCCCTGAAGTGAACACATGTCCATTAAGTTTTAATTTCAGAGAGTAAATTCTTATTACAACTTTTCTCTGATGTGATTCTTACCCTTCTCCTCCTCCTATTACTCCTCTTCCTCCTCCTCTTATCCTGGCTTGCTGTAGTTTCTTTCCCTTCTTTTATATCTTCATCTCATCACTCTCTATTTACCTCTGTATATGCTATGCCTTCAAAACGCTCTAGTTGATAGTGGTCATCTGATAAACATCTATCAGATGGATGAAGAGCTGGATAAATAAATTTCTTTTATCATATTCAATGTATTGATTTTAGAGGGCTTATTTCTTTCGAGGTTTGTAATTTTTTCCTGTGAGCTTGGCAGAGGTCTGTGGAAGTTCAATACAAACTGCTACGGGAAAATGTGTGCTTCAATAAGGAATTTAGGGTTTTCAATAATCCTCAAGTAGCATTAAGTTAATTTCCTAGAATGTGTCTCTACTATCACGTAGGCAATATATATGTAGACTCCATTCTCGATCATGCAATAGGCCTTGATATCCTATCTCTTATGGTGGTCTTCTTTTCTTTTTTTCCTTGATATGTAGCCAGTATTTAAAAACACTTTTCAAGGTCAGTAGTTAGGGTTTTTTGCCTAAGTTTTTTTTTTTTTATTTTTAATAATGCCTAGGGCAACATTTGAAGGATCTCAGCCATACTCAGATGACTGTTTAAGCTTTCAACCTTTTAGAGATGAGAGGCCACATTTTCTTTCCATATAATGGTGTTAGATTTTAACCCTCAAGGATTATTGAAGCACTCAAGAGTCACAATTGAATTACTTTGAGATTGCTTCATCTGGTTTTGAGTTTTCTATTTGTTACTAGCACCTGACGATCCCCTTTCTTTTTTCTTTATGCTTGACTGCATATTTAACAACTTTCTAAATTATACTTTTACAGTATTTGTCTATGTGATGAAACCGGGTATCTGTTTATCATCTTGGTCTTCAATATTACTGAAAATCATTTCTGGGTGAATATCATGTTCACTTAAAAGTGATAGAGAAATTTAATGGTCTAACAAAACCAATTGTATTCTATTTATAACAACAGATATTTCTTAATGTAGAGTATTTTTATCATATTAGTATCCCATATCAGTGGAGGATATATACAAAGAGAATACATAAATTATTAAAATGACCAAGATGTGGCCAAAAATGTATGAGAAAATCCAGTAAACAACATATTATCAGGTGCCAAAGGAAGGTAGTAAACAGAGTTAAATGCCACACAGTACTCAGGTTTTACAAGATCAGAAAATTGTGTATTTCACTTGAAATATTAAAATCACTGGCCACTGTTGACTCTACCCATAACAGGTTTGCTGTTTTTGTGGGAGGAAAGATCATACTAATTAGGGTTAGAAAGTAAAAGGGCAGTAAATGAGCAGATGCAATGAGTAAGAATTACATTTTAGAAATACTTGGCCATTGAGGAAAGGAGAAAAATTGCAAGGTGGTTAGAATCAGTGATTGGGATGAGAAGAGATTTATTTATCTTTATAATGGGAGAGACTAGTAATTCCATGAACAAAGAGGCAGTAGAAAGGGAATACTATTTATTAAGGAGAGAGATGGCATCACTGATGAAGTGAGTTACCTAAGGAGGCAGTGGAGATTGGAAATAACCTTAAAGTTGTCCGAGAATTATCAAGGCACATGAAGGCCATGATTTCAGAGGTTACATAGCTATGAAAGAATTCATTATCTGCTTACCCCAAAGACATTCTCCCTCTACTTACTTAATATGTAAACCTTGACTTAATTAGAATGGCAATATGCCCCACTCCAGAGGGTCAGCCTAGTCATTGATTTACGTTAGCTATAGGAATATCTCTTTTTCAGGATACTTACTTTCCTAAGTTTTCTTGTAGTTTTCATCAAGAAAGCAGAAACTTAGGTCTTCTAAGGAGCTTTTGTGTATGCTTTTGCTTTACTGTTAAAAATAAATAACTAAAAGACCCATGATGAGTAGATGGGGCGAGAATAAAAAGACTAAAAATCAACAAAAACAGACAGAGTTGGGAGATCAATGAGCTCAGAGTCTTAGGTAATTTTTTGTAAACTCCTGCACCACATCTAAAGTCTGTGTTAGTTGTTTTCAACCAAAAGTTGTCTATAACCAAAGATAACTGATTCAAGTCATACAAAACTTTTTCTCAATATTTGTTTGCTATTTTGCACAGTATTACCCAGTTGATTTGAAAGTGTAGCATATGATAAGTAGCATTTCTATTTTAATATATCATAGAACTTTGAACTTTAAAAAATGTGTCTCAAATACCCTGGGTTTCACCATTTTATATGATTTCGGTCATGCAAGAAAAGTATAGTAAAATTAGTAATTAGTAAAGGTGTAGTAATTGTTTAGCTTCTCATTACCTAGCTTCTCATTACTTACATTGCTGAGATTCACTAAATATGTTCTATAAATCAATTGAATATAACCCATTTAGTTCATTTTATGAGACATGCTCTAAAATGCTTTACCTAATTCCTCAAGATGAATTGAGTCTTCCTGCTTGAACAGCTTTTGTTAGATGTTATTTTCACCCATTCTATGAAAACTCTTTTTTTTGTTACATAGTTGTTAGCTATTCATGTAAATATCTCTGCTATCAGAATGTGTTATGAAACTTACTGAATCCAGTAAGTTCCAGTCAATTGGATTTAAACAGGAATAATGTACACAACTTCCAGGTCATATCACCAAGTAGGAAATTTCATGCTCTTCACTACTACTTCTCATTTTCCTTTCTTACAGGCTGGAATAAGGATGGGATGCTGGTGAGTTAGCTTTGACAATGCCGAATAGAAAAACACTCTAAGGGATCTGGATGCTGGATGAACTCACTGGAGCATTACTGCCTGTTTGCCCTGTTTCTTCTCACCTGTCTCTTCCAATGCTAAGCCATATGCAAGCCTCTTCTAAACTCAGGTTCCACTGGCTGAAAGATGACAAAGGGAGGATGTAGAGCAATTCTGAAAAGCTGAGTATTTTCTCCAACGAAACTACATTAACCTGGAAGAGACTAGGTTATATTGAATCTAAAATGGTGGTGTTATTCATCCACTTCGTATCAGAAATGGAGGTCCCTGATGAAATTATAGTCAGTACAAACATACAGTTAGATAGAAGGACAAGTTCTAGTATTTGATAGTTCACTAGGAAAATTATAGCTAACAACAATTTCTGTATGTTTCAAAATAGCTAGAAGAGAAGAATTACAATGTTCCTAACAACAAAAAAGACAAATATTTGAGGTTATGAATATCCCAATTACTCTGATTTGATCATTACACAGTGTATACATGTATCAAAATATTACATATGCCACCAAGATATGTACAACTATTATATGACAATGAAAATTTTTTAAAAAAAGTTAGTATGGTGAGAAAGATTTTCTGAATATCTGATGTAGTTGTAGGCTCTAAACTATATTACCATAAAATAGATAATTTATTGAATTCAAAGACTACTCTTCTAGCAATGTTTTGCTGGTTTTGAGACAAGGTCTTGCTCTGTTGCCCAGGCTGGAGTGCAGTGTGGTGCAATCATAGCTCACTTCAGTCTCAAAGTCCTGGGCTCAAGTAATCTTCCTGCCACAGCCTCCTGAGAAGGTGCACACCACACCTGGCTGGTGCTGTGTTTCAAACATGGGTATAGAAGGCAAGGAGGCAAGACCTCTGCTCCAAAGGGAATGCTAGTAATAGAGAGAATAAAGTGCAAATGGGTAATTGATATTCATTTTGGAAAATATTCACTATAAAAATGTAAATTCTTCTTATGGTTTAGGAGGTTTAGAAGGTTTAGGAGGCACACATAGGGAGAAATCGATTAAATGCAGAAGAATTAGAAATGACTTTTGAATCTAATTACTTCAGGTACTTGCAACAATATTGCCATTAGTTGGGAAAATGATGTTTAAATCCTAGGTGCCATCCTTTTATTAGAGTGATGTTCAATGGAAGGAAGTTCAAAGACCCTCCACTTTTGGAGGCCACCTTGGAACTGCCTGGAAGAAATAATTTCTATTGTGACTTTGAGATTAACATGCATTTAATTGTGTTATGTTTGTTAGTAGCAAATAATTATGGTTTAATAAAATACATATGTAGCATGTCACATATAAATTTCCTTAGAAATGAGACTAAGCACATTTCTATAAACAAGCTGCTTTAATTCCTGTATTTGAAATCTAGCGGCAGCTGTGTTAAAATGGAGGCTCCTTTGAAGGATGGTCTTGACAGAGACCAGATTCTGGAATGTTAAAACATAGCATAGCAAAAAAAAAAAAAAGAAAAAAAAAAGAAAAAAAAAAAAAAGAAAAAAAAATCTCCTCTGCCTATCTGTGCCTGGAACTCTGATTGAGATTTTTAAGATTTTCCTGGGCACAGTAGAGGATACATTGCTTCAATGTCACATGCCAAATTTAAACCAATAACAGCCATTCAAACATTACAGTTTCTTAGCTATTGTATAATGTTTATGAAGAATCTAGAGGTGATTATACCCACTTAATTTTTCCCCTGTTTATCTTAAATAGGAGATAGATGAAGGAGGGAAGGGAATCTGAATGTTGCATAAATGTAACGATAAGGGAAATAACATGCACAGATTGTGACAATCCACTTGGAAAAAAATCCAAACTAATTTTGTTCTATTTCTTCTAAGCCATCTGAGAGCCTTTCTACATTTACCCATACAGACTAAATTACACTGTGATTGAGTTTATGGAAAGATAGCAGCACATATGTAGATGAAAGCACAGACAGATATTTATGAAAAACTGGGTTTCTGTAAAAAAAAAGGGAAAGTTGGTAGTTATTTTAGGTATATTAGTTAATGTTTAAAAATGGAAACTTTAAAGAATATGCCACTTATTCAAACATGCCACTTTTCCTCAAAAAGAGAGAAACAAGTTTGCCATTATAGGCCGCTGTTAAATGTTGGCTTTGGCTGGTACAGCCTTTTGTCTTCCCAGCTGTATGAATCACCTCTACAATATGTCCCTTTTGTTTGCATACTGGGATTCAGTGCCTGTCTGGGGGTGGGGGAAATGTGTGGAGAAAAACCTGTTACTTTGTTACCCTAGGACCAGATTGTTTCAAGTCTGTGTGTGCATATTTTATTTCAGAGTCTTTCCTTAAATCTTGGCTTTCTTTCTTTCTTTCTTGCATATTTCTGCCCATCCTAAATGAATAAACCTAGTTTTGAACCAAAAATAAGTTGCATGATATTAATAAATCAAAATTGGTAAACCCCTTCTGTTTACTCTTAAAATTGTCAGTGAAAAATAGAAAATATACTGGCCTTTTATGTTCCACTTGCAAGCATATCTAATCCTCTCTTTATAAAATGCACTTCCATTTGTTAGTGTGCAATTATAAGTCTCCATTTTTATGGGCATGCAATCTGTGTCTATATTTACATATAGACAGTTTATGTTAATTACAATTTGTACATGTATGGTATATATACATTCACTAAGATGAATGTGTTCTAGGCATTTCTGTGAGCATTATTTTTGTTAAATTCTTTTGGGGTTGGCACCAATATCACTACTTCAGATATAGAAACTGAAACTTGGAGAAGTTAAAGGGAATTTATCCTTGCAGATAGCTATGTAACATTACTGTTCATCTGCATAAAAACAACCTGGTACATAGGGAGAGGCCAGACTGGGCTCTGGTGGAAAGTGGAGCCTTATTTGAATTAAGGACGATATGAGTCAAAATCATGATCTTTAGATTAAACCAAGATGCCAACACATTTTAAGTCTGAAATGTTCTTTTTTTTTTTTTTTTTTTGCTCACCCAAAATAGAAAAGAAATGCTTTAAAACATTATTTTATAGGACTAGGTCTGTCTCATAATAGAAATTATATTTCATTAACTTTTGGGTTTTTTTGTTTTGCCAGTTAGGAATCAAGCATTTTACCCATTTAGATGTTAGTCTACCCGTGACATATTTTTGTTGCAAATGCTGTAATTTAAAAAGTCATATGTGTTCACTATAGAAAATCTGCAAAATATCTAAATGTACAAATAGCCCTGACATTAATATATAGCCACTGTGAAATTCTTGCCTTATGTACTTGCAATATTTTTGCAATGTATATGTGTCTGTGTGCACATTTTTTTCTTTTAAAAATTATGCTCAGGAATAGAAACAATTTGGTTATTAATGTGTGAACTTTTAAAATATTATTATTGTAAAGTAGGTTTTCTTTGCAGCGTAGTATTGCGTCATAGGATTATACCTCATTTTTTCTAGCCAACTCTTTATATTGTGAAACTATATGTTAAGTTCAATTTTTCCATTTTCTGAATTTTTCTCTGAATATTTCGCACTCTTTCCAACCCAGCAATGTTTGCAAGTGCCTGTTTGCATACTTTCAAAAGTGTTGGATGTTAATAATTACAAAGAGTTTGCAAATTAGATAAGCAAATTATAACATTTTAGTTTTAACTTGTATTTCATTACCAGTATAAATAATTTTTCATTTGATTGTTTTCATCTCTTGGTGGATTCAGTCACCTACTTTCATTCACTTGGTTATGTTCATTCATTCTTTTGAAGTATGCAGATTTAGGGTTTATTTGCAGACCAGGTTCTGTGCAGTGGGGAACATACTTTGTCCTAGCCCACACAAATCTTAAAGCCTCACAAGTTAGATAAACAATGAACATAAACACAAATGCATTCTTTTAATTGCAAATTTTTTTGAAGTACTCTTGAAGAAGTGAACAGGGTGCTGCGATGGAAAAAAAAGGCATACTTCTTAGAACAATGTTGTTTCTATTTGAATGGATAAAATATGTGCGTGCACAAGATTTAATATATACAAGTAAATTTACCCTGTTTATTTTACCCTGTGAAAGTAACTCTCTCAACTCTTTTTCAAATCTTATTTTCAAAGGCAATCAATATTTAATTATTTTCTCTATATCTTTATAGAGATAACTATGTGTGTCTGTGTGTTTCTGTGTGTGTATGTATGATTTTTAAAAATGTGAAAGTACTCACCATTCCTGATGATTTTTTACTTGGAAACCATTGTCATCAGTATTTATAGAGCTGCCTCATTCTTCTTAGTAGGTACATATATTCTATATATTTTTTACTATATGGATACAACTTAATTTAGATAATACCCAATTAAAAATATTTCCTTTTATTTGACAACTGGGTTTGAATTCTGAGTCATATCTTGTTATATTCTCTGTTATGTTATTTTTTTCTTATATTGTATTTCCTTTTTTTTGTTTTTGTGATAATTTGTGCAGCATGTATTGTTTCAGTAAATACATGTGTACATATAGGTGATTTTATATACTTAATGTTCTATTTTTTAAATAGTATCATTATCTTACTAGTAAAGAGTAATGAAGTTAATATATTTTTACATAATTTCTTTTACAACTCAATTTTTACTGATTACACCACATAATTTCTCTCAGGGTTTTAGTCTTTATTTTTAAATTTTCAAATTGACAAGTAAAAATTGTATATATTTATGATACAAAACATAATGTTTTGATATTTGTATACATTATGGAATGGCTAAATAGAGCTATTTAACATGCATTACTTCACAAACATATATGTATGTGTGTATGATGAGAAAACGTAAAATCTACTGTCCTAGCAATTTTCAAGTATGCAATGTATTAGCTGTAAGCACCATGTTGTACAATAGATGTCTTGAACTTATTTCTCCTAATTCACATTTTGTGTTCTCTAACTAACATCTTATCAATCCCCTCACCCCAAGACTCTGGTAATTACCATTTTATTTTCTGTTTCAATAAGTTGCACTTTTTAAGATTCCATATATGAGAGATCATGTGGTACAGTCATGCGTTGCTTAACGATGGGCATATGTTCTGAGAAATGTGTTGTTAGGAAATTTCATCATTGTGCAAACACTATGGAGTGTACTTCCACAAGCTTAAATTGTATAGCCTACTGCCGAGTAAGCTATATGGTATAGCCTATTGTTCTTAGGCTACAAGCCTGTACACATGTTACTCTACAGAATACTGTAGGCAACTGTAACACAATGGTGAATTTTCCTGTGTCTAAACATATCTACATATAAAAAAGCTACTGTAAAAATAACATATTATAATCTTATGGGACCACCATGGTATATTTGGTTGTCATTGACTGAAACACCATTAGGTGGTGCATGACTCTATTTGTCTTTCTGTGCCTAGCTTACTTATTTCACTTAACACAATGCCCTCCAGGTTTATCTATATTGTCACAAATGACAGTATCGCCTTCTTTATTTTTCTGTTACACTAAACAGTGTTCCATTGTGTATATATGCCACATTTTCCTCCAAATTTGGGAAGTTTTCTGCTATTATCTCTTTAACTAAACTTCCTGCCCTTTGTCTTTCTCTTCTCTTACCTGAACTGTCATTTGAATGTTTATGCTTTTGATGCTGTCCCATTAATCCCATCACTTTTCTTCATTCATTTTCATTTTCTTCTTTTTTTCTTCTACTAACTGTATAGTTTCAAATGACCTTTTACTCCACAGATTCTTCTGCTTGATTAATTTTGCTTTTGATATTTTCTATTTGATTTTGTATTTTATGTATTATATTTTTACCTCCAGAATTTCTATTTTTTTTTTTCATTTCTCTGTTACATTTTTCATTTTGGTCAGTTACTGTTTTCCGAATTTCATAGAATTTTCTTTCCATATTTGCTTGAAGGAGACTGAGCTTCCTTGAAAGAATTGCTTCAAATTCCTTGTCAGGCAATTTGTTTATCTCAACTGCTTTGACATTAGCTACTTTGAAATTATTGTGTTTTAGTAGTTTTTTAAATTTTATTTATTTTTTTTGACAGGCTCTTGCTCTGTTGCCCAGGTTGGAGTGCAGTGAAATTATCATGGCTCACTGTAGCCTTTACCTTCTGGGCCCAAGCTATCCTCCCATCTCAGCCTCCCACGTAGCTGGGACCACAGGCACTTGCTATAATACCTGGCCAGTTTTTAAATTTTTTGTAGAGACAGCGTCTCCCTATTTTATCCAGGCTATGTTTACTTGTTTTTTCATGTTTCTTATTGCCTTATGTTGATGCCTGTGCATTTGATGGAGGAGTCTTCTCCTCTAGGCTTTACAAGCTAGTTTTGCTGTAGAAATATCTCTTTTCCTGCAGGAAAGTAGGAGAGCCCTTGCTCTGTGGTATGCAGCAATTCTGCACCAGGGATGGTGCAGCTATATAGTCTCTGTGCAGTTCTGTCAAATGAGGTCAGTGTTGCTGAGAATTGCAGGTATCCTCAGAAGACAATAGTGTGGATGTCTGCAACGGTGATGAGGGTTGTTAGGATCTTTGGTGACTATGACTGCTAAGGTCCTCCCAACTGTGTTTCTCCCATCAAGAAAGTTATAACCCAGGGGATCTCTCTTGGCATTGGATTTGACCTGTCTGCCTGTTCACAGGGGCAGTAGCTTTAGTGTCTGATAAGTGACACTGTAACTGCCCAACAGGTTTACCTTACCCACTGCCTAGACAGAGCCAATTTATCAAGACAGAGAAATTGCAATAGAGAAAGAGTAATTCATGCAGAGCCGGCTGTGTGGCTAACGGGAGTTTTATTATTACTAATATCAGTCTTCCTAAAGCTTGTAGGTTTGGGGTTTTTCAAAGGCAGTTTTGGGGAAGGGTGATGGTGGCCGGGTAACAGGTGCTTGCTGCTGATTGGTTGGGGCAGAGATGAAATCATAGGGGGTCAAAGCTGTCGTCCTGTGGGCTGAATCACTTCTGGCTGGGGCCACAGGAACAGGGTTGGCAGGTCCAGGTGGAGTCGTCAGGTCCAGGTGGAGCCGTGGGTGTCAAACATACAAAAAGAAAAAAGAAAAAGAAAAGAAAATACATCTCAAAAGGCCAATCTTAGGTTCTACAACAGTGATGTTATTTGCAGGAGCAATTAAGGAAGTTGTATATGGCTGACAATGGTTTATGTCTGCACCTTAACAGGGTTAGGGCTCCTCTGCTTGTTCTAGCCCGTTAGCAACCTCTCATCAGCTCTACAAAGTTGATTGAGTTTTGGGGAAAGGCTATTATCATTTAAACTATAAATATCTCCCAAAGCTAGCCCATTAATAATCAAAAGCAGCTTGGGGGCTAAAGCCATGTGGGCAGTTGGGCTAGATCAGATCTTCCCCATTGTCATTACCTTCTGGCTGATTATAATTTTGCAAAGGCTGTTTCAGCACCTATGTAGCAGCAACTAATGGCATAGTACTGGTGGCACAGGCATCCCCACTACTGCATTTGTAACAGTATGTAACATGTGGATGCTTGTGAAGCAGCCAGGAACTGAGAGTAGGAGAACAGATATGTGCAGAGATACAATGACTCTGGGGTTAGGGCAAAACTTAACTCTATATGGTGGCTGAGCTGGTTCACAGAGTGTAGGAACATGTAGTGAGAGTTTGGCTATGGGGCTTGGAGTGCAAACTAACTCGCTATGCTGATGGCTCTGGTGTTTGAGATGTGGGTATGCCCAGTGCAGTCGCAGATCTGGCATCTTTTCTGAAGTAGTTCAGCAAGGGCTGCTTCTTGTAGCTGAGATGTACAGTCACATCTTTCTCTCTGGAGTTTCCCAGTGGGAATGGATGTTGATTACCTAAGTGGCAAAATATGCCAGTCTTTTCTGCCGAGCAAGACACTGGGGACCACTGTGGTTTCTGCCTTGTAGCCAATAACTATAGCGGTCCCTATTTCTCTTCTTTGTTCTTAAACATATACTGGCATCTCAGATATGCGATCTCACCAGTGATCCTTTTCATTTTGGATAGTTTGTTTGTTTGTTTTTACTTTTCTGTATTGCTGTAGCTTCTTAAATGGACCTGGTGGAAACATTTTCAGTGCCACAAAGAAGAATCAGCACTCCGGCAAAACGCTTTCTCAACAAGGCAAATTTACATTTTTTTTTTTTTTTTTTTTTTTTGAGATGGAGTTTCACGCTTGTTGCCCAGGCTGGAGTGCAGTGGCACGATCTCAGCTCACCGCAACCTCCGCCTCCTGGGTTCAAGTGATTCTCCTGCCTCAGCCTCTCGAATAGCTGGGATTACAGGCATGCACCACCACGCCAGGCTAATTTTGTATTTTTAGTAGAGACGGGGTTTCTCCATGTTGGTCAGGCTGGTCTCAACTCCTGATCTCATGTGATCCGGCCGCCTCCGCCTCCCAAAGTTCTGGGATTACAGGCGTGAGCCACCATGCCCGGCGGCAAATTTACTTCTATAGAAGGGTGTGTCTCGCAGATGGAGCAATGGGGAGAGCACACTGGACAAGGGAGGGGAAGGGATTCTTATCCCTAAAGCAGTTAATCCCTACTGCTGTTTCTTTCCCCTATTGGCTAGGGTTGGACTGCACAGTCTAAGCTAATTCAGATTGGCTGTTTCAAAGACGGCAGGGGTACGAGCCAGAGTGGTGGGATGAGTAGTTTCAGTGGGAAGGACGGTTACAGAGCAGGTGACTAAGGATGACTAAGGACAGCGCAGGTGATAGAGGCTAGCAGGGTGTTGTTTACTGAAAGTAAGGGCAAGGAGGCCTAAGAACGAGGAAGTTAAACTTTAAAATGGAGAGCAAAGAACAGGGAAGCAAAACATACTGACACATTAGTTTTCTGAAGAGGAATTCAGAACTCATTGTACTTAACGATTTTACCCCTCTTGAATGTTAAAGGAAGTTAACAGGCTAAAATCTTTGAAGAGGAATTTACTGTATCCTACAGGCCCTAGAGCTTTCTTGGGGATATTTTGGTTTTTGAACAGCTGTCTCTCTTTTTTTGTGGTGAAGACAAAGCCTGGTATCACCTACTCTGCTATCTTGATGATGCCACCATTTAATCTTTTCTTATGTAAATTTAACCATAGATTTAAATATAATCAATAACTTCTGCCAAGCTTTTGTCTTTTCTCATTTTCAGCAACAAGAACTGTAACAAGACAAGAACAACAAAAATTTTCTTGAGATTTTAATTAAGCTTACCTTGAATCTACAGATTGACTTGAGAATGAACAACTTAATGATATTGAGTCTTTCAATCCATAAACACCATAAATCTCTGCATTTATTTATATCACCCTTTCAGTATTATTTCATAATTTTTAGTGTGCTAGTCTTACACAAAAATTATTAAAATTTGTAAGCACTTTGTGCTTTTTAATTCAAATTTAAATTGTATATACAATTTTGGATTTCAATTTCTATTTGTTTTTTTGCTACAATGTAGAAATTTTATTTATTTATTTATTTATTTGTTTGTTTGTTTATTTATGTATTTGAGACAGGGTCTCACTCTGTTACCAGGGGATAGCACAGTGGCACAATCACGGCTCACTACACCCTCAACCTCCTGGGCTCATTGATTCTCCCACCTCAGCCTCAAACAAACTTCACAGTATTTTAAATAAAATCTAGCTCTATACAAAAGTACAATATATCATGAACAAGCAGGACCTAATCTAAAGAATGTAAAGCTAGTTGAACATTTCAGAATAAGTTGCAACAGTTGATTTTGGATGAAACTTGACTGAATTAAGGAATACTCAGGTAGCTGGTAAAGGGTTATTTATTCTCAATGCTTCAATAGGAATGGAACCCATTCCTCTTCTGCTGAAAGAGAATTCCAGGTGGTTTTCATTTTGATTAGAATGCTTGAGCTTCTCCAGGTGTGTCTGTGAGGGTGTTCTTGGAGAAGATGCATGTGAGTCAGTAGACCGAGTGTAACATCCCGCTGGTAGCCTGAATGGAAGAAAAAAGAGAAAGGTGAATTCTTGTTCTTTTTCTTTTTTCTGGAGCCAGGATACCCTCCTTCTTTCATCCTTGTATGAAAGAATTCTAGGTTCTCTGACCTGTGGACTCTAGGACAACTTGCACCAGTGGCTCCCTGGACTCTCAAGCCTCCAACCTCAGCCTGAGAGTTGCACCATCAGCTTCTTTGGTTCTAAGGCATTAGACTTGGACTGAGCCAAGCTACTATCTTCCCTGATCCTCCACCTTGCAGATGGGCTATCATGGGACTACTCAGACTTCATAATTGAGTGAGACAATTCCCCTAATAAATCCATTCTCATGTGTCTCTCT